>NC_000001.11:221934587-222559587 GCF_000001405.40 Homo sapiens
GTATATGAGGAGCTTAAACAACTCAATAGGAAAACATTTTTTAAATGGGCAAAATATCTGAATGGATATCTCTTAAAAGAAGACATAAATGTCAAACAGTTATATAAAGGTGTGCTCAACATTATTGATCACTGGAAAAATACAAAGCAGAACTATAATAAGATATCACCTCACCCCAGTTAAACTGGCTTTTAACCAAAAGATAGGCAATAAAGAATGCTGGCAAGGATGTTTAGAAAAGAGAACTCTTGTACACTGCTGGTGGGAATGTAAATTAGTACAGCCACTATGGAGAACAGTATGGAGGTTCCCAAAAAAACTAAAACTAAAACTACCATACAATCCACTGCTAGGTATATACCCAAAAGAAAGGAAATCAGTATTCCAAAGAGATATCTGCAGTCTCATGTTTATTGCAGCGCTATTCACAGTAGCCAAGATTTGGAAGCAACCTAAGTGTCCATCAACTGATGAAGGGATTAAAAAATGTGGTACATATACAGAACAGAGTACTTACTATTCAGCCATGAAAAAGAATGAGATCCTGTCATTTGCAACAACATGATTGGAATTGGAGGTCATTATGTTAAGTGAAATAAGCCAGGCACAGAAAGACAAACTTCACAAGTTCTCACTCATTTGTAGGAGTTAAAAATTAAAACAGTTGAACTTCATGGAGCTAGAGAGGGGAATGATGGCTACCAGAGGCTGGGAAGGGTGAAAGGGTGGTAAAGTGGGGATGGTTAATGGGTACAAAAATATAGTTAGGTAGTGTAAATATAATATAGTATATAGTTAGTATAAATAGTATAGTATAAATAAATAGTATAGTATATAGATAATATAAACATTATCTATATTGTGATAGCACAACAGGGTGACTACACCCAGCAATAATTTATTGTACATTTTAAAATAACTAAAAGAGTATAACTGGTATGTATGTAACATAAGGAAAGGATAAATGCTTAAGGTGATGGATACCCCATTTTCCCTGATGAAATTCTTATGCTTTGTATGCCTGTATCAAAATATTTCATGTACCCCATATATGCACCTACCAAAAAAGTAAAAAGCAAAACAGGTGAACAATGATCTAAACAAGAGTCCCAACCATGATAAGATGATGCTGAATTTTTTCCTTTAAAAAAGAATGGTGGAATATCTGTCATCCCAATGACGTATTTCTGGCTGTCACCAGTTCTCCAAGTATGAAAATCTTTATGGTGCCAAACCTAAATGTCATTTGCCCTAAATATTTAAGAGCAACAACTGGGGAACAGTGAGATATGATCATACCATAGCACTCCAGCCTAGTTTAGAGAGCAAGACCTCATCGAGAGAGAGAGAGAGAGAGAGAAAGAGAGAGAGAGACTGCAACAACCGGACACATACCTCAGTTGCAGGAGAGCTGAGGATGGAGACCCTGCTGGGCTACGAAAAAGCCCAAGTGATGGTACCTGGGAAGGCCTATGGCAAAGTGGAACTCAGCAATAGGCAGTAACATGTCCACAAATATTACTGTTCTTCCCAACCACATTACACCTCCCTTTTCCAATCCCATAAGCCTACTTTACCTGCCCTCCATGGCTAAATGTTGAGAAGACTCCCCGCCATAAGCTTATATAGAAATTAATTTGCAAGTATTTAGTGAGCACCTACTATGTATTCGTCACTATTCCAGGAATCAAAGGAGGATATCAGAGAAAAATGAGACAGTCCCCTATCCCAAGGAAGACCCAAGCTTGCTGTAAAGACAACATCACATAATTACCCAATATTATAAAACATATGAATCAGACCTAATTTATAGATTCAAGATGAGAAGGGAGAAATCTAAGTTTCACAGCAGTAATGGTATGCTTCATGGAGGAACTGGACTAAGCTGATCCTAATACCGCATTTCTATTCCTGAAACTGTGAAGTGAAGCCTGGGTCCCTGACCTGGAGGGTTAGCCCACCATGACACAGTGGGTGATTATGATCATACCCTTTTATTCCTGACAGACCTGGTTCCAATCCCAATTCTTCCTATGTTTGTAGATTCAGAAAAGTCATTTAATCTCCTTGAGTCCCGGTTAATTCATCTATGAAATGGTACTAAGGGCCTAATGTGTTCAAAGTCTTACATTAAAGCCTGGCATATAACAGGTGCTCAATCCATGGTAATTATCATTATTTGAAGTCACTTCAATATATGGAAGGATGAAGCTTTTCCCGTGATATTTTAGTCAAAGTTCAATTGTATATCTGAAATCATTAAAAGTTGCATCAGACCTTCAAATTTTATTTCAAGGCAGTGGTGCCCAAGCTTTGTTGAACATTTGAATGACCTGGGAATCTTTAAACTATACTGATGCCTGGGCCCCACCCCAGACATTCTGACTGCGTTGATCTGGGGTGTAATCTTGGCATTGAGATTTTTTAAACTCCCCAGCTGACGCTTATGTGCAACAAAGTTTAGGAACCACTGTTTATGGCAAAATTCCATCTCCTGTTCCACAGAAGGTTCTGAGAGCAGCAGACCAAGAAGCAAGTAGGGAACACACTTCTTGACATGTTGCCTTATTTATTGTATTAATCGGGGTTCTCCAGAGGAATAGAACCAATAAAATACACATGTGCACATACAGACACATACACACACACACACACATATACGTGTGTGTATCTATATACACATAGAAAGAGAGAGGTGATTTACTATAACGAGTTGGCTCACATGATTTTGGAGGCTGAAAAGTCCCCAAATCTGCAGTTAGCAAGCTGGAGAAAAGCCAATGGTATAGTTTCAGTCTGAGTTTGAAGGTCTGAGAATTAGAATGTTCAATGTTGCAGTGCCAGTACGAAGGCTGAAAAAAGAAATAACGTCCCAGCCAGAAGGCAGTCAAGTAGGAGTTCCCTTTTACTCAAAAAGGGGTCAACTTTTATGTTCTCATCAGGACTTAAAGTGATTGGATGTGGCCCACCCACACAGGGAGCCCATCTACTTCACTCAGTCTACTGATTCCAGTGCTAATCTCATCCAGAAACACCCTCACAGACACACTTAGAATAATGTTTGACCAAATATCTGTGCACTTGTTACCCAACCAAATTGGCACATAACATTAACTATCACGTGTATATTGTATCTCAGGCATCCAGCACATTCCTACGCACAAAATTGTGCAAGGGACATTCTATGAGCCAAGGAGGGATAGAGTCAACGATTCTTAGTTGTGATCCCTCAGAGAGAACACACATGCAAACGCAGACACACAAACACACCCCAAAAGTATGCATCTACCAAAACAAGCCATATAAAGAACATTTTTAGCTTATTCCTTTCATTTTAAAGGCAAGGAAACAGGCCCAGAGAGGTAAAGTGACTTTCTCAAAGTTACACGTCAAATTAATGACTTCTCTAGAACTAACACTCAGGACTCTAGAATTTAAGTTCAATGCCAGTACAATGTTGTTTGTCATTTGTATGACCCTGCCTGTGATCCTGTAGGCCTCAGACATTCTAAAACCCCTTCTTCCTTTTGCCAAACCCTGTGTGATGAGGAGCTAACAGCCATGTGGCATGACTCTTCATGTCCTTCCAAATAGCAGAACCAGCCTTCCAGGGGGCAATGGTTCATTGTGGATCTAAAAGTACGTATTTTGAGAAGGAACGCAAAGTAGTTGGGAGGCAGATTCATAAGCTAATTGTTTTGGGCTTATTACAATCAATATCAGTTGCCCCAGGCCAAGGCTGCCTTTGCCTTGTCAGGCTGCTGACATTTTGTGCTTGGTCACCCAGCTCCTTGCTCCAAAGTGATACATTATTGATTTTCCTCCTGTCCCATTAAGGCCACCCTTTCATCTCCCCAGGGATAGATGATGCTTTTGCACACAGCTTGCATGTGCCCAGACTCCTTAGTGGGAAAGGCTATATAGGATGAGAAGGTTACCTTTGCAATTTCACACCCTCAGATTCTGTCTGCAGCTGAAGAAAATCCACTGTCACACAAATCATACTACCTGAATTTCCTAAATGCCCTTTTTCATCTTCCCCCATATGTCAACATTTTTTAAACTCAGAAAAAACATTTCTGCCTCCTCCCTGGGTTCCAATCGATGCTGGCCTTCAAACATATAAGGTGAGTTTTTTACCCATCTCTCTCTCTCCTGAACAGTGGGGGATGTTGGGAAAATCCTGGGATTTAAGGGATGACATACCTGGGCTCAAGACATGGCTTCCCCATTTACCCAAATGATGACCTTGGAATCCTTCTTTGAGCCTTCATCGCTTCATCCTTGAGAGAGGAAATAATAATACCTGCCCGATCACTTTATAAAATATTTAAATGAGATCACATGTGTGAAGCACCGAGTCTGGAACACAGTACGTGTCAATGCCTCATCCTTTTCTATTTCTCCTGCTGTCTCTTGGGAGACTGGAAGACTGTGGCCTCCCCAAGGTAGGGGCCACTCATTCCTCATCTTTGTCCCTAGCATCACATTTGGCACAGATTAATGTTTGGGGAATTGAGGACAACAAGGCAGATACACTTTTATAGATAATGACACTGCCTCTTAGAGAGATTCAGTGCCTTGTCCATGCCAAGACCACTGATAGAAATGAGTCTGTTAAGTTCCAGCATTTTGACTCTTTGTCTCATCTTTCATTCACTAAATCTTGGTGCCTTATGTTCACTCCAAAACAATCTGAACGCAACAACTATGCAGACTAAGTGTGTGGTTACTTCCTGACTTTTCCTCAGAGTTAACTAGTTCCAGCCTCTGTTTAATGGTAAACATAGATTTCCACCATAATCCGTACTGGCCCCACCTCTTGTCACCTGCAGCTGTCCTCTTCAACCTTCCCATAGCACAGCCTTCCTAGTTACCAGCAAATGGGAATTTGAAGCAGAAGGTGTTGAAATCATCTCAGCCCACCTCCACGTTACACAGACTTGAGACCCAGGGCTTTTGGGCTTCCATGCCAAGTTTCCAGCTGCAGTTTAGCCTCTTTTCAAACAGCAATTCTTTCGCCAAATGCTTCCACATGCTTCAGTTTCAGGTGTTAATTCTACCTTCTAAATTCTTGTTCTGAATATCAGCCCAGTGGCCAGGCTTCACTACCCAAGAGCTGCCAGCCTGTGGTCTGAATTTGCAAGTGTCTCCTGCATGCTTTCTCATTATTGGCTTCACCCACCTGCTTGGGTCCCTGGTATTGCACCAGCTGGCAGCCCCTGCTGGTGGTGACTGATGTCATAAACCACTACGAGAGCTAGTTGCTTCCCCCCAGACTCTTCTCTGTTGTCAACCAGATTGCCACTTAGCCTTGGTCCAGTTCCCAGTCCCCTCCCCATCTGTAGAGTCTGCCTGCCAGCACACTGCTATGACTTTCTTTTCATAAAATACTGCTTTTATTTATGAGTAGATCTCCTTTACCACATCACCATCTATAAAATACACACTTGCCCCTTCATCTCAACAATGACATTTCCTCATAGTCTCTTCCTACAGTCTTTAATAAATAAGGACTGCATAATACAAGGGAAAATACAGGATTAAAGAAGATAACAAGAAAAAATTCTCCTTCAATCCTCACAAAATCCCATATGCCTTATTACAGATAACTGATGTCAATAAGTCATGTTAATATAATGGTCGAACAATATTTTTTTTCTCCAGGCTTCTGGAGTTGCTCCCCACTGTCCGTTGATAGACTAGGTGTATAAACACATATTTAATTGCTTAATAAGGGCAAGGCCAAGGAAAGAGTGAAGTATATCAAGCTTTCTACTTGTGGCTTATTTGGTTTACTCCTCACAAGTCCTCACTATCATGACATTTAGCCAGAAATCAAAATATGTTCTCAGTATTTCTGAAGTTGGCATTCCTACAGTTAGAATCATGATGCTGGAAGATGTGGGGTTCTCCAGAGCAGGACCCATCCTAAAGTAAAACATATTTTGAGCACACGCCCTAAGCCCAGCCCAAAATGAATTTCAGCATGTGGTTCAATTCTGAGCAAAATTCCGGTGAAAATGCTATCCTTCTTTATTAAATAGGAATGGTAGCCAGGTGCAGTGGCTCATACTCATGGTCCCAATGCTTTGGGAGGCCAAGGCAGGAGAATTGCTCGAGTCCAGGAGTTTGAGACCAGCCTGGTCAACATGGCAATACCCCATCTCTATGAAAAATGCAAAAATTAGCCAGGCATAGCACAGCTGCACACCAGTTGCCCCAGCTACTCAGGAGGCTGAGGTAAGAGGTCAGGAGGTCAAGGCTGCAGTGAGCTGTGATTGTACCACTGCACTCCTAGGTGACAGAGCAAGGCCATGTCTCAAAATTAATTAATTAATTAATGTAATATGAATGGCTTGATTAGAGAGGGAGTGGGACCCTCAATCTTGTCAACCATGAGAGAAAACACCACCCAAGAGCAAATCAGGACCTCAGTAGCAGAGCATGGGCAAACTTACCCCTTGAACTCTTAGTCATCTGCCTGGAGCCAAGGCACCACATACTACCGAGCAAGCGCGTGTGAGAACCCACAACCTCCATCCCTGTTTTACCTGCAACACTAACCTCAGGAGGCAATTCACTCCCTGTTTTACCTGCAACACTAACTTCAGAAAGCAAATCACTCCCGAGGCAAGTCATTCCTGTCTGATAGTTCCCAAACATCCCTATCTGCCACGTTTTCTTGAAACCCAGAGACTCTGTTCCAGTGGATGGAGGCAGCCAGCTAGTCTACAGCTGCATAGTGTCAAACAATTTCCCCCTTCTGGTCGAGCTTTCACCTACGTGACAGTGTGAACAAAACTAAAGGCATTAGCACTACTCTCAGTTACTATCATTCAAGGTTTCTGGTCTCAACACATCATTCATAGGTTATGATGTACTCATGATCATGTATTTCCTTGAGTTTTTGTCATTCCAATAGAAGAGAGGCCATCTGATGTTTGACTGATGGGCTGTGCAAACATTTAAAAATTTTTTAGAGGACACAATGCACCAGGGAGACTAGTATTACGACTATCTGGAGAATACTATCAAGATTTTGAGATATGCTTCTTAGCTAGGGTACCAGTAAATCAAACCAACTAAAAATGAATAGATCAAAGAATGAGCCAGATGAGGGGTGGACCCATTTTAACCAAATAACCTGTTTGTTAATTTTTGTAATTGGGTCTCAAAATTACCCATATATTTTTTTCCTGTACAACAAGAAATGTTAGCAATTGCACAGATTTCTCCCTATCTAGCCAGTACGCATCAATTCTTTTATCTAGCATTGCATGACTTGGTTAAAGTAGGGAGGGGCAATTTGCAGGTTACCTGTAGAAGCTAATGATTGTCAAAGTTTAACTACAGCATTATCCTGCCAACTGAAAGAGATAGGCATAAACAAGGGAAAATTAAGAGGGTTAAAAGTCTCATATCATGGAGTCCTGTTCTGACAGTCTTGGGAAAAGCTCTCCACTGCATGAAGTCAGCAACTTCTCCTGGTTTGCAGTTTGTATGTTTCTGATTATGGCATCAGGCATTTTGGTGAATTCTCTGTGTGGCCCATACATCAGGCATGAGCTTTGCCTCTTGAAATTTATTAAGTTGGCCTTATGGGCTTTATGAACAGAGTAGTTTTTGTTCTTAGTTGGAGAATCATAGCCAGATATTAGAGGAAACTAGAATTCAGAATCAAATTCAGTCTACAGGCAGAAAATAAAAACTTGAAAGCAATGAACTTGGCTACAATTGAATAACAGATGTAACACAGTTTTCTTCTAAAATGTAATTTTTCTCTCTATAGTCACTACCATTTCTATAAAAGATAATCAGAGTAAGACTAATTTGTTTGCAAATTAAGTTTAGTTTCATTAAACTTGGCCTATTTATTCACCTAAGTGCAGCATGCATAATCACATAGTTTCCTTTTAAATTTTCTTTGCTGGAAATTTTGACAAGGAATCTCAAATTAGACTTTTAAAAATCTCTTGACACTAGGAAGCCAAACCAAAGCAGATCAGACCTTGCCTGAAGTATCTAATATCTTGAGGTTCCTGGGCCTGCCAGAAAGTGACAACTTTTTGTTCACTCACTGTAATGGTGGGAACACTTAAAGCTAGGCATTTTATGTACATTTTCAAATATGACATTCCAGTCAAAGCCTCTATGATATAACCAATGTTTCCAATTGCATCCTCTTATAAAGAGAGGAAATTTTTGTGAACTTATATAAATAGCCATATTGCCATCATAATAAGAACATTCACAAATAATTTAAAAAAATTTTGAGGGGGCCAGGCATGGTGGCTCATGCCTGTAATCCCAGCACTTTGGGAGGCTGAAGTGGGCAAATCATGAGGTCAGAAGTTTGAGACCAGTCTGGCCAACATGGTGAAACCCCGTCTCTACCAAAGATAACAAAAAATTAGTTGGGTGTGGTGGTGCATGCCTGTAATCCCAGCTACTTGGGAGGCTGAGTCAGGAGAATTGCTTTAACCCGGGAGGCAGAGGTTGAAATGAGCCAAGATCATGCCATTGCACATTGGAGGGACTGGGTAAGAAAGAAAAGCAAATGTCTCATTTTTATTTGGAAAAGTATTATTTACCAAACTGCTATAAGCCATTGATAGTTTAAAAGAAAAAAAACAATACTTTCCTTAAGTCTGGAAAGCAAAACATTGAGAGAGCTAGCAATGTTTTAAATTAAAAAGTTGTAAAAACCCATAATTCTTCCTCATCAGTTCATTCAGTCTCATGTAATTAATTCTTGCTGTGTTTGATCTTCGTTAACAGTTTCACGAATTCATTTGTTTCTTCATTAAAGTTCTCAAAATTGTTACTCAGTCCAGTGGTATCTCAAAGCAGTCAGATACCTGTACTTGTTAGTGTTCTTTCCATTCTTTCTATAAACCTCCTTAAAGGCACACATCTGAGAATTAGAATTACTTGCAAAAAGCTTTCAGAAAGCCACTGGAATAAAGCAATTAATTAAGGACAACATAACTTCAACTGGCTATGGTTAACAGCCTGATAAGAATTTGTTATAATAATAATGCAATTGACAAAGGAATTTGTTTAGTTCTGTGGCATACAACATGTTAACATAATAACCAAACAAGATTGATAACATAATTGATATCTACAAATATACAAATTCGGAAAACATATTAATAACAGCCATACAAATATAACTCAAATAAGCATAAATGTTATTTCTTCTTTGATAATGTTTTCTATATAATTTAACATAATTGACGGAGCCTAATTGGCTTAAAGTCTCTCTTTTGGACATTTAGGGGTTTTTCTAGAATGTCTAATAGTTAATTTGAGGTCAAAAATTCTTAATTTTAGAATTTGATTTTGGGAAGTTTGTTAAAAATATCAAAGGTTGAAAATGCTTGATTAAAATACAATCACTGGTCACTTTGCATCAGTGTATTTTGTCAAGACCTAATCAGTACAACAAGATATAAATAGAAACAATAAAAAGTTAAAAAGCAGCGGGACAAAAGTAAGGTGTAGAGTTTTTATTCATTTTCTTTTTGCTTGTTTGTTTATGCAAATAATGTAAAGTTGTTATCATATTAAAATAATGGATTATAAGAGTATTTGTAAGCCTCATGGCAACCTCAAACCAAAAACCATACAATGGACACACAAAAAAAATAATAAGCAAGAAGTTAAATCATATCACCAGAGAAAATCACCTTCTCTAGAGGAAGACAGAAAGGAAAGAAAGAAGGAAGAGAAGACCACGAAATAACCAGAAAACAAATAACAAAATCACAGGAGTGAGTTCCTACTTATCAATAATAACATTGAATGTAAATGGACTAAACTCTCTAATCAAAAGACATAGGCTGAATGGATGAAAAAACAAGATCCATAGATTTGTTGCCTACAAGAAACGTACTTCACCTGTAAAGATACACATAGACTGAAAATAAAGGGATGGAAAAAGATATTCCATGCAAATGGAAACCAAAAAAGAGCAGAAGTCACTATATTTATATCAGAGAAAAATAGAACAGGTCTGGTGTTGATGAAATCCTTCAGCTTTTGTTTGTCTGGGAAAATATTTATCCTTCATGTTTGAAGGACATTTTCACTGGATATACTATTATTCTAGGGTAAAAGTTTTTTTCTTTAGCACTTTAAATATGTCAGGCTATTCTCTCCTGGCCTGTATGGTTTCCACTGAAAAATCTGCTGTCAGACTTTTGGCAGCCAGACTATTGGAGTTCCGTTGTATATTATTTGGTTTTTTTCTCTTGCTGCTTTTAGGATCCTTTTCTTCTCCTTGATCAATTCTCCTATAAAAGGATTCTGATGTATTCTTCAGTATGCCAATTGCATTTTTCAGCTCCAGAATTTTGGCCTGATTCTAATTATTTCAATCTCTTTGTTAAATGTATCTGATAGAATTCTGAACTCCTTTTTGTGATCTTGAATTTCTTTGCATTACCTTGACACAGCTATTTTGAAATCTCTACCTGAAAGGTCACATATCTGTTTCTCCAGGATTGGTCCCTGGTGTCTTATTTAGTTCATTTGGTAAGGTCATGTTTTCGTGGATGATGTTGATGCTAACAGATGTTCTTTAGTGTCTGGGCATTCAGGAATTAGGTATTTATTGTAGTCTTACTATCTACACTTGTTTGTAGCCATCCTTCTTACAAAGGTTTTCCAGATATTTGAAAGGACTTTGGTATTGTGATCTAAGCTGTATCTGATTTATGGGGCACCCCAAGCCCAGTATCACTGTGGTTCTTCCAGGCTTGTAGAGGTACCATCTTGATGGTCTTAGACCAGATCTGGAAGAATTCTCTGTATTACCAGATAGAGACTCTTGTTCTCTTCTCCTACTTTCTCCCAAACAAATGGAGTCTTCTCTCTATTCTGAGCCACATAAAGCTGGGAATGAAGTGTCACAAGCACCCCTGTGGCCACCACCACTGTGACTGCAATAGGTCAGACCTGAAACCCAAGGCCTGCTATAACCATTCCCTGGCTACTGCCTATGTTTGCTTAAAGCCCTGAGGCCCTACAATCAGCAGGTGACAATGTCAGCCATGCCTGTATCCTCACCTTCAGGGCAGCAAGTTCCCCCAGGCCCAAGGTAGTTTCACAGGTGCTGTCTGAGAGTCAGAGACAAGAGTCAAATACCTTAGAAATCTACCTGGTGCTCTATTTTATTATGGCTGAGCCAGCACTCATACTAAAAGATGCAGTCCTTCCCACTCTTCCTGCTTCTTTCCGAAGGCAGAGGAGCTGCACCCTGTAACCAGTGCCACCCCAGGCCACAAGGAGTACTACCAGACTACCAGCCAATGGTCCTGTAAGGCCCAAGGGCTCTTCAGCCAGCTTGTGGTGAATGCTGCCTGGCATGGGACTCATTCTTCAGGGAAGTTGTCTCCCTTCTATCCCAGAGCAGGTCCAGAAATGCCATCCAAGAGTCCAGTTCTGGAATCAGGGACCCTAAGATCTTGCTTGGTTTTCTGCCCCCATTGCCATCATGGTACCTAAGGTGTAAGACAAAGTCCCCTTTATATTTTCCTTTGCTTTTCTCAAGCAGAAGGGGTTTTTCCCTGTAGCCACCAAAGCTGGGAATGTGCTGAGTCTCACCTGAAGCCAGCAAGTCTCAGAGGCTCACTTAAGGCTTTTGGTGTAGTACCTGGGTATTGCTGCTGGTTATTCAGGGCTCAAGGGCTCTTCAGTTAGCAGGTGATGAATGCTGCTGCCAGGACTAGATACTTTCCTTCAAGGCAGCAGGTCCCCTTCTGGCTAGGTTGTGTCTAGAAATGTCATCTGGCAGCAAGGCCCTAAAACAGGGGCCTCATGACTCTATCTGGTGCCCTACCCTGCTGTGGTTGAACTGGTTTCCAAGATGTAAGGCAAAGTCCTCCCCATCTCTTTCCTCTTCTCTCCTCAGGTGAAAGGAAGGGATCTCTTTTGAAGCCTTGAGCTGTGCAGCCTTGGGGAGGGGAGGGATGAGGCCAGCAGTCCCTAGATTGCCCCAACTGGTGTCTCAGTATGTCATGTTCACCCCTTGTCCATTGTCTCTGGGCCTAGTTTAGCACTAGGGCTTGCCTAAGAGTTACTTTCCTTATGGCCTAGGTTGCCTTTCAAGTTTACTTGGAGACCCAGTGCTGTAGCCCTCTGTGGTGAGGTTTGCAGACACTCAAGTTCTCACCACTGGGATCCATGATTCCAGTTTGGCTAGAGCTGGCTTAAATGTTCCCTCCATGGGGAGGTGACAGCTAGGTTTGGCCCAGTTTTACTTTCTGCTCTAACAAGACAGAAACTGAGTTCAACGCCTCACAATTGTTGTATCCTACCTCTCCCAGTACCCTGAGAGGCTCTCCGCACCACACTGCTGCTGCAGGTGGAAGGGAGTGACGTCAGCAATTACCGACTGTTTTTTCTATCTCTTCGTTGCCTCTTTCAGTGATACTGCTCACTTGACTTTTGATTCTAATGAAGGTGTTTTTTCTGTGTAGATAGTTGTTTACTTGTCCTTGTGGAAGGACAATCAGTTGAGCCTTCTACTTTGCCATCTTGTTCGGCCTTGGGAATCCATCTTAATTTAAGTCAACTTAATCACACAAGATTTTTTTATAAGATTCATTCTTCACAAACCTTCTACAATTTGCTTAGACTTTCAGTTTTGTCCTCTATTTCTTTTTCTTATCCTATTGGGACAACAAATCATTCTACCTTAGGACAAAAACTTGCTTCTCTTTTTTTCTTATTATTTTGACCACACAAACTTCTCTCATACAAAAAAATTACCCTCTTTCACTTTTCATTTTTTTCCTAAAATATACCCTCATACATAACTTTTTGCATCTCTTTCTTCTACTTACTGGTTTATTTGTGCCTTTTTATTTCCTTCTTATATTTATATTTTGAAATAACCTTTAAATAACCTCAAAATTAAGCAAAATTACTTTTTCCAACAAAAAATATATCTTTAAGTTTTTTTTAAATTTTTTATCACCAAAACATATCTTACTTTTTTGTGTACTTTGCATACAGAATTACATATATTAATTAAAATTTGTAACTCTTAGTAGCCTTTTTAGTGAAAATCTAAAAAGATTTTGAACTGTCATCTACAAGATTTTGCAAAATACATTTTGTAGGTTTTAGTAATATATGCTTCCTCATAGAAAAATTAATTAATGTAAAACAGCAATATTTACTGTCAGGCCTCTAAGCCGGAGCTAAGCCATTGTAACCCCTGTGACCTGCAAGTATACATCCAGATGGCCTGCAGGAGACAACAAGTCTGGAGCAGCCGAAAAACCACAAAAGAATTGAAACAGCCAGTTTCTGCCTTAACTGATTAACCAAACCTACAACATTCCACCATTATGACTTGTTCCTGCCCTACCCTAACTGATCAATCGAGGTTATGACATTCTTCTCCTGGACAATGGGTCTCATGATCTCCCCACCGTGCACCTTATGACCCCCTCCCCTGCTAGACAACAGACACCTTCAACTGTAACTTTCCACTGCCTACCCAAGTCCTGTAAAGCTGTCCCTCTCCTATCTTCCCTTCGCTGACTCTCTTTTTGGACTCAGCCCACTTGCGCCCAAGTGAATAAACAGCCTTGTTGCTCACAAAAAAGCCTGTTTAGGTGGTCTTCTATATGGACATGCATGACACTTGGTGCCAAAACCCAGGACAGGGGGACTCCTTCTGGAGACCTGTCCCATGTCCTTGCCCTCTCTCCATGAGGAGATCCACCTATGACCTCGGGTCCTCAGACCAGCCCAAGGAGCATCTCACCAATTTCAAATCAGGTAACTGGTCCTTTATACTCTCTTCTCCAGCCTCTCTTGCTACCCTTCAATTTCTCTCTCCTTTCAATTTCAGCTCCTTTTCCTCTCTAGTAGAGACAAGGGAGACACATTTTTTCTGTGGATTCAAAAACTCCAATGTCAGTCACGGACCCGGGAAGACAGTCTTCCCTTGGTGTCTGATCATTGCAGGGACAACTGCTTTGATCACTGACCCACATTCCATTGGTGTCTGATCACTGTGGGGACGCCTGCCTTGATCATTCACCCACACTCCCCTGGTGGCAAGCCGATTGCAGGGACAGCTGCTTTGGTTGCTCACCCACATTGCAGCCTAGGACTCAGTCAGGGACGCCTACTGAAAGCCTGGTAGCTGCCCACCTCCCCTTCTCTGTCTTTACCTTTCTCTTCAAATTTACCTCCTTCACTATGGGCAACCTTCCACCCACCATTCCTCCCTCTTCCCCCTTAGCCTGTGTTCTTAAAAATTCAAAACCTCTTCAACTAACACCTGACCTAAAACCCAAACATCTTTTTTTCTTCTGCAATACTGCTTGGCCCCAGTACAAACTCAACAGTGGTTTCAAATGGCCAGAAAATGGCACTTTTGATTTCTCCATCCTGTAAGACCTAGATAATTTTTGTTGAAAATTGGGTAAATGGTCTGAGATGTCTTACGTCCAAGCGTTTTTTACACTTTGTTCCCTCCTTAGCCTCTGACCCCAATGCGACTCACCCTAAATCTTTCTTCTTTCTCTCCTGTCCATTTCTTCAGTCTCTACCCCAACCTCAGAGTCCTCTGAATCCTTCTTTTCTTCAGACCCCTCTGACCTTTCTCCCCCTCCCAAGGCCACTCCTCAACATGCTGAATCAAGTTCCAATTCTTCCTCAACCTCTGCTCCCCCACCTTATAATTCTTCTATCATCTCCCCTCCTCACACTCGGTTCAGCTTACAGTTTCATTCCATGACTAGCTCTCGCCCACCTGCCCAACAATTTCCTCTTAGAGAGGTGGCTGGAGCTGAGGGCATAGTAAGGGTTCATGTACCTTTTTCTCTATCAGACCTTTCCCAAATCAGTCAGCATTTGGGCTCTTTCTCATCAGACCCCACTAAATACATATATGAATTCCAATATTTAACTCAGTCCTACAGTTTAATCTGGAGTGACTTAAACATCATTCTGACCTCTACCCTCTTCCCAGATGAGTGAGAAAGAGTTTATAACCTAGCCCAATCTCATGCTGACAACTGCTGGAGTCATGAGCCAGGCCTCCAAGAAGGCACCAGGGCAGTTCCCTGAGAGGATCCCTAATGGGAATACCAAACAGGCTCCAGAGGTACAGCTAGGTGAGATTGTATGGTCTCTCGCCTAGTTGAAGGGCTCAAAAAGGCAGCATAAAAAGCTGTTAATTATGACAAGCTTAAAGAAGCCACCCAAGGTAAGGATGAAAACCCAGCCCAGTTCATGGCCCACTTGGCAGCTACCCTTAGACGTTTTACAGCTCTGGACCCAGAAGGCCCAGAAGGCTGTCTCATTCTTAATATGCATTTTATTACCCAGTCTGCTCCCGACATTAGGAAAAAACTCCAAAAACTAGATTCCAGCCCTCAAACCCCATAAAAAGACTTAATTAACCATGCCTTAAAGGTGTTCAACAATAGAGAAGAGTCAGCAAAGCAGCAATGTATTTCAGAGCTGCAACTGCTTGCCTCCACTGTAAGACAAACCCCGGCCATGCCTTCAGCACACAAAAACTTCAGAACAACCAAACCACAGCCTCCAGGCACTTCTTTAAAATCTCCTCATGGACCTTGCTTCAAATGCCAAAAACTCAGCCACAGGGCCTCGGAATGCCCGCAGCCTAGGATTCCTCCTAAGCCTTGTCCTGTCTGTGTGGGACCCCACTAGAAGTCAGACTGTCCAACTAGGATTACAGCCTCTCCTAGACATGCTGGAACAAAAACCTCAGGTTCTCTGGCTGACTCCTTCCCAGATCTCCTCAGCTTAGTGGCTGAAGACTGACACTGCCTGACCACCTCGGAAGCCCCCTGGACTATCACGGACACTGAGCTTCAGGTAGCTCTTACAGTGGAGGGTAACCCTTTTTAATCGATATGGGGGCTACCCACTTCAAATTACCTTCTTTTAAAGGGCCTGTTTCCCTTGCCCCCATAACTGTTTTGGTTATTGACAGCCAGTCTTCTAAACCTCTTAAAGCTCCCCCACTCTGGTGTCAACTTGGACAATATTCTTTTATACACTCTTTTTAAATTATCCCCACCTGCCTACTTCTCTTATTAGGCTGAGACATTTTAACCAAATTATCTGCTTCCCTGACTATTCCTGGGCTACAGCCACACTTCATTGCTGCCTTTTTGCTCAATTTAAGGCCTCTTTTGCATCCTCCCCTTGTGTCTCCCCACCTTAATCCACAAGTATGGGATACCTCTACTCCTTCTTTGGCAACTGACTATGCACCCCTTACCATTCCATTAAAACCTAATCACCTTTACCCTGCTCATTGCCAGTGTCCCATCCCACAGCAGGCTCTAAGAGGACTGAAGCCTATTATCACTCACCTGTTACAACATGGCCTTTTAAAGCCTACAAATTCTCCTTACAACTCCTCTATCCTACCTGTCCAAAAACCAGACAAGTCTTACAGGTTGTTTCAGGATCTTCACCTTATTAATCAAATCGTCATTCCCATCCATCCTATAGTGCTAAACCTTTACACTCTCCTGTCTTCAATACCTGCTTCCACAACTCATTATTCAGTTATTGACCTCTAAGACACCTTCTTTACTATTCCTTTACATCCCTCCTCCCAACCTTTTTTCATCTTTACTTGGACTGACCCTGACACCCACCAGTCCCAGCAACTCACCTGGACTGTCCTACCCCAAGGTTTTAGGGACAGCCCATATCACTTTGGTCAGGCTCTCTCTCATGACTTACTATCTTTTTGCCCATCTACCTCCCACCTTATTCAATATGTTGATGACCTTCTTCTTTGCAGCCCCTCTTACCAATCCTCCCAGCAGGACACTATCCTACTTCTTCAGCATCTCTACTTGAAGGGGTACTGAGTATCCATCTCTAAGGCTCAAATTTCTTCCCCTAGTGTTACATATCTTGGCATAGTCCTCCATCAACATACATGTGCTCTTCCTGCAGACCACGTTCAGTTAATCTCCCAGACCCCAATCCCTACCACCAAGCAACAATTCCTTTCCTTCTTAGGCATTGTTGGATACTTCCAACTCTGGATACCAGGCTTTGCCATCCTAACCAAACCACTTTACAAGCTCACTAAAGGCAATTTAGCTGATCCCAAAGACCCTAAGTCCTTTCCTCATTCTTTCATTCATTCTCTCAAAAAGGCCTTAGAAACAGCTCCCCCAGCTCATCCCAACCTTTTTCCTTACACACAGCTGAAATACAAGGTTGTGCTGCTGGAGGTCTCACACAGGAGCCAGGCCCAAAACCTATAGCCTTTCTATCCAAACAACTTGACCTCACAGTTCTAGACTGGCCCTCATATCTACAAGTGGTGGTAGCTGCCACTTTAATACTTCTAGAGGCCTTCAAAATCACAAGCTATGCTCCACTTACCCTCTACAGTTCTCAAAACCTTCAAGTGTTAATATCCTCCATGCACCTTTCACACTTATTTTCTGCCCATCGACTCCTCCAGCTCTATTCACTCTTTATTGAAACCCCAATAGTAACTATTGCCCATGGTGTCCTCAAGCCTACACTTATAGAAATAGACAACAGTATGGGTATACGGGGCCAGTTCCACATATTCAGCCACCAGACCAGCATCCAGGACAACATAGAGTATGCCGTTGGTTGTTAGAAGGCTTGGGACATTTCTCCCTTTGCCAGCCGCAGCTTAATCCAGGAGACAAAGATTATTTTACTTATTATCTCTCCTGCATAGGATCTGCAATCAGAGCTATTGAACTTCTCCATTCAGACCGCCACTCGCACCTATGGGAAAAGGGTGATATAACAGATCATTGGCTTGACAACAGGAAATCCTATTCATATGATGGGAAATGGGGACAAAAAGCTTTGGTATGTAAAACATTATTCCTAAGATGGCTGAACAGGAACAGCTCCGGTCTGCAGCTCCCAGCATAATCAACACAGAAGACAGTGATTTCTGCATTTCCAACTGAGCCTCCACTGGTGATACCCAGGCAAACAGTGTCTGGAGTCGACCTCCAGCAAACTCCAACAGACCTGCAGCTGAGGGACCTGACTCTTAGAAGGAAAACTAACAAACAGAAAGGAATAGCATCAACATCAACAAAAAGGACTTCCACACCAAAACTCCTTCTGTAGGTCACCAACATCAAAGACCAAAGGTAAATAAAACCACAAAGATGGGTAGAAACCAGAGCAGAAATGCTGAAAATTCTAAAAATCAGAGCGTCTCTTCTCCTCCAAAGGATCGCAGCTTCTTGCCAACAATGGAACAAAGCTGGACAGAGAATGATTTTGACAAGCTGACAGAAGTAGGCTTCAGAAGGTCAGTAATAACAAACTTCCTGTTTTGTTCGAACCCATCATAAGGAGGTTAAAAACCTTGAAAAAAGATTAGGTGAATGGCTAACTAGAATAAACAGCATAGAGAAGACCTTAAATGAACTGATGGAGCTGAAAACCATGGCACGAGAACTATGTCATACATGCACAAGCTTCAATAGCTGATTCGATCAAGTGGAAGAAAGGGTATCAGTGATGGAAGATCAAATGAATGAAATAAAGCCAGAGGAGAAGTTTAGAGAAAAAAGAGTAAAAAGAAATGAACAAAGCCTCCAAGAAATGTGGGACTATGTGAAAAGACCAAATCTGCATTTGATTGGTGTACCTGAAAGTGACAGGGAGAATGGAACCAAGTTGGAAAACACTCTTGAGGATACTGTCCAGGGGGACTTCCCCAACCTAGCAAAGCAGGCCAACATTCAAATTCAGGAAATACAGAGAACACCAAAAAGATACTCCTCGAGAAGAACAATCCCAAGACACATAATTGTCAGATTCACCAAAGTTGAAATGAAGGAAAAAAATGTTAAGGGCAGCCAGAGAGAAAGGTTGGGTTACCCACAAAGGGAAGCCCATCAGACTAACAGCTGATCTCTCGGCAGAAACTCTACAAGCCAGAAGAGAGAGAGGGTCAATATTCAACATTGTTAAAGAAAAGAATTTTCAACCCAGAATTTCATATCCAGCCAAACTAAGCTTCATAAGTGAAGGAGAAATAAAATCCTTTACAGACAAGCACATGCTAAGAGATTTTGTCACCACCAGGCCTGCCTTACAGGAGCTCCTGAAGGAAGCACTAAACGTGGAAAGGAACAACCAGTACCAGCCACTGCAAACACATGCCAAATTGTAAAGACCATCTATGCTAGGAAGAAACTGCATCAGCTAACGAGCAAAATAACCGGCTAACATCATAATGACAGGATCGAATTCACACATAACAATATTAACCTTAAATGTAAATGGGCTAAATGCTCCAATTAAAAGACACAAACTGGCAAATTGGATAAAGAGTCAAGACCCATCAGTGGGCTGTATTCAGGAGACCGATTTCACGTTCAGAGACATACATAGGCTCAAAATAAAGGGATGGAGGAAGATCTACAAAGCAAATGGAAAGCATAAAAAAGTAGGAGTTGCAATCCTAGTCGCTGATAAACATACTTTAAACCAACAAAGATCAAAAGAGACAAGGACATTACATAACGGTAAAAGGATCAATTCAACAAGAAGAGCTAACTACCTAAATATATATGCATCCAATACAGGAGCACCCAGATTCATAAAGCAAGTCCTCAGAGACCTACAAAGAGACTTAGACTCCCACACAGTAATAATGGGAGACTTTAACACCCCGCAGTCAATATTAGACAGATCAACAAGACAGAAGGTTAACAAGGATATCCAGAACTTGAACTCAGCTCTGCACCAAGCTGACCTAATAGACATCTACAGAACTCTCCATCCCAAATCAACAGAATATACATTCTTCTCAGGACCACATCACACTTATTCCAAAATCGACCACACAGTTGGAAGTAAAGTACTCCTCAGCAAATGTAAAAGAACAGAAATCACAACAAACTGTCTCTCGGGCCACAGTGCAATCAAATTGGAACTCAGGATTAAGAAACTCACTCAAAACCACACAACTGCGTGGAAACTGAACAACCTACTCCTGAACTACTGGGTAAATAATGAAATGAAGGCAGCAATAAATAAGTTATTTGAAACCAATGAGAACAAAGACACAATGTACCAGAATTTCTGGGACACATTTAAAGCAGTGTGTAGAGGGAAATTTATAGCACTAAATGCCCACAAGAGAAAGCAGGAAATATCTAAAGCTGATGCCCTAACATCACAACTAAAATAACTAGAGAAGCAAGAGCAAACAAATTCAAAAGCTAGCAGAACGCAAGGAGAACGAAGATCAGAGCAGAACTGAAGGAGATAGACACACACAAAAACCTTCAAAAAATCAATGAATCCAGGAGCTGTTTTTTTTAAAAGATCAACAAAATTGATAGACCACTAGCCAGACTAATAAAGAAGAAAAGAGAGAAGAATCAAATAGATGCAATAAAAAATGATAAAGGGGATATCACCACCAATACCACAGAAATACAAACTACCATCAGAGAATACTTGAAACACCTCTATGCAAATAAACTGGAAAACCTAGAAGAAATGGATAAATTCCTGGACACATACAACCTCCTAAGACTAAATCAGGAAGAAGTTGAATCTCTGAATAGACCAATAACATGTTCTGAAATTGAGGCAATAATTAACAGCCTACCAACCAAAAAAAGTCCAGGACCAGACGGATTCAGAGCCGAATTCTACCAGAGGTGAAAAGAGGAGCTGGTACCATTCCTTCTGAAACTATTCCAATCAATAGAATAAGAGGGAATCTTCCCTAACTCATTTTATGAGACCAGCATCATCCTGATAACAAAGCCTGGCAGAGACACAACAAAAAAAGAGGATTTTAGACCAATAGCCCTGACGAACATCGATGCAAAAATCCCCAATAAAATACTGGCAAACCGAATCCAGCAGCACATCAAAAAGCTTATCTACCACGATCAAGTTGGCTTCATCCCTGGGATGCAAGGCTGGTTCAACATATGCACATCAATAAACCTAATCCATCACATAAACAGAATCAATGACAAAAAAACACATGATTATCTCAATAGACGCAGAAAAGGCCTTTGACAAAATTCAACAGCTCTTCATGCTAAACACTCTCAATATACTAGGTATTGATGGAACATATCTCAAAATAATAAGAGCTATTTATGACAAACCCACAGCTAGTATCATACTGAATGGGCAAAAACTGGAAGCATTCCCTTTGAAAACTGGCACAAGACAGGGATGCCCTCTGTCACCACTTCTATATTGTTGGAAGTTCTGGCCAGGACGATCAGGCAAGAGAAAGAAATAAAGGGTATTCAATTAGGAAAAGAGGAAGTCAAATTGTCCCTGCTTGCAGATGATGTGATTGTATATTTAGAAAATCCCATTGTCTCAACCTGAAATCTCCTTAAGCTGATAAGCAACTTCAGCAAAGTCTCAGGATACAAAATCAATGTGCAAAAATCACAAGCATTCTTATACACCAATAACAGACAAACAGAGAGCCAAATCATGAGAGAACTCCCATTCACAGTTGCTACAAAGAGAATAAAATACCTAGGAATCCAACTTACAAGGGATGTGAAGGACCTTTTCAAGGAGAACTACAAACCACTGCTCGATGAAATAAAAGAAAACAAAAACAAATGGAAAAACATTCCATCCTCATGGATAGGAAGAATCAATATCATGAAAATGGCCATACTGCCCAAGGTAATTTATAGGATTAATGCCATCCCCATCAAGCTACCAACGACTTTCTTCACAGAATTGGAAAAAACTACTTTAAAGTTCATATGGAACCAAAAAAGAGCCCACATTGCCAAGATAATCCTAAGCAAAAAGAACAAAGCTGGAGGCATCACACTACCTGACTTCAAACTATACTACAAGGCTACAGTAACCAAAACAGCATGGTACTTGTACCAAAACAGAGAGATAGACCAATGGAACAGAAGAGAGGCCTCGGAAATAACACTACACATCTACCACCATCTGATCTTTGACAAACCTGACAAAAACAAGAAATGAGGAAAGGATTCCCTATTTAATAAATGGTGCTGGGAAAACTGGCTAGCCATATGTAGAAAGCTGAAACTGGATCTCTTCCCTACACCTTATACAAAAATTAATTAAAGATGGATTAAAGACTTAAATGTTAGACCTAAAACCATAAAAACCCTAGAAGAAAACCTAGACAATACCAATCAGGACACAGACATGGGCAAGGACTTCATGACTAAAACACCAAAAGCAATGGCAACAAAAGCCAAAATAGACAAATGGAATCTAATTGAACTAAAGAGCTTCTGCACAGCGAAAGAAACTACCATCAGAGTGAACAGGAAACCTACAGAATGGGAGAAAAATTTTGCAATCTACCCATCTGACAAAGGGCTAATATCCAGAATCTACAAATAACTTAAACAAATTTTACCAGAAAAAAAAAAACAACCCCATCAGAAAGTGGGCAAAGGATATGAGCAGACACTTCTCAAAAGAAGACATTTATGCAGCCAACAGACACATGAAAAAATGCTCATCATCACTGGTCATCAAAGAAATGCAAATCAAAACCACAATGAGATACCATCTCACACCAGTTAGAATGGCGATCATTAAAAAATCAGGAAACAACAGATGGTGGAGAGGATGTGAAGAAATAGGAACGCTTTTACACTGTTGGTGGGAGGTAAACTAGTTCAACCATTGTGGAAGACAGTGTGACAATTCCTGAAGGATCTAGAACTAGAAATAACATTTGACCCAGCAATCCCATTACTGGGGATATGCACAAAGTATTATAAATCATGCTACTGTAAAGATACATACACACACATGTTTATTGAAGAACTATTCACAATAGCAAAGACTTGGAACCAACCCAAATGTCCATCAATGATAGACTGGATTAAGAAAATGTGGCACATATACACACCATGGAATACTATGCAGCCATAAAAAAGGATGAGTTCATGTCCTTTGCAAGGACATGGATGAAGCTGGAAATCATCATTCTCAGCAAACTATCACAAGGACAGAAAACCAAACACCGCATGTCCTCACTCATAGGTGGGAATTGAACAATGAGAACTTGGACCCGGGGTGCAGCAAACCAACATGGCACAGCAAACCAACATGGCGCATGTACACCTATGTAACAAACGTGCACATTGTGCACATGTACCCTAGAACTTAAAGTATAATATATATATAAAAAAAAGAAAAAAACTTTGTTCCTCCCCTGGCCTAAAAACTTATCACCACCTACATTAAAGCTAATATGCCTGATTACTATTTTTAGCGAACTTATTTTATTAGGGCAGTTCCAGTCTCAAAAATATGCTAACTGGCACCTTGGTAGCCACATAAAAATGTGCTCTAGACCCAAAACTTACTGGACTAACTCATTATAAAATTAAATTTTCTTTAAGGTGTCCACAAGCAGTCCCTGGTCATGCCTGAAGCAGCCCTGAGAAACATCGCCTCTACCCCCCTCCAAAAAAACCCAGAAGGAACTTATATTATTTATCTTTCCTTATGACTTTTTATTTTATAAATACAAGACAAGAATGTCAACCCTTTGAGCCGGAGTTAAGCCACTGTAACCCCTGTGACCTACACATATACATCCAGATGGCCTGCAGGAGCCAAGAAGTCTGGAGCAGCCAAAAAACCACAAAAGAAGTGAAACAGCCAGTTTCTGCCTTTGCTGATTAACCAACCCTACAACATTCCACCATTATGACTTGTTCCTGCTCTACCCTAACTGATGAATTGACGTTATGACATTCTTCTCCTGGACAATGGGTTTCATGATCTCCCCACCATGCACCTTGTGACCCCCTCCCCTGCTGACTAGAGATAACCACCTTCAACTGTAACTTTCCACTGCCTACCCAAGTCCTATAAAGCTGTCCCTCTGGTATCTCCCTTTGCTGACTCTCTTTTCAGACTCAGCCCATTTACACTCAAGTGGATAAACAGCCTTGTTGCTCACACAAAGCGTGTTTTAGGTGGTCTTCTATACAGACATGTGTGACATTTACTATCAGGCTCAAATATAATTTGTCATTTTATAAATTTAAGGAACCAAAAATAAACTTCTGTTAACAATTAACGTTTCAGTATTTAACCTTATTTTGGAAATGACTCAGACATTTAATGAATATTTACTACTTAATTCAATATAACATACATTTAAGATTTCATTTATCCACAAAAGGGATTCTTAAGACGATTTTTAAAGGGAGAAGTTTTATAAAACATGACCTTTTTTTTTTTTAATCTGAGATGGGGTCTTGCTATGTTACCCAGGCTGGAGTTCAATGGGGTGATCACAGCTCACTGCAGCCTCAAACTCCCAGGCCTAAGTGATCTCCCATCTCAGCCTCTCAAGTAACTAGGACCACAGATGTTCACCACCATGCCCAAATAATTTTTAATTTTTTTGTAGAGAATGGTCTCACTATGTTGCCCAGGCTGGTCTCAAACTCCTGGGCTCAAGCAATCTTCCTGCTATGGTCTCCCAAAGTGCAATCACACCCCGCCCATAATCATTGAAAAAGCTTATATGTAAACTTTTACCTCATTCACATTCATCTAATTTACTCATCTTTAAAACTTATGTTTGAACTGTTTATAAAAATTGTAGGAGACATTGAAGAAAACTAGCCATCATCTCAAGTTATTTCCCTTTTAACTATTTTTACAGTGTGCAAATGTTAGGCAGTAGCCACCTAAGCAAGTACCCTAAAGTTAAATACATGGCTATTTTATTGATCAGAAGACACAGCTGTTTTTGTTAAAGCAAAAATATTAAACTAGTCAGATTTACCCAAGTCACATGCACTAAAAGGCATCTGAGTTAATTTCTACTTTTCTGATAAAATATTTTAAAGTGCTTACTTTTTCCTTTAAGCTATTAATTACAGCTCGTTAATATATTTTCAGAGAGAAATATCACATACACATAACCCATATGAACATATAGACACACAGACAGAAGCAGGTCTTATAGCTTTTATAAGATTATTTATTTCTCAATGTTAAAATAGTTTCTCTCTCCATTTTATACCATAAATCTCCCAATCATCTGTTTCATTGCCCTAAATAATAATTAGGCAACCCTAAATTTGCACTTTCGAAGACACGACTCTTAGGTAAAACAAAGTAGAAAATTTATATCTCAAAGGCACAGAACTTAGATCTCAACACCATTACTTCCCCAGACAAAGAACAGCATAGATATAGGTCCAGTTGAGACAAAATGGCCAGGAAAAGCACCTTAAAGGTAAGGTTTATTATGTAAACTTTATACCCATGTCTTCACCATTGTAAAGTTTTTAGGGGTTTAGGTGAATAGAGGGACAGGCCCTTACAAATGGAGGTTTTCATTATAGAGATAAATATCTTTTACAAAAAGTTTCAAAATAGCCAGTCAAATGTCAAAAGTTGAATTTTTTGGACCATATAGTTGATAGGTAGTCTTTTGAATTTATCTTACTTGTTAGTTAGATTACTGACTTCAGGATGAAGCCCTGTAACTAACATGGCAAAAAGGCATTTTCTATGCCTGGATTCAAGAATAGAACTTGATTTCATATTCCCTACAATATAAATTTTCTTCTTTATCCAAAGGAGTGGTTGTCCTATAATAGTGGGGTTGAAAATGGAAATAGTGGCTCTGGTGTCTACCTAGATTGGATAACAACCGGTAGAAGGTTAGAGCAGCTCCCTCTAAGGCCCATCAATCCTGATAGTTAACATGGAAATTATCAGGGAGTGAAAAGGCTGTTTTTAGGGACTTTCCTTGAAATTTTGGGAGTAGCCTCTTTTCCAATGTCCTGGTTGTTTGCACCAATAGCAACTGCTGTTTTAGGGGTTGCTTGTTGAAGAAGTGCTCTGGGGTAGACCCAAAGGCCATTCTAGGTTGTTGGTTGGCGTGGAGCTGAAACACATTGGAAATGGCTTTCAAATGCTCAATTGTGATTTTTCAGGTTTTGTTAGGCCTATACATGGACCAGGTAGGAGCTTGTCCAGTAATACCATTCTGCCTCTTTTATCCATTTCTGGGCTTCACCAGTTTTCACTAGTATGTGAATTAATTGGTAAAGATCAAATATCTTGAGGTCATAAATTTCAATTAAGACCTTGAATTCTTCAGAAACCTTTTGAAGGCCTTCCCTAGATTTAGCAAAATTTTTAACTATGGCGCTGAGTTCTATTATCACCTAGGGAGTGTAAGTCACTCTGGGATTATTTCCTGAATTTTTGAGTGGCTTTAAGCAAACTGTTTAATTGTGGTTTTATTTTGTTTTGTTTTGTTTTGTTTTCAGAGGAGAAAGCCAAGTCAGACTGAGAGTTAGTAGACTAAATACTCAGGCAAAGTGGGATAGAGAGGAGCAGTAGGAATTCTGTCAGTTTTACTGTTCTTGATGTGGATGATATCTTGCATTTTTAGCTTTTTTGTATGTGTGTGATGGCGTCTCGCTCTGTCGCCCAGGCCAGAGTGAAGGGGTGCGATCTTGGCTCACTGCAACCTCTGCCTCCCGAGTTCAAGTGATTCTCCTGCCTCAGCCTCCTGAGTAGCAGGGACTACAGGCGCATGTCACTATGCCCAGCTAATTTTTGTATTTTTAGTAGAGACAGGGTTTCACCATATTGGCCAGGCTTGTCTCAAACTCCTGACCTCGTGATCCGCCCACCTCGGCCTCCCAAAGTGCTGGGATTACAGGCATGAGCCACTGCACCCAGCCTTTTTAGCTTTTTATTAGTTCTTCACAATTAATTTAAAAAAAGTTAGAATTCTGTCTCTTTGAGGCTTCTGAATGCTATTAATAATTAGAATGACATTCTCTCTGCTAAATTTGAGAGACTTGAGATTTAAGTATGCTTGTCAAATGAACAGCCTTATTCATCTGGAATGTTCCATATAATGGCCCTGTAATTCTGAATTATCTTTAGTAAGATTTTGCCACTTTTGTAAATATTTGCAGCTTCCAAGGTCATAGCTCCTAGACATGAAAAAGGCAAGTACACCAGAAGGCGAAGTACTCAGATATTTATAAATTAAGGATCCCATTTTTATGTATGATCTTGGGTCTCTTAGAGCTGACATGGCTTTAGCTATAAGACCTCAGCATATAAGAAGAGAAAAAAATAAAGAGCCCCCCTTCAGTAATAACTACTTATTGTAACTGCCATCAGTTACCTTAAAAACTGCAGCTTTTTTGCCAGTGACTCATCAGTCACCACAAACCGAAAGGTCATGTGCCCTGCCACAGCACAAAGCAACCCTTGGTAACACACAGTCAAGTGCTCTTTCACTATATAAACTAACCCTTTGTACCCCAAAGGCCAAAGATATTAGGGAGCTCAAATGCAAAAGACAACAGAGCTCCAACCTGAGAGGAACTTACTTATGACTCCTGGAGCTCCATGAGAAAGACAGAGGAACCCCTTCACCCCCGCCCCTCCAAAAGGGACTACAGCATTTTTCCTATGTTTCTCAGAAGGTCTCAGGGTTTTCAGCAGTCTCCTTCAGTTTCCTTTGTGGTCACCAGATTTGCCAAAGGACAAAATTACACGTTTAGTTTGAAGATCTCGACTAGCTTTATTGCAATTCTAGGATTGGGCAATGTCTCATTCCATAAAATAGAATAAGTGTCCCAAAGAGTTGAGCAGAGGGGATTCATTTTATAGACAGAGGGGGTTGAAGAAACCAGAAGCAAAGAACAAAATGTGGACTCGTCCTTTGAAAGTTACCTCCCTTACAAGGTGAGAACAAGGAAACAGAACAATAGAGAAATAACAGATTTGTTAGCATCAGGTTACGTCGGGTTACTTTTGTTGTAAGGATTAAAACAGAGGGAACTTCGTTATCCTGCTCATTAAAGACGGAAACTGGTCTGCTTGGAACATTGGCTGTTACTGCTCTGTCCTGATTTTGGGGAAGATGAAATAACAACTTATTTTCAGTTTGGTGATATGGAACTTTGGCATGGGTGACTCCATTTTGATTTTTAGTCTGGTCTGTTGGGGCCTAATACAAAACAATAGCCTTTCATAATTTTTACTTAACATTAGGAAATAAGACACAAAGCTCATATCTTTATCAAATCTAAGGGTCTTTGGTCCATTGACCATTCATGTGCACTCCTTTTGACATTTTTCCCAGGCTGACTGTGAATTTAGCATAGTTCTGATTCTTTACTTGCAATAACAGCAGTTACTCTGTGACAGGCACTCTTC
Organism: Homo sapiens; assembly: GCF_000001405.40. Taxonomy (NCBI): domain Eukaryota; kingdom Metazoa; phylum Chordata; class Mammalia; order Primates; family Hominidae; genus Homo; species Homo sapiens. The sequence continues at coordinate 221,962,845 of NC_000001.11, forward strand.
TCAGCGCTTTTCACCCAGTAACTCATTTAATCCATACAAGGTCCTGTAATAAAGGGACTATGGTCTACATCTTAAACGGGCAGTACCTGTGCAAGGTTGGTGAGATCGTTCTCCCAAGCTTGCACAGCAAGAAGGATCAGGATTTGAACTCAGACCCAGGACCCAGATGCTTGACCGATTAAGCCAGAGCAGCCTCAGAGCCCAAGTTCCAGAAAGTGTAGGGGAGAAAACAATAAATTTTCTCTTTCACCTTGATGAGTTTTTTCTGAGCTTCTCTGTAAAAAAGACAAATTAACAAGAGAAAAACAAACAGAATTCTGATAAAATGTGTACCTATGGGAGACAACCCAGAGAAATGAGTAAATCTCTGCAGCAGATCTCAAAGAATTATCCTAGACCTCACCCTTAAGTACTATCCTTCTCTGAAACAAAGAGAGAAGGCTGAGGGGAATGATGCAATTAAGAAATGTTGGCCATGGCTGGGCATGGTGGCTCACACCTGTAATCTCGGCACTTTGAGAGGCTGAGGCAGGCAGATCACAAGGTCAGGAGTTCGAGACCAGTCTGGCCAACATGTTGAAACTCCATCTCTACTAAAAATACAAAAATTAGCCAGGCGTGGTGGTGGTTGCCGGTAATCCCAGCTATTCAGGAGGCTGAGGCAGGAGAATTGCTTGAACCCAGGAGGCAGAGGTTGCAGTGGGCCAAGATCATGCCACTGCATTCTGGCCTGGGTGACAGAGTAAGACTCTGTCTCAAAAAAAAAAAAAAAAAAAAAGAAAAAGAAAAGTTGGCCAGGAAAAGCACCGTTAAAGAAGCATAATATTTGATAACTAGATTTAAGTTGATGCCTTCTCTAGGGAATTAGTTCTTCTTTTCTTTCTGATGCAGAAAGGAGACACCCTTACAATGGAGGTTTTCTTTACAGATGTAAATTTATCTTATGAAATCATAACTGTTTTCAAAACTAATTTGTTTTCAAAGCTTCTCTGTGTTTGCTATTTCCCAAAATAGCTCAAAATAATCCTTAGGCCAAAAAGGCATATTTGGGGTAGTATGTCCTGAGCCCCATCATTAGTCATCTTTATTACCCTGGCCAAAGGTCTCCTTGCTCATGACAGTCAAAGACTAAAGGACAGAGGGAACTTTTTAATAATGAGAGTTTGCTGACATGCACACACGTGTCATCCACTTTCTGATTAAAAAAAACAGAGAATACATTACTGTGGCCCAAACCTGACATTTTAAGCCATTTGAGATACCCAATAGTCTAGAAAGAATGCTCCTGAGAATTAAAATGAAAGAAATGTCTCCAACCAAATTAGAGACTACTAAATGAATCTTATTAAGAAGCCAAGTGGAAACCCTATCTCAGAGAACAAATTAGGACATAGAAATCAAATTGCCGGCCGGGCGCGGTGGCTCACGCCTGTAATCCCAGCACTTTGGGAGGCCGAGGCGGGCGGATCACGAGGTCAGGAGATCGAGACCATCCTGGCTAACACGGTGAAACCCCATCTCTACTAAAAATACAAAAAAAAAATTAGCCGGGCGTGGTAGCGGGCGCCTGTAGTCCCAGCTACTTGGGAGGCTGAGGCAGGAGAATGGCGTGAACCCGGGAGGCGGAGCTTGCAGTGAGCCGAGATCGCGCCACTGCACTCCAGCCTGGGCGACAGAGCGAGACTCCGTCTCAAAAAAAAAAAAAAAAAAAAAAAATCAAATTGCCATCATTAAACCAAAAACAAAATTCTAAGTCCCTCAACCAACTGAATGGACCCCCTTCTCTCAGCCAAGGGCCTTCTAAAACACTAAACCTGAAACACTAGTTCAGGCCATGATGGGAATAGGTGGTCAGGCATGTCACATTACACTTTCCTCCCTGTGGAATTCAGGCACATCTGACCAGTATTTACATTCAAACAGCAACTTTAAGATTGACAAAACAGACTCTTTGTAGCAGTAAGATATCAACATGACAGATGGCAGGCCCTGAAATAAATAGAAGTATTTTACCCCAAAATATATTTCTTTGACATATTTTGAAATGACCCTGCAAAGTTGTTTCTTGTGGGAAAAATCCACATTCTATAGAGAATCCCCTTCCCTTTCCAGGTCTTTTTCCTGATCCAGGAGAGAATTAAGAGTCTGGCACCTTTTTAAGTCTTATAAGAAACATTTACTATTATCTCTGAAGCCTGCTACCTAGAGGTTTCATCTGCATAATAAAAACCTTGGTCTCCTCAACCCCTTATCTTAACTCAGTCACTCCCTTCTATTGATTCCAGGCCTTTTGATAAACTCAACCAATTGCCAATCAGAAAATCTTTGAATCCACCTAAGACCTGGAAGTCCCCCCACACCTTTGATTTGTCCACCTTTCCAGACACAACCCATGTCATCTTAAAAGTAGTGATCGACATCTAATGTATATTAATTAATAAATTAGATCGACATCTAATGTATTGTGTCTCCCTAAAATGTATAAAACCAAGCTGTAGCCTGACTACCTTTGGCACAGGTTCTCAAGATCTCTTACGGCTCTTTCATGGGCCATGGAAACTCATATTTGGCTCAGAATAAAACTCTTGAAATATTTTACAGAGTTTGACTCATTTTGTCAACACCATGATTTGAGCAGGCAGCTCAAAGGGTAAATCCAATGAGGAAATAAGGATAAAATAATGTGTTCTGAGCACCTATTCTTTGTCAGGCTCTTTGCCTGTGTTATCTTTTAAAATCTGCACAACACTGAGAAATAGGCAATATTCCTATTGGGGCACAGAAAACAAAACCCCAACAGTTCAGGAACACAGAGGAAACGTCTTCATATTTTACACAAGTGAAGGAGATATCACAAGCATGAATGCCCTGAAAATGTTCCCCCAGTTTTCTGTTTAGTTCTGTTACTTTCAGGGTAACAATATTATTAATCATCTCTACCACTAATTGAGTGTTAGCCACATGCACCTAGCACTGTGCTAAGCGCTTTATATGCACCATTTCATTGAATGCTTGTAATTACAATGTGAATTATTATTATTATTTATTATTAACCTTATTTTACAATGAGACAACTTATTGTCAGGCCTCTGAGCCCAAGCCAAGCCATCGCATCCCCTGTGACTTGTGCCCAGATGGCCTGAAGTAACTGAAGAATCACAAAAGAAGTGAAAGACCCTGCCCGACCTTAACTGATGACATTCCACCATTGTGATTTGTTCCTGCCCCACCTTAACTGAGTGATTAACGCTGTGAATTTCCTTCTCCTGGCTCAGAAGCTCCCCCACTGAGCAGCTTGTGCCCCCACTCCCCCGCCCCTGCCCACCAGAGAACAAACCCCCTTTGACTGTAATTTTCCATTACCTTCCCAAATCCTATAAAACGGCCCCACCCCTATCTCCCTTCATTGACTCTCTTTTCGGACTCAGCCCACCTGCACCCAGGTGAAATAAACAGCCATGTTGCTCACACAAAGCCTGTTTGGTGGTCTCTTCACACAGATGTGCATGAAATTTGGTGTGGTGACTCGGATCGGGGGACCTGCCTCAGGAAATCAATCCCCTGTCCTCCTGCTCTTTGCTCCGTGAGAAAGATCCACCTACGACCTCAGGTCCTCAGACCGACTAGCCCAAGAAACATCTCACCAATTTCAAATCTGGTAAGCGGCCTCTTTTTACTCTCTTCTCCAACTTCCCTCACTATCCCTCAACCTCTTTCTCCTTTCAATCTTGGTGCCACACTTCAATCTCTCCCTTCTGTTAATTTCAATTCCTTTCATTTTCTGGTAGAGACAAAGGAGACACGTTTTATCCGTGGACCCAAAACTCCGGAGCCGGTCACGGACTGGGAAGGCAGCCTTCCCTTAGTGTTTAATCATTGCAGGGACACCTCTCTGATTGTTCACCAACGTTTCAAAGGTGTCAGACCATGCAGGGACGCCTGCCTTAGTCCTTCACCCTTAGCGGCAAGTCCCGCTTTTCTGGGGGAAGGGCAAGTACCCCAACCCCTTCTCTCCATGTCTCTACCCCTTCTCTGATTTTCTGGGGCAGGGGCAAGAACCCCTCAACCCCTTCTCCTTCACCCTTAGCAGCAAGTCCCGCTTTTCTGGGGGAGGGGCAAGTACCCGTCAACCCCTTCTCCTTCACCCTTAGCGGTAAGTCCCACTTTTCTAAGGGGCAAGAACGCCCAATCCCTTCTTTCCACACGCCGACCTCTTATCTCTGTGCCCCAATCCCTTATTTCTGCACCCTGACCTCTTATCTCTGTGTCCCAATCCCTTATTTCCGTGCCCCAACCCTTTCTCTGCTTTTCTGGAGAGCAAGAACCCCCCACCCCTTCTCTGTGTCTCTACTCTTTTCTCTGGGCTTGCCTCCTTCACTATGGGCAACCTTCCACCTTCCATTCCTCCTTCTTCTCCCTTAGCCTGTATTCTTAAGAACTTAAAACCTCTTCAACTCTCACCTGACCTAAAATCTAAGCATCTTATTTTCTTCCGCAATGCCACTTGACCCCAGTACAAACTTGACAGTAGTTACAAATAGCCAGAAAATGGCGCTTTCAATTTTTCCATCCTACAAGGTCTAAATAATTCTTGTCGTAAAATGGGCAAATGGTCTGAGGTGCCTTATGTCCAGGCATTCTTTAACACATCAGTCCCTTCCTAGTCTCTGTGCCCAGTGCAACTCGTCCCAAATCTTCCTTCTTTCCCTCCCGCCTGTCCCCTCAGTGCCAACCCCAAGCGTCGCTGAGTCTTTCTAATCTTCCTTTTCTACAGACCCATCTGACCTCTCCCCTCCTCGCCAGGCCGAACTAGGTCCTAATTCTTCCTCAGCCTCCGCTCTTCCACCCTATAATCTTTTTATCACCTCCCCTCCTCACACCTGCTCCGGCTTACAGTTTCATTCAGTGACTACCCCTCCCCCACCTGCCTAGCAATTTACTCTTAAAAAGGTGGCTGGAGCCAAAGGCATAGTCAAGGTTAATGCACCTTTTTCTTTATCCCAAATCAGAAGCATTTAGGCTCTTTTTCATCAAATATAAAAACCGAGCCCAGTTCATGGCTCATTCGGCAGCAACCCTGAGATGCTTTACAGCCCTAGACCCTAAAAGGTCAAAAGGCCGTCTTATTCTCAATATACATTTTATTACCCAATCTGCTCCTGACATTAAATAAAACTCCAAAAATTGGAATCTGGCCCTCAAACCCCACAACAGGACTTAATTAACCTCACTTTCAAGGTGTACAATAACAGAAAAAAGTTGCAATTCCTTGCCTCCACTGTGAGACAAACCCCAGCCACATCTCCAGCACACAAGAACTTCCAAACACCTAAACCGCAGTGGCCAGGGGTTCCTCCAAAACCTCCTCCCCCAGGAGTTTGCTACAAGTGCCAGAAATCTGACCACCAGGCCAAGGAATGCCTGGAGCCCAGGATTCTTCCTAAGCCGTGTCCCATCTGTGCGGGACCCCACTGAAAATCGGACTGTTCATCTCACCTGGCAGCCACTCCCAGAGCCCGTGGAACTCTGGCCCAAGGCTCTCTGACTGACTCCTTCTTGGCTTAGCGGCTGAAGACTGACACTGCCCGATCGCCTCAGAAACCCCGTAGACCATCACGGACGCCGAGCTTTAGTTAACTCTCACAGTGGAGGGTAAGTCCGTCCCCTTCTTAATCAATACGGAGGCTACCCACTCCACATCACCTTCTTTTCAAGGGCCTGTTTCCCTTGCTTCCATAACTGTTGTGGGTATTGACAGCCAGGCTTCTAAACCTCTTAAAACTCCCCAACTCTGGTGCCAACTTAGACAATACTCTTTTAAGCACTCCTTTTTAGTTATCCCCACCTGCCCAGTTCCCTTATTAGGCTGAGACACTTTAAATTATCTGCTTCCCTGACTATTCCTGGACTACAGCTACATCTCATTGCCACCCTTCTTCCCAATCCAAATCCTCCTTTGCGTCCTCCTCTTGTATTCCCCCACCTTAACCCACAAGTATAAGATACCTCTACTCCCTCCTTGGTGACCGATCATGCACCCCTTACCATCTCATTAAAACCTAATCATTCTTACCCCCTCAATGTCAAGATCCCATCCCGCAGCACGCTTTAAAAGGATTAAAGCCTGTTATCACTCGCCTGCTATAGCATGACCTTTTAAAGCCTATAAACTCTCCTTACCATTCCCCCATTTTACCTGTCCTAAAACCAGATAAACCTTACAAGTTAGTTCAGGATCTGCACCTTATCAACCAAATTGTTTTGCCTATCCACCCCGTGGTGCCAAACCCATACACTCTCCTATCCTCAATACCTCCCTCTACTACCCATTATTCTGTTCTGGATCTCAAACATGCTTACTTTACTATTCCTTTGCACCCTTCATCCCAGCCTCTCTTTGCTTTCACTTAGACTGACCCTGACACCCATTAGGCTCAGCAATTACCTGGGCTGTACTGCCGCAAGGCTTCACAGACAGACCCCATTTCAGTCAAGCCCAAATTTCATCCTCATCTGTTACCTATCTCGGCATAATTCTCGTAAAAACACACTTGCTCTCCCTGCTGATCTTGTCCGATTAATCTCCCAAACCTCAATCCCTTACAAAACAACAACTCCTTTCCTTCCTAGGCATGGTTAGTGCGGTCAGAATTCTTACACAAGAGCCAGGACCACACCCTGTAGCCTTTCTGTCCAAACAACTTGACCTTACTGTTTTAGCCTAGCCCTCATGTCTGTGTGCAGCAGCTGCCACTGCTTTCATAATTTTAGAGGCCCTCAAAATCACAGACTATGCTCAACTCACTCTCTACAGTTCTCATAACTTCCAAAATCTATTTTCTTCCTCATACCTGACTCATATACTTTCTGCTCCCTGGCTCCTTCAGCTGTACTCACATTTTGTTAAGTCCCACAATTACCATTGTTCCTGGCCCAGACTTCAATCCGGCCTCCCACATTATTCTAGATACCACACCTGACCCCCATGACTGTATCTCTCTGATCCACCTGATGTTCATCCCATTTCCCCACATTTCCTTCTTCCCTGTTTCTCACCCTGATCACGCTTGATTTATTGATGGCGGTTCCACCAGGCCTAATCGCCACACACCAGCAAAGGCAGGCTATGCTATAGTAGAAGCCACTAGCCCGCCTCTTAGAACCTTTCATTTCCTTTCCATTGTAGAAATCTATCCTCAAGGAAATAACTTCTCAGTGTTCCATCTGCTATTCTACTACTCCTCAATGATTATTCAGGCCCACTACCTTCTCTACACATCAATCTGGAGGATTTGCCCCCACCCAGGACTGGCAAATTAGCTTTACTCAACATGCCCCGAGTCACAAAAACTAAAATACCTCTTATTCTAAGTAGACACTTTCACTAGTTAGGTAGAGGCCTTTCCTACAGGGTCTGAGAAGGCCACCGCAATCCTTTCTTCCCTTCTGTCAGACATAATTCCTCAGTTTAGCCTTCCCACCTCTACACAGTCTGATAACAGACCAGTCTTTATTAATCAAATCAGCCAAGCATTTTCTCAGGCTCTTAGTATTCAGTGACAGACTAATGGTCTATTAAAAACACACCTCACCAAGCTCAGCCACCAACTTAAAAAGGACTGGACAATACTTTTACCACTTTCCCTTCTCAGAATTCAGCCTGTCCTTGGAATGCTGCAGGCTACAGCCCATTTAAGCTCCTGTATAGATGCTCCTTTTTATTAGGCCCCAGTCTCATTCCAGACACCAGACCAACTTAGACTGTGCCCCCAAATAACTTGTCATCCGTACTATCTTCTATCTAGTCATACTCCTATTCACTGTTCTCAACTACTCATACATGCCCTGCTCTTGTTTACACTGCCGGTTTACACTGTTTCTCCAAGCCATCACAGCTGATATCTCCTCCTGCTATCCCCAAACTGCCACTCTTAACTCTTGAAGTAAATAAATAATCTTTGCTGGCAGGACTATGCTGAACCTCCTTAGGCACTCTCTAATTAGATGTCCTAGGTCCTCCCAATTCTTAGTCTTTTTATACCTGTTTTTCTCCTTCTCTTATTCCATTTAGTTTTTCAATTCATACAAAACCGTATCCAGGCCATCACCCATCACTCTATATGACAAATGTTTCTTCTAACAACCCACAATATCAACCCTTACCACAAGACCTCCCTTCAGCTTAATCTCTCCCACTCTAGGTTCCCACGCTGCCCCTAATCCCGCTTGAAGCAGCCCTGAGAAACATCGCCCATTCTCTCTCCATACCACCCCCAAAAAATTTTCGCCGCCCCAACACTTCAACACTATTTTGTTTTATTTTTCTTATTAATATAAGAAGGCAGGAATGTCAGGCCTCTGAACCCAAGCCAAGCCATCACATCCCCTGTGACTTGCACGTATGCACGTATGCACCTAGATGGCCTGAAGTTACTGAAGAATCACAAAAGAAGTGAAAAGGCCCTGCCCCGCCTTAACTGATGACATTCCACCATTGTGATTTGTTCCTGCCCCACCTTAACTGAGTGATTAACCCTGTGAATTTCCTTCTCCTGGCTCAGAAGCTCCCCCACTGATCAGCTTGTGACCCCCGCCCCTGCCCACCAGAGAACAAACCCCCTTTGACTGTAATTTTCCATTACCTTCCCAAATCCTATAAAACGGCCCCACCCTTATCTCCCTTCGCTGACTCTTTTCGGACTCAGCCCATCTGCACCCAGGTGAAATAAACAGCCATGTTGCTCACACAAAGCCTGTTTGGTGGTCTCTTCACACGGATGCGCAAGAAACTTATAAAGGAGGAAATTTATAAAAAAAAACTTGTAATTTATAAATGAAACTTGTAAATGAGGTCATTTGTAAATGAGAAAAGGCTTATAATGGGAGTATCAGGGCTCTGTGCCTCCATTCAACATCTGAATCTAAAGTAAAATTTATCTTCTTAAGCGAAAAATAAATTAACAACACAAATTAACATGGATGAGGGGGTCAGAAATGTTTATGATCAGGCAAGAAAAGAGCTAAAATGTTCAGGGTGCTATGGAAGAATTAAGTAAATGTTTCTGGAAATCTACGTGGGTAGCTGGAAATCACTGATCTAAACCAGGATGGTGAGAGTAAGGTAAGTGATCTCTAGCCCTTGAGGACTAAACTCTGATTTTTTTTTGTCTTGCCCAAATTCCTATCTAAGGGGTCTGGGGAGTCATGCCCTACAAATCATAAATTCTCATTAGATGAGTTTTATTTAACCCCGTATATAATGATTTACTTTCCAACCTGACTCTGGCATAACATTAGGAGACAAAGATAAAATCAAAATATTTTACCCCAAAACATGTTTCTTTGCCATATTTTGAAATGGCCCTGCAAAACTTTTCTTTGTAGGGGAAAATTTGCATCTGTAAAGAATCTCTATTGACATAGCTACATCTTTTTCTTCCAGACTCTCCCAATCCTAAAGAGATTAACTAAAATCTGAATAGGAAACATTTGTCACCTATTGTCTCTAAGGACAGCCACTATAACACTTCAAAAAGACTTTGGTCTCCACAGTCTTTATCTTAACCAGAACATTCCCTTTCTATCTATCCCAGGTCTTCAGACAAACTCAATCCTCAACCAGAAAATATGTAAATTCACCTATAGCCTGGAGGCCCCCCACCTTTGAGCTCTTCCACCTTGATGGACCAAACCAATGCATTTCTTAAATGTATTTGATTGATGTCTCATGCCTCTCTAAAATGTATACAAACAAGCTGCGCCCAGACTACCTTGGGCACAGGTTCTCAGGACCTCCTGAGGGCTGTGTCTCAGTCCATGGTCATTCATATTTGGCTGAGAATAAACCTCTTCAAATACTTTACAGAGTTCTACTCTTTTCGTCAACACCCTGTAGATCGTCTCCCACCTACAGCTGGCCTCTCCAAGTTTTTGTGGAGGGCCAGGAAGCATTGGTTGGAGAGGAGAGGAGAGCAGAGAGGGGGTGGTTTGTGGCATAGAGCAAAACTGGAGCTCCTCTCTTTGAATGCAAAATACAATGTTGGATCTTTTAGTCCATCTGTGAATCTATATTAAGCAATTGGTGAACGTATTTTAATATATTTGTTATTACAGTAAAGTTTTATACAAGCATATTTCACTGACTTTACATACGAAGTGCTTATATTTTAACACCTCTTGATGATGTCATAATTATAATTGGCAGCATCTTTTCATTTTTACTAGTACCTATTTTCATGCGCGTCTGTGTGAAGAGACCACCAAATAGGCTGTGTGTGAGCAACATGGCTGTTTATTTCACCTGGGTGCAGGCGGGCTGAGTCCGAAAAGAGAGTCAGTGAAGGGAGATAAGGGTGGGGCCGTTTTATAGGATTTGGGTAGGTAAAGGAAAATTATAGTCAAAGGGGGTTTGTTCTCTGGTGGGCAGGAGTGGGGGTCGCAAGGTGCTCAGTGGGGGTGCTTTTTGAGCCAGGATGAGCCAGGAAAAGGACTTTCACAAGGTAATGTCATCAGTTAAGGCAAGGATCGGCCATTTACACGTCTTTTGTGGTGGAATGTCATCAGTTAAGGTAGGGCAGGGCCTATTCACTTCTTTTGTGATTCTTCAGTTACTTCAGGTCATCTGGGCATATACGTGCAAGTCACAGGGGATGTGATGGCTTGGCTTGGGCTCAGAGGCCTGACATTCCTGCCTTCTTATATTAATAAGAAAAATAAAACAAAATAGTGTTGAAGTTTTGGGGCGGTGAAAATTTTTGGGGGGTGGTATGGAGAGAGAATGGGCGATGTTTCTCAGGGCTGCTTCAAGCGGGATTAGGGGCGGCGTGGGAACCTAGAGTGGGAGAGATTAAGCTGAAGGGAGGTCTTGTGGTAAGGGGTGATATTGTGGGGATGTTAGAAGAAACATTTGTCGTATAGAATGATTGGTGATGGCCTGGATACGGTTTTGTATGAATTGAAAAACTAAATGGAATAAGAGAAGGAGAAAAACAGGTATAAAAGGTCTAAGAATTGGGATGACTCAGGATATCTGATTAGAGAGTGCTTAAGGAGATTCGGCAAAGTCCTGCCAGCAAAGATTATTTATTTACTTCAAGAATTAAGAGTGGCAGTTTGGGGATAGCAGGAGGAGATATCAGCTGTGATGGCTTGGAAAAACAGTGTAAACCGGCAGTGTAAACAAGAGCAGGGCATGTATGAGTAGCTGAGAACGGTGAATAGGAGTATGACTAGACAGAAAATAGTAGGGATGACAAGTTTTTTTTTGGTGGGGGGCACAGTCTAAGTTGGTCTGGTGTCTGGAATGAGACTGGGGCCTAATAAAAAGGAGCATCTATACAGGAGCTTAAATGGGCTGTACCCTGTAGCATTCCAAGGACAGGCCTGAATTCTGAGAAGGGAAAGTGGTAAAAGTATTGTCCAGTCCTTTTTAAGTTGGTGGCTGAGCTCAGTGAGGTGTGTTTTTAAAAGACTTTTAGTCCATTCTACTTTTCTTGAAGACAGAGGACCATAAGTGGTATAAAAGTTTCACTGAATACTAAGAGCCTGAAAAACTGCTTGGCTGATTTGACTAATAAAGGCTCATCTGTTATCAGACTGTATTGAGGTGGGAAGGCTAAACTGAGGAATTATGTCTGACAGAAGGGAAGAAATGATTGCGGTGGCCTTCTCAGACCCTGTAGGAAAGGCCCTTACTTATTCAGTGAAAGTGTCTATTTAGACTAAGAGGTATTTTAGTTTCCTGACTCGGGCATGTTGAGTAAAGCTAATTTGCCAGTCCTGGGTGGGGGCAAATCCGCCAGATTGATGTGTAGGGAAGGGAGGGGGCCTGAATAATCCCTGAGGAGTAGTAGAACAGCAGATGGAACACTGAGAAGTTATTTCCTTGAGGATAGATTTCCATGATGGAAAGGAAATGAGAGGTTCTAAGAGGTGGGCTAGTGGCTTGTACTATAGCATAGCCTGCCTTTGCTGGTGTGTGGCGATTAGGCCTGGTTGAACCGCCAGCAATAAATCAAGCGTGATCAGGGTGAGGAACAAGAAAGAAGGAAATTTGGGGAAATGGGGTGAATGTCAGGTGGATCAGAGAGATACAGTCATGGGGGTCAGGTGTAGTATCAGGAATAATGTGGGAGGCTGGATTGAAGTCCGGGCCAGGAACAATGGTAATTGTGGGAGACTCAACAAAGAGTGAGTACAGCTGAAGGAGCTGGGGAGCAGAAAGTATATGCATTAGGTATGAGGAAGAAAATAGATTTTGGAAGTTACGTGAACTGTAGAGAGTGAGTTGAGCATAGTTTGTGATTTTGAGGGCCTCTAAAAGTATTAAAGCGTGGCAGCCGCTGCACGCAGACATGAGGGCTAGGATAAAACAGTAAGGTCAAGTTGTTTGCACAGAAAGGCTACAGGGTGTGGTCCTGGCTCTTGTGTAAGAATTCTGACCGCACTAACTATGCCTAGGAAGGAAAGGAGTTGTTGTTTTGTAAGGGATTGAGGTTTGGGAGATTAATCGGACATGATCAGCAGGGAAAGCATGTATGTTTTTATGAGAATTATGCTGAAATAGGTAACAGACGAGGATGAAATTTGGGCTTGATTGAAGTAATGGGGTCTATCTGTGAAGGTTTGCAGCAGTATGGCCTAGGTAATTTGCTGAGCCTAATGGGTGTCAGGGTCAGTCTAAGTGAAAGCAAAGAGAGGCTGGGACGAGGGGTGCAGGGGAATAGTGAAAAAAGCATCTTTAAGATCAGGCACGGAATAGTGAGTTGTGGAGGAAGGTATTGAGAACAAAAGAGTGTATGGGGTTGGGCACCACAGGGTGGATAGGCAAAACAATTTGGTTGATAAGGTGCAGATCCTGAACTAACTTGTAAGCCTTGTCTGGTTTTAGGACAGGTAAAATGGGGGAATTGTAAGGAGAGTTTATAGGCTTTAAAAGGCCATGCTGTAGCAGGCGAGTGATAACAGGCTTTAATCTTTTTAAAGCGTGCTGCGGGATGGGATATTGGCGTTGAGTGGGGTAAGGGTGATTAGGTTTTAATGAGATGGTAAGGGGTGCATGATCCGTCGCCAAAGAGGGAGTAGAGGTATCTTATACTTGTGGGTTAAGGTGGGGGGATACAAGAGGAGGACAGATGCAAAGAGGATTTGGATTGGGAAGAAGGGCGGCAATGAGATATAGCTGTAGTCCAGGAATAGTCAGGGAAGCAGATAATTTAAAGTGTCTCAGCCTAATAAGGGAACTGGGCAGGTGGGGATAACTAAAAAGGAGTGCTTAAAAGAGTATTGTCTAAGTTGGCACCAGAGTTGGGGAGTTTTAAGAGGTTTAGAAGCCTGGCCGTCAACACCCACAACAGTTATGAAGGCAAAGGAAACAGGCCCTTGAAAAGAAGGTAACGTGGAGTGGGTAGCCTCCGTATTGATTAAGAAGGGGACAGGCTTACCTTCCGCTGTGAGAGTTACGCGAAGCTCGGCGTCCGTGAATGGTCTAGGGGGCTTCCGAGGCGATCGTGCAGTGTCAGTCTTCAGCTGCTAAGCCGAGAAGATCTGGGAAGGAGTCAGTCAGAGAGCCTTGGGCTAGAGTTCCAGGGGCTCTGGGAGTGGCTGCCAGGTGAGTTGAACAGTCCGATTTTCAGTGGGGTCCCGCACAGATGGGACGCGGCTTAGGAGGAATCCCGGGCTGCGGGCATTCCTTGGCCCAGTGGCCAGATTTCCGGCATGTGTAGCAAGCTCCTGTGGGAGGAGGTTCTGGAGGAACGCCTGGCCACTGCGGTTCAGGCGTTTGGAAGTTCTTGTGTGCTGGAGATGTGGCTGGGGTTTGTCTCACAGTGGAGGCAAGGAATTGCAACTTTTTTCAGTTATTGTACACCTTGAAGGTGAGGTTAATTAAGTCCTGTTGTGGGGTTTGAGGGCCAGATTCCAATTTTTGGAGTTTTATTTAATGTCGGGAGCAGATTGGGTAATAAAATGTATTTTGAGAATAAGATGGCCTTTTGACCTTTTAGGGTCTAGGGCTGTAAAGTGTCTCAGGGTTGCTGCCAAACGAGCCATGAACTGGGCTGGGTTTTTATATTTGATGAAAAAGAGCCTAAACGCTTCTGATTTGGGATAAAGAAAAAGGAGCATTAACCTTGACTATGCCTTTGGCTCCAGCCACCTTTTTAAGAGTAAATTGCTGGGCAGGTGGGGGAGGGCTAGTCACGGAACGAAACTGTAAGCCGGACCAGGTGTGAGGAGGGGAGGTGATAAAAAGATTGTAGGGTGGAGGAGCAGAGGCTGAGGAAGAATTGGGACCTAGCTCGGCCTGGCGAGGAGCAGCCTGGGGAGGAAGGGAGAGGTCAGATGGGTCTGTAGAAAAGGAAGATTAGAAAGACTCAGCGATGCTTGGGGTTGGTACTGAGGGGACAGGCGGGAGGGAAAGAAGGAAGATTTGGGATGAGTTGCACTGGGCACAGAGGCTAGGAAGGGACTGATGTGTAAAAGAATGCCTGGACGTCAGGCACCTCAGACCGTTTGCCTATTTTACAAGAATTATTTAGATTTTGCAGGATTGAAAAATTCAAAGTGCCATTTTCTGGCTATTTGGAACTACTGTCGAGTTTGTATTGGGGTCAAGCGGTATTGCAGAAGAAAATAAGGCATTTAGGTTTTAGGTCAGGTGTGAGTTGAAGAGGTTTTAAGTTTTTGAGAACACAGGCCAAGGGAGTAGGAGGAGGAATGGAGGGTGGAAGGTTCCCATAGTGAAGGAAGCAAGCCTAGAGAAAAGAGAGAGTAGAGAAATGGAGGGAAGGGTTTGGGGGTTCTTACCTTCCAGAAAAGTGGGAAAAGGGGTTGGGGTGCAGAGATAAGAGGTCAGGGTGTGGAAATAAGGGATTGGGGTACAAAGATATAAGAGGTTGGGGCACGGAAATAAGGGATTGGGGTGCAGAGATAGGTTGGGGCACAGGAATAAGGGATTGGGGCACAGAGATAAGAGGTTGGGGCATGGAAATAAGGGATTGGTGGTTCTTGCCCCATAGAAAAGCAGGACTTGCCGCTAAGGGTGAAGGAGAAGGGGTTGAGGGGTACTTGCCCCCCTCCTAGAAAAGTGGGACTTGCCAGTAAGGGTGAAGGAGAATGGGTTGAGGGTACTTGCCCCTCTCCCAGAAAAGCAGAGAAGGGGTAGAGACATGGAGAGAAGGGGCTGGGGTACTTGCCCCTTCCCCAGAAAAGCGGGACTTGCCGCTAAGGGTGAAGGACCAAGGCAGGCGTCCCTGCGTGGTCTGACACCCTTGAAACATGGGTGTATAATCAGAGAGGTGTCCCTGCAATGATTAAACACCAAGGGAAGGCTGCCTTCCCAGTCCGTGACCCGCGCCAGAGTTTTGGGTCCACGGATAAAACGTGTCTCCTTTGTCTCTCCCAGAAAATGAAAGGAATTGAAATTAAGAGAAGGGAGAGATTGAAGAGTGGAAAGGATAAAGTGGTTGAGGGACAGTGAGAGAGGTTGGAGAAGAGAGTAAGAAGAGGCTGCTTACCTGATTTAAAATTGGTGAGATGTTCCTTGGGCTAGTCGGTCTGAGGACCTGAGGGTCATAGGTGGATCTTTCTCACGGAGCAAAGAACAGGAGTACAGGGGATTGATCTCCCAAGGGAGGTCCCCCAATCCGAGTCACGGCACCAAATTTCATGTGCATCTGTGTGAAGAGACCACCAAACAGGCTTTGTGTGAGCAACATGGCTGTTTATTTCACCTGGGTGCAGGCGGGCTGAGTCCGAAAAGAGAGTCAGTGAAGCGAGATAAGGGTGGGGCCGTTTTATAGGATTTGGGTAGGTAAAGGAAAATTATAGTTAAAGGGGGTTTGTTCTCTGGTGGGCAGGAGTGGGGGTCGCAAGGTGCTCAGTGGGGGTGCTTTTTGAGCCAGGATGAGCTAGGAAAAGGACTTCAAGGTAATGTCATCACTTAAGGCAAGGACCGACCATTTACACTTCTTTTGTGGTGGAATGTCATCAGTTAAGGTGGGGGCAGGGCGTATTCACTTCTTTTGTGATTCTTCAGTTACTTCAGGCCATCTGGGCGTATACATGCAAGTCACAGGGGATGCGATGGCTTGGCTTGGGCTCAGAGGCCTGACACCTATGATGATGATGGCATCTTATTCAATATCTACTATATAACAATTGAAATCTCTAAATGAAAGCCAAGGGTTTGGAAGAATTGATGTCCTTTATTACTAAAGAGTAATAGACATGGAGACATCTGATACATCATGGCGTGTGTGTGTGTGTGTGTGTGTATGTGTGGTTGGGAGTGTGGGTGGTTAAGTATATGCGCATACGCTTATTGGGTAATGGAAGGGGCAGGTCATGGGAAAGGGAGATGCAGAATCCAACTTGGGTAAATTTGTTTTTTTCTAAGGTAGTCCAGCAGATAATTCAGTGAGAACATATTCTGAGTGACACCTACAGTGAGTATTTCCAGTGGGATCAAACAATCAAATAAAGAATTAAATAGAAAGCAGCACAGAGTGATTTTTTAAAACATGCCTTCAAAACAGTCAACAACATAGTAAAGAAGAATTAAAGCAAATGAGGCTCATCTAGCTTGCTTTTCTCAACAAAATTGGAGTAATTAAGTACAAAGGTAGTATGATAAGAAATTACATGAAAATAGGCAGATACAGACCAAAATTGCTTCCCCAGAATTCTTTCTCAGACTCCTACTACCTTGCACTTTTCTGCTCCCCAGCCTCTCTCTCTCCCTAACCTAACTTTTCTGCTAAATATTTTCTGACTTTTGTCTCCCTCCTGTGCCTATACATTTTTGTAGCTTTTCTGAGCTCAGGCTTCAGCTCTTTTTTTCCTTCAGTAGAGACCACATGGTACCCTGAGACACCATATCCTATGGAGCCCAAACTTGGTGTTATCATTGGCCAGCTGTGGGTTCTAGTCAAGTTATTTAGTCTCTCTGAGTGTCACCTGTCCCATCTTTTAAAATGAGTAAAATAATACCTACCTTAAAAGGTTTTAATGAAGTTTAGAGATATTCCTTCTAAAATTCCTGCCACCAGGTGGCTGCTTCATAAAATAGAGCCCTAGGTATCAATAAGCCTTCAATCCCTTCATCTAAAACCCTTTGCTAACCTTAAGTATAATTTTTCCTTCCTTTCACAACACTACAGTATTGTATTTTTACTTTTTTAACTGTGATAAACTACACATAACATAAAATTTACCATCTTAACCTTTTTTTTTTTTTTTTTTTTTGAGACGGAGTCTCACTCTGTCACCAGGCTGTAGTGCAGTGGTGTGATCTCAGCTCACTGCAACATCTGCCTCCTAGGTTCAAGTGATTCTCCTGCCTCAGTCTCCCGAGTAGCTGGGACTATAGGCACGTGCCACCATGCCCAGCTAATTTTTGTATTTTTTAGTAGAGATGGGGTTTCACCATGTTGGCCAGGATGGTCTCGATCTCTTGACCTCGCAATCCTCCTGCCTTGGCCTCCCAAAGTGCTGGGATTACAGGCATGAGTCACCATGCCTGGCCCATCTTAACCATTTTTAAGTGTACAGTTCAGTAGTGTTAAGTATATTTACATTGGTGAGAAACAAAGCTCCAGAACTTTTTCATGTTGCAAATCTGAAACTCCATACTAAGAAAATAACAATTTCCTATTCTCCCCCCCCAACTCCAAGCCTTTGGCAACCACCATTCTCCTTTCTGTTTCTACGAATTTGACTACTCTAGGTACCTCATGTAAGCCAGTTTACATAACTTTTGTCTTTTTGTAACTGACATATTTCACTAAGCATAATGTCCTTAAGGTTGATCCTTGTTGTAGCATGTGTCAGAATTTCCTTCCTTTTTAAGGCTGAATAATATTCTATCTGTATGTATAGACCACATTTTGTTTGTTCATTCATCTTCATTGGATATTTGGGTTGCTTCCATCTTTTGACTGTTGCAAATAATGCTGTTATGAACACAGGTGTACAAACCTTTTGAGAGCCAGGTGCAGTGGCTCACACCTGCAATCCTAGCAATTTGGGAGGCAGAAGGATTCCTTGAGCACAGGAGTTTGAGACCAGCCTAGGCAACAAAGTGAGACCCTATCTCTACAAATAATAATAATAATAATAATAAATAGCTTGGCATGTTGGCATATCGCAATTACTAGGAAGGCTGAGGTGGGAGGATAGTTTGACCGGAAGAGGTCACACCACTACACTCCAGCCTGGGTGACACAATGAGACCCTAACTGAAAAACTAAAAATAAAACTAATCTCTTTGAGACCCTACTTTCAATTATTTTGGGTATATACCCAGAAGTGGAATTGCTGAATTATATGGTAATTCAACATTTAATGTTTTGGGGAATGGTCATACTCTTTCCTGTAGAAGCTGTGCCATTTTGCATTTCCACCAACAGTGCGCAAGGGTTCCTATTTTCTACATCCCTGCTGGCACTTGTTTTCTTTTTCTTTCTTTCTTTCTTTTTTTTTTTTTTTTAATAGTAGCAATCCTAATGAGTATGAAGCAGTCTCACTGTGGTTTTGATTTGCATTTCCCTAATGCTTTGTGATGTTGAGCATCTTTTTATGCGGTTGTTAAACATTACTATATTTTTATAGTTTTATATTTAGTTTTAACACCATCGCTTCAAATAAAAAGTATTTTTGAATGCATTCACTTTAATTCCTCAAATTTCCTCTCCCAAATTACTTATTTTTAGTTCATTTCTTGCTTACTCAGACTAGAAACTTGACCATCATTTTCATCATCTATTATACTGAATGACTCTTCAAGTCCTCACATTTCTGTTTTTGTGATGATTCTTACACACATTTTCCCCCACTTGGGCTGTCACCTACCTCATCCAGAAGCTATTCCCTCACACTTAGACACTGCAATGGCTTCCTATGCACCATGACTTATTTTTTTGCACCAACTCCTATTCATCTTGAACACTGCTGCCAAATTAATCTGTCTTTAATATACCACATTTATTCTGAAATTAGTGTAATGAAGAAATTGTGATAACTATTGCATACTCCAGAGGTTCTTAGATTTGTCTCCCGTGGAATGTTTGTCTTCCCCGGAGCAGAAGTATTCTGTTGATAAAATAAAGTAATGGTAGCCTTTTTCTAAATCATAGAAAAATTAAATTGACGGCTAATTTCTTTTCAATTTTAGGCTTTTCTCCTACTTTTATTTATTTAGCCTTCTACACTTGCCATTGTTTGATTGGTGGCAGCTCCTGGCAGATAACATTATAAGAATATATATATATATATATATATATATATATATATTTGAAATTAATTGAAAAGCTCGGAAGTCATTAATCATATCTAGTTGGGCAGCTTGGGATTTTTGCCACTGTCATCATAGCTATTTATTTTGTTAATAAAAATATGTGTATAGTTTCCTACTAGATAAATATATGAATACTATAGTCATATTTTCAGCTGAGAAAATTTTTACACTTCATAAGGAACTAAAAGTACCCACATTAGTAATCCTTAATACTAACATGACTCTCAGGTTCTCTGTAATCTGACAAATTTGAAAACCAGTGATCTAATAATTGATTCTGGACTCCTCAACTTCTAAAGGCAGTCTCCCTAAAGGGATATCCTAAAGATGTTTATGATTTTCACATTTTGAGAGGGTGAGGAAAGGGGGGAAGCAGGTATTGCCAATGTTGGGAGATGATTTTCCACAGAATTTTCTTATAAGAATCTGCCCTTGGAAAATAAAAGGAAGTCACAGGCATTATGTTCAGGGTTAGATATTGAATATAATTTTACAAACAATGTATGACCAATTAGAGAAGGGTCTGTTATGGCCTGTAAGATCCTAGGAGACATCTGTTTCAATTTGTGTGTATCTCACATAAGATAAAGCAAATGTGACAATGTTATTACCTTCCATCCTCTATCCATCTGCTGATACTAGGGAATGAGCCAACTGATGACCCCACCGTCCTGATGTCATAGCATAGGACAATGTGGGTCAGTCTTGAGCCAGCTTTGCATGCATGCGTGGAAAAAGGTGACCCCAGTTACTGGCTTGGATGGCTTTACAGTTATATTTTTCTCATACAATAAGCAAAAATTTTACAAATTTTGTTTGAAGACCACAACCAATATTCTTGAACTCTCTCCCTGAATAAAGACCTTTGCAAGAGGGTCCGAGACATTTGCATCATCATTCAGTGAGACCTGTAAACACAGCATCTGCCTTTGACCACATCCATCTGGAAGAACCTGAGAGATAATCCATTTTATGAAATTTTCCCTACCCTGAAATGGGAGAATGGTAGGTAAAGTAGTGGCAAT
Source organism: Homo sapiens (assembly GCF_000001405.40). NCBI lineage: Eukaryota > Metazoa > Chordata > Mammalia > Primates > Hominidae > Homo > Homo sapiens. The sequence goes on from NC_000001.11 coordinate 221,983,164, forward strand.
CCCTTCTTCCTTTTCCTTCCGTGTGTGTGTGTGTGTGTGTGTGTGTGTGTGTGTGTGTGTGTGATGTAAAGAATGCACACTTCAGGTAAAATATGTGAGCAGCTAGGGAAGGTTTGGATTATTCAGCTCATAAAACATTCCACATCATCCTCCAAGGTGTACACTTCCTCCATATCTAAACTTTCACTATCCCCAACATTCACTCCAGCTAAGCCAGTCTCCTCCTTGTCCCTGGAACACATGACAACTCTCTACCACACCACCTCCATGCCTTTGCTCATGCTGTGTCTACACCAGGGATCATATCCCAGCCCTCCCTCCCCTCTGCCTCTCCAAATCCCATATATCCTTCCTCCAGGAAAACTTCTTGTATTATTCCAGTCCTCATATATCTCACTATTTCGAAAAAGTCCCTCTGTGTTCAGAGCTACTCCTTTATTGTGCCAACACAGCATCATTCCATATTAACTGATTCATTCATTAACCAATATTTAGTGGTTGCCAGCCATTTCCAAATAATTCTGCTAAATTCTCAGTTTTTACTGTGCTCAAGCAGATAAGTACACAAATAAGTATGACATAGACTAGAAAGTGAACATACATGAAAAAGGTGTGGCCATTCAGAAAAGAAGGCAATGAACTCTAACTGGAAGGATCAGGAAACACTTTGTGGAGGTGACTTTTGTGGTGGGAATTAAAGGATAGGAATGTTTGGAGGTAAAGAGTAGGGAATTCCAAACTCAGGAAACTGTCTGCAGGATGCATCTTGCTGGCAATACTTTGCTACAAAGCTGCCTGAAGAGGTGTCAAGGAAAGCTTCTGGCTGCTAGGTGCTGCTGGCTGCCATTTGCAGTGAAATCTGTATACTAGAAAAGCTACCTGTATTGTAGGAACCAAGTTCTGGAGAAGCTCCTGGGCTGCTAGAACTGGGTGCTGGAGAAACCAGGTATGCTGAAGGAGGTTGATGAAACAAACACACTGTAATCAGAAAGAGAATCCCCTTCCTCCTGCAGTATTCCACCAATAACTTCTACTGACAAAGCTTAACATTATGTCAGCTGACTTAGAAGAAATATTTGCAGGGTCCAGCTGCATTATCCACAGAATAGTGAATGAAGGATGGAGTTGGAGCTGAAAGAAAATAAGCTGACAACTGGCACAGTAAAGTATTTGGCTCCACAGTCTCTACGTATACCCTTCTATACATATTTACACTTCTGTGCAACAATGAAACAACTCTATATTTCACCTAAAAAGATACAGCTGTCTTAAAATGTAAAGAAGTCCTCAGCTTTGCTTTACAGTGAGGAGATGCACAGTCTCAGTTGTCATTATTTTCATCATTGGCTATATATTAAATATTTCTAAAATCCTGTCACAGTCTCTGTTACCTAAAAATAAATTTATAAAATTAACCCACAAGAACTTATATGTAAAATAAAAATAAGAAGAAGAAAATGTTAGCTTATATGAGGGGTCTTCAAAAAGTTCACGGAAAATGTGTATTTTTTATATATATAAAAATAGATGTGTGGATTTCAAACATTTTCGGCACAAAAGTAAACTCGTGCTAACTTGTTATAACATGCCTGAACAGAATCTAATTTGAAGCACTGAGAAGGATAAGGCATCCATTTGAAAAGGACTCCTATATTGCAACATGAATTCTGCTAAAATTGAAGCAAGAACAAACATCAAATTTATGATGAAGTTTGGGTAGAAGAACGATGAAATTAGTGACGCTTTATAAAAAGTTTATTGGGACAATACCCCAAATGAATCAGCAGTTTAAAAATGGATAACTTATTTTAAGAAGAAACAAGATGATGTTGAAGATGAAGCCTGCAACGGCAGACCATCTACATCAATTTGGAAGGAAAAAATTAATCTTGTTCATGCCCTAACGGAGGAAGACTGACAATTAACAGCACTGACAATAGCCAACAATGTAGACAGCTGGTTCACCTTACACAATTCTGAGTGAAAAATTAAAATTGAGCAAACTTTCCACTCAATGAGTACCAAAACTGTTGTACCCAGGTTAGCTGCAAATAACAGCAGAACTTTCAATTGAAATTTTAAACAAGTGGGATCAAGATCCTGTAGCATTTCCTTGAAGAACTGTAACAGGAGATGAAACATGACTTTACAATATGATCCCAAAGACATAATCAAAGCATAATCAAAGCAATGACTGCCAAGAGGTGGAAATGGTCAAGTCACAGCAAAAGCAGATGAGCAATGAGCAAAGGTCATGGCAAAGTTTTTTGGTGATGTTCAAGGTGTTTTACTCGTTGACTTTCTGGAGGGCCAAAAAACAATAACATCTACTAATTATGAGAGTATTTTGAGAAAGTCCGTCAAAGCTTTAGCAGAAAAACACCCAGGAAAGTTTCACCAGAGAGTCCTTCTTCACCATGACAATGTTCCTACTCATTTTTCTCATCAAACAAGGGCAATTCTGTGAGATTTTCCATGAGAAATCATTAGGCATCCACCTTACAGTCCTGGTTTGGTTCCTTCTAACTTCTTTTTGTTTCCTAATCTTAAGAAACTTTTTACCTTAAGTTAAAGTATATAGCTATTTAAGATTTCCTAATCTTAAAAAAATTTTTCTTCAGTTGATAATATGAAAAAGATTGCACTGACATAGTTAAATTCCCAAGACCCTCAGTTCTTTATGAATGAACCAAATGGCTGATGTCATTGTTTATAAAAGTGACTTGAACTTAACGGAACTCATATTGAAAAATAAAGTTTATATTTTATGTTTTTACTTGTTAATTTTATTTTTCCACAAATTTGGAAGTCCCTTGTACATACAATAAGATAAATATGCAAAGTGACCACGGTCTTCATTTCTATAATTGGTTAAGATGCTATTCATAATTGACATCTATGGTTAAAATGCTATTCACAATTGATATCTATGATTTTATTTTTCCATAATCCATTTTATATTTTCATCTTTCTCAGTCAGAACTTCAGCTGTTTGGGGTTCTTTACCTGGTAGAGTGATCCAAACCTTCATTCTTTAAGGGCTCACTTGTTGTTCTGCTTTTTCTGCCTTTTTGTTGTTGTTTTTTTTTTTTTTTTTTTGCTATAGCTTTTCATTAACCTTTACTACTGTGCATAATGGTATTAAAAGGTACCCAGGAGAATTCTCCTTGCCTCTGCTGTGAGCAGTGGCCTGTTTCCCTTGGTAAATTGGGACCAGTTCTTTCAGCCAGTAGGATGACCTCTTTTTCTGCCTGTTGGTTCAGTGGCACAAGGATCCTAAAGTGGCCACGTGGCAACCTCATCTTCCAATTTATTGGAATTATTGTTGTATCCCCTGGTGGAAATGTTTTCTCTCTAGGTCCTAAAACTTCCAAACAAGCAGATCTCACAAATAGCAGAAAAGGAAGCAAAAAATTCTGCAAGTGGGTTCTTAGGTGTAATGGTGCATACAAAAAGTACTAACCAAATAGTTAAAACATTGAAAAAGATAAACAAGAGTTTACCAAAATTTAAAACTTGCTCTGTGTGAAACACTTATTTAAAAAATGAAGAGACAAGACACCAGCTGTGGGAAAATACTTGCATTTCCCTCATTATTAATGATGTAGAGCACTTTTCATTACTTATTGGCCATGTTTTTTTCTTTTGTGAATGCCTGTCATTTTAATTGGATTTTAATCTTTTTATTACTGAGTTATGAGTGATTTATATATTCTAAATGCACATCATTTGTCAGATATATGTGTTATGAATATATTTCTCAATCTGTGGCTTGAGATTGTGGCCTATTTATTTTTTAGAGTCTGTTTTGACTAGCAAAAGTCTTGAATTAGAGTCTGGACTTACTAAGTTAAAGACGTTGATTAGACATCCAATTGGAGATGTGGGCTAAGCAGTTGGATGTTAGAGTCTGGAGTTCACGGTTGAGATCCAGGCTGTAGCTGCACTTGAGGGGTTCTCAGAATATAGATGGATTTTAAAGCCATCAGATTGGATGCTGTCATCTAGGGAATGGGTACAGATAATGAAGAGAAGAGGGACTGGCTCTGCGTTCTAGGACACTCTGACATTAAGAGGTTGAGAGAAGAAGAAAATCCAGCAAAGGGGACTAAAGATGTTGACGAGTAAATAGGAAAATAATCAAGAAGGTGTGGTGTCTTAGAAGTGAAACCAAGAAAATATTTCCAAGAGGAGAGAGAGATCAGTAGTGACAAATGCTAGTGAAAGTCAAGTATGGTCGCAACTAAAAACCGACCCTTGGGTTTGGATACATGGATGTCATAGATGGCCTTGACAAGAGCAGTTTTGATTGCTAATGGGGCATAGTATCTACCATGGAGGAAGAAACCAGAAAAGGGCTGGGTTATTTTGAGTGAGAAAATGGAGGTCTTGATTCAATCAAAGAATAATTTTAGGGAATAAGGGAATGTGAGAGCTGTATGAGCAGAAAATTATCAAAGACTTTAAGCTCTCAGAAGTTAAGTCATTCTGGTTCATGACAGCTTTGAGGGTGTAGCTATGGGTTTGCTTATCTGGTACAAATGGAGCTGAAGAACTTCAGAGTTGAGGAGTTTAAATACCTGTGAAACCCAGTGTTAGATGGGTTATGCACACAGACATTGATGTTGCCCAAGGGAAAGGCAAGAGGTGATGAGGAACAAGCCCTGAACCTGGAAAAGCAAGATATGTTCTAAGAGTGGACGGAGGGCTAAAGGACTACGATGCACTATTTAACCACCAGCCAAAATACACACTAGTCACTTTTTTTTTCTTCCTATTATCATGATTGAACATGTAAGGAATAAAGCAGCTGTTCAGAATTTTAGGGATTTACCAAAAAGAACAAATGGGCCCTGTCATGTGGGCTGTGTCATGCCATTCCTCAATGAGCTAAGATAAGTGATTCATGGGTATGAGTCACCATGACATCTGTCACATTGGATCTCTAAAGACGGTATGGATTTGCGTTGAGATGACCTTGCTTTTTAGGGCCCTGTGTGTAGGGGTGTGTGTGTATGTACGTGTGTGTGAGACTATAGCATCATGAACTAAAGAATTTGAAACTTTCTGATTTAAAATATTTAGAGAAGAAGAAAACATTCCAGATGAGACTGAATGCTCAGATTCGACTTTCATTTTTGTCTTGATAAAAAAGAGATATTAATACAACCTGATTCCTGAGCCATCCTCTGAACACTTACTGAGGCCCACAGCAGTGTTTCAAGTGGATACCTGGTGGTATCTTCACAGTTTAAAACAAAAATACAATACCCTCTGTTTACTTTGCCTTGGCATACATTTTAGTTCCCTAGGTCCAGGAATTGACATCCTATAGAATCCCAAAGAAGTGTCTGGGACCACAGGAAATGTCACATCAAAGAGATAAATGATCAATGTCCGGTGCTTACATAAAAACCTTTATCACATGAAAGTGAAACGTGGGCTGCTGGGCTTTGGATGAGGCAGATCAGGGTTTCAGGATCAACTCTGCCACAGATCTGCCTTGAACACTTAAGCTAAGACGTTACCTCCCCTGAAATTCTGGACCATCTTTTGTAAAAATAGAAATAATATTACTCAAGTTAAAGGATTGTCATGATAATTAAATGAACAGACTTAAATGAAATCTTCTGACCCAGGCTCAGCAAATATTGATTTCTTTCCCTTCCTCCTGTCTTCCCTTCTTCAGTAAGAGAGAAGCCTATTTGAGTGTCAAAAACTGCCTCAAACCCAAAAGACAATGCATTAGAAAATGCCCTGGAAATTATAAACTATATCATTGTGTCATGCTAATTAAAAAGTGCCTAAGCTGCCAGTAGGCCCAGGTTGGGTTCAAGTCTATACTTCACAATTTATTGGATGTGTGACTGTTGGTAATTAATGTACCTAGCCTCAGTTTTCTCCTCTGTACAATGGGATAACAGCCCCTATCTCAGATGGTGGTCACTGAAAAGTTTCAATCAAAGAATGTGTATAATGTGCTCAACAAGGTTTTTATCATGTAGTAGCATGTACTCAAAAGCTGTTAGCTAGAAGATCCACCTTTTAACTATCTTGGTTATGATCTAATTCTACTCTTTCTCCCAGAAGTAATAGGGAAAGTTAAAGGGAAGGTAGAGGAACAAAACAGTTTTAGAGGTCTTGCTCTTGTCTTGGTAACAGAGAAGCCCATTCTAAACACCTACCACCTGCCCTCCACCTCATCTGGCAATAGCACTCCTAGAGAGCACAGATTCCACCGTCACTGTGACAATGAACAGGTGGGTGTGGGGAGGGGCTCTCTGAGAGATGTTCACACACACACACACATGCACACACACCAGCTTGGAAACCCAGGACAAAACATCCAAAAGCCCCTCAAAAATGAAAAAAAAAAATTGGTCCAGCCAATTTTGGTGAAAAATATCTGAGTTTCAGAGCAATTGTAGAAAAAAGTCTGGGAGGCTACAAAGCACCAGGCAGCACCTCCAGACCAAAGGGGATGGCCAAGCCCTGGGTATGCTGTGGAGAATCGGGTCTGCAGGTGCTCAGCACCAGGGTGCATGGTGGTGCTTCTCTTCCCTCTTACCCCCACAGGTCTGGGATTCTACAGAAGTATAAATTGAAGGGTGAGAGGTCTTCTTGGGTTTTTGGCAGGGAGCTTCTAGTTGTGGTTTGTTTAGTTTTTAAAGATAAAAATAGTAGTGATATATGTATATAGGGTGTGTATTTGTGTGTAATGGTAGTGAAAGATGGTGTTGAATCACTTTGAAAGCTTTGCTAAACTAAACATAGTTGACCTTTCCTCTACCCATTCCTAAAACACGAAGGTTCTAATTCAATAATTCTGTTGAGAGGTCTGGATGTAAGTCTTTGGAAAAAGAGTTCAATTCTTTGAGACTTTGATTCATGAGACTCCCCAGGCAGCAGAGAGAACCAGTAAAAGAATATCAGCAAAGCCATCTCTACCTACCCCCAGTTTGTTTAGAAGCAGAAAGTTAAAGTAATCCAGAACTCTTCCATGCAGGGCAGGAGCATTCAGTCCACAAGAGGCTTCCAGATTACCCATTATGTTACCCATTAATATTTTGCTACTCTCAATACCGTGTTTTCTTTCTTCTTTCCCTGCTTTGCTTTAATCCTCCCTCTGTTTTTTTATTCTTTCCCCTTTCTCTGCTTCCTATTAGCTTCTATGATATTTGCAGGGCTGGTCAGCATAATATTAAGGAAGTTTTTGCCACTGCTCTATTTTAATGCCCTCCCACCAGGGCTCCCTCAGGGGCCCTCCATTGCACCTTCATTGTGATGCTCTTTAGTTGCTGCTGTTTCCCACAGTATAGCAGGGAAGGGGCTCATCTGCACCTGCCCTCTCTTTGCTGGTGACACACTGTTCTGCCCAGGCTGATCCCTGCCCCTCTTCCTGCCACCCTCATCCATGCTAACCTCCATTCTGATGTTCCTGCTTCCCAAGACACCATGGTGGAGAGCAGTGCTTCTCCAACTTAAGCTTGCACCGGAAGCCTTTGGAAGGCTTGTTGAAACTGATCGCTGAACCCCAATCCTCAAGGTTCTATTTCTAAATCTGAGTTAGAGCCCACGACTTTGCTTTTCTAACAAATTCCCAGGTGATATAAAGGCTGCTGGTCCAGAGACCACACTTTGAGAACCACTGATGGTGAGGAAAGAATGGACATGGGGGCCAACCTCTGCTAACTTTCATTTCTAGTTTAGCTGCTGATCAGTTGAGTGACCCAAGCAATTTATTTGCCCCCCTGAGAGGCTTGGTTTTCTCAGTTGTAAAAATATGTTGACAATAACTTTCCAGTACTGTTATTAAATAGGACATTGTCTTTCTGGTCTTCTCTGTGAGAATCAGAAGTTATTCAATAGGATCAGAAACACTGAGCTCACCTTATCAGCAATTGCTAGTTATGCAAGCATTACTGCCACCAATACCAATGTCATATGGCGACTGCAAATGTGTGGCCTTGGCTCATGTGGGAAACCACTTAAATATACAATCCCAGGATTCTCTCACCTTCCCCTGACACTTAGGCTTCCTATAAATATATAGTTTAAGTAGAGAAGGGAAAAAAGTCACTTTCATCTTCCTGGTTCTCACTCCCCTTCCTCCCTTATTCATGCCTTTCATTCTGGAATCATGTAGCTAATTCTAAAGGGCACATTTTGTCCTTAGAAGGTATGTGCAGGGCTTACATTCCTGTGCTCAAAAGAGAGTGTGGTCTAATGGGTAGGAAGTGGGTGTGGAAGGAATGGTAGGTTCTATTTAAAGCCTCCCTACTGACTCACGGAGGCATCTAGGGAAATGGCTTAACTTTTCTGAGACTTGGGTTCCCTCTTGTTAAAAAAAGGACAGATAACCCCTTCTTAGCAGGGTGCTTCTGAGGACAGAGAACTTAGTGTTTGAGAAGCACTTGGAGGTGGGGAGCTATCTGATCATATAAATATGGAATCTAGAGATGCACATTCTTTCTCCACCTTCTCACAAGCTTTATACAATGATTCTGTCCAGCCAGTTAGGCAGGTCAAGATCCCATCCTGACCCATCTGGAGACTTAGAGATTGGTAACATTTGGGAAAATAAAAAAATTTTAAGCATTCCTGCTGGGCCTACATCTCATTTCCCCTGAGATGTGGGGTAAGGAGAAGGCAGGTGCAGGAGAGTCATGGCCCAGGTGTCTGAATATAAGCAGTCTCGGCCTGGCTGTTACCATCTTGAGGTCTTGGGCCAGAGCCTGCCCCACTCTGAGTTTAAAGCTCTGATTATCTCTGACTCTGCTGCCAGCTCTTTGACACCCCAAGGTTCTATAGTGCTGAGTAGTGAAGTCTTTTGGAAGTAAATAGAAAATAGCTTTTGTTTCCTACTAGGAGATCACAATTCCACCTGCACTGTCTTTTCCACCTTCCCATGGAGAGGCTCCCATGCATCAGCTATTTACTATTTCAGTTTTTTAATGGAGTTCTTACTTGCCTTGGGCTAGAGACTGAGCTAGAACTGGGAATACAAAAGATAAGACAAGGTACCGGCCTGTGAAGCATACCATCTAGCAAGAGAAATGGCTCCTTGGAGAATGGCAGCACAGAGGAGAGTTAACCCCCACTGAGAGTTTGAAAAGGGCTTCAAAGAATAAAAAGGAAGAAAAAGGAAACTATGGCTTATTGGGATAAAAAATTAAATGGCTTATTCACCTATTTTGCCAAGTACAAAGCTAGTTGCTTTATGTACATAAATGTATTTATCCTATGAAAATGCTTAATAGGAGGCCAGTAGGCTGCAGAAACTCCAGCACCCTGGGTCTCTTCCTAAGCAAACCAAAACCCAACTCAATGTAAACAGTGAAACAAAGCTTAAGCTTATCCTATCAGAAATCACCAAGTAGCTTCTAACTAGGGACTTTACCAATCAGAAACCACCAACTAATCTCTAACTAGGGACTTTCCATTTTAACCAATCAAATGCTTCCTCTGTCTTTCTTTCACAAACACCGTATAAAAGTATCCCCTTCGCACCCCTTCAGTGGAGTGCCAAACCACTTGTGGTCTAATGCTGCCCAGGTCATGAAATGCTGAATGCTCAAACTCATTAGAATGTTAATATGCCTAAGTTCATTTTTTAACAATCCTTACATTAATCTTAAGAGGTAGATATTGTTTTCCACAATATAAAGCTAAGCAAAGTTGGGCATGAAGAGAGTAATACATTCCCTTGTGTCCACAGAGTTAGCACATGATGGGGCAGTGATCAGGCCAAGGTGTATTGGATTCTATAGCATTCCCTCTTCGAGATGTGAAATTTTACCTGGACCCTAAACAATCACAAAGATGTCTCCCATTAGTGAAGGGGAAGTTTCTCCGAGTAGAAGGAGCTAAAAGAACAAAATCAGAGAGTTTGGATTACACTAGTGGTCACAACGTAAAGGCAGACACAGGCAGTCTCAGGACATAAGGTTGGAAGACAGGTAACTCCAAATGTTCTAGATGCTCTTCTGGGCTGCTGTGCTCTAGGGACTGAGGAGCTATGGAAATGGGAGCAACTTGACTTGATTTTTGCCCTTTAAAGCTGCTTCTTTAACAACAGTGTAAAGCAGTGGTCCCCAACATTTTCGACATCAGGGACAGGTTTGTGGAAGACAATTTTTCCACAGACCGGATTGGAGGGATGAATGAAGTGTATTACATTTATTGTCCACTTTATTTCTATTATTATTACCTTGTAATATATAATGAAATAATTTTACAACTCATCATAATGTATAATCAGTGGGAGCCCTGAGCCTGTTTTTCTGCACTACAAGGTCCCATCTAGGGGTGATGGGAGACAGTGACAGATCCTCAGTCATTACAGTCTCATAAGGAGCACACAACCTAGATCCCTTGCATGCACAGTTCACAATAGGGTTCATGCTTCTATTAGAATCCAATGCCAACACTGATCTCACAGGAGGTGGAGCTCAGGTGGTAATGCCAGTGATGAGGAGCAGCTGTAAATACAGATGAAATTTTGCTTGATTGCCTGTCTCTCACCTGCTACTGTGAGGCCTGGTTCCTAACAGGCCATAGACTGATACTGGTCCATGGCCCAGGGATTGGAGACCCCTGGTGGAAAGGATGAATTAGAAAAGAGTGAGATTGTGTTCATTCATTTACTCATTTGCAGGCACTCATGAAATGATACTGGGGAAAGGAGACCAGTGAAAAAATGACAGCAGTAGCCCAGAAGAGAGATGATGAGGACATGAGCCAAGCTCTTGCTTCCCTGTCTTTGACATTTCAGTACATGGAGAAGACCTAGGAAAGCCCATAGGGCATATGCTTGGAATTCTGAGAGCTATCGGGAGGTCTAAAGTAACCCCTGAGCCAAGATCTTTGGGGCTACATAATAGAAATGAATTTAAACTAGACCTGAAGGTTTGTACCTTTTTACAAGAATGCTTCAGAAACAGACCTGGTCCTCAAAGCTTCAAGGCCCAATGGGGATTCTTATCTCCTTTGGGAAGGAACTAGGGAGTCTTGATTCAAATGTCTCCGGACCCTCCCGAATATATATCCTCTTAACAGAAGAAAGAGCTGTTCTCGCTTAACCAGGCCTCTAATGCTAGTTAGAAAAAGAACAGGGTTCTAAGACATCAACTGCTTGCCTGAAAGGGGAAGAGAATCAGCTGACTCATATACTGGTCCTTTTAGGCTGCATGGTTTGAGTCATGATGCTCAGGAGAGTTTCCAGCACAGCAGACCTCAGGGAAGGCAGGGCTTAAATCCAGGTAGCCCACTGTGGAGTCAGGAAAGCTGTAGGGACAAACTGGAAGTTGATGGCAGAGAGGTGTTTTCACTGAGGTGCAGATCAACACAGCACCATCCTACAGCCCCATGGAGTCCAAAGGGAGGCCAAGAGGATGTGGAAAGAGTGAGATGGTACACCCACTTCCTAGAGTTGCACTGACTTTTAGAGTTGCACTGACTCTAAAAGTGATCAGAAAATGGAAATGATGGTGTTTCCTGTTCAGTTTGAGACCCAAGTAACTGGCCTCATCTTCACCTCTATCAAAGAACTCACTTCTCAACTTGACTCTCAACCAGTACCTATTCTTCCTCCCATTACTTAGACGGGCGACAAGGTTAATGCACAGCTCACTAAGAGTTAGATAACCTAGAAGAGTCAGAAGAGTTCTGGTTCCTTCTCTGCCACTTACTAGATCTCTGGCTTAGCCTCATTTGCTTTGTCTTTTTATTACAAAAACAAAGAAACTATAAAATGATGGGTTTAGAAGAACAGACTTCCCTTTAAGGTCTCTTCCAGTTATAACAATCTCTTATTTGATTCATTCTCCAAGCCTCCCACTCCTTACTGCACTTATTTTAATCTTTTTTTTTCTCCTTTCTCTGTGTTTTCTTGCTTATGAAATGAGTGTGTGTGAGTAATGTTCATATGCTGATGAACACAGTTGGGTCTTTGTCGTCCGTGATAATGAGAAATGGATCATGTGGATAACCCCAAACTGAAAACACTGTTCAAGTATGTGACGGAGGAACATTCCAGTCTGACTAACAATCTAATGTTTAGTTAGGGCTGCACTCACTGAGTATCCATTATCTAGTTAGCAGGATGGGCAGAGAGAAGTTAACTGGGTTAACTGGGTTAGTTTGTGAAAAATAGGGACTGATGCTGCGATGTGCACATTGGCCGAGTCTCCTCCACTAAGCAATGGCTTGTTTTGTAAATTAGACTTGCTTGGTTTGTGCGATTAATACTACAATGGCCAGTGTTTAGGACATGCCCAGGGACAGGAGTGGAGGCTGCAGTAAGAAAAGAAAAGATAATTGCTAGAGATTTTAGGAGACTGAGGGACTCAGAACCAAGAAGGGTCACAGTACCTTGGGTCAAGAGTGGCTCAGCCAGCAGTGACGAGGGCATGGCCCCTCCTCTGGGCTCTGCTGTCACCTTGATTCACCCTACAGGTGGCTCTGCACTAAGGAAACCCCCTTGGACATTTACCAGATGGAATTAGACCTCACAGATAGGGGAGCCACTGTGTGCCCATATGCACCTCTGATTCTGCAGCCTGGCCAGGCCAGCTTTTCTGGAATGAAAATGGGTAAGAGGATGCTTCAGGGCTATTTGTGACCATTTCCCTAGGACTCATGTCCTGCTATGCTCCCTGCCCACTCCACTAGCAATCTGGTCTCTAACAAGCCCCTCATGCTCAATTACCCCTTATCAGTTGGTGGAGACATGTGGCATGGGTGTCTCAGGTGAGTTTAAATGTAAATTTGAGCTGAGTCAAGATATTATACAAAGCTTGTGGGAGGCTGAGGTGGGCAGATCACTTGAGATCAGGAGAGTTCGAGACCAGCCTGGCCAACATGGTAAAACCCCGTCTCTACTGAAAATACAAAAATTAGCCAGGTGTGGTGGGGGCGGGGGGGGCACCTGTATTCCCAGCTACTTGAGAGGCTGAAGCCAGAGAATCACTTGAACCCAGGAGGCAAAGGTTGCAGTGAGCCTAGATCGTGCCATTGCACTCCAGCCTGGGTGACAGAGATTTGGTCTCAAAAAAAAAAAAAAAAAAAGATATTATACAAAGCTTGTTCTGTTCATAAAAGGTTGAACATTACTGTATAAGACTACAGATCACACAATTCTGCATGTTTTATTTTATAATATTTTATTTTTATTTTTGGTAGCAGAAGGATCTCACTATTTTGCCCAAGCTGGCCTTGAACTCCTGGCCTCAAGTGATCCTCCCACATCAGCCTCCCAAAATGCTGGGATTATAGGCATGAGCCACCACTCCTGGCCTAGATAAACTTTGATTTCTCTTTTATTATAAAGGTAACATGTTTGTTACCTTTTGCTACCATGTTTGTTACATGGTTGTATTTGGAAAATATAGTAGAAGTATACAAAAGAAAATGTAGACTTGTTATACTGTAACACCCAGCCAGAGATAAGCACTATTAATGCTTTGGCATATTATTTGTATTGTCTTTCTGATAAATAGAGATAAGATAGATGTCATTGTATATAGTTTCATATCTTACATTTTCTAACAATTTTGTAAGCATGTTCTTGTCATTTAGTTTTTTTAATGTTATATGTTAATGTCTCCATAATAATTTAATTACATCTGTGTACAACAATTTATTAAGCATTTCTTTGTTATTGAGAGAGTGTTTCTAACCCTTTGCTTATCTTATATAATGTAGCAATGAAAACCCTCTTGCGTGAATAGTTCTTTGAACTGCTGTGTTTTTCCTCAGCAGATTCCTTACAAAAAGAATTTCAGGATAAAGGTATACAAAGATTTTTAAGTTTCTTAAATAAATTGTCAAATAGTTTTCTAGATAAGTGGCAACAATTTATACTTCTACTGGCTGTCACAACAGTAAGAACTGTCATGTTTTATTTTATTTATTTATTTATTTATTTATTTTTGAGACAGTCTCACTGTGTCACCCAGGCTGGAGTACAGTGGAGCAATCATGACTCACTGCAGCTTCTACCTCTTGGGCTCAAGCCATACTCCCACCTCTGCCTCCCAAGTAGCTGGGACTACAGGCGCTTGCCAACACACCCAGCTAATTTTTGTATTTTTCATAGAGACAGAGTTTTGCCATGTTGCCCAGGCTGGCCTCCAACTCCTGAGTTCAAGTGATCCACCCACCCTGGCCTCCCAAAGTGCTGGCATTACAGGAGTGAGCCACTGCACCTGGCCAAAACCTGTCATGTTTTATAATGTTTGGAACTTTATATATGCAAAAAAAAAGTGATAACAAAGTTTTATTGAAATTTTCTTGAGTTTATTTTGTGTGGTTGAAAACTCTGTGTATGTTTATAGAATGCTCTATTTATAATCTTTGCCCATTTTTCTTTCCTAGTGAAATATTCTTATTTATTTATATGAGCTTTCATGAGATTTATATGAGATATATATATACATGCATATGTATATTAATCCTTTGCTATCTATGCTGCAAATTTTTTCTACATGTTTTCTGTCTTTTAATTTTGCTAATGATTTCAACATTAAAAAGTTTTAGGCTGGGCACGGTGGCTCACGCCTGTAAGCCCAGCACTTTGGGAGGCCAAGGCAGGCACATCACTTGAGGTCAGGAGTTCAAGACCAGCCTGACCAACATAGCCAAACCCTGTCTGTCCTAGAAGTACAAAAAAATTAACCAGGCATGGTATGTGTGCCTGTAATACCAGATACTCAGGAGTCTGAAGCAGGAGAATTGCTTGAACCCGGGAAGCAGAGGTTGCAGTGAGCCAAGATCTCACCACTGTACTCCAGCCTGGGCAACAGAGTGGGACTCCATCTGAAAAAACAAAAACAAAAACAAAAAACAAAAAAGAACCCCTTAAATTTACTTGTATTCAAATCTTTGCTTTTACCTTGTAATTTCTTCCATGCTTTTTGTTTATAATTCCTTCTCCACTTTGAAGACAGGAGAATATTTATTTGTATTTTGAGATGTTTTATTTTTTGTAATTAACTTGATAATTCATCTTGTGTTTATTTTACATGTAGCACGAGGTGAAGATTTAACTGGCGATCATTCCCCAAACTGTTTGCTGACTAATCCATTTGTGTGTGGTTTTCCTTATCATGTATTAGATCCCCACACACATCATGGGTGTCTTGGCCTATACCCCAAACTCCCTTTCAGGAATGAAGGACTTTGTTTCTCCAGCAGCTAGAAGACAGCTCTCAGCTGCCAGTTCTTTGGGGATTGACTCTGCAGAAAAAAAAAAAAAAATCTGCCTGAAAAAGAATCTAAATGACCTTCTAAGCCCCACAGCTCCCTATGTGGTGTGTGGCTGCAGCCTTTCTTGGGACTGAATCACAGCTCAACTTATCTCTGTGCTCAATTTCACTTCTGTCCTCTCCTTCCATGCTCACCCCAAGCACACTCCCTAATGAATGTCTGATATGGTCTGGCTGTGTGTCCCAACTCAAATCTCCTCTTGCATTGTAATCCAAATTATAATCCCTATATGTTGAGGGAGGGACCTCACGGGAAGTGATTAGATCATGGGGGCAGTTCCCCCATGCTGTCCTCATGATAGTGAGTAAGTTCTCATGCTATCCGATGGTTTTATAAAGGGCTTTTCCCCCACTTCACTCTTCACTCATTCTCTCTCCTGCCACCCCGTAAAGAGGTGCTTTCTGCCATGATTGTAAGTTTCCTGAGGCCTCCCCAGCCAGGCAGAACTGTGAGTCAATTAAACCTCTTTTCTTTATAAATTACCCAGTCTCGGATATTTCTTCATAGCCGCATGAGAACTGACTAATACAAAGTCCTACAACCTAATCTCCATATCAGAGTCAGCTTCCAGGGAGTACAGCCTATGACATACATAAAGGCCCATGATCTGCAATCCAAAATTTCAAAATTAGCGAAGTTCTAAAAAGCACATTTTTTTTTCTTTTTCATGAGTTTCGTGCCAACGTTCACTTGGGAACAAAATATGACTTGAATCAGTTGGAGGCTGTTTGTAGTTTTTATGTGTCCTACTGAGTTTCATTACAGAAATATCAATATGTTTGTTTATGTAGTACTGGTCCTGACCCCACTGGGTTCTGAGGTCTATGAAGTATTCAGTAATATTTAGGATATAACCAAATTACCTTTCTGAAATTCAAATTTTAAATTCACAAACATATGTAACCCCAAGAATTTAAGACAAAGGACAGTGGGCCTATATGGGATATATTTTGAAATTTACCTTGATGTATATGCTGTTTTGATGGCAAAATCGTCATTAAGCATTTAAAAATCTCGTAAGTTAAGTCTTCTCCCTTAGTATTACTATTCTTTTGCAAAATACTTTTTGTTATTCCTACCTGTTTACTCTTTGAGATGAACTTCAGAATCATTTTACCAAATTATCTCCCCAAATTGAGATTTCCCTTGAAATAATACTATGCCTAAAAGTTAATCCAGGGACCATTAATATCTTCAAAGTATTTATCTCATCTAAGAATATGATAAGTCTATCTCTTTGTTGATGTTGACTTTTACAGCTCTAGGTAAGTTTTAAAACTTCTTCAGAAAAGCTCCACATGTATTTCATTAGAGTTATTGCAATGACCTAGATTTTTGTTGTTATTCTGAAAGAAACTATGAAAGTTTTTTTCCTACTAATTATCCTAATTATTATTTGCTTATAGAAAAAAAATCCTTTCATAATTTTACTTTTTATTGCCTCACTTCTGAAATTACATTAATTCTAAGAGCTTTTCAGTTGAATTATCTTGATTTTTCTTTGTATTTAATTATGTCATCTGCAAATAATGATAATTTTGTCCTCTTTTAAAATATTCATGCATCCTCTTTCCATTTTATACCACATTGTGCTGGACAGTATGTTCATTGGTAAGAACGTGAAATAATGATGGCAGTGGCAGAAATTCTGGTCAGCTTCCCAGTTTTAATTGGGATTGTCCCTAGTGCTCCACGATTAAGCATTATGCTGGCTGGTGTTTTATGATGCTTATTTTTAATCATCTATAGAAATATTCTATTCTTAGTTTTCTAAAGGTTTCTTTTTCATCTGTAAGAAATATGTTGCATCGTATCCTATATTTTTTGACATTTGTTGAAATTACCATATGTTTGTCTCCTTTGAAATATTGCTATGATGCAATATATTAATAGATTCCCTAATATTAAAAACATTCTTAAACTTTACGACATCCCTTATTTCATTGTAGTGGGTAAGTTTCACTTATTCTTTATAAAAATATGGATTTTTACGTACATATTTATAATTGAGACCAGTCTATAGTGATTAACTCCTCTCAAATGTGAAAGCAGATGTTATCATCTGGGGAGCAATTTTAAAATGAAGATTACATAATCCAGTAGCCATGACAGAAGAGAAAGATGAATTTGATTCTCAAACAATTTTAATTTTCTAATAGAAAGTAATGCTCTATAGTTAAAATAAAAATAGTCATGTGTTAACAAATTGACAGGAGATCAATTTCATATTCTTCAAAGTGCTCAAGAAATCAATTATGAAAAGAGAAACAATCTAATAGTAAAGTGAACAGTGGTTATGAACAGGCATTTTACAGAAACAAAATTATAGATGAGCAATATAATTTGAAACAATGCCCAACCTCTTTGTTAATTAAAGACCTACAATTAAAACTCTAATAGGTATTGTTTTATGCCTATCAAAAATAGCAAAGTTCCCAACATTTGACGATGATACCCAGTCCTGGCAAGAGTATGGGGAAATGGGAATTCCTATTCCTTGTTTCCAGAGAAGGGTTTGGCAATAGTTATCAAATTAAAATCTGTGTCCATTAGATCCAGCAATTCCGCAGCTAATAATTTACAGTATGGATTTATTCACCAAATATACATAGAAAGTACAAAACTAAGTCAAAACAACTGTTATATCCACTAATAGAAAACCGATTGAATAAATTAAGGCATATTTATTTGATAGATAGTATGTTGTTATGAAAAAGAATAGATAGATCTGTGTGTACTGATATGAAAAATTTCAAATATAAATTATTAAGTGAAGGAAAGCAAATTGCAGAAGAGTAAGCATATTCTGACCCTTTTTGTAGATATGTTGAATGTTGGACAAATATAGATGCTAGTATGTGCATCTTTTTTATTCTTCATACTACACTGTTACCTAGGAAATATGTATAAGAATAAGGTAGTAAGGCCGGGCACGGTGGCTCACGCTACCATGTAATCCCAGCACTTTGGGAGGCCAAGGCAGGCGGATCACCTAGGGTCAGGAGTTTGAGACCAGCCTGGCCAATATGGTGAAACCCCGCCTGTACTAAAAATACAAAAACATTAGCCAGGTGTGGTGGTGGGTGCCTCTAATCCCAGCTACTCAGGAGGCTGAGGCAGGAGAGAATTGCCTGAACTCGGGAGTCGGAGGTTGCAGTGAGCCAAGATCATGCCATTGCACTCCATCCTGGGCAACAAGAGAGAGACTCTGTCTCAAAAATAAAATAATAATAAGATTGTGAGAAGGAAGGAGGTCAAGGACACGTTTTATTGTGTACTCTCTGCACTGTCTGAATCTTCTATATTACCTCCACTAAAATGTAATATCAGCAAAAGTTTTCTGACATTTTTAAAGTTTGTTTGCTTCTAAGTACTTTTTAATATTAAATTGATAATAAGAATTTAATATCATATTCCCAGGTTCCATCCTTAATGATTCAAAAGGTGAGATGTGGAACCCAGGAACCTGACATTTTTACAAATATTCCCAGAAAATTCAACGTAGGTGGTTGGGAAACACACTGAAAATCTCAGTTCTGTAGCTATGCTATTTTGCTTTATCTCATTCAAATATGAATACCAACATGAAGCCAGCATAATATCTGTCCATGATTTTCTATGATCTGGAAAAGTTACATAGCATATGAATTATCAATGTCTTGAAAATATGGAAAAAATACCAATAAAATAAGAACCTTTGTAGAAATAATGCATTGATATCTTACTTATTTTCTTCAAAAGCTAATTTTATAGTCTTCTACTTATTTTTTTGAATCACATAGAGTCAATTATGTTTTCATCCCAAAGTACAGAGATTTTCAAACTTATTGCCGTAGTGAAACAAATAAATCTCTAAAATTTTCTTCTCTACCATATCCATTATATAACCCCTTTCTGATTTCTCAGTTTTATTTATGAATATCCCTTTCATTTTTCCTTTATTATCCTCTATTTTGTAAGTATTTCTAAAGAAGCTAGCCCTTGAACTTTTTGATTAGCACTAATTATTCTGTCCCTGTTCTCTATTTAATATCTGCTTTTATCTTTATTATTTCTTTCCATTTCTATTTTAATTAAATGAGTTTTATTGTTTTTTGCAACTTAAAACAGTCATTTTCACCCTTCTCTACTTAATTATAAAAGCATATGAAGTACTATATGTTACTGTAAGTATAATCCTAGCCACATATCATAATTTTCTAAGTAAGTCTCTTAATATGATTCATCATCTTTAGCAATAATTTTACTTTTCCTTTAACATAGTGGTTAACACATCTTAAAGAATTGTCATGTAACCGTTCCATGTAACTGTGGCTCATACCTATAATGCCAGCACTTTTGGAGTCCAATACAAAAAATCACTTGAAGCCAGAAGCTCAAGACCAGCCTGAGCAACAGAGACTCTCATCTCATCTCTACAGAAAAAAAAAACAAAAAAAATTAGCCAGGTATAGTGGCATGTATGCCTGTGGTCCCGGCTACTCCAGAGGCTGACGTGAGATCACTTGAGCCCCAACCCAGAGTTTGAGGCTGCAGTGAGCTTTGATCATGCTGCTATGCTCCATTCTAGGACACAGAGCAAAATACTGCCTCTTAAAACTGAAAAAAGAAACTATCATGTGATTTAATGTTTTTGTTTAAATTTTAATTATTAATATCTGATGAAAATGTAAAGTTTTAGAAAATATAATTATGCTACATCTGTGTTTTGAAATTTCTTGAGGTTTTCTTCACATACTTAATCTGTATGTAAGCATTTTAAATGTATATTCTATCTATTAATAGATATGTATTAACTCATTCTTGTCAAATAGTATTTATTAGTTTAATTCTGTTAAGTTATATTGTCAATCTATCTTTGTCTTTGATTTTTGGCTATCTAATGTTTCAAAGTATAAGAGGGGTGTGGTAAATTTTCCTACAACAATTTTACTTCAATTCATTTCCATGTCCTCTCTATGTTCTCTAATCTTAGGTGTCTCTTGTTTTTCAGGTAGATTTTAGAGGCTTTAACTTATTAAAATATATGCTTGAGTTTACTTTAGGCACCTTGTTTTATTCATGCAGTCATTTAGCAAATATTCAATACTCACTCTGTAACAGTATCAGCTGGCAGAGCCATGTGCTAGAGTTCTGGCCAGTAAGGTATAGGCAGAAGTCCGCTGGAGTGACCGCTTCCTTATTTTTATTTATTTATTTATTTATTTTTGAGAAGGAGTTTGGCTCTGTCGCCCAGGCTAGAGCGCAGTGGTGCGATCTTGGCTCACTGCAACCCCTGTCTCCAGAGTTCAAGCAATTCCTCTGCCTCAGCCTCCCTAGTAGCTGGGATTACAGGTGCCCACCACATGCCCGGCTAATTTTTGTATTTTAGTAGAGATGGGGTTTCACCATGTTGGCCAGGCTGGTCTTGAACTCCTGACCTCAAGTGATCTGCCTGCCTCAGCCTTCCAAAGTGCTGGGATTACAGGCGTGAGCTACCACGCCAGCCCTTTCTCTCTTCTTACCGGATGCAGTCAGCTTGCTGGAGCTATAGCAGTCACTTTGTAAGCATGAAGGAAGGACCAAGACTTGTAGTTATACCTTCCACCATTATTTACTTACCGAAACAACATAAACAAGTATCTACCTCTGGAATTCCTCTTATCAGAGAAAAATAAATTTCTATTGGTTGAAGCTGTTAGCTGGCTATTGTGTACTTGCAACTGAAGACATTTTTAATTAATCTATGTCTTTACTTCTGTACCTCAAATTTTCAAAAATATATTTGAAACTACACATTTTTAATTATTAGGTTGGTGCAAAAGTAATTGCGGTTTTTGCTATTTTAATGCAGTTTTGCCATTACTTTTTTTAATATAAAAATCAAGCACCCTTCAATAACTCCGTAGGTAATAAAATAAATTAGAGTGCTTTAAACTCTACTGCCTTCCTTCCCATTTTCCAATTTTTATAACATTTGTAAAATCAAAATTTTATTTTGATTGAATTTTTACGTTAAGTATCTTTTTCATATCATGTTACTTTCCATTCAAGTTATAAACCATATTACAACAATTATTTAGAATTAACATTTTGTGTCCAATATTATCAGTTTACATTAAGTTTTTTAAGAGTTCAATTTGTTCACTCTTGGATAAAAGCTTTTCACCCATCTTTTGGGCAGCTGACAGTTGTCTTCAGGCATTTTTCCTAAAGGATACAAGAATGCTATTTCTCTTTTAAATCCTTCCCTAATTAAAAACGCCTTTATTTTGCCTTTAAACATGAATAACATGTAAGACAACAACATCTTGTTAAAATTGTAGAATTCTTGAGTTAACATATTCCATAAAAACTCCAGATTTCAAAAACTATCTTATGAAGTTTTTATGTAGTATTATGAAGAGAAGCCTATGAGCAGCATAGTTTTTTTCCTTGCTAAAGTACACTTTTAAAATTCTTTCTGAAGAAGTGTAAGAATGTGATACTCTATCAGCAATTTATCCTGGAAGAGGTTAAGCCCATTGGATCACAGCTCAAATGATCATGATGATGGATGGTGATGGTGATGATGACATTAGGAGTAACAATGGTAGTAATGGTGATGACGATGATGACGATTTTAGCTCAGGAAAGTTTTCTTCTGTATATCTTTTCTTATTCCTTCTTTTCTCTTGGTTTATTTCTTCTGAATATTGCCTGTTTAAAATTGGTTTCTGTTCTCTGTATCAAATTTCTCTCTCTGTTTTTAAACCTATTACCTTACCATTCATAGAAAGATGTAGTTTGCCTTCTACGTCATTGACTTGGTTTTCTGTAGTGTCTGTTCTCCTATTTATTACCTTCAAGGTACATTTTAATTCTGTTTAATTCTGTTTATAAGTTACCAGAATTCTCTTATTGTGCCCATAAAATCCTTTTAAATATCTACTGGCATTCCAGAGAGCCACTATTATCTCATCTCTCCACTCTTGTCCCATAAGTCCGTGCTTCCTCATATTTATTGAGAAATACACAGAGAACATCATCTAGTTTATTTTTCTTCATTTGTTTTATTTTTTTCTGAAAATGTTATTTTAGTTTTTTTTTTTTTTCTTCTAACTTTTATTTTAGATTCAGGGAGTACCTATGCAGGTTTGTTACATGAGTAATTTGCATGTCGCTGGGCTTTGATGTACAAATGATTTTGTCACCCAGGTATTGAGCCAATAGGCAGTTTTTCAATCCTTACGTTCCACCTACCCTCCACCTTCAAGTAGGCTACAGTGTCTATTGTTGCCATCTTCATGTCCATGTGTACTCAATGTTTAGCTCCCACTTATAAGTGAGAACATGCAGTATTTGGTTTTCTGTTCCTGTGTTAATTCACTTAGATCATGGCCTCTAGCTTCTTCCATGTTGTTGCAAAGGACATAATTTTGTTGTTGTTTATGGCTGTGTAGTATTCCATGGTATATATGTACTACCTTTTCTTTATCCAGTCCACCATTGACGAGTATCTAGGTTGATTCCATGTCTTTGCTGTTGTGAATTGTGCTACAAAGAACATATGCATGCATGGGTCTTTATAGTAGAACAATTTATATTCCTTTGGGTATATATCTGGAATGACACTGCTGGGTCAAATGGTAGTTCTGTCTTGAGTTCTTTGAGAAATCTACAAACTGATTTCCACAGTGGCTGAACTAATTTACATTCCCAGAAGGATGTGTATGTGTTCCCTTTTCTCCACAACTTTTCAAACATCTGCTTTTGTTTTGTTTTGTTTTATTTTGTTTTTCTGAGTCAGGGTCTCACTTTGTCCCCCAGACTGCCATGCAGTGGCCTGATCATGGCTCATTGCAGCCTCAACCTCTTGGGCTCCAGCAATCTTCCTCTCTCGGCCTCCCAAGTAGCTAGGACAATAGGCACATACCACCACACCCAGCTAATATTTTTTAATTTTTTTCTAGCGATGTAGTCCCTGTGTTGCCCAGGCTGGTCTCAAACTTCTGGGCTCAAGTAATCCTCCTGCCTTGGCCTCCCAAAATGCTGGGATTAGAGGGGTGAGCCACTGTGCCCAGCCAGTTGTTTGTTTGTTTTTTTTTAACTTTTTAATCATAGCCATTCTGACTGGTGTGAGATAGTATCTTACTGTTTTGATTTGAATTTCTCTAATGAGTATTGATGTTGAGCATTTTTTCATATGCTTGTTGGCTGTGTATATGTCTTCTTTTGAGAAGTGTCTGTTCATATCTTCTGCCATTTTTAAATAATTTTTGTTGATTTATTTAAGTTCCTTATAGATTCTGGTGATTAGACCTTTGTCATATGCATAGTTTGCAAATATTTTCTCCCATTCTGTAGGTTGTCTGCTTGGCATTTCTCTTGGACAATATAGACAGTTGAAATACCAGACTATTTTTATTGGTTTCATGTTGTTATCTTTCTGTTTGCTCATCCTTGAGTAATTTGAGTTGAGTTGAGGACCTGTTTTGCCATTGAGTATTTCTTAATGTGTTATTCTTTCCAGAAATTAGCAAATAATTGACTGATAGCTTTAATTTCTGGCTGTTGTCACTTGGCATCTGAGTTATCATGGCTGCTTCAGTGGAAAAGTAGAATGAAGTTAATCAGGTACAGATGTCTTACTGCCATCCTAACAAGAAATGCTCCCTTTTCTTTTACTAAAAGAGGGAGACTTCCTATTTCATGAACTGCATGGATTTCAAATGCATCTGATAGTGATTTTAAAAATAAATGAGGAAGTTTGATTACTGGTACATTATACTCAACATGCATGCAGTAGAGAAGCAATACAGTAGTATGGATAAAAATATAGGTTTGAAGATGAGTTGGGTACCTTTCCACAGTGTGACCTCAGGAGACCCACATCTGTGAGTCTCAGTTTCCTCGTGCACAAAATGGCACTAATAATATCTACCTCACAGAGCTACTGGGAAAATTAAATAATATCCTATATATTATATGCAACATATCACTAACATGTTAGGTATTGTTAATACAGAATCTAATACATGACAAGTATTCAATAAATAGTAGCAACTATAAATATTTTCTTAGTTGCATAATATTTTGTAAAATCTGCTGTTTTCCATTCCTTTTCATTTTCTTTTTTTTTTTTTTTTAGACGGGGTCTCACTCTGTTGCTCAGGCTAGAGTGTAGTGGCATGATCTCAGCTCAGTGCAGCCTCCGTTTCCCAGGCTCAACTGATCCTCTCACCTCACCCTCCTAAGTTGCTGGGACTACAGGCGCATACCACCATGCCCACCTAATTTTTGTATTTTTTGTAAAGAAAGGATTTCACCATGTTGCCCAGGCTTGTCTCAAGCTCCTGGGCTCAAGCAATCTGCCTGCCTTGGCTTTGCAAAGTGTTGGGATTAGCCCCTTTTTCTTTCTAAGCAAATCATCTGTAATAATTTATTTGGAGTACCTAGTAATAAAATTTCTAAATAAATACCATTCCACTTTTAAAAACATTTAATTAGCTTTATTCACATTAAAATACATGATTACAGGTCTGTTGCTAGCCATCGATCAATTCGATCAAGTAAACAAGAATCCTGAAGTATTTCAAGAACTGTGGGATGTACTCAGTCAAAATATAAGTTTGACTCAATTTTACATACTGATAAGTAATTCAAGAGTTTCATGATAAAGTCTTTTCACAGACTAAGAAAGACGAAAATATTATCTGGAATTTGGTTTCATTTTCATCAGGTGAAAAATACTTTCACTGTGGACATATTTATCCAACTTAGGTTCACAGAAGGAATGTTTTCAGTTGGTTACAAATATCAAAATGAATTGTCATCTGCTGGCAGGGAAATAGGGAACCAGAGACGGGGGGGGACTGAGAAAAATTCAGAAAACACCACTTGCTTTTATCTGGCTAGTTCACAACATAAACGACCCAAGCTACAACCAAAGTTTGAAATGTTTTTTCACATGGAAAAATTAGAAATAATTTTATTGTTTGCTTTGTAATTAAATTGATTCCTTTACAACTTTGTGGAAAGTTTTTACATTGAAAATCTCTGCCGGGTGCGGTGGCTCATGCCTATAATCCCAGCATTTTGGGAGCCCGAGACGAGCGGATCACTCGAAGCCAGGAGTTCGAGACCAGTCTGGCCAACATGGCAAAACCCCATCTCTACTAAAAATACAAAAAAATAGCCAGGCGTGGTGGTGGGCACCTGTAGCCCCAGCTACTCAGAGGCTGAGGCACGAGAATGGCTTAAACCCGGGAGGGA
Organism: Homo sapiens; assembly: GCF_000001405.40. NCBI lineage: Eukaryota > Metazoa > Chordata > Mammalia > Primates > Hominidae > Homo > Homo sapiens. Next base: position 222,008,664 of record NC_000001.11, read on the forward strand.
GGCAGAGGTTGCAGTGAGCTGAGATTGCACCACTGCTCTACAGCCTGGGCAACAGAGCAGGACTCCTCAAAAAAAAAAAAAAAAAAAAAAAAAAAGAAAAGAAAAGAAAAGAAAGAAAGAAAAAAAGAAAAAGAAAACTGGGTGCGGTAGCTCAGGCCTGTAATCCCAGCACTTTGGGAGGCCGAGGCAGGCAGATCACGAGGTCAGGAGTTCCACACCAGCCTTGCCAACATGGTGAAACCCCATCTCTACTAAAAAATACAAAAATTAGCTGGGTATGGTGGCGGGCGCTTGTAATCCCAGCTACTTGGGGGGCTGAGGCAGGAGAATCGCTTGAACCTGGGAGGGGGAGGTTGCAGTGACCCGAGATCGCGCCATTGCACTCCAGCCTGGGCGACAGAGTGAGACTTCGTCTCCAAAAAAGAAAAAAAAGAAAGAAAGAAAGAAAGAAAGGACCTCTACAGATGAGTTTCCCATAGACAGGACTGGAGGGAATTTAATGCCTTATGCTGTTTCCCTTTGATAAGCAGCCCCTGCAGGCCCCCTGAGTGATCTCCAGTTCCTAAAGCCACAGGTGTTCTCATCTATTCTAGAGAAACTGCAGGAGCATAGTGAATTAAAATGGTTTCACTTTTGCTCACGGGAGCCACCTACTGTGTCACTTTTACATTGTCCACATCCAACCCAGGTAAAGATAGGCTTTTTGGGGGAGCTAGGGGTATGATATTTTTAATAATTCAAAATTCTTAGAATATTAAATGTGTCCATGACTTTAAGAAAGGGGTTCTTTCTATCTGCAGTATAATTTCTGAAAAAAAAATGATTTGACTAGATATGTAAAATGCCAGAAGGCACTAGTAACTAAAAATCTAGCCAAGATAAAGTATCTTTTCAACGATTTTGTAAGTCAATGCACTGGGGAGAAGAAGGAGATGAAAGCCATCCAAAATGGGCCATGTCCTTCCATTTCACATTCAGAATCAGCTCTACTGCTGAGACCCCTATATGTAACATTTATCCTGTTATTTGGAAAATGGTATGGTGTGTTTGAAGACCACCCTCCAGGCAGTCTGAAACTCCAGACTGGAGGCTCAGCTCAAACCAACCATCACAAATTATATGACTGCACAAATCAATTTCTCTCTCTTAACTTCAGTTCAAACATCTTAAATGTGAGTGCAGTAGACTAAATCAGAGGCCTCAGAACTTCTTGTTTAATACGGATAGAACACAAGTATATGAAAAGAGATAAAACTGGATTGGACCCAGAGCAATCCTAAGGAACCCCAGGGCTCTGTGTGACTCAGTTTCCAAACCGCTAGATCAAGAGATTCCAAAGACATTCTCTAGCTCTAATAGTCTATGATTCAACATTGAAAATATTAAAAAAAAAAAAAAAAACCCAGAACGCTATGTCTCCATCTATATAATATGTCCCAGAGGTTTAGCTCTGAGGAAATTGGTCCAAGTTGCATCACTGGAAGAAGAAGAGAAAAAGAAAATAATGAAAAAAGAAAAATTGACTTCGCTCTAATGAACTCAAACAGGAGCTGGTTAGTATTTCTGAATCTTTGCCAGGGCTTCAGCCTCCCCTCTGAAAAAGTACATGTGGGGAACACAGAGCCCCATCAAATGAAAAGAGATGGAGTGCACAAGAGGACTTTCCAAAAGAAAAGCTCTTCTCCTTGAACTCTGCAGGATCCATTTGCACTACTGGACATTTCTGACACTGGAGAGAAAAAATGCTTAGTAGGAACCCTCTGTCCTCATAACAGGTTTCTCCTGTTTGTTGCTTTGTGAACTAATGTAAATCAAATAAAGCAATGTACTCAAACCACAGTGGACCTGAGTGTATAAATGAGGAACAGGTGGTGATTAAGTGTATAGTGTCATTTCTATTTTGTGACGTTAATGGATCACAAAAGCACTATAGTCCACATGGCAGGAGTGGTCACAGCCACCCCACATACTCTTCTTCTAAATGTGATCTCCAAACCTCCTTCCCTTCTCATCTCCCACTCAGTTCTGGGAAATGCAGAAAAATGTGTAATAGTTAGTGACAGAAAGAGCCACTGACCTAAATACATGGTGGGTCATTTATTATGCATGGCTTCTGATCAAGGAATTAGAGAGTTTTCATTCAATCTTTATTTTCAGCCACTCAAGTTCCATTTCCCTTGCTTTATTTAGTTTTGACAAAGACAGTTTCTGTATTTACACTTAACATGCTTAGTTTCCCTAAATATTCAAGGATACCATCAACCCTCACTGGAGGCCTCTTTGATAATGGCAGGTATAATTTCTGTATTAGTTTTCTGTTGTTGCATAACAAATCACCCATCCCCCCCACCAAAAGAACAACTTAGTGGCTTAAACAATAAGCATATATTATCTCACACAGTTTCTGTAGGGTCAGGAATTTGGAAGTGGGGTAATTTTGGCTTGAGGTCTCTGATGAGATTGCAGTCAAGATGTCAGCCAGAACTCCAGTCATCCGAAGGCTCATCTGGGGTGGGAGAATCTGCTTCCAAGATGGCTCACTCACATAGCTGTTAGCAAGAAACCTAGGTTTCTCACTAGAATTGACAGGAGGCCTTCGTACCTTACCACATGGACCTCTGAATAGGGCTGCTTGAGTGTCCTCACAACAGGGAAGCCAGTGTCTCCCAGAGTGAGTGAACTGAGAGAGAGAGACAGAGAGAGAGAGAGAGAGAACGAGAAGGATGCCTTATGATGTTGATGACCTAGTCTCATAAATCACACATCATCACTCCTTGTATATTCTATTTATCAGAAGTGAGCCACTAAAGCTGAACCCATGCTTAAGGGGAAGGGAATTAGACTCCACATGTTTTAGGGGAGACACACCAAAGAATTTGCAGACACATTTTAAAACCAACAAATCTTAGGATGGCCCAGAATCTGAAAATGGAAACTTTGAAAAAGTACTGCAAGGTAACGATTCAAATGTCAAAAAGATTTTCTGCAGGATTTTGTTGCTTGGCAGTGTAGGGGAGCCAGAGGTCACTTCCAAACCCTTTTTAACTCTTAGTGGGCTCTTTGGCTTGACCTAGGAGCCAAATTGACATCAGGTAGATTAATAAGAAAAAATCGTAAAAACTTTATTAGTTTTACATGTACATGGGGATCTTCACAAGAGTGAAAATCGAAGAAGTGGCCAGAGCAAGATGCTTTTTAGACAAAAACCAATAAACTTGAGAGGACAAAGAGGATCTGGCTAAGGGCAGTAAATTTCTTCAGGGTTCACTAGGAGATATATGAGGGGTGGAGAAGTAGTGAAAGATAAGGGCTACCTTAGTAAATATGTTTATTATAGTTCATTGCAGCCCCCAGTTCCCAATCTCTGTGATAAGGACTATTTTGTCACTCTAGTACAGGGAGGGGGCCCCTTCCAGAGGAATCTCTGTGACTTGCTGTCTGCTGGAAGAGATAGGTCAGCTTGCCCTTTCTGAAACTACAATTTCTTCAATGTTTTTAACTCAAAATAATCAATATACCAATTCAGCATATTTTGGGATAGCGTGTCCTTCACTCCTTCAGCAGTGGCACAACACACATAAGTATTGGTTTACAGATCATTAATTACTTGATAATAAGATTAGAATCAGAGGATCTTTAATCTAAATGTCAGAAAGAAGGAGTACTTAACATTACAGATATCTCTTAACAAATTACAGATATCTGTCATGATCTTGTAAAGTAATGTGGAAAATGGTTTAATTCATAGAGATTTTCAGGAACACATCTGAAGTATACAAGAAACTGGCTTTGGAATTTCTCTGCTGTGAAGATGCAAGGAAGTCAAAGATTAAATAAACAAAGATGATGATAAACATAGATGCTAATGAAAATGTTAATGCTTCTAACCCAGCTGATGATAAAGAAGATAAAGAAATTGAAGTGATTCTTAGGTGACTACAGTAATTTTTTTGGAAGTACTTCCATGATTTTGCCAAATTTTACAACAACTCTTGGAATAAAAGGAGTGGCAATGATTGTGCCATTTTTATTGTGTGTTGAGGGTAGAAGGGAGAGAGTGAAGCTTGATATTCATATACCAAAACCAAAAGTTAATTCTTGCTGAAAGTAAAAAGTAAAAAATCAGTCAGACTACTTTACTGACATAGAGGCAAATAACCAACTTATTTGTGTAATTTTATTTTTTTCATTTCCAACAGTTTATTTCAGCATCACACAAATATAGCAACTTCCCCATTCCCCCCAAAATGTAAAAGGTTTTCTGACAGAGTCAATAACATTTACACTTATGAAACAAACTATTTAGGTTGGTGCAAAAGTAATTGAGGTTTTTGCAATTAAATTTAGGTTGGTGCAAAAGTAATTGCGGTTTTTGCCATTACTTTTAATTGCAAAAACCTCAATTACTTTTGCACCAACCTAATATTGTTAAGTTCCACTGATAGAGAAGCAGAGGCTTGTATACAAACTTTCCAAATAAATATTTCTCATTCTAACAAGTGATTGGGTGTGCTTAATTAAATAAAGAATAAGAAAACAGAATAAATCGTGGCTGACATCTTTAAAGGTTGCATTCTGGCATTTGTTTTTTGATGGGGCCATTTATTTATCCCTTCTTGAGCTGTCTAGCTAGAGAACTCTGTATTTCAGCAGTGAGTGACAGTTCTCCCATCTGTGCTTCTTATTTGCCTTCTATTCAAATAAACAAAATGCATTGCAGATACTGGTATATATTTTGCTTTGGACAGGTTTCTACCCCTAACTTACAAGCAGACTTAGCATCTACCAGGGAAGAAGAAGGTTGTGGTGTTTGGAGTTGTGTGGTTGTAGAAAATTTTGTGAATGGAAGAGGCTCTTTTAAAAAGCTTGTTGTCTAGATAGCCTTGCTCTTTCAAGTATGGTCATGGAGATTGTGAATCATGTAGACAGAAGTCTCAGGTGGCGTCACAGACCTATGGAATCAGAATCAGTGCTTTTTAAGGTGACCCCTGGATGATTCCCCTGTGTATTTAAGTTTGGTAAGCACTGCTCTGCAGAACTCAAGACAAAAATATTTGCATTCTGGATAAACAAGAAAGCTTTACACAGAAGCTAGTCCTATCCACTGTTTTCCCCTCATCCGGTTACACTACAAATCTCACCCTAGACTCAGACTGCAGAAGAAAGTTGCTAGATGCCAAATGTTCACCTCCTTGTAGCTAATTTCCATGTGCACAGGAACTTGAGCTATCTCACCAGGCCATCAGAACCAGCAGGTCCAGTGTTCAGGTAAGGGTTCCTAGCAGAGGTTTGCAAATAAAATCATTCACACAGACTAATCCTGGTTGGAGGGAAATGCACAAAGTCTAAGGAAAATCAAGGTGTAGAAAGGGGGTGCCCAATTTACACATATTTAGCCCTGTTAGCTTTCCCGGGCTTACTCAGCTTTCTTTCTCTTCATTGAGTGTCATCTCTTCATGATCAGGATGACAACTTACAAATATATGCACGAAGAGCCAGTGCTTCAATACTGAACAGGAGAAAACGACAATACTGCTGTTCCAAAACCGAAATACTCCATTTGGAACTGAATTGCTTTCAGAGTCATATGCTCACAACCAAAAAAGGAAACACTCTTAACACTCAAATATTTGAAAAAAAAAAAAACCACCATAATTACTAGCTCATGAGAAAAAAATACAAATTTCATATAGTTCTCAGTAGACCTGGAGACTTCCTTTCTTATACAATGTTCCATGACTGCCACAAAGCCTGTGAGATACTTGGGGTATTATCACCCTCTCCATTTTACAGGTAAAGAGAAAGGCCCTGTGCTGCTCACCTTTGTGACAAGCCTTCCATTGTGACAGCTATCAAGGGGCAGAACTATAACTACAGCCAGGCTCCATGATTCCAACACAACGTTGTTTTCTCCTCTACACATGGTTTGACTATAGGAAATTGTCACTTTGCACTTTGAAAGACTGCTGAAGGCTAATCATATGACACTATGCCATGTGATAAAATTGCATAGTGGTTTGGAAACTACAGTCAATATAGCCCCATCACTATGTTACTGCCCAAAAGATGCGTCCATCCATTTTCTTTTGTTTTATTTTTGTGATAAGAACACTTAAAATGAGATCTACCCTCTTAACAAATTGTATACAATATACTGTGATTAATCATTGGTACAATGTTATAAAGCAGATCTATAGAGCTTATTTATCTCGCTTGACTGAAACTTCATGCCTGTCAATTAGTAACTCCCATTTTCCCTCCCCCCAGCCCCTGGCAACCACTATTTTACTTTTTGATTCTATGAATTTGACTATTTTAGACACCTCTTATAAGTGGAATCATGCACTATTCATTTTTCTGTGACTGGCTTATTTCACTTAACATCATGTCCTCAAGGTTCATCTGTGTTGTGGCATATTACAGAGTTTCCTTCTTTTTTAAGGCTGAATATATATGCCATTTTATGTATGTACAACATTGTATTTATCCATTCACCTATCAACGGACATTTAGGTTGTTTCCACATCTTAGGTATTGTGACTAGACTGGTGTTGCAATGAACATGAGTGCTAATATCTTTCTAAGATCCTGACTTTAATTCCTTTGGGTAAATACCCAGAAATGGGATTGCTGGATCATAGATCCTATGGTAATTCTTTTTTTTTTTTTTAAACAGATAGAGTGTTTCTGTGTTGCTCACACTGGTCTTGACCTATTGGCCTCAAGCAATCCTCCCACTTCAGCCTCCCAAAGCGCTGAGATTACAGGTATGAGCCACCACGCTCGGCTGTATTTTTAGTTTTTAAGGGCACCTCCATGCCATCTTCCAAAGTGGCTGCACCTGCTGAGACACTATGACTCTCGCCAGTGAAAAAAACAACAAAAAATTCAGCAAAGTGGCTGTAACATTTTGCGTTTCCACCAACAGTATACAAGGTTCTAGTTTCTCCACATCTTCTTGCTTCCTGTTTAAGCTGGAACTTCCTCAGGTCTTCAGGGTTAGGTTTAACTATCCTGTTTTTATTTTTTATTCAGTTTTGGAACTGTGGCTCACGGTATTCTGTGTATCACATCAAACTCTATGGACTGAACCCCCTCTAATCCTATTTTACTTGTGATTCTTCCCAGAAGAACCTACTTTGTTGCAGAAAAAACTGAAGCTAATGTTCATGGCCTTGCCAGAGCTGTCTGCAAAATGCACCAGCCAAATGGAATTATGCAAAGTTTATGGAAGAGGCCCAATTAAATTCAAAAAGCTGGTATTGTGTTCTCAATTGTGCCAACATGGTGCTAGGCACTGGGGATACCAAACTAAGTAAGAATACAGCTTAAACAAATAATGACATAATGTAAGTAACGTGGTATAATAGACATGAAGTATATGGATATCGGGGGGAAAGGTATGAATGGTGATCCTGAAAAGTTAGATTGGAGGGTAGGCAAACAGTTGAGCTAAGCCTTGAAAAGTTAGTAGGCAAGTGTACCAGGCCAACACGAGGACGTATTCTATAATCTGTACCATGGCTGGTAAATATGGGTACACTTGGCACCATTCCCATTACTGCACCCAGGGCAGACATTGCTAAATGAATGTAATGTTCAACCAATACATGGTCTCAGAATCTTTATTAATGGTGTTTCAAAGAGCACTACTAGTGCATCCTAAATGGTGTGCAAGGTCTTTGCCATCTGCCCTTGATTTAGAGCACCTTCTTCAAGTTTCCTTGTTTTGAACAAGCTAATCATAGTGACATGATTCAATAGTATTCCAAGACAGCTTCAGTGAGCCAAAGTTTGAAAGAATTTGTCTCCTTTTTTAATGTTTCCTTCCAGGTGGAGGGAATGCAACTCATGTGAAACATCTGGTCCTCTCTGCCAGTGTTATTTATTCTTCTCTGGTAGAGTGAGACTAAACTATCTGATTGTTAAATTTGCAAAGAATAACTTGTATGTACATAGCTCATCTCCCCATATTTTCCTTCTGGGAAGAGGAGGTCTCAGTATCTCCATTCTGTATGTCTTTTCTGAGTAAGTGTTTGTCTTGGTGCAGCCTGCCCCACCCAGCCTGAATGCCATTCAGTGGGGCTCTTTGGTTTTTACTCAAAAATATATCCTTGGGGAAAATGAGACAGACAAAGTTATATTTCAGAAGATTGTGTGTAATAAAGAAATAAAAGAAATGTCACTGGGGGAAGAAGAAGGCAAAGCTTCTTTCTGCATTTGTGTCATGTACTTTCAAGCCAAAAAGGGATCATTAAGTTTGTTTACTCCAAAGAATCATGGGTAGTTCTAGAGGTAAGTCTGAAAGAACCGAGAATCTCAAGGAAGAGCTGATCAATCCAGAGCTTTGGGGTTTGGCAGAAGGAATGGGGTTACTACACTTCAAAAGGTCAGTTACTGCCAAGGCCAAGTATGTCCTTCTTGGCTAGGGTCATGTGGCTAACATTTTCCACTGTGGTAATGCCACAATATGTACACAATTTCCCCTGGCTTTATACCCTGGAGTTGAGAGTGTGCAGATTGCTTTCATAATGGCCCCCAATATATCATGTCCCGTTGTGTCCATACGTCTTTGCATTGTGATTTTTGTCACTCCTCCCATCAAGAGATGAAAATGATTTTCTGACCCTTTGAATGTGGGTTGACCCTATGACTTGCTTTGACCAATAGAAAGTGGCAGATGTGATATTGTATGACATTTGAGGATAAGACATATGAGGCCTTGAAGCTTCCATTTTCTCCCTCTTGGAATTCCCATCACTATGTAAGGAAGCCTGAGAGAGACTACCACATGATGAAAACCATGTAGAGAGAGTCAAGCTGCCAACCAGTACCTAAGCTCCAAACATTCGAATGAGGCCATCTTAACTTCTTCAGGCCCAATTAAACTGCCAGATGATTACAGTCACACAGACAACCTCAGACAACAGCAGAAGAACCACCCAGCTAACCCCAGCAACTCAAAGAATCAGGAGAAATAATAAACCATTGTCTTAAGCCATTATATTTTGTGGAGTTTTGTTATAATGCAAAGGCTATTTGGTATAAAGAGGGTATTTCTCTGCAGATATAAACTTTCCCCAGAACCTAACCCACATTGAACATGAAAGTCCTGTATCTTTAACTTCTTAAAAGTGCCAGTCTTCCGTGTGTGTGTGTGTGTGTGTGTGTGTGTGTGTGTGTGTTTTGTTGTTGTTGTTGTTGTTGCTGTTGTTGTTTTTAAGGGCAATACCTTTTCCTTCCCTCACTGTCTTAGGCTCCTTTAGTGAGAATCTACCTAATTTTGCATCAATAATTTTTAGGAGAAGTTACAGTTGACTAAACTAATATCTCTTTTTTTTATTATCCTCTTAATGAAAGGCATGTCCCCTCTCTCAGATTCCTATTCCACCATTTAAAATATCTTCTCTTCCTCCCATATTCTCCAAAGTAACTGAACTGCAATGGGGGAAGACATACATTTCTTGCAAGAGAAAATTCATTTTTTTCCAGACAAATCGTTATCGTGCCAATGGCATGCTTCACTCTGGCTGTTTGTAGCTGGGCACAGGGACTAAATCTCTGCTAATTAGAGATATGCAAGCCTCAAAGGGATTTGACTCAGATTCCAATTTGCAAATAGGGTTTGTGTGTTTGGATTTGGATTTAGATTGGACTAAAACTTCCCTTTGCGAATTAACTTAAAGCTCTTGTTCTTAAACCCAGCCAAAACATTGCACTCCCATTTATGCATGGGAACACACACTAAGCAGAAATGGCAAACTCTTTTCAAGTCAAGGTAAGGGTTTGCGTTGATATATCCCAGTTGTGGAAAATCAGAGATTCTTATTTGGAATTGTTCTGCTTTCCTGGACACTTATTAGCCCCAAACCTTCATGGTTGTTTTGCCTTTTGTCTTTCAGATTTGCTGTTGTTGTCGTTGTTGTGGCGGGGGGGTAGTTTTTGTTTTCTGGACTTTTTTTTGGTTAGCCACACTGAATGGAAATTCGAAAAGGTATTCACAGAATTCTTTTTTGATCTACATGATGGCTAACAGCCCAACTATATTTTCACAGATTCACTGGATAACTTTGGAAGTCTTATACACTAACATCAGTTGACCACTTACTGTGCGTTTGTGTTCATTCAATCCTTAAGAGAATCATAAGAAGTGGGGCTGCTATTTATTACTCCTATTTTTCAGATAAGTTATATAAGGAGCTAGAGGTTACAAAATTAAACATGCCATGTTGCCACCCTATTCTTGGTCGCAGTCCATTAAAAAGCAAACCGTGATAAGGCAAGAGTAATCTATAGGAAGTTCTTCTATCATAAATACTTAGATATTAATTGTGTTATTCTGGAATAAACTGTAAATAACTAGCACCTGCATTAAATAAATCACAACTTAGATCTGGAATTCAGAATATTAGAGTTCAGATATTATCTAGTCCCCAATTCCTTTATTTTGCATGTAACAAGATTTTAAAAACTCAAAAAACATGTTACTTGTTGAAAGTCAAAGGAAGGGCTGTTGGTAAACATGGTTTAGAACCAGCTGCGGTTTTTCACATTAAGGCACATGGTGCTCAGCAGTGAGTTGAAAGTAGGTCGTCCCTTGAAAAAAGTTGGCTTGATTCTCCAGGAGGTTAACTCTTGAATGGAATTGATCTTGCTGAATTCACAATTATCCAGGGCATGGCCTTCAACATTACAGACTCAGGAACTCCTATTTATTGTTCAGCTTGAGAAAGGGGATCCATCTCTAAAGGGTAGGACCACGCTAACCAAATTCACAGGTTGAAAAAATATAAACCAGAGTGTAAATTTATTCACATCAAGTAATACCATTATTACTGCCTAACACACAGTATGACAGTTTAGATCTAAATCTGAAAGACATAGCATGCTCAATGGCAAGATAAGCATATCAACAGACCCAAAGCAGAAGGAAAAAGCCCAGAGATAAATGGACATAGAAGCCACCTACAGATCTCCAGGACCAGAAACAGGAAAAGGCAGGTGAGACTTTCTCAACTTCACACCATTGATATCTGAGGACAGATAATTATTTATTATAAGAGGTTGCTCTGTGCACTGTAGCATGTTTAGCAGCATCCCTGGTGTCTACCTTCTATATGCCAGTGGCACCCTCTCTACCTTCTACCACTCACGATAATCAAAGACATCCTCAGCCATTGCCAAAATACCTTCTAGTTGAGAACTACCAAGGAAATCTAAATGCATATTACAAATGGTGGGACTCCAGAGACAGACTTACTTTGTAAAACTGAAGGCTGGGGTAGGGTATTGATTTATGAACAGATGCAGACAAACTGCCATCGCTATCCAGGTTTGGCCAGCTGTTGTCACACCAGGACTAAGGAACAAGAGGGACAGAAGCAACCACCCTTCAAGAGTCCTGGCCAAGTCTTCCACCGGCACAAATGACTAGATCAGTGATTCCCTGCTATCCCAGTGAGTTATCTCTATCTCCAAGTTTTGCAAGGTCACCTTTGTGCCACTTCCATATCCTAGGGACTAATGTCCGTAACCTTGATTCCTGACCCCCAACACAGTGTTCTCTGCACTAGAACACACAGCCTGAAGCCCACTCAGACTATGATTTTAAGGCACAAACTATACATTATTCATTATTGCACTGTCAGTTCATATGAGAATCTGGCACAAAATAGGTGTCGAACAAAATTGAATGAGCAAATGGACAAAAAGATGAATGGACTAGTCTGGAGTGAGCACCTATTTTGTACTGGGTTCTGTGCAAGGTTTGTTAAAGCTAGAGCTTTTCATCCTACAGAGCTGAGTTTGAATCCCAGCGAAGCCTCTTGTTAGCTGTGGGACTTTGGAAATGTCACTTAACTTCTCTGATCTTTCATTCCTTTAGTAGTAAATAGGAAAAACAATGGAGCTTTTAGCACATTGCCTTACAAACAGTATGGTTTTGACTTTATTTTTCTTATCCAATAGTATAATGGTCATTAAATTCTGACAACCTGTAAAGTAAATCCTTTCAGTAGTCTCCTCATTTTACAGATGACAGAAAGAGGGTCAAAGGGGTTAAGTGATTTGCTCAGGGGCAAAGTCCTGTTAGTGGAAGAGGCAGGATTCATACCTATTCTGACCAGCTGAGTTCTGGGGCTTTTCATGACACCATCCTCCCTCAGTTCAACTCCTGGAGGCCTTGCCAAGGAGACTAGAGATTATTCTTGATTAGTAGAGGGGGTATATTACAGTTTGAGTCAGGGCATTTTTTTGTTTGTTGTCTAACAGACTTCACTTTCCTTATTCCATGTCTGGGAGGATGCAGGAGACATAATAATCTCCTTGAGCAGAGATGATGTCTCTAAGCTCTACTGCCCAACTCACACAATCAGTTCAGGCCTCCTTTAACCTCCTATAGCCAGGATTAGGAATTTTGGTTTTATTAATTAAGATCATTGAAGTTATATTTTTTGTTTGTACTTCAAAACAATGCAAATAAATTTCTTAGTTTGGTTTCTTTTTCAGAGTCTCTCTATTTTTTTAGATAAAATTTTTGGATTAGTTTGTACTTTGGGTTCACAGCATTCGGTCATTAAAGGGTTGACTGGACATGACCAGAGTTGGCTCCATCCGTCTCCTAAACTCATGACATCAGCTCCATCAGGATGTCAGGAAGCTGGGTGGTTTTCACCGTAGTGGTAGATTCCAGGACCACCAAAATGAATTTGAATGACTGGGAAGAGACGGGATTGAGTAATTGTGGGATCTTGACTCAGTACTCAAACTTCCAACACTCTAAATGGGAAAATGTCACTTTACCAAATTAAAAAAAGTAGCCTAATAATGTTTAAATCAAATACAACTCGCCTATGATACTGGCAAGCTTTTGCATCAGTAGGAGACAGACTAATGACATAGAACCACTTTGAGGGGAAAGGGCAGGAGTTTCCAGCTCAAAATCCACAGCAATAACAAACACTTATGGAGAAAGTCACACCCACAAAGAGGCCCATGATGCTGTCACAGGTTCCCGTGTGAGGGACAATGATTGAATGGAGGCCTCAGCTCTCCTCTGCTTTCTGGTAGTTTACTTAGCACAGTATTTCTTCCCTAAGAACAGCTATTTCTTCTTTTTTCTTCTCTTTCTTTCTTTCTTCCTTTTTTTTTTTTTATTTTTATTTTGAGACAGTATCTCACTCTGTTGCTCAGGCTGGAGTGCAGTGGTGCGATCTTGGCTCCCTGCAACCTCCACCTCCCAGGTTCACACGATTCTCATGCCTCAGCCTCCCGAGTAGCTGGAACTACAGGTGTGGGCCACCACGCCCGGCTGATTTTTGTATTTTTAGTAGAGACCAGGTTTCACCATGTTGGCCAGGCTGGTCTCAAACTCCTGACCTCAGGTGATCTGCCCATCTCAGCCTCCTACAGTGCTGGGATTACAGGCATGAGCCACCGCACCCAGCCAGAACAGCTGTATCTTCTGATTCCAAGTAAACATATAAACCAAAGACTCTCCTGCTTTCCTTTCCTGGGAAAAAGTTTCTTTTGAACTTCTCTAAGTGTGAATGTCTGTTGTGTTTTTTCTAAGAGTTGCTGTCCTTCTCCTCGCCTATCCTGGAAGATCAGCAGTGAGGCTGCCCACTGTTCACAGTGGCAAACATATGGAATCAACTTAAGAGTCCATCAATGGATGAAATGTGCCAATCGAGAAAAATGTCGAGACAAGTCTCAATCATTTTAGGAGGTATATTTGCCAAAGTTAAGGATGTGTGCCTGGGAGGCAAAGTTAAGGACTTGCACCTGTGCCTTTCTCTGAAGATGATTTTGAGGGCTCCAAATTTAAAGGGGAAAGAGTGGGATATTGAGAAGTACACAATTTTTATGTAAGAGGTGGGGTAGGGAAAAATAGTCATTCATGCCTTTGTCTGGCTCAGTGAATCTGCATTTCTTTACATAAGGTGACATAGACAAATGGGGCAGAGGAAAAATGCGGAGAATCTGAATTTTACATAAGATAACATGGAAAAATGGGGCAAGGGAACAATCAGATATGCATTCGTGTCTGGTGGGCCAGGAGATGACTGCACCTCTGAAGATAAGCTATCAATTTACATTGCCATGGTGAAATTTTAACAGAAACACCTTCAAAGATCTTGCATCCCAGCTACTCGGGATGTTGAGGCAGGAGAATCGCTTGAACCCGGGAGGCAGAGGTTGCAGTGAGCTGAGATCGCACCATTGCACTCCAGCCTGGGTGACAAGAGTGAAACTCCTTCTCAAAAAAAAAAAAAAAAAAAAAAAAAGATGATGATGAAGGTAAGATGCCCCTTGTGAGGACTCTATGTGCAGACGAGCCAAACACACTTGGCTTCTCAGCCCACTGGGCATCCGCAGGCAGTGGCCATGTCATCAGGGATGGGAGAAGAATGATAGCAATAGGGGGATACTACAGCTGCTATTGTAAAATAGCAACCTTGGCATAACGACCTGGAAGTGGTTTCCACGATTTGATTATTTTCATAAATGAAGCAAACCCAAAGTTTTTCCTGATTTGAGTTTTCATGAGTTACTTTGCATGCTTCATGCATTCAAGAGGTTATTCTTCACACGCTAAGCAACTGCAGGATATGTTTAGAAGCCAGTATACTACAACAGTGTCTGTCCTTGACTTCCCTGGGTGTGTGTTTATATCTTCCAAGCAGAAGGGCGATGGACTTTTTCCTTTATCAAAACCTCTTGATCTTTTTTCACCACTGCTGCCTGGGTTGGAATGGCCAAGTTCTTGGAGGGAGGTGGGAGATGAAAGAGATGAAAGAAGCCCCTTAGATAGCTTTAGACCCAAAACAGGAAAGTTCAACATCCTTCCTCATAGTCGTGTCTCTAACAAAATAAAATTTAAGAGCTTAAAATGTTGCTGATGAAAGCACAAAGAAAACATCACTGCATCCTAATGTAGCCTCGATTTCCTAATTATAAAATCCCTCAGAAAAAGGAGGAGGGCAGGAAGATAAGAAAGAAGTCCGAGCACACTGAATTCCCTTTTTTTTTTTTTTTTTGGAGATGGAGTCTTGTTCTGTCGCCCAGGCTGGAGTGCAGTGGTGCAATCTCGGCTCACTGCAAGCTCCGCCTCCCGGGTTCACGCCATTCTCCTGCCTCAGCCTTCCCAGTAGTTGAGACTACAGATGCCCGCCACCACGCCTGGCTAATTTTTTGTATTTTCAGTAGAGACGGGGTTTCACCATGTTAGCCAGGAGAGTCTCGATCTCCTGACCTCGTGAGCTGCCTGCCTCAGCCTCCCAAAGCGCTGGGATTACAGGCGTGAGCCACCATGCCCGGCCCGAGCACACTGAATTCTTTTGGGCCAACTGTTGGACTCCAGCATGCCCTGGGCCCAGTCTCACATCCAGTAAACATTGCCAATCTGAAGACCCACACTGGGGGTGGATTCAATGAATCTGATTAAGAAGATAGCACTTCAATTTCTTGCCTCATCTCTGGAGAAGGTTGGCCTTACAAATATTTTTTTAAACATCAAACAAATCATAAAATCTAGCATATCGAAGTCCTTGCTATCTCACACTCTTCAGGAAGGACTTGTATTTGTCCCTGGGAAATTGTTTTCCAACTGTGGAGGGTTTTCTCCCTCCAGAACTAAAACTGGTTTTGTTTTATCCTTAGGCATCCATGAGTCTCTTTTGTTGTAAGAAATAGACAGTAACCCACCCACCTCAAGCAAAGGGTTTACATTAAGGCATAGAGATATTAAGGCAGGCAAGAAACTTAGTGATTACAGAGAACAGAACCCGTTCCCTCACTCCCTTGACAGGAGTTCCTTCATAATCTCCTTTCACTGAGAGTAGTCAGCCTTTTGAGGCTGTTTCTTCTGTCCCTGCCTCTATTCATCATCTATTTTATGCTTTTCCCTGGTACTCAGCATTCTTTCTCTACCTCAATAAATTTTTGAGTGAATGGATAAGGAAATGAATAAATGCTCATAGTTTCTAGTCCATCATCACGTTGCCTTGTTCATAGTTTTGACTTACTCAGAGCCCATTGTGACTGTTGCTGCTTTGTGACCTGTGTGTGTGTGCGTGTGTGTGTGTGTGTACATGTGTGTGTGTGTTTGCTGCTTCTTACCTCCTTCTGATTTCTGATTCCCAAGTCAAATTTCAGGGACCTAACAAATCACTATTGTCACTGCTTAAGTGTTTTTCATACCAGGTCACTTTTTATATCAAGTCACTGTAGTCCAGTCAGCTTTTTCATTGTTCTGTTTTGTTTTGTTTTGCTTTGTTTCCTGGTGGTGTTTTGCCTCCTGATGGAAAGGGGCAAGATCCTGTGGTTCAGAAAATACTTACGTTAGGCTGCTGTCCCTCAGGATTGCCAGATTCAACAAATAAAAATGCAGGATGCAATATTTGGGACATCTTTTTATTTAAAAATTACTTGTTTATCTGAAATTCAAATGAACTGGCTGTCCTATATTTTATCTGGCAACCCTACTTTCCACCCAAGCAGTTGAATGAAGCAGCTTCACACAGATGGGATTATTGGGTGCCATGATAGATAGGTGTGTCCAGCCCCCAGTTTTTAATGAAAATCTGTCTTAAGTAAAGATGGAATCACCATCTTAACAGAAGAAGGATGTGAAACACAATTTGCCATGTCTTCATAATACAGGGTCCTCACTATGTCCATTTTGGTTCTGTGTTCAAGGCTTACTGTGGCCTCCAGCTGTTAGCCCCTGCCCTGGAATTCCCATTTCTGGGTTGCTTTTTCTAGATTTAAACTGTTCCCTTTATTTTAGTTGTCATTTCTCACTGCTGGGCATGTGCTTGCCTCTTTTTCTTTCAAATTTATACTTTTTTGTGGTTTTGTTTCTATGTTTTCTTTTTTCCTATTAGGCTAAAGTAAAGGTGAATAGAGACACTGAGTGAGGAAATTTTATGAGCACTTCATAATTTCCAAACCTATGAGCTCTAATACTTGGATTTTATGGCGTTACTGTTCAGAAGTATTTTGTTATGCCCAGGCTAGAGAAAAAATGCATTTATTGTCACTGAGTAGTGTTCCAGGTCCTCTGCTAAGTTATGAAAACACATAACTTAGTGTGTTTCAGGTACGTGGCATTGGGACGTATGGCTAAGTTCCTAAAAGAGAGATCTATTACTCCTTTAAAATATATTATAACATTGTGTAATCCTTGCTTTAGCAGGCCTTTCCTGAATGAGCAAAAATGAATGAGGTTAAAAATAACATTTAAAATGGTATCTTTTTAAAAAATTTCTGAGCTTCCACCAGTGTAATTGCTGACACAAAACTACACTTTGCCAAGCTTCTCCAGGACTGCTCCTCCTCCTCTATCTCCAAGCTCAAAGAATGGCACCACAATCCACACAGTTGCCCAGTTCAGAAACCCAAGAGTCTCACCGGACTTCCCCCTTTCCTATAAATTGAATCCATTATGAGTCTGGCCAGCTTGACCTTCTGATTCTATTTTTAATCTGTTTCTTCTTTCTACCCATACTAACTTGTCCCTGTTTGGGTCTTTTTAAATCTTGCTGGGACAGAAAAATAGCTTCCTTATTTGTCTCTCTCTTTTAGTTTTGCCTAGTCTGCACCCACAAATCAATGCACGTTACCATCAGAATGTTTTCTCTAAAATACAAATCCATCCATGTTACTGATCTACCTGCAATGAACTCCCTACTGGTCCTGGGAGCCAAATGCTCCCAGAATCACCGTCTCCTCTCCCACTGTGCTTCTTCCACTCACCTTGAACTTTACACTCTGAAAACAGTTTGTATTCCATCTCCCATGCGGCACTATTTCACACCTCAGTAGCTTTGCTAATACTGTGTTCTCTGCCAGAAACACTCTTAGCGACTCTATTGCTTAGCCAGCTCCTACTAATGTCTTTCGAAATTCAGTCCGATCATTCTCTCTTCCATCCTCTCCTGACCTAAACCCCAAGCTGGGTTACGTGTCTCTCCTTTGTGTCCCTGTAGCTTCCAGAATATTTCTTTCTCACAATATTTACTGTGCAACATCAAAATAACACACGTGACCTTTCCTTAAATGAAACTATCAGCCTCTTGAGGGTAACGGTATTGCTCATTTATGCTATATCTCAGGTACTGAGGACAGCGGCTTTCACATAGGAGATGATGCAGGTCTGTGAAAGCGGTCTTGGAAATCAGAGCATCTAACTTGTTCTTGGAAGGCTTTGAGTTCCCCTCTCCACCAACAGCACAGTCTCTGCTCACCTCCAGGCAGCCCTCTTCTGCAGCTGCTGCTGTCCCTGCTGATGTAGATAACATGGCAGTAGATCCTGGCAGGTGACTGACTGAGTGTTGCTTTTGCTTTTTAAAGTATTCTTTCCACTGCTGCTACATCTGTCCCAAGGCTCCCTACCAGAGGGACTTTGCATTTCTCTTCCTTATAGTCCTAATTATAGTTTTAAAGTATCTTGCTACACTCATAATCTCAGCTCTCTACAGTCCAGACTTGGGAAGAGTTCCCTGAAAATTGATGTGAAAGACAGTGTAAATGGCATCCTCCAGTGCCTATAGAAAACCCTTCTTACCACTGATCAACCCTTGTCCCTCAGTGAGTCCAGGAGTTGGCTACTTCATTTTCTAGGTGAGTGCCCATCCTGGCCATCTGGAACAGTACTGAGATGATAGAGCTGGATTTTATCATTGTAGTTTATGCCAATGCTTAAACACCATGTAAAAAGTCTTAACCTCATTCTTCCAGGCCTCTTAATACTGGTACCTTAAAATGCCAACCATTGTTTTTCTCAGAGCTCCATTGATTTTTACACAAACAAGATTCCTCCAGACCTCTATCTTGGGCATCCTATTCTTCTTTCTGGGGGATTTCTCCATTTTCTAACCTCTCACATTCTTTTTCTAGAAATGGCCTCTTCTATTTGAATAAAGCATCTGACCCTTTCCAGGGGGACCAGAGTCTATCCTGAACTGTGATGCCCCTAAAGCATTATTCCCAGCTCTGCCGCCAGTGTACATCCATATTCTTGATGGATGACAGTCAGATTATATAGTGACTTTAGACCTATTGCACAAAATCTGGATTTTCCTCACTCACAGACCATGCATGTGTCTGAAGACCTTATAGTCCACAGCCAAGTGTTTTCATTCAGACAAGCTCCCTGGTTATTCTAGAGAGGATAAATTTTAAAAAGTAATTAAATAACCTCATAGTTTCTTAAATATGTTCTTCATGGTCAAATTATTAACACAGCAATCCTATATAAGGTTTGGGCTTTGGTTTCTCAATTCAGCCTCAAACATTGTACCCTTTGGTGACAGTTTTTTTCTTCCACATTTATCCAGATCACTTTTTCCTGCAGATAATGCATATGGAATTTATAAGACATCTTCTGTTTCCTTCTTCAAAGCAAACCATAATGAAGTTCATCAGCTGATAGTGATTCATAGTTAGATAAATTAGAAGGTAAATGAAGAAGTTTAGAGTATTTAGTTATCTATGAATGCATAACAAACCCCTCAACACTCATTTAATACAACAAATGGTTTATTATACCTCACAATTGTGTGAGTCAGGAATTCACACAGAGCTCAGCTGGGCAATTCTTTTGTTCTTCAAGGCATGAAGTGCATATGGCAGTCCTCAGCTGGCAGATGGGCTGTTCTGGATAGTCGAAGGCAGCATCATTCATATGTCTGGCACCTTGGCAGGGGTGGCCGGGAGGCTGAGCTAAGCTGAGATTACCAGTTAGAGCACCTGCACCTGGTCTTTCCAGGAAGGCATTGTCAGGGAAGTTGGACTTTTCACGGAACTAGTTCCCCTCACAACAAGTATTCTAAAAGACAGGAAGTGGAAGCTTCCATTCTCTTTAGGCAGCACAGTGTCACTTCCGCCGCAGTCAATTGGTCAAGCAGTCAGAGCTTACCTAGTACAAGGGAGAGGACATAGGCCCTGTCTCTCTACGGAAAGAACAAAAAAGAATTTGCAGCCATTTTTTAATGAATTTCCCAGACTGTCTCCTCAGATATTGGCAGAGAGATTAAGAAGACATCATTCATTGTCTCAGCAAAGACTTATGAGGTGTCCACAATGAAGTGCAGGGTGCCCTACAGTGCAACTGCAAATGCGTGGGCCACAGGCCTCAGCAGCTTGCGGACATGGGTCAGCAGACCTGCAGTGTTTACATTTAAATATTTGCATTCATTGCCAGTGTTTCAAAACTGTGAGGTTTCACATAAAATCTGAGTTTTAACTTTTCTGGGAAGAGATTCATCTGGTTGGCACCAGTCTTGAATTGTCCAAGGGTCACTCCCAGCTTGAGATGAATAGCTCTACCTCATGCAGACAGGGCACAGGCTGGGCAGGTTGTCCAGTCCTTCCCCCCACCACCTCACTTCCCAAAGTGATTTGTCTGCTCCCTTTGGGCATTTGAATTTGCCACTCTTGCTCTAGAGATGGAAACATGGATAAAACTTTGTCCCCATCTTTAGCTATCTCCTGAAAGCCACAGCTTTTGGAACAATGGCAAAATTTCCTAAGATTTTTAAAGAAATTTAGATCATTATTGTGAATCAGTAGTTTGATATACTACTACTATTTTTTCTAAAATAAATTGAAGTAAAACAAGACTAGTAAAATAAAAATTCATTTTCACATCATTGCAAACTAAATCTTACAATCTCTTATACCATTTGTGATATGCAGGCCTCACTTACACCTCACTCTTCCTAGGGAAGGGTGTAAGGAAGTATAAATGGCCCTGGAAACTAATGTGAACACTGTAGCCAGTTCTGTCTTCTCCTGCCCCATATCCAGAAAGAAGGAATGCTGCACAGAGAGACCAAGAAGAATCAGTACAGACAGGCTTTGCTGGGTCCCCACCCCCAGTTTATTAAGATTAGATCATATTTTTTTGTTCAGATGTCTACATAGCTGTCCATTCTTCATTCAACCTAAGCATAAAAACAGTTTTCCCTAAGTCTTTGGGTCTTCAATTCTGAAGGCTCGTGTCACATAAAACTTTGAATAAATAATTTTGTTATGTTTTTCTCTTATTAACCTGTCTTTCACCTTTTCTGCCTCTACACCTCTAAATATTTAAGCATCTTACACTTAAGTCTTAGTCATCGTGGAACTTTTTTTTATGTATGGTGTGAGGTAGGCATCTAATTTCATTTCTTTGATAGGGTTAATCAATTGTCCCATCACCATGGTCCATTTCTCCTCGAATGTGCAGACTCTATCTTATACCACGTTTCATATATGCAGGGGTAGGTTTCCCAGTTCTTTAGCCTAGCAGTCTATTTTTCTCTCTGTACAGCAGGTACACTGACTTAATTAGCATGGCTTTAAAAATATCACATAGGGCATGTTTTTCCACCCTGTTCTTTCCAAGAGTGTTTTTTGGCTATTCTTGGTTATTTGCTTTTCAATGTGAATGGTATCTTTATTTTATCATTGCATTTTCTAAATGCTTATTGATGGCATTTACAAATTCAATTTTTAAAATACTAAGTTTAAATTCAGCAACTCTGCTACACTCCTTTATTAATTCTAATAATTTGTCTTTAGATCATCTGAGGCTATTTTTTGTAGGACAAAAATATTATTATCAACTAATGACAGTTTTGTTCCATAAGCATCCTTGTCTTGTTTCTGATTTTAAGGGAAATGCTTCCAATATTTAACCCACAAGTATGTGTTTGCAGAAGGTTTTTGGTTGGTTATCTTTCATGAGATAAAATAATTGTCCTTTTCTTTTTAGTTTGCTAAGAGTTTCTTTTCATGAATGGATGTTAAATTTTATTGAATGCATTTTCTTCATCTAATAAGATGAGCATACAGTCTTAATATTAGAGCAAACTTGCTTTCTTTGGAATAATTCAATAAGATAATAAATTATGCTATTTGTTACATTATTTTCTTATATTATACATCATTTGCTAAAATACTTTGTCAAGAATTTCTACATCTACATGATTTAGATTGTATGGTAACTTCTCTTTTTTGTATGATCATTGTCTGGTTCAGGAATTATAAAATGAGTTGAGGAGTGTGTCCTGTTTTGCTATTATCTGAAAGAATTTGAATAATATTTAAATTACCTTGAATGTTAGTAAATCAGGAAAATCAACCTGTTAAGCACAATGTAAAATAAGTGTTATATCTGTTCTAATGATAACTCGATAATATGGATGAAAAGCAGAGTGATATAGTGGGAAAAGATTGAATTTTATACAGAGAAAACATACTATTCTCTTTATAAATATTCTCTCTTATTTTGAGAATTCATACTCCCTTATAAAGATTTCAGATACTTCTATTGCCTCTTTTTAGCTGTGATCTTGGTCAAGGTAGTCTTTCTGATTCTGTTTTCTTACATAAAAATGAAGGGGCTTTCTTCTTTTTTGTTTTGAAATATATGCTTTGAGAAATTAGTTTGATAGTATGCGTAATACCCTGGCAGAGAGGAGTAGGCCCTTATTAAATGTTATTCTGTCCCCACTACCACCACCACCTCTCGGAATCTGGTCAAAGAAAAAAAAAGTTATTTTTATTGTTTCACTTATTCTATATTACTAATTTCAAATTGATGTACTTGTGAAAAACCTCAGCCTGATGGAAGGAAAAGGACACATGTCTCTGCAGTTCTAAGAATGTATGGGTGAGAAAGTTGACCTCTTTGGATTAACACTTGAACTCTACATGTTGGGTCTTTGCTCTGTCTCTGTGCCAGATCTCTTAGCAATTGAGATAAATATATCTTGCTCAAGATTAGACACATGCAGGGGGTCCAAAAGCTGAGCAGACAAGCTCTGCAGCTGGGCTTGGAGATAGCCCAGCTCAGAGTGATGCTAAGAGCTGTGTGACAGGTCTTATGTCTCATCAAGTCCTTTCATTAGTTGTCTGGATGCATCTGAGGCCACATACTGGGAGTGGCATTTAGGAAGCCATTATGGAAACCGTCTCCATAAACTAAAACCAAAATATCCTCTACTGTCATTTTTCAAGTTCACTAATGGGGTTGCTGGAAGTAGGTTAACCCCTTCAACCCCTCTCTTGCTATTAGCCATCCACGTTAAAGAAAAATACTGTGCATCAGAAGCCTGGTGCTGAGGTGTCAAAATTAGAAACTAGTATTTAAGCAATTCAAGTCAGTAATTTGGAGATGATGGTTCACTGGAGAAATCTTACGACTTTCTAACATTTTTGTTAAATGTACTGTGGAGAACATGTGGAGTTTCCAGTTTGTTAGCAAAAGTGTGCTTAACTACCCACACCATATTATCAGCAATTTAAGGAAAGGAATCAGGTCTCCTAATTTATTTTAGAGCCCTGGGATGGTGTTGACAGACAGAGTCCCTACTTAATAAACATTTTTGGAATGTTATTCTTCTCTCTGAGTTCAATTTGCATTGTGTGTACTTTGGTAGCTGCCTCTCATCTAACCTCCCACCCTTCTTCTCCCACTTACCTCCTTCTCTCACTAAATGATTTCTAAGGCATCCTCCCAAGAACTGGCTAGAAACCCATCTGAAATTGACCACACTGTCTGTGGCCTCCCCCTCCACATTTGTCATTTTTTCATCTTCTCAGTGTTTATACTACTGATGGGCTGCTTTACACATGTTCTCAAATTGCCTTATAGATAATAACTGTTCTTTTCCTATTAAAGAAGGATAAATGCCTAGAACTATGCTATGTATATAATCATTTGCTCAATAAATATGCATTAAAAATGGAATGAAGAGAGGGAAGAAGACAGAGCAAAGAAAGTAACAAAGGTAGTTTAGGGAGTATTTCATGAGTAATATACACTGCTGGTAGATACAGGGTTATGGCCAGATTAGATGAATAACATGATTCCCTTTGGACCATTATCCTCCAATGGGATACAAACAGAAGTCTGGGAAACACAGAGAAGCCATGAACCGCAGAGAAAGAAATAGGTGTTTGTCTGTTTTTCCATCCAGCCCTTAGGTGGATATGGGGATTTCACAAAGGTGATGCCTTGTTGTTTTTTTATATTTAACAAGCCACCACTTGTTCTTGTAAAGAAGATCTACTTTTTATCCTCCTTTTATGCATCTGGGAGTAGGGACTGAGTCAAAAAATAAGGGAGCTGGGATAAAATTCAGTGTAACAGTTGTCAGAAATCCTTGGTAAGTCCAGAAGCCACACAACAAGGGTCTGGTGGTGATGTCTGCCATCAGGGTGATATCCATTCTGATGATGATGGCTGACTGGAAGCAGGTTCCTTTGTCACTATACTGGATTCTTCTTGAAGCTGGGTACTGCACAGAAGAGACAATCTTCCCATTCATTTTTTCTTCCATTGAACAATTATTTATTGAATACTTACTATGTGCCAAAGATTCTTCTAGGTACTGGGGGTATAGTAATGAATGACACAGATACGGCCCATCCCTCTAGGATTTTACATTCTAGTGGAGAAAGACAGGCAATAAGGAAGTAACAAATGGGCAAGATAATTTTAGAATGATATAGACTATGACACGTAGTGAAAGATAGTGTGATAGATACATTATTATTCAACCCAACATGTATGACTATCTTTGCTCTCTTTGCTAAAATCTCCAAATAGGGTCTCCCACTTTATCTGTTCTCAAATAATTGCATTTTTCAATGTCAGAGTAATCTAACTTTTTATCTTTCTCTACTTCTCCTTTTCTTTCCATCTCACATTTATTAAAGAACTAGGTTAAAGTGCTTTGCAATGCATCATCTCACTTAATGCTCACAATGGCACCATGATTTTAGTATCATGAGTAGAACCATTTTGCAGATGAAAAATCTAAGGCAGAGAGAATGGTTTAGCAACTTGTCTAAGATCACACAACAAGTAGTGAAGCCAGGATATGAATGCCTGTCCTCTGATTAGCAAACTTTATGCTAATCTTTCATCCTTTTCCTTACGGCAGAGTTAGTCGTTCCAACAAAAGGATGCCCCAAACAGATGTTCTCCATCTCCCCGGGTTATAGTAGAAGGATCTGTATTATACAAAAGGATATGCAAAGGGATATGAATTAGACATAGTGAAGAATGTCCAGCCATAAAAGCTGAACACTTCCTAGAGAAGCTTAGGCAATTTCTCTTCTAGAGATTTAGAACATGAGTTGGCAAACCACTGCCTGTAAGTGAAATTCAGCCCTACTACCTGTTTTTGTAAATAAAGTTTTACTGGAAAACTGTCATGCCCATTCATTTGCCTAATGTCTATGCCTGCTTTCTTCTACAAGGATAGAATTGAGTAGTTATGACAGAGACCCTATGGCTCAGAAAGCCTAAAATACTTACTATCTGGTGCTTTACAGAAAATATTTGTTGATCTTTGATCTAGAATATCAGGATGGATTTTGCTTGGGTTGGCTTGAGTATGGTTCTCTCTGAAGTCGCAGAATGGTCTAATTGAAACTTTAATATTCTTTTCAGCTCTAGGACCGAAGAGGTATATTTCTGTGGTGGTCAAAACAGGCCTATTCCTAATGGAAGAGCCCCTCCTTCAGACTTCTTTCAGCTGACTTCAAGCTCCACTTTGGCTATGTCTATGCATTGCCTGAATTGTATTTAAAATGTATATAGCTGACAGAAGTTTCCCAAATTGCACTGCAGACTGCCAGTAAGCACAACTTAACTGTGGTGGAGGTTGCAGGGGAGAGTAAATTCCACCTACCAGGGAATTTAGGGTGGTGCTAGTACTCATGTTAACTCTATTCCAGTTGCCATTTGGATTGGGCATAAAAAGATGACAGGTTTCTGCTGTCATATAGTAACAGTGATTAATATTATTGCTATGATTTCTATTATTAATAAAACAGATTTTTTTTGGAAGTTTTACTTTGGATAAAATAAAAACTAGTTGTTAGGAGAATTAAGCATTAATTGCTTTAAAATTCTTATTGATCAAACCAGAGAAGCAGAACTAAGATGAGGCATTTATGAGTTCCTTTGGAAAAGTATGATATGTGTGTGGGCACTCACACACACACACACAATGTAGGAAAAATAGGTACTAACTGCAAAATGTTTTCCATCCCTAAGAAGTTCATGAGTATTTTCTCAATTCAGTTCAATGTAAAATGACATTTTCTTTTGCTTTTTTACACCACCCCTGCAAAACTGGATGAGGAGCCTGCCTCTCACAAGCTGTGTGATCTTGAACAAGTGGTTTCCTCTCCCTGGGCCATATTTCCTTCTTCTGTGAAATGTAGCTGTCAGCATGGATGCTCTTTTCCTGTTCTGACAGGAGCCAGCAAGCCTGTGATCTCTGAAAGTCCTCCAGCCTACCCCAGCTGCCTCCTTCCACTTGGCCTCAAAACCACTTCTCAGCATGGTGTAGTGAAAAGACATGGACTTGGGAGTCAGCCAGACTTAGGTTCAACCTTGAAAAGCACATTTTTATTTAGCAGTTCAAGCCTCACACCACTCTCTGAGATGGCAGACGCTTGCACTGTTGCACATACGGTTCTCTCTGGCTTTCTCTCTGTCTCGTGCACCACACGCCTGATCTATTTCTCCTTACAGATTCAGGTCAGGAAATTAAAATCTCAGAATGAAAAGAGAAATCATAGATTAGGAGAAAATATTTGCAAATGACATATCTGATAAAGGACTATTTTCCAAAATATGCAAAGAAATCAACAATAAGAAAACAAAAAAAAATGATTACAAAATGAATCAAAGACCTGAACAGACACCTCACCAAAGACGATATTAAGATGACAAACAAGGATATGAAAAGATGCTCAACATCATAAGTCACTGGAGAAATGCAAACTAAAACATCACTGAGACACCATTACATACCTATTAGAATGGCCAGAATCCAGAACACTGACAACACCAAATGCTGACAAGGATGTGGAGCAACAGGAACTCTAATTTATTGCTGGTGGGAATGCAAAATGCTACAGCTACTTTGGAAGACAATTTGTCAGTTTCTTACAAAACTACATACTCTTACTGTACGATCCAGCAATAATGCTCCTTAGTATTTACCCCAAGGAGATGAAAACTTATATTCACCCATAAGTTGGACCTGCACATGGATGCTTATAACAGTTTTATTCATAACTGACAAAACTTGGAAGCAACTAAGATGCCATTTCTGCAGGTGAATAAGTAAATAAATTGTGGTATAGGAGAAAAATGGAATATTATTCAGTGCTAAAAGGAAATGAGCTCTCAAGCCATGAAAAGACATGGAGAAAATTTAAGTGCATATTACTAAATGAAAGAAGTCAATCTAAACGGATTATATATTATGTGAGTCCACCTATATGACAATCTCAAAAAGGGAAAACTACGGGGACAGTAAAAGATAAGTGGCAGCCAATAGGGGAGGGAGGGATGAATAGGCAGAGCACAGAGGAATCTTAGGACAGTGAAACTACTCTGTATGATACTATAAAGGTAGACACATGCCATTATACATTTGTCTAAACCCACCAAATAGTACAACACCAAGCGTGAACCCCAGTGTAAGCTATGGACTTTGGGTAATAATGATGAATCAATGTAGGTTCATCACTTGTAACAAATGCACCATTCTCATGGAGGATGTTGATAATAGGGGAACTGTGCATGTGTAGGGGAAGCAGGTATATGAGAATTCTCTGAACCACCTTCACAATTTTGCAATGAGCCTAAAACTGTTTTCTTACATAATGTCTTTGAAAATATTAAAACCTCTAGAAAATATTTCTGATTCCTCTCCTCGCCCTCAAGGAAGAGGGATATATTCCCAGGTCAGCCAGGCACTTCATGCTGTTAACTGTGTGTTTGTGTGGGCTCCCCTCATAGACATTGATTTTCTTGAGGTCAAGAACTGTGATGTTGCACCTATGGGAACTTCCACATTAAAAGGACTCCCTGCTTAAAGCCTGTCTATAGCCTTCCTTCTCACCCAGGCTCAAACCCAAAGTCCCCATCATGGCTCCAAGATTCCGCACAAGCCGGTCTCTGCCAACTTCTGCTTCCTTTCAGGCCATTTGTCTCCCTTCTTTTTAGGTTCTCAGGGCCCAGCTTTATCCCTTATTTTCTTTATACCTATAGTAATTTCTGCTGGGGTGGTTCTCTACAGACAGCTCCCACTAGCCTTTTAACTGAGACTTTTCAGATCTCAGCTTCAGTTCATTCATTCATTTAACAAATATTTACTGAGCACTGTTCTAGGCACAAGGAGAAGGAAGCAGACAAAAATTCCTGCGTATCTGGAGTCTACATTCTGGCTGGGAGTAAGGCAGACAAGGAAGAAACAAACCAATAAATACAGACAATGTTACATGATGAAATGTGCTAAGAAAAATAAAGCAAATAAAGCGAGGCGAGATGGGCATTCCTGGGTGGAATGTCATTTCACGGGAGGACTCAAAAGGCCACACTGAGAGCATAATGGATGAGCAGAGACCTTCAGGGAGAGTGGGAACAAGCTGTGTGGGCGTTTGTGGAAGAAGCAGTGAGCGAGAAGACCCTGAGCCTAAGTGGACTCCACAGGGTTGAGGAAAAGCGGGAAGACCAGTGAGGGAGGGAGGGAGTGATGGGAGTTGGAAACAGATGGCAGGGGTCTGGGTCTCGTAGGGTCTTGCCAGCCACTGCCAGGACTTGAGCTTCTATTCTGAGTGAGATGAGTGTTTTCAGCAAAATAATCCAACTAACATTTGGAAGGGGCCACTCAGGCTGGTGCAAATAGAGGAAGATTAGTCAGGTTTTTCCAATACTCCTGGTGAGAAGTGATGATATCTTGGACCAGAGTGATAGAGGTTATAAAGTGGTTGACAAATGGTTGTGTTCTGGATCTATTTTGAAGGTAAGAGCTACAGGACTTATAGATATGTACTGGAAATGGAGTATCAGAGAAAGAAAATAATCAAAGATGACTCCAAGATTTTGATATGAGTCACTGAAAGAGTACATTTATATTTCCTAAGATGAACAGGCTGGGGGAGGAGAAGGTTGGAGATGAGAATGGGAAAAGAGGAGTGTGATTCTGAATGTGTTATGTAACATGTATCTGTTAGACAGCCTAGTAGAGAAGTCAAGTATACAGCTTGATATACAAATTAGGAGTTCACAGGAGAAGACTGGGGTGGCTTCTGGGGCATTCCAATATTTAGAAGCTAAGGATATGAGAATGAAACAGCTAAAAAGCAGGACAAGGAGAAGCCTGCTCTGTGGGAGGAAAATCAAGAGAGTGGTGTCACAAGAGCTAAATAAAGCATCTCAAGAGGGAGGGACTAATCAACTGTGTCAAATGTTGGTGATAAGTTCAGCAAGACAGGGGCTTATCACAATTTGTAATTATCTATTTCTGGTGAGTGTGTCTTTCTTCCTCTGTGTCACCACCCCATTGATTATAAGCCCCAACAGGGCATGACCAGTGTCTCTTTGTTCATCATTTAATGCCAAACCCTGCTGGACATAGAGTAGGCATACAAAAATATATTTCTTAAAAGAATGAATAAATGAACAGCCAAATGGTAAATCATTTTGTTAAGCCCACTTTTTAAATGTAAATCCTAGAGACCCATCTCTGCCCTGCCCTTAACTAACCAGCTGCTTGCCCATGGGAAAACTTCAGTTTCCTTCCCCTGGATTTCACTTTCCTCACCTATTAGCAAACTGCACGAGTTAACGGCCTCTACCAGATCTTGCATCCCACAAGTCTTCAACAGGTCTAAGTCAGACCTTCTAATTTCCAAGCCATGGTGTAATTTTAGCCACCGCCTCCCCAAAATGCCTACCATTGGCCTGAGGCTGCCGTGAATTCTGTCACTAGATTTTAACACTTTTCAGTACAATCTAATCCCCATGAGACACACAAATTAGGAAGCAACTATGATCAGTCATTTGTGCCAGAATGTGAGTACATTTGTCTGGTCCTTTCCTAATAACTGTTTTAGATAAGGGCCTGTTGAGAAAGAAAGAGAGTAGAGTATACTCAGTGAGCTGTCCAGGGAGGAAAGGGGTACAAAAAAAAAAAAACCACTAGAGATAAACTACTGAAAGTCTATATAGGGCAGGTCTTATTTGATGGAATTGAAAGGAAAGGTTCAAGAAATGTTAACTTGTGTCTTTAAGTATCTCCAAATCTGAACTGAATCTCAGGAGATGTTGAGTAAGTCATTTCTCCAACCAGGGTTTTGATCTCAATTATAAAATTGGTGAAGATGTACTTGATCATCTAAAAATGCTCTGCTGCCTTTAAAGTCAAGGATTCAGTGACTAGGGAATGACTTCTCTAATTAGGTAGGGAAGGGAAGACAGTCTATTTTAGCCTAGGAATGAAAGATGAAGCAAATAGTCACACATTTCCAAATATGTGGTCGGTCACTTCAGTTCCAAGAAGGACTACCCAATTCTCTTAGCACAGCAAAATAATAATGATAACAATAATTTTTTACATTTACTCAAGTTACAACAAAAATTTAAAATGGCTCTTGCCTGCCTCTGAACAAGGCACTGTAAGTGTGGTCACGTGCCCTGTGCATGACAAAGGTCACAGAGTCTGTCCTCAGTATTGTCCTTTGGCCTGAGACTGCATACACAGAATTAGGATTAGTTCAGTCTCTGCTGCTAACCTCCCCAAAATAACCCTGCTAGCATCAACGACAAAGACTTGGGTCTGGGCACTTCTCCCTGTAGTGGACTAGCTTGTACTGGACCATGTTTACACTTAAAGAAAGATGATATTTGTGGCCAGGCACAGTGGCTCACGCCTGTAAGGCCAGCACTGTGGGAGGCCAAGGTGGGTGGATTGCTTGAGCCCAGGAGTTCGAGACCAGCCTGGGCAACATGGCAAAACAACAACAACAACAACAACAAAGACAAAAATTAGCAAGGCATAGTGGCATGTACCTGTAGTCCTAGCTACTCAGGAGACTGAGATAGGAGGGTTGCTTGAGCCCAGGAGGCAGAAGCTGCAGTGAGCCATGTTTGCACCACTGCACTCCAGCCTGGGTGACAGAGTGAGACCCTGTATCAAAAACAAGCTAACAAACACACACACACACACACACACACACGAAAGAAAGAAGAAAGAAAGAGAGAGAGAGAAAGAAAGAAAGAAAGAAAGAAAGAAAGAAAGAAAGAAAGAAAGAACGAAAGAAAGAAATTAATTTATAAATCAGCAAATAGAATGGAATCTCTGACCTCACCCCAAATCTGTATTTGGTGGAAGCTGAATGTAAATAAACAGATGAACCAGAAGAACAAGGAAGCAAACAACATTCATGATCAGGAAAGAGAGTGAAATCAACTAGAGTATCCACAGAATCCAGCCTGTAACATCAGCCTCATTAGCACAGCCCCAAGGGCAGGAGAAATTATGTTTTGGGGCAACAAGGATGAGATAAGAAACTTGATAATGACCATCTGCTGCTGATGTCAGGTCTACCTTAAGCAAGGGAGCAGAAGCCCTGGCAATGGGCACACACGCGGATGTGTTCCATGTGGTGTGAGAGTGTGTATGTGCGTTTAAAGTACTGTGGGTGGTGCATTTAATACGGCACTTTTCTGTCCAAGAAAATCATATCCCCTCCAAAGCCCTGAATTATTGAAATCTTGAAGTTTCTCACATCTGTTACGAGCCTTGTATCACCATTTCCGCACGCTATTGGGTGCCATATTCTGTGTCTGAGGTTACAGGCATGCCAGAACCCTCCCACTGCCAAGCTGGGAGATCATTTGTTATTTCTGTAGCCATAGGCTTGCCAAAACCTGGGGAGCTTGATTCTGAAAGGAGCCATCATGCCAGAGGGCAGCAAGCTGGCGAGCTGTGGGGTGGTCTCAACACTCGATATCCAAGCCTTTCAGCCTGAGTGTAACCAGAGCCCCTCGGAGAGAAAGTGGCCCTGAGCTGCCTCAGCTGCTGTAAAATTCCTCTAATGGCCTAGTCTAAGTCCCTCTCACTCAGGCCACCGCCATTTCAATGGAAAGTGAGTTGGGTCCAAATAGGATGAACCAAACTTCTGTCTGAGCAAAAAAGTTGGCCCAGGGCTCAAGAGCTTTAAATGGACCATGAATAATGTTTTATAGCCTCGGCACTGGGGTGAACTCAACCCCTACACTTAGCCTCACCTTTCACGGTGTTATTTTTAG
This sequence comes from Homo sapiens, assembly GCF_000001405.40. Classification (NCBI taxonomy): domain Eukaryota; kingdom Metazoa; phylum Chordata; class Mammalia; order Primates; family Hominidae; genus Homo; species Homo sapiens. The sequence goes on from NC_000001.11 coordinate 222,040,780, forward strand.
AGATCTCATTACACCCCAGCTTAAACTAAAAATATGTTTCCCAGGAATAGCAGAACACAGTTTTAATTGTGCAAAGTGACACGAATGTTCATGGACTCTAATTACATATGATATTTCATGTGTTTGAGATCAGCTGTAAGGAGTAAGGAGGAATGGCTAAATTGCATTTTTCAAGAGCAGTGACTAGACTTGCTTTGAGACTACGGGGCTCAATTAGCTTTCTGGGGGCTGGTGTGGTTTTCCTCAACTGATGCTTTGATTTCTAATAATTTGGGGTGACTCATGTAAGACAGGATAAGAGGTCCCAGGAAGCCCTGTTCATGAGAAGCTCACCTCCAAGTTCTACCAAGCCATTCTCACCCAACACTGACACATAATTCCCTCCCCACTCTCCCACGCTTGGAAGGCGAGATGGTGCAGTAAAAGAGCTTTGGAATCTGACAAATTGGCAACTGAATCTTTACGCTGCCCCTCTACCTCTGTGACTTCAGGCAAGTTATTAATCTTCCTAAGTCTGGTTCCTCATTGAAAAATAAGAATCATAAATGTTGTATGGATAAAATGCAATAATTTATGCAGAAGCCTAATAAATTATTACAGCAGAGGCCTAATAAATTATTACATTATTTATTTATTTATTTATTTATTTTGAGATGGAGTCTCACTCTGTCGCTCAGGCTGGAGTGCAGTGGCACGATCTCAGCTCACTGCAAGCTCTGCCTCCTGGGTTCAGGCCATTCTCCTGCCTCAGCCTCCCAAGTAACCGGGACTACAGGCGCCCGCCAACATGTCCGGCTAATTTTTTGTATTTTTAGTAGAGACAGGGTTTCACCGTGTTAGCCAGGAAGGTCTCAATCTCCTGACCTTGTGATCCGCCCGCCTCGGCCTAACAAAGTGCTGGAATTACAGGCTTGAGCCACCGCGCCCGGCCATATTATTTTTTTATTTGACTTGCTCATATACTTGAATCAGTAGGGGCATTTGTTGAGCACTGACCATGACAACACAGGTGATATACGATGCAACGGTGTCAGACCCCGACAAAGAGTGCGCACACGGGCATGAGTGGCTCTGATGCAGGACGGCAGGACGGCATCAGCACCAGCCTGGACTGTGGGGACACCAACAAGGGAGCGCTTTATCCTGGGGGAAGAAAGTCTCATGAATTCAAGCTGGTCCTTCAAGGATCCTTAGAACAGCAGCATTCTCTCTACTGGTGCACATAGATGTTAAAGATGTACCATCTAGGAATAGGCTGCCTAAGATGGAACCCCAGCTCTGCCTCTTATTACCAACCTAACCTTGGGCAAGTTACTTAAGCTTTTACGTCATAATTTCTGCAGCTGCAAGACAGAGCTCATGTTAACACCTACTTCATAACGTGGTTACGAGGATTAAATGAGATAGTTGATGTGACGCACAAGCCTTCAGTACATTGTCACAAAGAAATTCCTCAAGAAATGTTGGAGGTTAATGGTACTGTGGGAATTTTATTCCTGGAAAAGGGAACATTTGAGCAAAGAGAGGAATGCACAGGATAATTAAAGGAATATCTTGTGGCTTAGTTTGACTGAATCATAGCACATATTATGGGAGAAAAGGCAGGTCCTCAAGTAACCTCTCTGGGTTAGTCTTTGCATTCACTTGCGACATTTTCTCGATTCCATCAGTGTACATTCCGTGTCTCTCTCTAGTTCCTGGACTCTCTAAGACTGGAGCTCACATTGTAACCACTCAGACCACTCAGCCTTCTCTTTTCCATGAGAATCATCTTCCATCCCTATTTTCAGACTATTCTGGTTTCATCAGCTTTTTAAGACAATTATTAATATTTTGATGAAGTTGGCAGTCTAGTAATGACAGTGTGATCACTCAACCTGGTTATAGAGAAAAACATGTTTGCAAATTTTCCATCTGGTGAAAAGTCTAAAGGTCCCAAGCTCATTTCTGTAATCTCTCAAATTCCAGTGCCTATTCTAGAAGGGGGCTTGGTCAGACTGGACCAGACAGCCACCCTGAACCTGGAGGGAACAAGCTCAACAGCACGGGGACAGGGATGGAGGTGAGGACACCAAGTTGTGGGTAGGCTGCAGGGTCTACAGAAGAGTCAGTTCATTTTTAAAATGAGATGCCTGTGAGTCCCCCATGTGAATCAGCTGTCACTGCAGGGTACTCATGCTGTTCCTATCATATCATTGGGATACTTTTCAGAGCATGGTTCCCAATACTCAGAACCTTTTATTTTATTTATTTTTCCCAGAGAGGTATTGACGTATTTGCATAAAGAAATAGAAGTTGCTGTCTCATGGACTTTTGGATGCAGAATAATTATTTTGCAAAACAATATGAATAAACAGCAGAAAAAAAGTAGGAAAATAGAAAGAGAAGCAGATGCCCCATCTCCAGGGTGTGAGTATCATCACCTCACGTTTACATCAGAGTTCCTGAGTATCACTCTCAGATCATAGTTATTTTACTCTTTCCCCCAATATCTACAAGTACAGTCTGACACTGTGCAAAGCTACCAGTGTCCCCTGAGGGTTGTTTGCCCCTAATGGGTCTTCTCTCTGCCCTTCCCACTTCAGCTTCCAGTCTCAGGTCTCTTGCCCCAGCAGAAGCCCTGCCCCTCACCGTGTGGGGACAGGAAAGGTCCCTTCCCAAGCACCACATTATCAACTACTATTGGACCCACCTGGGCAATTTGGCAGCCTATGTGCCCTGGCATTCTGGGACAGCTTAGGAGTGTCTGAGAATAGACAGAGATGGCCCAGAGCTGCAGCTGCACAGCTGAGGCAGAGAGTGCCCCAGCGCCCCAGCCTCAGGCAGCCTCCTCGGCCTCCCTCCCAGGAGCAGGCTGGCTGCACAGCTGATCCTCACTAATCCCGCTCCGTAGAGCCAAACTGCTTGATTTTCATATATCTATGACTTGCGTGTTCTTTACATCGCCTGCTTTATTTTCAAACCTGTCAACAGGCCTCTGAAAAGGTTGCACACATGAGCAAAGGTCTGGGCAGCTGCAGGAAGGACAGAAGCAGCCGCAGGCTGGGCAGGAGGGGGAAGGCCTGGGGTGGCAGCCCAGCTACAGCAGGGCAGGCACTCAGACCTGGGAGACTGAGTCAGGAGAACATGGACTTCCCATTTTGGGGGTTTTGTCTCATCAAAACAAAAACCAGGCATATGTTTTTCTGCCCTGAGATCCTATCTGGTTAGATTAGCAAGCTGGCTATAAATCTGAGATGGACCACAGACTTACTGAACTATATTTATCAAGTTTCTTAATAAAGCAAAGGCCCAGAAGCCTTTGAGAGTGAACACTGTTTTTTTCTGACAGAGACATAAGCCAGCAACAAGCAGTTTATTGTTGTTGTTCAGTTGCCAAGTGGGTGATTCAATTAAAATAGGAGCTACATCAGATCTGTTTGTATGAACCCACAGCGTTGCTATTTGTAAAGGGGCCCTACTTCTCGGACTTACATCATTGCTATTTTTTTTTCAAGATTGTTTTAAGGTCTCTAAAAGAAGACTCACAGGTTGAGATTTGCCTACCGCGTTGTGCCGACAAAGACCAGACAGTCAGACTGAGGCTGTCTCTGAATATGGATGTTGTGCCAATCATTGTTTCTAAGCTGACAGGTCAATTCAATCTAACAATGGAATTCAAGATAATGAAAGCCAGAATATCAGAATAGAAGAGGATCTTGGGAGTTACAAGGCATGACTCCTTCATTTGAAGCTGAGGAAAGTAAGGACCAATGACTTTGCTAGACTGGGACTTGAAGGCAGAATTATTAGGGCTCTTTCCAGTGGACTACACATACCCGCAAGCTCCCTGGCATCTTGAAATAGAGTCTGGTTCAGGAGCTTCATGTCGAACCAGATAAATGTGTAACACAATGGGAGAGAGGAAAACCCGGGTGCCATAGATGGGAAGAACAGTATTGTGGGCTCTCATATCTACAGGTGTCCTCTCAAATTAGAGAAGTAGCCTCCAGATTTTGTTTCACCCATAGACCATGTGGAGAATTCAGTCTCTGATGGGCCCCACAAAAAAACTATAGAGGAGATGGGGCCCGGTGGCTCACGCCTGTAATCCCAGCACTTTGGGAGGCTGAGGCGGGCAGATCACAAGGTCAAGAGATAGAGAGCATCCTGGCCAACACGGTGAAACCCCATCTCTACTAAAAATACAAAAATTAGCTGGGCATGGTGGCAGGCACCTGTACTCCCAGCTACTCGGGAGGCTGAGGCAGGAGAATCACTTGACCCTGGGAGGTGGAGGTTTCAGTAAGCCGAGATCACACCACTGCACTCCAGCCTGGAGACAGAGCAAGACTCCGTCTCAAACCTAGAGGCAAAATAGCAAGATAATCCAGGGACTAATGAGTAATGCAGAGGAAACATACCTTTTCTGGTGGACGCTAATGCACTCTTCAAATATTTCAATGTAACAGGATTCTAAGTTGGAAGTTTTAATTGAAGTATCATGATTTAATAAATATCAGATACAGAAATATCCAAAAAGCCACCCAATAATGATTTCACATTTCATGATCCTCTCTTTGGAGAAGCCTGCACTATGAATACCTCACAACCCTCAAAGAGTGTGGCATGGGAGGGCATCTGTTCCTCCCCTCAAGTCCCTTAGGAGAAGGCTCAGGGGATGACTCAGGAGTCTATGATATGTCCCCTTGCAGGTAGAGGAGTGATGCGGACTGGTGCCCTTCTCTCACCCTTACAACGTGAGGGATGGCCTGCTAAGGGGGAGATGATGGTGTTAGGCAGCTTACTCCCCTGGAGTTTGTTAAGATGATGCACTCAGAGTGTTCAAGGACCAGATGTAGGCCACGTTGGGGAGCTGGCATTGGGATGGTCGGCAGAGGTTTCCAGGGGCTAACGAGAAGATATGTGACCACTAGAGCAGAAAGCATCACAGCATCCGAGGGTCTGAAGGTAAAAGACCACCAGGGAGCAGAGAAGCCTTATAAGAAAACCAGGAGAAAGCACCAGACTGTAACTGTTCCCAAGCTTGCTGAGGTCTGAGCCAGCTGTCTTTGGTTGGGCTTCCTGGGAGCATTGTCTGAAATAGGGATTCTTGTGAAGTGGTTTACTGGGGGAGTGCTCTCGGCAAAGCAGAATAAAAAGGAGAGAAGCAAAATAAGGATGTGGTCTCTGTTCAAGGCTAGCCCCTGACTCGTCCCACAGCAAGCTCTGGTCTGTCCTGGAGAAATGAGGCCAGGCTTTTACCTCCCTGTCAGTTGGTCATTGGCTGCTGAGTGCAATGTGGGGGAAGGCGAGGAAGCAGCTGGGGAGAAAGTTGGGGAGTTAAATAGGGAGGGGAAGGGCCATGACTCAGAAAAGGTGGCTTCCATTTGGTCAAAGGCAAATTCTCCCAAGAGGGGGAGAACTATAAGCCATTAACAGCCAATAGTCACAGCACTCAATGGGTGGAGACCTAGGAGGAACATCAACACATTTGCTGTAACAGCTTCATGCCTGTCGAGCTTTTTATTAATAGTTCTCCTGGCCGGGCATGGTGGCTCATGCCTGTAATCCCAGCACTTTGGGAGGCCAAGGCGGGCAGATCACGAGGTCAGGAGATCGAGACCATCCTGACTAACATGGTGAAACCCCGTCTCTACTAAAAATACAAAAAATTAGCCGGGCGTGTTGGTGGCCGCTTGTAGTCCCAGCTACTCGGGAGGCTGAGGCAGGAGAATGGCGTGAACCCAGAAGGCAGAGCTTGCAGTGAGCCGAGATCGCGCCACTGCACTCCAGCCTGGGCGACAGAGCAAGACTGTTTCAAAAAAAAAATAGTTCTCCTTACATTTCCTTGCTCCCAACTCTTCCCAACTCCCTGAGGGTCAGAAACAGTGCCCATACGCTATAATAGGCCTAGCTAGAGTTAGGGTATAAGTCTTAACTTTGAATGAAATTGAATGCTTTGACTATCACATAGGAATGAACATTTTTAATGTTTTATTTTAATATTATATACATATAGAAAAGGACACATATCACAAGCATACAGCACAAGTGCTCGCAGACCACACCCATGTGACAATCCCCACCATCAATAAAGAGAAACTCACCAGCAACCGAGTTGCCTTCACACTCCCTTCCTGTCACTCTCCTCTCACCTCTGCCACGTGATAACTACTAGAGTAATTGTCTAACAGCACAGATTCATTTTGCCTGTTTTTAGTTTTTATATAAATGGAATCTTATAATATGTACACTTCTGTGTCTGGCTTCTTTCAACACTATGTTTATGAGAGTCATCCATATTTTTGCATGTTCTTGTATATTACACTTTCTCTGTATAGTATTCATTTGAATGACTGTACATAAATTTATTTATCCATTCCACTGTTGATAGAAATTTTAGTAGTTTGCAGTTTAGAGTTATCACATATAGTGTGAAAATGTTAATACATGGCATGTGGTAAATCTGTGTACACATTTCTGTATATAGGCCCTGGGATTAATAGACTCATAGGCACCTTGGAGTTAATAGGATCATAGACAACTATTTATATGTGTGTGTGTGCATGTGTGTGTATATTAGTAAATACTGCCCAACAATTTTCAAACGTGGCTGTAACATTTATAACCCCACCAGCAGTGATGAGAGTTCTAGTTGCTTTAGACCCTTGTTAATGCTTGGTATTTTCTGTCTTGTTCATTTTAGCTAGCACTGGATATTGTTAATTACTGAATTGAGCTTGTGTATGACATAAGTGCTTGAGGGCTTGCAATTGCCTAAGAGTGATCAGAACGGTCTGAAAGTCTTTCTGCATTTTCATATGAGGACAAAGGAAGGCCTGTCTGCAAACAAGCAAGTTTAAAGGGACTAGGAGAAACAAAAGCAAAGTTATTTTTATAATTATATGCTTGTGAGTCCTCCCACTCAACCTACTGGTAACACTGAGACAATATTATCATCCTCTTCCTCATCATCGTTATTTATATTATTTTAATTTTATTTTTATTACTATTGATTTTTACCAAAGCACGGAGATTTTCTATGAAAGATGATGAAATTTTTGTACTCTTGAGCTTCCTTGTCTTGATGAAACCTAGGATTTTGACATATCTGAAGCTCAAGTTTATAACTAATGCTTTCACTCTTAAACTGATATCAAAAATCCCGCTTCATTTCCTACTACCACGGGGGCTAGGAAGATAGTTTTCATAACAGAAAAAGACAAGAGGTAGATCATTATCTCCTTGCTTGTCATGGGGAAAGAGAAGAGATGAAAAAGATTTTTTTCAAGCTCCTTCACACCCATCTCACCTCCCCTTCCCCATTTCCCAAAGGAACACACACAAATAGCTCATTCCCTGAGCTCCACTTAGGAGACCAGCCTGGACAAAGTGTTTCCCTCCAGGATGCACATAGGTCCTCCTTTGTAAGAAGTGGGGCACACATACCACTGCTGGACAATGTGGGCCTTCAAGATAATTGGTCCGTGGATGGGCTTCTGGAAAGCAAACCAAGCCTTTTGTTATTTTTTCCCATATTTTTGTCCAGCCAGTTGGTTTTTGAGAGAGTAAGGGGTATAAGGAAGTTGGGTCACTGAGGAAGGCTCTTGTTTGGGGAATTTTCACCAAACATGTCATTTTCTAACTGGGGCTATTTGCTGTGGTCTTTCTGCCTGACTGTCTGCATTGAGTGATGGTTATAATTAACAAATAGCAGCAGCGTTTCCATCGCAAGCTCATACTGTGGTTTCTCTGACTCATCCTAATGAACTATGGGCCCCTCGAAGTGAAGGTTATTTTTTTTTTCCTTCCTGAAAAATATATTGCAGTGATGGCCTTAATTGAAACTGCTGAATGGTAAAATGTAATTTGTTGTTCATTTTTTTTAAAATGTTATATTGAAAAGCAGGAGAAGAGGTGAAGTCAAATGCTGTTTATCTGTATGTTGTGTGTATACTCATGTATTTTGAGACCTTTATTTTTAAAATTGTAACAATATTGGTGGCCATATGGCCCCAGCAAAATTACCCAAATGTTTAATTGAAACGAGACTAATTGTCATGCAAATATATTACTACCAGACAAGCTAACAAGAATAATGAAAAATGAAGTACATTAGAGGATACTTGGAAATGTTGATTTTGTGATTTTCAGCCAGGAAAGTGGCTGAAAGAGTTCTTACTGGGGAGGGAGTGATTTATCCTGTTTAGCTTAAGTGAAAGTGAGGAATCCCAAAGGTTTGTAATAGCCTTTATGGTTCTCTTTACTAGTATAACTCCTGCTCAGAGGGGCTTATCTGTGACAGAATGAGTTTTTACTTAAAGGGACGGTGGCTGGCTGCTTGCCATTCACTAAAGATTCCACCACACCTGGGAGGAGAAGAGAAATACACCTCCTACTACTCATACCTTGGGGAAATTCTCTGCTTCTCAGAGGAGCAGGAGTCAGATTGGAAAGGGACCTTGAGGAAAATGAACCCAGAAGCATTTCAGAAGGAAAGCGGGCTTTCTTCGGAGATAGCACCAGGACAACAGGCATAGACTTGGATGCTGAGCAAATCACCCGGAATCTCCTAAAAATATTTACTACTGTGCCTGACCACAGGCCTACTGAAGCAGAACCTGCAGGGTAAGGCCAAGGCCCTGTGATTCTGATGTGCACCCACATTTGAGAATCAGTGATTCTAGTTAAACTCCTTCTTTCAGAGTCCAGGTCAGTAAGATTCAAGAAAGTAAATTCCTCACCAGTGATCAGCAAGTGGTTAGTGACAAGGGAGTGTCTACGACTGCCTTCTGGGTGCTTTTGAGAGGTGACAGCGTGCTGGCAGTCCTCACAGCCCTCGCTCGCTCTCGGCGCCTCCTCTGCCTGGGCTCCCACTTTGGCGGCACTTGAGGAGCCCTTCAGCCCACCGCTGCACTGTGGGAGCCCATTACTGGGCTGGCCAAGACCGGAGCCGGCTCCCTCAGCTTGCAGGGAGGTGCGGAGGAAGAGGCGCGAGCGGGAACCGGGGCTGGCACAGCGCTTGAGGGCCAGCTGGAGTTCCGGGTGGGCGTGGGCTTGGCGGGCCCCGCACTCGGAGCAGCAGTCCGGCCCTGCTGGCCCAGGCAATGAGGAGCTTAGCACCCAGGCCAGCGGCTGCGTAGGGTGTACTGGGTCCCCCAGCAGTGCCAGCCCACCCGTGCTGCGCTCGATTTCTCGCCGGGCCTTAGCTGCCTTCCCACGGGGCAGGGCTCGGGACCTGCAGCCCGCCATGCCTGAGCCTTCCCCCGCCTCCGTGGGCTCCTGTGCGGCAGGAGCCTCCCTGATGAGCGCCGCCCCCTGCTCCACGGAGCCCAGTCCCATCGACCACCTGAGGGCTGAGGAGTGCAGGCGCACTGCACGGGACTGGCAGGCAGCTCCACCTGCAGCCCCTGTGCGGGATCCATTGGGTGAAGCCAGCTGGGTTCCTGAGTCTGCTGGGGAGGTGGAGAACCTTTAAGTCTAGCTCAGGGATTGTAAATACACCAATCGGCACTCTGTATCTAGCTCAAGGTTTGTAAACACACCAATCAGTACCCTGTGTCTAGCTCAGGGTTTGTGAATGCACCAATCGACACTCTGTATCTAGCTACTCTGGTGGGGGCTTGGAGAACCTTTGTGTGGACACTCTGTATCTAGCTAATCTGGTGGGGATGTGGAGAACCTTTGTGTCTAGCTCAGGGATTGTAAACGCACCAATCAGCGCCCTGTCAAAACAGACCACTGGGCTCTACCAGTCAGCAGGATGTGGGTGGGCCAGATAAGAGAATAAAAGCAGACTGCCGGAGCCAGCAGTGGCAACCCGCTCGGGTTCCCTTCCACACTGTGGAAGCTTTGTTCTTTCGCTCTTTGCAATAAATCTTGCTTACTGCTCACTCTTTGGGTCCACACTGCTTTTATGAGCTGTAACACTCACCGCGAAGGTCTGCAGCTTCACTCCTGAAGCCAGCGAGACCACGAGCCCACCGAGAGGAACGAACTCCAGAGGCGCCGCCTTAAGAGCTGTAACACTCACCGTGAAGGTCTGCAGCTTCACTGCTGAGCCAGCGAGACCACGAACCCACCAGAAGGAAGAAACTCTGAACACATCCGAACATCAGAAGGAACAAACTCCAGACGTGCCACCTTAAGAGCTGTAACACTCACCACGAGGGTCGGCGGCTCCATTCTTAAAGTCAGTGAGACCAAGAACCCACCAGTTCCAGACACACTTTTCTTGCATTAGATCCTGTGATGGTTAATATTGAGTGTCAACTTGATTGAATTGAAGGATGCAAAGTATTGTTCCTGGGTGTGTCTGTGAGGGTGTTGCCAAAGGAGATTAACACTTGAGTCAGTGAACTGGGAAAGGCAGACCCACCCTCCATCTGGGTGGGCACCATCTAATCAGCTGCCAGCATGGCTAAAATATAAAGCAGGCAGAAGAACATGAAAAGACTAGACTGGCCTAGTTTCCCAGCCTACATCTTTCTCCCGTGGTGGATGCTTCCTGCCCTCAAACATCAGACTCCAGGTTCTTCAGTTTTAGGACTCGGACTGGCTCTCCTTGCTCCTCAGCTTGCAGATGGCCTATTGTGGGACCTTGTGATTATGTGAGTTAATGCTTAATAAACTCCCCTTTATATGTATATCTATCCTATTAGCTCTGTTCCTCTAGAGAACCCTGACTAATACAGTTCCCTTACCTTCAAAAGGTTGTCAATTCTGAGCTAGGCATGATGGCTCATGCCTGTGATCTCAGCACTTTGGGAGGCCAAGGCAGTTGAGTTGACTGAGCTCAGGAGTTGGAGACTAGCCAGGGCCACATGGTGAAACCCCACCTCTCCAAAAACAGTAAAAATAAAAAATTAGCCAGGCATGGTGGTGTGTACCAGTAGTCCCAGCTACTCAGGAGGCTAAGGCAGGAGGATTGCTTGAGCCCAGGAGATCAAGGCTGTGGTGAGCTGTGATCTGGAGCGCCACTGCACTCCATCCTGGGCAATGGAGCCAGACCCTGTCTCAACAACAACAATGAAACCAAGATTGTCTGCTGTATGACAAGCTTACCTCTCTGAACTTCACTGTCCCCATTTGTAAAATAAGGATAAAAAGAACTACCAAATGAGGATTTCAAAAAAAGATAATGAAAGGTTTTGAAAATTATAAAAGCAGGGTAAACAGAAAGTATTACTCTTATTATTTATACCAATACTCTCATGTTTATACAAATTATATAGGCATACACAGGAATCCCAGAAAAAAAAAAGGAGCAATTAAAAAGTCTATCAGCAGACATGAGCCCTTAAAGCATTCACCAAGATAACACATAAGCAGGACTTCAGGTGACAATTAATGTAAGCCTGAGAGGGACTGGGCTGGGGACCAACCAAATTATTCCTTTAGCTGTTGATCACTTTTTGGCCTCCTTCACCCTAACCCTCAGGCTACTTTGGTTTGTTGTTCTGTTTAGTAATTTAATGATGGCTAAATCTGCTGTGATCTCTCATCCATCCTGAGCCTCTCCCACTTCATATTGTAAGCTCCCTGGAAATGAAGACCACGTTCTTAATTCTTCAGAAAACTGCCAGCCCCTAACATAATATCCCATGAATGGTGGATGATTAATAGGTGATTCTAGAAACATGAAGCTAGAAGAAGCCTCTGAGATCCATTCATTCAATAGTTTAACAAGTTTTTACTGAGTGTCCACAATGCACCAGACACTTTTCTAGGATCTGAGATTAAGGAGGCGACCAAGAAAAAAGCTGACCCCTGCCGTCTGATGCTCAGTTTCTAGTGGGTGAGAGAGTCAATCTATAAATCAGTAAAGAAATCATAAATAAATGAAGCACTGGGTAATGCTAAGGGTTGTAAAGCAAACTGCAGCAGAGTCAAGAGCTGAGAGTTGGGGAACGCAGGTTGGTTTAGCCAGTAATGTCTCTGGGAAGGGGAACATTGGAGCACAATCTGAGTGGGCTGAGGACTGGGTCACACTGTGACTTAGGGTTAAAACAGTCCAGGTAGAAGGAAGAGAAGTGCCATGCCCTAAGACAGAAGTGAGCTTGGTGCATTACAGTGACAGTACAGAACCCAGGGCAGAGGTGAGATGCCCAAGACAGGCAGGAAGGCTGGCAGCCAAGATAAGATGCTAGAGTTTACTCCCAGAGTGAAGGGATGCAGCCATCTGAGGGTGTTGAGGCAGGAGGTGAACAAATGTGACGCACTTTTAACATTACTCTAACTGCCATGGGGAACAAGAGTGGAAGCAGAAAACCAGTCTGGACATTTTTGTGGAGAGGAGTGATGGTGGTTTTGATGCGGGCAGAGGTAGCAAGACTCAGATGCAGTCAGGTCATATCTGGAAGGGGACTCTAATATTTGCAGAATGTCTCCAAGGGCCAGGATGCTTTCCTGTGCTCCTAGGAAGAGCTTGGGGCTGCAAAGGAGGTGTGGAAGGGAAGGTCCAGGGGTCACCAGCACCTGGTTCCTACCCAAACAGTTCAGCCTCACCTGCCTCACCACGGGGCTTCCCAGCAGCCCTACCCCATGCATTTGGCTCCGTTGACAAGTCATTTGTTAACACCCTGCCCTTCTATGCCACATCATTTTTAGTAACAATCATGAATGAAAAGAATACTAATAACTTAGAAGGAAACAGAGAAAATTTGCTTTCATTCAATTTCATATATAGAAAATCATGCTCTTAAATAAGAAAATAAAATTAAAATATGACAGAAAATAAATATTACAGTACAACAAGGGAGAAAAAGCACAGCTATTTATTCAAAAGTTTTATACTTACCTAACAGTTTTGAAATGTGATTCTTTGGTTGCAGTGGAATATAATAATATGTCATATAAATGACTCTCTAGTAACTAATAAGTACATTTCAATAAAACAAGTGTCTATAAAGAGCACAATTTAGATGACTAATTGTACTGCTGATGTAATGCTGTTTATGTTTTCTAGCTTTGCTCTTCAGTTTTAAAACAGTAATATTTTAAAAAGAATAAATTTAAGTTTTGCAGATACTATTCCATTTTAGTAAGTTATTTCATAGTTTAAACTCACATGAATATCTGTAGACAGTTACAAACACATATATAGATATTACACCTTACAGTCTATAGTGTTTCAATGTTTTAAAATTTTAAACAAATAAAAATTCCAAGTGGTCACAAAGAATGGCAACTTATGCAAACATAGTTCTATTTCTTCTCTCTGTCCATTGCGCAATTATTATTTATTTTGAAACTACTGTTTAAGTGCAGGAAAATGTAGTTCTGCAGTACCTGGAGACAGGAGCTGCACTAGGAGCACGCGAAGGATTCTAAACAATTACAAACTCATTGACAAGCAAACATGTTCAGGGAAATATTCATGTGTGACGGGGTGGCTGCCTAACTGTGAGCTTTTCAAATAAACCTCTATGTAAATTACAACGTTTTTTAAAGGATAATTAATAAGCCATGCTATGTTTAAGTTTATATATTATGAAAACTCAGCAGCAGCCACATAAATTGTTGAGAACTCAGACCAGCAAAATATTTTTTGGTAGGGTATTTTGTCACTGAGTGGTCAAAAGTAACAGGCAGACTTTCAGTAAGTTTTAGGAGAGTTTTGAATTTCCTACCGACAATGCATCCCCCTTCTTGCCTGAATCTAGGGGAGAAGGCTGCCAGTGCTCAGCAGCTGCTATGCCACCAGTTCTAAGTAAGGTGTCCTCAGCATTGCCCTGGGCTACGAAAAGTCGGAAAACCTCCATCTAGCCCAGTCCTCTTGCCCACATGAGGAACCTGAGGTCAGGCGGCTTGTGTGACTCCCAGGGTGAGATGCATTCATGGAAGGAAACCAGAGCAAGGGCCTCCAGGCCTCTGTGCGTGCCGGGGAGGCACGTGATCACATGACTTGGAACACAGCAGGTTCTGTTCATGCAGGCAGGGCACCCTCAGCATGTCCCCAGGGCCCAGGCAATAATAGAGGGAGGCTGAGCCTGAGGCTATGGAGAGGTGGACAACACAGGTCCAGGCTAGACAGAGCCACCACTCAGCTTTGACCCATAGTTGCTATGCAGGAAAGCAGGCAAGTGATGCCAAGTTTTCTGCTTTTTCTAGACAAACCAAAGAATCCATCTCCTTCTTTGGCACAAAATCTCCAAAGTTTTATATTTTGGCAAATAATTCAAATTACTTGAACAGAAGCAAGAAGGAAGGAAGGGAAAGAGGGAGGCAGGGAGTAGGGGGAGAGAGAAAGAAAACCCTTAGGCCCACCGCCTCGGCATGCTGGGTGTGGTCAGGCACTGCAGCCTCACCACCTCTGTGCTGATAATTAGCTACCAGACAAACACAGGTTTAGTCCGCAGCTCCTACATCAACAGGTAGTGAGGTCTCCTTAGGTAGTGGAAAGTTGTGTTAAAGGCAAATAAATCTCAGGCCCCAAAATCACTCAAGCCCAACTGCTTAGGGCAAATCTGCCTCCCGTTCTATTCAAAGTCGCCCCTCTGCTCACTGAGATAAATGCATATCTGATTGCTTCATTTGGATAGGCTCATCAGAAGCTCAAAAGAATGCAACCATTTCTCTCTTACCTACCTGTGACCTGGGCGCCCTTGCACCACTTGGAGTTGTCCTGCCTTTGCCTCAAGTTGTCCTACCTTTTTGGACTGAACCAATGTACCTCTTACACATATTGACTGGTGTCTCGTGTTTCCCTACAGTGTATAAAACTGAGCTGTGCCCCGACCACCTTGGGCACATGTCATCAGAACCTCCTGAGGCTGTGTCACAGGCGTGTATGTCCTTAACTTTGGCAAAATAAACTTGCTAAATTAACTAAGACCTGTCTAGATTTTCAGGTTCACAGTTGGAGACTCTATACCCCTTTATTGCACTAGTTTGAGCTCCTTCAGGCCAACACTAGACATTTGGCTCCATGTTAAGGGAAGGACACAGACCCCTTCACGTCCGAGGAAAGGCGGGTGCTGAGCCTTGCCGCTCTCATCATCCAAGGACTTGCACTCTGCTTCAGTGTCTCGCTCCTGCTGTCTCTGCCATCAGTGGCAGACACAGCTAACACTGCGACAGAGCCAGGGACCTAACAGGCTTACTTCAAGGGGCTAACCTGGGCTGCCAAGAACAATTTCTCCCTGTAACCTGTCAGGAGCGGACAAGGCTGCTGGAAGCTCATGTAACTTTTCACCACATGCCGTTTTGAAATAACTCTATTCCATGGGGAAAACCTTCAGAAGACTTTTCTTTGTAAACAGACTTGATGATAAAGACATGCTAAGTCCTAAAACCCAGAGGCTGTCAAGGATTTTACATTCTACCAATTTTGTCTTATCTCCTGGGCACTGTGGAGTTGAACAGAAGCTAGAGCTAAGTGCTAAACTCACTAGACATCTGCCAGCATCCGTCCATCACAAATGCGAGGGCCTCCCTGCCAAGTGGGCCACTCTCTCTGGTATAGGGAAAGATTCAAAGTTGTTATGAATGTTACCTGCAGATATTAAAAAGAAATGAGTTACACGTGTTTGTGTTTTCTGTTCTTACCTTCTCAGAAGTGAAATGCAGGAGCACACATATTGATCATGTAAATTTTTAAAAAATGATAATTCACACACACATTTGTACACAGAAGTCCAGGCAAAGAAAGATCAACATGTTTAGAACACTTACCTTCAGGCAGTGGAGTAAGAGATAATATATTTTTTTTTGCATAGTTGTATTTTATAAAAGTTCTATGATTGATATTTATTACTTTAGTCATAAGGGGGAAAGCAACCAATAAAGACTATGAAAGAATGAGAATATATGGTATATTAGTCTGCTAGGTCTGCCATAACTAAATACCACAGAGTGGCTTAAAAGAGCAGACATTTTTCTCTCACAGTCCTGAGAGCCATAAGTTTGAAATTAAGGTATTGGCAAAGTCGTTCGTTCTAGATCCTCTGAGAGAAAATCTATTCTGTGCATCCCTCCTAACTTGTGGTGGCTGCAGGCAAGCCTTGGTGTTTCTTGGCCGATAGATGCATCCTTCCAGTCTCTGCCTCACTCCTTACAGGGCATTCTGTGTCTCTCTGTGTCTTTATATGGTTTTCTTATAAGGCCCACCCCAATCCAGTATGACCTCGTCTGAATTTCACTAACTTACATCTGCAGAGACCCTACTTCCAAATCAGGTCATATTCTGAGGTTCTGGGTGGACATAATTTTGGGGATGGGGAAACACTATTCAATCCAGTACATATGCTTATAAAGTAGATGAATCCCCCCTGGGGATATTCAGATGCCCATTGACCCTATTAAGCCTTAATTCCTGAAAGTAGAGCTTCAGCTCCCAGGAGCATGTGGCCTACCTCCTCCTCAATCTCTGCTCTGGATGAGGAGTGGGGCCAGTGCAGAAGCAAGGGGTATAGACCAACAACATGACCCACAAGGACCACATCTGGTCCTGGTAAAGCCATGGGCCCCAGAGCCCTGGTGGGGCCCTGGGTGATGCTGAGAAGCCTGAGGATCACACACCTCCCTCACATAGTATTACGCCTTTGCAAGTGCGTGGGCATGTTCTTAGGATTAACCAATTACAAACTCAGTTTGAAGTGTGACAGTCATTCATTTTCTCCCTGAGTGGTACTGAAAGTAAAACTCCTGTCATGTGCGAGTCTGAGAAACATGTGATGACAAAAAGATTTCTTGTACTCAACAAGGTTGGAAATCACCATGCTACATCTTTTTCTGGAGCAGACTTCTTGTGGGATGAGAGGCTTTTATTGGGATGTAGTGTGTCTTGTGTCTTGTGTCTTATGTGACAGGCACCATGTACAGCACTTTGGGTCCATGTTTCTCGTAATCTTCAAATCAAACCCATGAGGCAATCATCCCATTTTTTAGATGAGGAAACAGGCTCAGAGAGGTTAGAGAATCACAGAGAGCCCCCAAATCACAAAGGTAGGAGCCAGCAGAGATGAGATTTGAATTTGAAGGTAAATATTTCTAAGACTTACACGATAGTGTTATTGGCTGAAGTGTGTCATTAACACTCTCTTTAGCACTGGATAAGCCATCAGAGACCTACACCCTGACACCATGTTGCTGTGCTCCCGACAGAATTTATTGTCATTCAGGAACACATCAGGGCTGTGGCCTCCAAGAGGGACTCTTTAATTGCCTTAGTAAACCCACTTCTTTTTTATGTGCAGATGCCACAGGGAACACCTTCCACTAAGTCTCTCTATGCCCAGTGCATGAAGCCCAGGGGAGACCTTCTGTAGGAGCCAAGTAATAGGAAGAGCTTGGCTTCCTCTAAATAATTGGTGTATTTTCTCCCTAGAGGCAAAAGGAATGGGGTAATCATTTACCCAGGTCTGTATTTTCTGTCCTCAAATCTGTCGGCTCAATCATAGTACTCTGGTTTAATTACCTTATAATCTGAATTTCTGCAATAAGATCCCCAGCCTGTACCCCAGGACCTGACCTACTTTTTCAATATTTAATTTTTTTGCCTTAATTTGTTTTAATTGATAACTTATTATTGTCTTGTATATTTTTTCTGATATCCTCCAGAAATCTTTTTTGTTTGATTTTTTACTCTCGTTGTTTTTATGTTAGTGTGGTTCTTACGCAGTAGGGGAAAAGGACTGTGGAGTCACTGACCTTTGCCATCTGCTCCTGCCAGCTCCTCTTGCCAGGGCCCCTCCAGCAGGCCAAGTCCCATATCCACCTGCTGGCTGCCCAGAGCTGCACACAGAGGACAAGAGCCCTCTGGCTCATTCATTGTTCACTCTACTCTTCCATCTTGAAGATTCTTAGGCTTAGGTCCTCAGGACACCAACTCCAAATGAGTTAATTAAAAAGACAAAGAATATAATTGTCAACAGAGTTCATGAGTTATCCAGCTTCAGGTAGTGTGTATTTCAACCTAAAAAACAAACAAACAAAAAAGAAAACTGCTAGTTTCAACAAAGGCTCCAGATTCCTCTGAAAATACACCTAACTTATGTAGGAAAATATAGAATCCTAGACAGGACACCAGTTCGTCAGTTTAACAAATGTGAGATTGAAGGGACTGAGCCACCAAGCTCTGCACTTTCTCAAACTGAAGCCAGACCCTCAAGCAGTTGTTAATTTTCAGTTTTTGTCCTTGACTCAATGGGAACACAAATATTCTAAAATGCAAGACCAGATAAAGTTGTGACAAGACATTAGGGGCTTGACTCCAGTTCCAGTTCAGCTGCAATATACTTACCATTCTCTACCTGTGCAAAGTACCCTCATGTTGTGTGAGTGAATTCCAAAGCCACTTTGTGACCTCTTCCGGCAAGGCCAAAACCATGTGGAGTGTAGAAGTGGGAAATGTCCTCTGCTCTGCTCCAAGCATGTGGCCTTCTGCCTGGGGCCAGAGGGAAGAGTCGGTCACGCCTAAGCCAACACCCACGGCATTCCACCATGTGGTAAGATCCCTCGGACTAAAACACAAAGCCTCATGGTAGCCTGACCTTTCCCAGGTGTTAACACCTGACCTGACAAAACTAGCAGTGCCCCTGCATTGAAGCAAGCTCCTTAGAAGGCAGCTTACTGTGAGCTGAGGTCAAGGAGAGTGACAAGGCCCAGCAGAAATCCTCTGAACAGCTGAGCAGTTTTGTTGCAAGTAACGGGGAGACCAAGTGCTGGGGAGCCATCACACAGGGATTCTGCAGCATGGGCATTAGGAAACAGCCCAATCACTGTTATTCTGCCCAGGGTCTATCTGTATCTAAAAGGGACATGAATCTAGGACAGTGATGAGTGGATCTTACTTTCACAAACATCATTTTCTCCAACTGATTCCTTTCTAAAAAGGAAAATTGACATTTTTGTCCCCTGAGGAGAACACCCAAAGCAGATACAAAGTTCCCTGTATTAAACAACATTTACAAGTCAGACTGTACTGCACAATACCCTCTACCCAAGACAAAAGTTTTATACCATTCATTTGCATAGACATAGCAAAATTATGCAACATGTCATCTTCACTCAAAATTCACTGTTTTATGAGGCAAGACTTACAACACTATTAGAATGTACAATGCTTCATTCTTTAGTAGTAATAATTTCAGAGAAAATGTTCGAAGATAAAAGCAAACATCCATTGGAATAGATTTTGCAGGATGTGAGAACAAGAACATGAAATTAATTTGTTTGATTGTCTAACTTAGGGAAAATGAAAAGAATCATTAAATTTTTCCTAAGAAAATATATTGGCCCTTGATCTCAGAATTACAAGAAACTCTTATGATAATTTAACCAAAGGTTCTAAAAGACTCAGATCCCTTGAAATTAAATACATGTGCATATGTGTTTTGTTATGGGAGACAAATCATATATTTAATCAGAACTTGAAGGGGGCTTGCCATTGGCCTAGTGCTCAATGCTTTCAGTTTGTGAATGAAGAAATGGACACTTATAAATGTAAATTTATCATAAAATAGTTGCAGAGTTTTGACTAAACTGTGATATTCTCATTTCCAGTATAGTCTCAATAGCATCGCTATTTTTAGGAAGCATTTGAAGCCTCTGTGAAAGGTTGGTCACATCTGTGGATTGGCCAATTGGCATTTTTACTGGACACTCGAAGTTGTCCAGTAAAAATTCAGATAAATCTGCCTTCAGCTAAAGTCACAGAGGGGTCAAAGAAAGCAGTAGCCTGCTTTACAGGAATGGGCAGAACCTTGCAACCAAATTAGTGATTATGTAAGCCTTTCAGTCTAATTTCAAAGTCTCTAACACTTAGGAAATTCTTCAAAGAGGCTAAAAATTTGGCACTGCATCATTTTTCCTCATGGGCATTTTCATTAAATTATAAGCAAATGCACATTCCCACACTGAAAACAGCACAAAGGAGGCTGCTCTATACCACTTGGCTCTCTGTGCAAAACTCGCTTTCAATTATCTTGATCCATATTGAACTCTCCCACCTCCTGTTAGCATCACAGCTTCTAGGAAACAGGCACACAAAGCAAGAGCAATTACCACACCATCACCCAAAACATAAATCAATAGTAACAAATGGCCCAGCATTTTCACATTGTTTATCCTAGCCCTTCCCTGCACCACATGGAGTCAAACTTGCTTTTCTTCCTTTATTTTATGAAATTACTGCATATAAACCAACTTTGTCATTAAGTCGGAAGCTGGGGTCTTCATTCACACCAGCTCACCTGCACAATTCTTGAGTTCTCAGAGCAGTAGGACCTCCCTGGACCCGCTTCTCAATGCTCTCCTTTCAGCCAGGCTGACCTCTAAAATATGACTGTCTCGAAACATGTGTGGATCACCACATCAGACTTTTAAAAGTCTGTGATAACAGTGGTAGCAAAAACTGCAAACATTCATTGTACTGAGCTATGTATCAAGAAATGTGCTGAGCACTTTCACAAAAGTCTCAGCTAATACTCATAGTTTATGAGGTAGAGGATGTTATTTATTTCCATTTTACATAGGAGAAAATAAACTTAGAAACCCAAAGATAATAAGCTTGTAGCACAGATGGAATTTGAATGGAAATCCAGAGCCCCTTGTCCCCACCACCCTACTGCTATCCAATACAAATAACATGAAGTTCTGGGTTAGAATTTCACTCAGATGTGGTTCTTGTTGGAAGTGGGTTTTCTAATCAGGAGAACAGATAAACACAGATATATTACAAATTGCCAAGATATATAAACTTCAGGCATCAGCTACAGGAGAATTTATTTGGTGACAAGTCTGCATTTAAAAGCCATTGTTAATTGAACATTTACTATGTGTCTAATAAAACCACTGTGATAGGTATTTTTAATTCATAAAACTAACTCCAGTTCTTTACTTCTAGGATGATAATGTCTTCATATTTCAGATACAGACACTGAAGCACAGAAAAGTTAAGTTAACTAGCAAGCAGGGCCTGAACTTGGATTGCTTCTCATACTTTTCATACTCTCTATCTGCCTCCTGTACAACAATGAGTTCTATTGTTTTACTAATGTGAAATGAGCAATTCTAACTGCCCGTAACTCTCCACTAGTGGAGCACAAGTTGGGGATGTGTTCACACAGAGCTATCCACACTTATCTAATCCCCTTCACAGGCAGCATACATGTATGGAGCCAGGGAGGCTGGGTGCGAAAGGGCAGTGTACACTAAGGTGTTTTTCTTTTGGGTCCTGGTCTTTGTACCAAAGTCAGTTACGTGGCCTACCCTGGAACAAGTCCCTAATCTCACAAATAACACATGCAATCCAAATGTGCTAAGTGGTAGAAACCCAACTCTTTCAATACCAGTGTTGTTAATCATATAAACAACCACAAAACAGTGAAAATAATATGGACTTTGGAGTCACATAGACCCAGTGGTGTGCTGGTAAATATTTGTTTTGTTTTGTTTTTCTGATAAATGTTTAACAACCAGCTCTCCAGTGGGGAGGAAGAGAGCTCTGATTTATAGCATTTTCCCATTTCCACAGTGTAGATACTCCAATCATGGCTCATCTCAAGAAATCAATATGACATCACTGCACATGGAGTTGTAAGAAATGATGATAATAAGTTCTCAGAAGCTGATGCCAGCCAGCTCTAGCCCACCACTTCCAGTAGACCCTATTCTAATCCCAGTTCATAATCTAAGACTTGAGGCAAGCCACATAGCCTTTCTAAGTATCCATTTATACTTCTATAAAATCTCAAAGACAATGCCACTAGAAACGATGTCATGATTAAAGGGCTATTAACAGCAGAACAAGATAATTTCTCCCCACTTCCCAAGACAGTTGCACATACAAAGCATCAAAGGGAAGCAAATGAACACTTTACTGTAAACACAACCTATGCCTCTGAATTCAACCAGAAGAATCTGATAAGGCGAGTTTTATCATGTAGTCAAGGTTGGCATCCTAAGGGGGGAACTATCCCATCCTGTTCTGCTATTCCAAGTCCAAAGCCACATCCCAGGATCTGTTCACCCTCTACCAACCAGATGAAGAAAAGAGACTGAACAGAAGAGGATGTCTGCAGGTCAGGTTTGACTAGGCCTGCCCTGAGGTAGCAAGACAGAAACTGGTTTAGCAGTATGAGTGCAAGAGAGAGACAAGAGAAAAGCAAGGCAGCCAAGCTTCCAACTCAGCAAAAAAGTGCCAGGCCCTCTTACCCTTCCTGTCACCTATAGGGAGAAGCAGAGCAGCACCACTATGTTTAATAACCATTTCCATATGCAGGGACTCATCTGCTGGCACCATGGCCCAATCAGCATTCAGCTTGCTTAGGTTAGCACCTGGGAGAGTGGATTCTCTGCCTTTAAAACTGACCCAGTTGTCCTTGTATTAGTCCACTTTCACACTGCTGATAAAGACATACATGAGACTTGGTAATTTAAAAGGAAAAAGCGTTTAATGGACTTATAGCTCCACATGGCTGGGGACCTGCCCCCATGATTCAATTACCTCCCACCATGTCCCTCCCACAACACATGGGAATTCAAGATGAGATCTGGGTGGGGACACAGCCAAATCATGTCATTCTACCCCTGACCCCTCCCAAATCTCATGTCCTCACATTTCAAAACCAATCATACCTTCCCCAAAGTCCCCCAAAGTCTTAACCCATTTCAGCACCTAATTTAAAAATCCACAGTCCAAAGTCTCATCAGAGACAAGGCAAGTCCCTTCCACCTATGAGCCTGTAAAATTAAAAGCAGGTTAGTTACTTCCTAGATACAGTGGGGGTGTATGTGGCTTTTCCAGGTCCACAGTGCAAGCTGCCAGTGGATTTACCATTCTGGGGTCTGGAGGACAGTGGCCCTCTTCTTACAGCCCCACTAGTCAGTGCCCCAGTAGGGACTCTGTGTGGGGGCTCTGACCCCACATTTCCCTTCTGCGCTGCCTAGCAGAGGTTCTCCATGAAGGCCCACTCCTGCAGCAAACTTCTGCCTGGGCATCCAGGCATTTCCATACATCCTCTGAAATCTAAGCAGACATTCCCAAACCTCAATTCTTGACTTCTGTGCACTCACAGGCTCAACACCACATGGAAGCTGCCAAGACTTGGGGTTTCCACCCTCTGAAGCGACAGCCTGAGCTGTACCTTGGCCCCTTTTAGTCACAGCTGGAGCAGCTGGGATGCAGGGCATCAAGTCCCTAGACTGCACACAGCAGAAGGACCCTGGGCCCAGCCAACAAAACCATTTCTTCCTCCTAAACCTCTGTGCCTGTAATGACAGGGGCTGCTGCAAAGGTCCCTGACATGCCCTGGAGACATTTTCCCCATTGTCTTGGTGATTAACATTTGGCTCTTCGTTACTTATGCAAACTTCTGCAGCCTGTTTGAATCTCTCCCCAGAAAATGGAATTTTCTTTTCTATCACATTGTCAGGCTGCAAATTTTCTGAACTTTTATGCTCTATGTCCCTTTTAAAACTGAGTGCCTTTAACAGCACCCAAGTAAACTCTTGAATGTTTTGCTGCTTAAATTTCTTCCACCAGATACCCTAAATCATCTCTCTCAAGTTCAGAGTTCCACAATTCTCCAGGGCAGGGGCAAAATGCTGCCAGCCTCTTTTCTAAAACATAACAAGAGTCACCACTGCTTCAGTTCCCAACAAGTTGCTCATCTCCATCTAAGACCACCTCAGCCTGGATTTCATTGTCCATATCATTATCAGCATTTTGGTCAAAGACATTCAACAAGTCTCTAGAGAGTTCCACACTTTTCTATATTTTCCTGTCTTCTGAGCCCTCCAAACTGTTCGAACCTTGTGTGTTATCCAATTCCAAAGTCACTTCCACATTTTGGGATATCTTTTCAGCAGCACCCCACTCCCAGTACCAATTTACTGTATTAGTCCATTTTCACACTGCTGATAAAGACATACATGAGACTGGGTAAATTATACAGGACAAAGGGTTTAATGGACTTACAGTTCCGCATGGCTGTGGAGGCCTCACAATCATGGCAGAAGGCAAGGAGGAACAAGTCACATCTTACATGGATTGCAGCAGGCAAAGAGAACTTGTGCTAGGAAACTTAGCCTTATAAAGCCATCAGACCTTGTGAGGCTTACTCACTATCATGAGCACAGCACAGGAAAGACCTGCCCCCATGATTCAATTACCTCCCATCATGTGCCTCCCACAACACATGGGAATTCAAGATGAGATATGGGTGGGGATACAGCCAAACCATATCAGTCCCATAGAGTTGATGTTTATGGTTTCTTTGAATAAACATAGAAATTGATCCTCCCAGTTTTAAACTTGAGGTTATATTTGCCTTATTTGAGTTCATTTCTCAGGAAACCAACCATCAGTGTTCCCAGACAGTATTAAGGAGCTGAAACTCACCAGATCACTGCATCTGGACAATGAGTCATCAGACCTCCTACCCGTCATGGTTGACTAACCAAGGACTTGCTCTCTGTTGACCAACTCCTCTTCCTTACCCATCCCTAATTCCTGTTTTCCCACACATGGTGACATTTCTTCCTTGCTATATAAGCTGAGACAATAGGTATTAAAGAAGGCTTCAATCAGGCGCTACATAGTAACATTTATATATTTATATAACCATGTAAGAATATAAACATCAAAATGCATTGGTTTAGTCAGTCAGGGAGATGGATTTGAGACTGATCTCCCATCTCCTCAGCTGCAGCACCTGATTAAAGCCTTCTTCCTTGGCAATACTTGTTGTCTCAGTGATTGGCTTTCCTTACGGTGAGCAGCAGTTCGTAGACAGAACCCCTTGTGTTTCAGAAACACCTTTACACTTATGTTGTGTGGTTGCTGGGAAGATTAAATGACATGAAGATTTTGGCCTAAGTTGTGCTACCCAGTTTTATCATCCAGCTTTTCTTACCTAAGTGACTCTGAATGAATCTTGGGTATTCAAAAATAAAAAAAAGAAAATAAGTTAAATCTATCTGTGATTCCATGTAATCTTTATAACCATCTGCCACTCCTCCAGATAGAATCCACCATCGAATAGTGAAGTTGATTTAATATTTTGAAGAGTATTGAAAAGATGTGTTTACTATACACCCAGAAGATAGATCTAAGAGTGGCTTAGCAAGGGCACTATTGTTGAAATAAGCAGCTCCCCTCCTGAGTTGTCCATTTAGAAGAGGAAAATTCATTTTGATGTTTATGTTCTTACACAGTTATATAAAAGTCAGTAACATTACTATGTAGTAATGACTTTTATTTTTAAATATGAGACACATTATTTCAAAGTCATGAACCGAATTAAATTAAACACAACATTAAATTACATTCACTCTGTGCTGAGGTGCCAGTGAGGAGTGGGATGTTTCCAACTCTGACTTTGTCTTTAATCTTCTTCTCCCAGCACCTGGAATTACTTAAACCTTGACTCTGTGTGTAGTGACTTCAATGCAAATGTGCTGAGGATCCATCTGCTGGAAAGGAGTCTTCTAGATTTGTGTGGGTTAAACTCTAGCTCACTGGGGATTGGAGAACACCAAGTCTCAGTTTTGCTAGCTGGAGTTGGGGTGATTTGGAGTATTAAGGACTCCAAATTAAGGAGTATTAAGGTTACTATGGAATCTAACCTCTTTTCATGTTTTCTAAGAGTCCTGATGATTTTCTGTCCTTTTAATTTTCACCAAATGTGACAAGGGGGAGAAGACCATTTGCCTTCCTAAAATACATCCAAAATGTCTAGTCAAGAAACCTAAATAAAATAGATCTCCCAGAGTGCAAAGAACTAATATCACAGCCAAAGGAAATGAGATTGTGACCTGGGAAGGCAGGAAAAGTAGGGGGCAGGGAGGTCCAAGGAGGGATCTTAGGATCCCTGGCAAGACTTTTCTGTCTGTGAAACCACCTCACACTGAGGTGCACTACCCCAGGGCCCAGCAAATTTTAAGAATCCAAGGAATCCTAAAGGAATTGCACAAAGTTACCTAATCTAAAAATGTTTAAAAGCCACATGCCATTTTTGGACTTCTGATCCTTCATGTGTGCAGAGGCAAGAGAGGTACAGCAGGGTAGAGTGAGGTCTACATCACAGACAGGCAAACATCTCCACAGCCAGGCCAGGAAGCAACGTTCCCAGGCTGTCAGATCACTCAGGCTCAAGGTTGCTCTGGGTCAAGTGTCTGAAGATACACTGTCCAATACAGTAGTCACTAATCACATGTGGCCATTTAAATTTGAATTTAAATAAGTTAAGATGAAATGAAATTTGAAAATTTATCTCTTCTGTTGTACTAGGCACATTTCAAGTGTTCAATAAACACATGAAGCTAGTGGTTACCACATTGGACAGTGTAGATATAGAACAATTCCACAACACAAAAGTTATATTGGATGGAGCTGGTCTAAAACATATAAATATACATAAATGTCCAGGAATTCTCTGATTCTTTATGGGAGCTATTTCCAGACTGAAACCCCATTCAGGTTTTCAAACAATTATTTAAAGCAATTATACAGGATTTGTTCTTCCTCTGCACCCAGCCTAGAAATATTTTAGGGAATAAGGAAAAAAATGTCTTATTCCTTTTATACAGCAAATTACATTTTGCGTGGAAAAAATCAAGGAAACCCACACACCAGGTTTAGTACTCAAGCATGCAACCCTACAAAATGTTGGCTAACAAGCCCTTTCTTTAGAAGTAATGCAATTTGCACACATAAATTAGTCTGAAGAGGCAAATTTTAAAAATCCAATTTCAACTACTTTAAAAGGACAATTAATTATTTTAAAAATTGCTGTGCTAATTGTCTATCATTGACATAGCTCTCTGTAGGGCCTTGCTGGATTACTTAGGTCACTATGAGTTGACTCTGTACTCAAAAATACTATTTTAGAAGTGCTTCATGTATACGTATGTGTGAGTATGTGTGGATATGTACGTGCATCAAAATTCTGACTTTTCACAGAGTGGTTTATCCCTTGATGAAACAAAATTTTCATTCAGAATCAGATTACTTTACTCATTCTATTCTCATTACCTTTCTTCAAGAGGAAGACGTCTATACTCAGGGCAGATTCTCCCTTCGAAAGTGTGCAAGGCAAAGCAACCCTCCTCCAGGGTTTTGCTTCCTGCACTTCTGCTCTGGGCTTCTTGATGACCCCAGGGCTGACTGGAGTCAGGAACTATGTCTGTGGATGTAGCAACTCTCACATTGTATGATCAGGCTCTCAGTACCAAGGGAAGACACAGAAACCAGCACACTTGGTGTGAGGGCACGGTTTTCTAGCGGCGTGAGGTGGTCTTGGAGCTATTAACTGAATCATTTCAGCTCTCCGTCTTCTAGGCACACAGACTATACTTCTAGCCCTCTTATGACTTGGTGGGACCATGTGATTACTTCCAAACAATGACTTGTGAACAAAAGGGCCAAGTGACCACTCTGAGCCAGAGCATTTAATCGATGCGGTGAGACCCTTAAGAGGTTCCTCTTCCTCAGCCGCAGACACTAGCAATGTTTTAGACAGTGACTTTTCTCTCCACCTGACCCCGGAAGGAGACTAAAGCAAACAAAATGCCTAGCTCAATCGCAGGAGGCACGTAGTATGAGTCAGAAATAAACCTTTGTTGTCTGAGGACACTGAGTTTTTGAGTTGTCATCACCATGTAATCCAGCCTACCAGATTAATATATGAGATAAATAAGATTATGGGTAGGGCACAGAAGCAACCTGTTTCTAAAGTGGAGTTGTTGCAAAGGATGTTTCTCCTCAGCCAACAACAGTCAGGTGTCCATTGCTGAGAAAATGCCAATTCAGCCAGTATTGTTGAGAATATTGGGAAGGTGTATCTTCCTGGAGATGGTAATCAAGTGCAAAGACAGAAGTCCAAAATAAACTCTATTTTAATGGGATGAATCCTAGTCTACTCATACAAACAAAATACTATAGCAGCTCAGAATAGACCTCAATAATTCATATTAGAAAATACAAGGGCCAGGTGCGGTGGCTCATGCCTGTAATCCCAGTACTTTGGGAGGCCGAGGAGGGTGGATTACTTGAGGTCAGACGTTCAAGAAAATTAAAGGAAGGCAGCTGTTACAGACTGAGTTTCCCAAGAAGTAGACTCTGAAATAGACATCTGCATGCAGGAACTTCAATGGGGAGTGCTCTTAGGATCAATACCTGTAGGAGAGTGAAGGAAGAAGTATTTGGTAGAATGGAAATTTGGGCTGAGGTGCAGACACAATAAAGGTCTCTACTCACCCTTGGGTGAGTTATGAAACTGGAATGGCCCAGTTGTCTTTAATTGGGTAAGGGAGGCCAGGCTTATGTAACCCAGAATCAGCCAGTCATAGGATGTGGGCTACCTCCAGGAAGGGGAGTGTGGCCTTAGGCTTGGAGCTCTCTGTAACCCATGTCAATCATTAACAGTATGGCTTATCTCCCACTTTTCTGCCATCAACACTCCCTGTAGCTGGGGGAATAAGTAATTGAGTCCTGAGAGAGGGAACACATCACAGCACCCACTCCAGCTACAAAAGGAAGTTAAAAGCATGATGAGTAGAGCATACCAGAAAGAGGATGAATCATGAGCAGAGGCATAGAAGTGGGAAATGTTCAAAGAAATTTGATGGTCCAGTATGGATAGGGCAAGGGTACATGTTGAGGAATGGCAGAAAAGGAGCCTGGAGACAGATTAGAATCACTTTATGGTGGGACTAAATGCCGTGTGGAGAGAGTTGAAATGTCTTATTGCCAACATGGGGACCCATAGGAAAGAGTTATGGTCAGTCATGTTTTATAAAGTCTACACAATCCAAGAGGGGGAAAATGTTAAATGTCTAAGAACCCATGGTGCAAGTGACAGAGAAGCTGGTTAAATACTGGGTTAAGCATTGAATATACTGAGTATGCAGTGATGGTGGGCATCATGTTGGAAATACAAGGGGAATATTGCAGAGCCAGGAGGAGTTTAGACAGGACAGGACTAGAAATATAGATTTGACAGTTACCAACCTGAGAAAATAATGGAAGCCAGGAAAGGTAGATTAAATATCTGAAATAAAGTGAACAGAAAGGTGATAGCAAGAGAACTTAAAGACAGCACACTCGCAGAAGAGGAACCAAAGGGGAACTCAATGAACTATAATGTGCTAGAATAGTCAAGGAGGAAGATGAGGGAGCTACTTAATAGAAAGTCACAGCCACCAAGACAAGAGAAAAGATGAATAACTTCAATGTAGGAAATGATGAAGAAAGTTCAAGAAGGACAAAATAGTTCCTTGGATCCTTCCATCAGGAGGTTGTTCCAACACCTTTCAATAGGATAGGGAATAGGGTTATGAATGAAGTGAGTAGTGAGGAAGGATTTGTATGGGCTTCCCTAAGTTTTTCACATTCATGGCACACATAGGAGATTATCATTTTTATATGGCACACCAGGGTAGATAAGCACGTCTGTGGCCAGGTGTGACAAACCTGGTGGCTCTCTAGTCACCTTGAGGGCTGAAGGTGCCAATATCTTGGGACTTCTGAAACCTTGACTGGTAAGACATCAGGGTGCCAAGACACACTAGGTGGCGAGCTCTACACCACTACACACCGCTCATTTG
This sequence comes from Homo sapiens, assembly GCF_000001405.40. Classification (NCBI taxonomy): domain Eukaryota; kingdom Metazoa; phylum Chordata; class Mammalia; order Primates; family Hominidae; genus Homo; species Homo sapiens. The sequence continues at coordinate 222,070,315 of NC_000001.11, forward strand.
AGATGATGGCTGTGCAAGAAAGACCAAAGGACAATGGCTAGAGAGGCCAGCAAGCTAAATGAAGTGATACCCATTGCCTCCAAGAGTAAGGATACTGTGTGCCTACTTGGCAACAGAATAAGTCAACATAAAGAGCAAACCACTGGAGAGAAGGGAAATATGCGCAAGAGCAAAACCTATCAAGGTTTAAGGGAAGGACAGGACACTGGTGGAGTGGTTGTCCTAAAGGGAAGGTCTGAAAACTCTTCCTATAAAACTGGATGAAAACATGAGAGAATGGATGATTTAGGAAAAGAGCTTTAATGCAGGGATGAAAAACGTAAGAATTATAAGTAGTTTATTGTTTAAGGAGAGAATTGGGGGTTGAAAATTAAGATGCAGATAGTGATTTGTTCACGCACCACCTTGTCTGCACAGCTGAAATATCAGAGTCTTACAAGCAGCGGGGAGAGGCCCAGAAGAGTAGTAAGAAATGAAGAGGTGATTCAAGGCAAGGCAAAATAGACAAGGAGAAAGTAGTTATGAGGCTGCAACCACACTCCAAGTGAGAAATGAGAATTGAAGGCATTGGTGGGAATGGAGGGACAGGAATGAATTCAGAGGATATCTGGCAGTTAGAAAAAAACAGCGAATGGAGAAAATTGAATTGGACAGTGAATATCACAAAATGAATATATTGGCCTACATAGCATAATCCATATATCATTAACTATGTTAACCTAATGATAGATTATAAAAAGGGACACATCATCAAGGTTTACATATATTTGAATACTGGTAATTATGAGAGACTCAGGGAGATTACAAAGACACAAAGCAAGACCTAATAGTTCATTATACCACCACTGTCTTTTGCATTAAAATAGTTCCTTGATTTTCGTACCCTCACGGGAGCTCCTAGCTTTTCAACTTTGACCATTACAATTGGTGCATTTCCTATGTGTCTGTGACTTGAAGAAAGGATATGCAATTTACTTTGAGTCTGTTTTTTTAACCAAGGGATGTTTTTCAACCAGCAGTTACTTTATTAAAAGGAAAAAAAAAAGGTAATGAGTGTAAAATCCCATTGGTTTTTTAAAGCAACTGGAAATAATCGATGTGCATTTGCAACCTGTTTCTAAATGTTCTTGGAGAACTGTTTTGAAGTGTCCTGCTGTGACCCATGTGATCCCAATAGAAGTGGTTTTGGAGAGATGCCTAATATGAGCTTATCACAGACCGAATAAGCAAATGAATAGGCAGTTGTTTGCGGCTGCTTTGAAACAGTCAGCTGTGATCCTTAAGGAATAAGTGAGCAGAAGTAGAAACCAAAAATTTCTAAGCTGCTGTGATCTTTAGATTTAAGTGGAAGCCGATTTGCAAGCACAGCTCTGCATGCTGTGATGGTGTGCTTGGCAAGGCCACTCATGCTAATTCGGCATTGATCTGCACACTAAAGCAGAGGCCACACATTTCTGTTTCCTTTTCTCCTCGGGATTGTAGAAACTTCTATACAATACCTCGTCTCCTCTTCCAAGTTCTTAACAGAATTAGTTGATTAAGCACCATGTTACTCCCCTGACGGAGGAGTATTTAAGCTGCCCTTGCAAGATGGCAGATGCACCAGCTCAATACAGAGGTGTGGGAAGGGGGCCTGACTAAAAAAAAGCTGCTGTTGCCTAATAGAACCTCCAGCTCTGCTCAAAAAGAAAGATTCCCTATTCCAGCCAGGCTTCTCTCACCCTCTGGGATCAACCAGGCATTAGTTCAGTGGCCTGGGAGTCCATGGGGGCCTCTTCAATGCTTGAAAATTACCCAGCACCATTTCTGGTACACAGAAGGTCCTTAAAAACATTTATTTTCTCGTCTTGCCCTTTCATGAAAGAAGAACTAGCATCAATATCCAGGATCTGTCCCCCCAGACCCCCCAAAAAAAGTGCATCACCTACGGTTTCTTGCCACTCAGAACCCGAGATAGACAAGGTTCCATTCATACTCCACTGGATTAGCAAAAATGAGGCCTTGCCTATTTCTCACTCAAAGTGCATCTTAGTGGTTAAATTTATCATCTTCATCATCATGCCACGCATCTATGTTCTTATTCTTTTATTTCTATAGCTCTGGTTTTGTTTTTGTTTTATGATTTCAGGCCCTCTCCCTTGTGATTTGAGGCTGGAGTCTGTGAAATGAGATGTATTTTTTATTTAAAGCTCATTCTGAATGAATCTGATACAAAGCTAGGTTCAGGAATTCCCTAGGATATTTGATATTCTTGCATTTTTAAACATCTTACATTTTCACAAAGTATTTTACACATGTTGTCTTAATTGATCCTCACCAAAATCCTTTGAAAGATTCAAAGCACAAAACACGAATCCCATCTTGCAGGCGAGGGAATGGACGTCAGAGAGTTAACACGCTTTGCCCAGATTCACAAAACTGGGACTAGACCTAGATCTTCTGTAGCTGTGTCCAGCTTCTCTCTGGTATATCTGGCTGGAATGAACAGAGAGAAGGAGAAGTGTTCCACCTTTTTGGGTAAATCCAGTCCTGCACCCTCACTGTGCACAGGCATACAAGCCCTGAAGAATCCCTCCCTCTCCTTCCATCCTTTCATTCCCCTTTCTCCTAGAGCCAAAAAGCTACAGTACAGGAAGCCTTACTTCTGGAGGACTATTCCAATTTCTTCTTTTCCAGGTACCAATTAAATCCTCCCAGTCTCCATTTCAAAGCATCCCTTGTAATAAAACTTTTTGAGTCTTTTTATTGGGCTTTTCTAAAGCCTCTCTTTACATCATTTTGCTTTAATATTTTCTTAAACAAGATGTTCACTAGGGGGTGAATCCTGGGTCACTCACAGGTTAGGAGGAAGAGGAAAAGGTTGTGATTATCCCCAAATCCCAGCCCATCATAAACTGATCAAGTTATACTTAGAGTCAGAGGAGCCCCCTCCATTTAATTAAAGGTTGTCTATGGAGTGCCTAAATGCCCATAGGAATACAGCTGAGCACTGTTATTGAAAAAAAAAATAATTATTTGGAAGCAGTAATAAATTCCTTGCATCTATTTGAACCTCTGTTGATTTACAACCATAAGGTAATTTGCTTCAACTAACTTAATTTCTGTTCCCTGTTCAATTCCCTTGAGTTTTAAAGTAATGTTTTAATTCCCCTTTGCACTCTGTGCTACCAAATCAAAGCAAAATTTATCTTTCTTTCATTTGCCAAAGTTGAGCAAATTTGGAAGGAGAAAATTACTAATAAAGGGCAAAGGATTTTAAAGAAAATGTATTGTTTCATTCTCAGTGAATTGGAACAGAGTACAAAGAAGCTTAATCATTATATTAAATCAAAGGAGTATAAATCACATTATTCACATTTATAAATTGCTGACAACATGTGGCTTTTGAAAAGCTTGGGATGGGTAGGCCTCTGGTGGAAGTGGGAGGGAGGGACATTCTCTGGAAATGAGTAACCCTTGAAGCCAGGATTAGGAGTGCTTTCCTATCTTTATTCCTTTTCCTCACAAGGCAGCCATTTTACAACTGGATCTCAGACTGACTCTCATGCCATTGGCATTTCAACTTCTCCAACTCAAGGACTAAGAGATGATTTGAGTCCCGAGTGTCTGTCTGGTCTAGATGACTCTAGTCATAGAATCGCAACACCATCATCCTGATGGCCAAGCTGGGTGGACCTTCACAGCCACTATGCATTGTTTGGGGATTTTTTCAATGCCAGTTAATATGAAATATCTTAAACATCCTTGAGCAAAACTGTTACCCACACCATGGATGGGTTCGATTGCTTAGGAGGTGACAGTCCAATGACCACAACCAAGGAGGATTTAACCAGGGGATTTTATTACTTGCAACAATTAATAAGAAGTAAGGAAGACACTGGGGATAGTTCTCCAGAGTGCTGCCTCTCTGAACACCGGTGAACACGAGGCTTCTATATGCAGACGTGGGGTGAGGGCAGAACGGGCAATCTCTGATCGTGCTTCTCTATATGTTGTAGGTATAAAAAATGGTGAATAAGCTTCCCCCAGAGGAGGTTTTTAGCAATGGTAATGAGGAGAGTTTGCCAAAGTTTATCTCTAGCTCTGGCATCTCTTCTTCCTGGAACTTTTTGAAACAACAACTGAAGGTGCAAAAGTTACAAGTGGGTAATTTTTCACAGGGTAAATATTAAAAAAACCCAGCGACCCTGGGTTACAAAATGACCTGTGTCCTTGCCCTAGCTCCCTGGTCTGCTGAATAACATTAGGTCAGGATTTTTAACCTCTTTGAACTAGTTTTCTCACCTGTAAAATGGAAATAATTATTGTACCTACCTCATTGGGTTGTTTTCATAGTTAAAAGAGAAAAAGGTATGTAAAGTTCTTAAACACACTGCTCAATAAAGATGGTATATATACAGTTGATTCTTGTTATTCACAGTAGGTGTTTATGTTCTAGAAAGTTGCCACAAAAACTGAATTAGTGAATACTGAACCATCACTCCTACGGGAAATACAGGGTAGGTTCCTGTGAGCCTCTGTTAACAATATTTTCATCAATTGGTCAATACATAACCTTATCTTATGTGTTTTTCCACTTACAAACATTGCTCGTTCGCTAACACTGAACTCACAGCCCAAGAGTGCTACAAAAGTAGCTTATCTGACACAGATATTTTTCCCATAAGGCACATCACAGACTTCTATTGCTCAGGAATGCTAGACTACACTTCAGCGGTACACTTGGAGGCTATTTTAACAGTGAAATCACCAATAAAAAAGCACCAAAATATGAAAATCGTGGCACTAAATAGACCCTGGAAAGGATACTTGCTTATAGTGTGAGAGCTGAAACAAGAAAACACGGTCTCCTTGTTGGGACCTCAGCTGAAATGTGCACATCAGGAATTCCAATTTTTCAGAGCTCTGCACATATCTGCGAATAACCAAGAAAGCACAGTGAGTCTTGATTTGGGGCTACAAACACATTTTAGTGAGTAGGCAAATTTGCAAATACAGAATCCACAAACAATGAGGATGGACTGTATTATCATGATTAATCACCCAAGGAAGTAGGCAAAAGAGTTATTACTACTGCCAGTTTGCAGGTAAGAAACAGACCCAGTAAGGTATTAGGGTATAGAGTGAGCTAGGTCTGGATGGATCTCCTGTGCTGCATACTCCTGAAGGCAGCTCTCTCATCCTAGTGTACATGAAGGTACCCCTAGACTTGGTGCAGCAGCCCTGGATCTGAAACCACATTGACTATTTATTTCTCAATATGACTTCTGTAAACTGGAGAGCCTCCATATATTGAAAACATTCAACCAGTTATTTGTGATCTTTACTCCCAGATCCACTAAACTGATTATACTTACAGGCATTTAAAAACTGTGTCATAAAACAGAATTGGTCTCTGCCCTTAAGGAATGAATAATCAATCACAGTTTCTATAAAGCAAATAATTCCACTGACATAAAAACAATGTGTAGTCAGAAAGAAAAACACCTTTTTTTGTATCCTGGGAAGGAAACTCTCATAGAACCAGTTGCTTACATATAGCAGGTCTTTGCTAAAAGAAAAGGTAATTAGTATTATGAAATGTGTCCACCACAGCAAAGCTCTAAACTAGACACTGTATATACATCATTTCCCATCATTTCCTCTGTTCATCACAATAATCTTATAGCGAAGTATTTCTTATTCTTATTCTTTTTTTTTTTTTTTTTTTTTGAGACGGAGTCTTGCTCTGTCGCCAGGCTAGAGTGCTGTGGCGTGATCTCGGCTCACTGCAACCTCCGCCTCCCAGGTTCAAGGGATTCTCCTGCCTCGGCCTCTCGAGTAGCTGCGATTATAGCCATGCACCACCATGCCTGGCTAATTTTTGTATTTTTAGTAGAGATGGGGTTTCACTATGTTGGCCAGGATGGTCTCGATCTCCTGACCTTGTGATCTGCCCGCCTCGGCCTCCCAAAGTGCTAGGATTACAGGCGTGAGCCACCGCACCCAGCCATCTTATTCTTATTCTATACATAAGCAAACTGATGCACAACAAGGTTAAATAATTTGCTCAAGGTCACATAGCTATTAAGTAGCATAGTTGGAATTTCAACCCAAATATACTCAACACCAAAATCATTATTCTTTCTGAGATGTAGCAATGCTTAAATCCCCTTGGATTATATCTGATCAAGCAGCAAACCTCTAGAGAAGAAGCTTCTCATATCAGCATCAGTCTCAAGCAATTTTGAGCAACTTCAAAATCCCCTCTACCTTGTTTCTCACTGACAACATTGGGTCACAATTATTATTTCTCTGCCCAGCAGCACTAAATTTTTTTTTAAATTATCGGAAAAGCATGAAGACATCTGGAAAAGGAATGGGTTATATAAATGCATAGAAACAATTGTTTTCAAAACAGCCACTAGATTCTGGATAGAAGTAGGTTACCATTGAATTGCCTAGAGAGAGAGAGATCCCATATGACCTACATAGTCCCCCTACTAGACTAGAAGCACCTAGCAGACAGGATTGCTGTCTGAATAATTTTGCAGTTGGGAAAGATGATATTATTTTTCCCAATTATTCACCTTTACCCTTCATTATAAGAGGAATTTATATCCCTTCATTATAAGAGGAATTTATATCCCGGCCATTGCCATAGAATTCGCAATGCTTCCCACAAGGAGGAGACATATTTTTCCATTCCAGTGATGGTGGGTGGGCTAAGTGATAAGTTTTAGCCAATGGACTATAAGCTAACATGATATATATCACATCCAAGCCGAAGCTTTAAAAGATATTTTCAATATTTAAGTCCTCTTTACTCTTATTAATTGTTGCAAGTAACAAAATCCCCTGGTTAAATCCGCTTGGTTGTGGTCATTGGACTGTCACCTGCCAAGTGATCAAACCCATCCATTGTGTGGTTAATAGTTTGGATCAAGGACGTTCAATTTATCTCATATTAACCATCACTGAACCAGCACTGGATTTTTTTTTCTGTCTCTCTTGCTCATTTTTTCTGCCAAAAGTATGGCAAATAAGGCCAGCTCCTTTAACCTGAGTCCTGGAATGAGGACGCATATGGAGCACAGATACAGCAGCCAACCTCCTGCTGCTGCCACATAACATGAATGAAAAATAAATGCTTGTTGTTGGAAGCCACTGAGATTTGGGGGTTGTTATTATAATTAAGCTGACTAATTAAGTACCAACATAGCACCTAGCCTAGAGCCTGGCATAAGAAAGAAATTCAAGAAGTACTTGTTTAACAAAAAAATTATAATCTGTTGGTATTGATTTATTAAGGGTCTCTACAAACCACTTTCATTGCAATACATTGGTAGTCTAGAGAGAATAATAAAACTGGAGGTGAGATGAGCAATTACATTCAGAAAAGGAAACAAGCAGTTCTAAGACTCTCATGATACAAAGCAAAATTAGTGGCAAACTTAGGATTAACATTTTGTTTCTTGACTTCTATTCCACTGTTTTGTTATATTCTGTTTTTGTTTTGTCAATTATTTCCGTAATCCCACATATCAAAAAAATTTTAATATCCCTCACATGGGATATCATTCAGATCTTTTATATAACAGGGTGGGAAGGTACCAGTAACTAAATAGAAAAATTGGCAAATGGTATCTGTAAATATCAGGTCCCAGGAAAAAGAATTTGTGAAATCAGATGGTATGGTCTACCTTGTATTTCATTACATAAGGATGGAATATGGTACCACCCTTATGAGTACAAAATGATATTTTGAAAGCAAAGTAAGGAGGAGGAATATCTAGGCAATGGATAATATTAGGTACCTGAAACTTTCCTTAAAAAGCAGAATCTAATCCTAAAAAAATAGTGAATATGAGACAGAGGCTGTATAATAATACCCAAATCCAAAGGATCAGAAAAGTCTAGCACTATTAACATTTAAACAACTTATAACTAACCTAATGAATCTGAAGAAAAATGCATTAACTAAGAGATTATCTCCATGTAGTGTGAGAAATGAAAGCCCAAGAGCCCTGAATAGGGAACAAAGGCAAACTAAGGCTCTTCAGATTTCAGGCAATTCTTTGGGGGTGCCTCAGGGGATGCTTGATGTGATAGGGGCCCAACAGGCAGAACTCCAGGTCCCCAACCTCAATCAAGAGTAGCTCTGTCTTTACCTGCTTATATAATGGGCAGTCCTATCTTGTCTAATAACTAAAAGTGTTTGGAACCAGTTCTCTTATAGACATACATTTATAGAGAGATGGGCTTGCCAAGCAATCATAAATTGATGTCACCAGTTCTTAAAGAAATCCAACTCAGATTCTCTGCTTGATAATCAATCTTGTGAAGGTAATTTGGCTTCATCAAAAATTACTTTCCAAAAGAGAAGAGAATATGTTGACCAGTTGGCTTGACTGCCTAATTAGACTGGAAGTTATATTTCTCATTGTAAATCAGTAAATCTGCATTCTTGCTCTACAGTGCTCCCTTAAAAGGGTGGCTTCACAATCCTCAGCCTAATTCTGGGTACAAAGATAGAATCAAGTTTTGATCCTGGAATGCTGGGGATTGGCCAATGAAGCATGGTGTCCCTGCCAAAGAGATCCTCCTGGTGAAGTTTGGACCACATAATTGTACCATCACATTCTGAAAAGTTGTCTGTAAATTGGCATTATATGGAACATATATAGATACATATTTTTAATACATTAAGATCTTTCATCTTATCTATAAACCTAGCTCCTGTATTTATGACACATTACTCTAAGATACTAAAATAATATATTTAAAACCAAAACACACTAGTATTTTTCTAAGTTAGTATTTCACTACTCATATCCATGACTAAGCCTGAAAACTAATTTACAAATGGATGTCCTCAAATAGCAGGAACTCAAGAAATTAGTCAGCCCAAGCAATGGCTCTATACTGTGCCAGGGCCATGGGCCAAAAAAGCTATTGGCCAGGCCTTGCCTCTTTTCCCCACCACTTTCAAATGATAAACACACACACACACACACACACACACACACACACACACACACACACACACACAGAGAGAGAGAGAGAGAGAGAGGGAGAGAGAGAGAATATTTCTGCTTTTACCTATTTTAGTTGTAGGACTTTTCTGAAGAAGGTTAATTTGAACAAAAAGTTTTTTGACAAAAACTTATTCAAGAAAGCAGAGATCAAGATTGTTGAAGCAAATTGTTCAGTTTTACACAGCCAAGTAAAGGAAATTCAGAGCAAGAATTTAGAACAAACCCAATCTGGTGTCTCTCCAATACTGATGGCGATAGGAGATAGGGGCAGGAGGATAGAAAGTGGGCAAGGAAAGGTGCTTCAGGAATCAAAGGTAAGCCAGTTTGCAAGCCTGTGTAATATATCTAGCCCTGGAATTATTTGTGTTTTTACTTACTCTTTTCCATTTCAATTTAAGTCAATCCTCAAAAGTCCTCCCAAGGGAAAAAAAGTACAGCATATTAGTAAGTAAGCACAGGAAGCTCCATGATACATAGAGATTTTTTATTTCAGAAGCCCAACAAATAAGTCATAAGCTGGAAAATTACTTGTTAAGGTTCAGTAGGGTTCCTGGGAAATGGAATATGATTTTTACTGTGATTCAGTGCTATGGTATAGACAAACAATAAGCAGTATATCTAATCAGATACACAAAGACAATGGAGAAACCTTTGCTTTCTTCTTCACCCAAAAGAAGAGACTGGGGGGACCAAAAGGGATTTTCCATACTCAACAGGTAGAAAAATGAAAAACAAATAATAGAAAATATTAAAAACCCAAGGGGAAATGCTTAATGCTATTTTTAGGCTCTCTTTTCATAGCGTATTTTAAAAGGTCAATTGTGATATAGAGTATGCATCATTTATGATGGAAGGTAAAAAACTAAATTGGACTTGGGAGGGAAGTGGTTCAAGATTGCTTTTTAAAGTAGTGTATTCAAATCAGTAAAGAGCAATGATACCCATTGCTAGGCTGATTGCTTCAATCAAACCCAGCAGTAAAAAGGCACTTCTTTAAAGAAGGTAGATGAGGATATACAACTGGTAAACAAAATCAGTAACGATGCTTTTGATAATGGGAGGATTTTTAAAAAGACAAAATATTGATTGGCAAAAATGGAAAGAAAGGGTAGAAGATGCAATTAACATGGATTTGTCAAGAACAAATTATCAGACAAATGTAATTTTCTTCTAGAAAAAAATGTTGGGAATTTTGTATGGGGTGGAGCCATAGGATTATATGTGGACTTTAAAAACATTTGTATGGAAGATAAGACCCAGAAACAGCAAATCACATAAAACAATTGTGGAACTCAAGAATTATACAGTGAACACCATTGCCTTCACCATCCAGGTCAAGAACAGAAATTTTCAGCCTCCGCAGAAGACCTTCAGGTACCTCATTCTAATCTCAGCCTCCTCTTTGGACAGGGAATAATTATTATTTGCATGGTAATCACTTCCTCGTATTTTTTGATATATCCATGTCTGTTGGTTTTCTAGGGCTATAATAACAAATTTATCATAAAGTAGGTGGCTTAAAACTACAGAAATTTTTTCCCTCTCAGTTTTAGAGGCCAGAAATTCAAAATGAAGGCATTGGCAGAGTTGGTTCCTCTGGGGGCTCTAAGAGAAGATTCATTTCATGCCTACTTCCCAGCCTCTGGTGAGTGCTGGCAATCTTTGGCATTTCTTGATGTGTAGCTGTCTCTACCTCCAATCTCTGTCTCTGACTTCACATAGTCTTTTCCTATGTGTTTATGTGTCTAAAATCTCACTCTCCTTTCTCTTATAATTGGATTAAAGGCTCAGCCTAAATCCAGGATGATACCATCCTAAGATCTTTAACTTAATTACATCTGCAAAGACCCTATTTTTACATAATTTCACATCTGCAGGTACTAGGTGGTGAGGACTTGGATATATTTTTTAGGAAATATTACCCAACCATTAGACCATGTGTATATCCTTTGTCTCAATAGTTCAATAGTGCCTATTTATTATTTTTAATGTGTTATATGATTTAACTCTCTTAATCTACAGGTCTCCCTCCATCCCTTTCTTTTCTTCAGTAAAGAAAATCTGTTGGTATTGATTTATTAAGGGTCTCTACAAACCACTTTCATTGCAATACATTGGTAGTCTAGAGAGAATAATAAAACTAGAGGTGAGATGAGCAATTACATTCAGAAAAGGAAACAAGCTGTTCTAAGACTCTCATGTTACAAATTAGTGCTTTGTAACAGCTTATTAAAAGGGCTAAGCCCTTTAACCTGTTTCCCACCACCTTGATACAGCTGCTTGCATATGCTAAGACTCCTTCCTTGACCAAACTTTAGATAGGCGCCTCTGAGCCCTCGTTTTGACTAGGCCTTGTTCTTGGGCCTGTCTTTGGCCTGGCCAGTCCAAATTGCAGCAAGAGTCCTGATGAATCAGTTTAGCAAAAATTCCCCCATCCTTGATATTTGATCACTCTTGATATCTGATTAAATTCCATATCCCCCATCCTTGATATCTGTTTAAGCCTGTTTTGTGTTGCTATAACAGAATACCTGAGACTGGATAATTTATAAAGAAAAGACATGTCTTTATCTCTTGGTTCTTGTGGCTGAAAAGTCCAAAAGCATGACACCAACATATGCTCTACTTCTGATGAGGGCCTCATGCTGTGTCAATATGGCACAGAAGCAGAAAGACAAATGGGTGTGTGCAAAGAGACATGCATGAGAGGCTGGGCTTGCTAATAAGAGCCTGCTTTCGTGGGGAACTAATCCATTCCTGTGAGAGTGAGAACTACTCACTTCTGTGACTCATAAGAGCAATGCCTCCATCATCTAAACACCTTCCACGAGGCCCCAACTCCCAACACTACCATATTGGGAATCCAATTTCATCATGAGTTTTGAAGGGGACACACTCAATCCGTAACAATACCTAATCACTCTTGCCTATCTTTGGCAAGAATCTTGTGAAGTCATTAGAATCCTCCTACTCTGGAGAACTCCTCTTAGTTATTTTTCGTCCACTGGCCCCCTCACCCTGCTCTTTGAGCTTAAATTCTCACTTTTCCTTCTGGTATTCAGAATTGAGTTCAGCTCAACACCAGTCTTGTTTTTCGATTGTAGTAGTTTCTGAATAAATCGATTTTACTGCTTTAACTAGTGACTAGCTCTTGTTTTCTTTGATAACCCATGGTGCAGTTCAATATGTTCCTTTGTCCTCAGTATTTTATATAAATGGGCAGCTGGATCTGGAAAATGGGTCAGACTCATGTTCAATTCTCTGGGCAAATATGTAGGTGGTGGTGGTATGTTTTTTAACAGGAAGCCCCATTTTCTCTGGTTGTTTTTTTTTTCTGATGTTAGAAGCCTTTGATGTTCATGACTACATCCATAAATTGTGATATCCTAATTCTATCATTAATTTTTCCATTTATTAGCTGTAATACTCTAATAATAATAAAACCCTTCCTGTCATCTACTCTTTGATTTCCCAGTAGGTTATATTTCATGCAGGGAAAGCATGAAAAATGCTTCATCCTTTTCTCTGCAGTTTTCAAGATGATAAATTTGTCCTATATCATCCTTCAAAAATGACGAGTTAAATTTTTATTATGAATTCATGAACTCAAACATAACTGTTGAGTCTTAATCAATTGACGTTATCATTCTTACTGTCATTCAAGTTTTCTCATTTTGGCTAATGGAAGCTTCATAAAATTATCTCCTATGTGTTTTTAACACAAACTCCATTAGTCTTTAATAGTTTCTCTGTGATCTGGCATGACAAGATGTTTTGAGCTCATCTGGTACATTTCTTGCACCAGAAATGGAATCTCCAAGAATCGCTGATTTCTATCAAGATTATAGTCTTTCACAAAGGGAGATCAGTGTTATTTGGTTAGTCATTGTTTCTAGACCTTTGCAGTAGACAAAGCTAGAAAGTTTACATTTATACTTACATTTTTAGAAATAAAGTGCTTCACGAACCCATACTGATATTTCATATTTATATTTATATACTAATAAATATATACAGATATATACATATGTGTGTATATATTTATCTATATACAAACACATATCTGTAGGCTTTTGTTTTAACTCCTTCTGTGATAAAACATCTGTGTCTCCTTTCTTCCAGATCAAGATTCCTGGTTTTCATAAATACATGGAATGATAAACTTAGCCTATAGTTACTCATGTGCTTCATCCCATTTTAAATACTCACAAGTCCCAATAAAACAAGTCTAATACTAAAACAATCAAAACATCTTCTGCATTACCATCTTCCAATCTTCTCCTGATTTTTTATATTTTACTATCTCTACATTATAGGAGCATATAGTCATTACATATTATACTCTCTCCCTTTTCAGTCCTTCTTAAGTCTAAATTCTATAAGTAAATATATATTTAATGCTCACCACCATTAATTATGCTAATGTTTTTCTAGACATTTTGATTGTCTGAAATCTGCTCTCTAGCAGGTACTCCAAGAATGCCAGACAAGAACAATACTCCCTGAATTTTTTCATGTTGATAACATTTTTTCTATGCCCTTTATACTCGAAAATAAGTTTGGATAGATACAAAGCGTTGGACTCACATTTTCTTTTTTGATTATATTAACTATGTTATTTCATTTTCTTCTAGCACAAAGTGATGTTGAAAAAATCTGATAAGAATCTATTATTTTTTCCTATAAATCACTTTCTTTTTTTGTTAAGATGCCTAAAGAAAATTTTTAGTTTGTCTCACTTTAACCTCAAGTAATTTTAGGAGAATATGTGTTGGTGTTTGTCATTCTGAGATTATATCCTTAAGTATGCAATATGTTTTTTCAACATGTAGTCCAAAACATTTTTTCTTAATTTCAGGCATGTTTTCTCCACTGGTGGTTTAATATTTGCTGTTTTCTTTATGTTTTTTTTTTTTTTTTGGATGCTCTGAATGTTGGACCTTCTTTGTCTAGCTTCATTATTTTTCACTTTCATAAAATCCTTTATATTACAGTTGCCATTTCTTTTTAATTATTAAAATTTTTCTCTTTTTAAGGTTCCATTTATCTTAAGGTATAATCTGCTGTGTTTCTTCTCTTGTGTTTATCCTTTTAGTCCTCTTTTTCTGAAATTATTATTATTATTTTTTGAGATGGAGTCTCACTCTGTCACCCAGGCTGCAGTGCAGTGGCGTGATCTTGGTTCACTGCAAGCTCCGCCTCCTGGGTTCACGCCATTCTCCTGCCTAAGCCTCTGAAGTAGCTGGGACTACAGGTGCCCACCATCACACCCAGCTAATTTTTTGTATTTTTAGTAGAGACAGGGTTTCACCATGTTAGCCAGGATGGTCTCGATCTCCTGACCTCGTGATCCACCTGCCTCAGCCTCCCAAAGTGCTGGGATTACAGGCGTGAGCCACCGCGTCCGGCCCTGAAAAAAAATTATTTTTCTTCTATTTCAAATTCTTTTTCAAGATCTGTCATCATCTTTCTGAATTCTCTAATTCTGATTTGTGTTGCTCTGTCATGACAGTTTCTTAACGTGTTTCATTACTGTCGCTCACTTTTATGTGAAATTAGGTTCTTGAAGTGTAAAAAGAGGCATGGTTCAAATAGCTTTTCTAACTTAAGAAAGCTTTCCTTCCTGTTGTTTTGGGGTAATGTTAAAAAGTGTGACAGCTTGCTTTTTGAGACTTTCTCACTCCATTTCCCTCCCACAATTTTATCTGTAAATTCTTTTCCTATTGTTTCTACTGCCCTGGTGGTGATTCATTTTAATTCCACTTCTGACAATTTCTCCTCCGTACAAGGCACTGTCCTGAAACAGCTGGTAAATTCTAAGAGGTCACAGGACCTAATCTGTTCCACACCCTGGAGACCTCATGATGAGTCCACTATTTGGGAATGATAAAACCTGTCCAAGTTTTATTTCTTGTTCTCCAATTGGGCCCCTCTGCTTTCCAGTGAATACTTGTTGGCTTTCTCCTCTTCTCTGATTCACTAAATGCTCCATTGCTTTCTTCTGCTTCCTCCTACACAGACACTGATACAATGCTCTCATGTAAGTCTTGGGGCTTTTGGCAATTTCTTTCTACCCAGTTGCATTTTGGGGTTCAGGAGTCTATCCTGTTAGTTTTATTGTAAATGTTATCCATGGGATTTGTGTTCTGCTATCTATTTTCTCTGACTGTGTTAAAGAGGATATTCAAAGACATTTAACAACTTTGCAGGCACCTCCATCTTCCCAGAATGCCTCTGTTTGTACATACGTATTTTGACCTGCACAAAGAACCTATGCCATAACAATAAATATCTATGGAATGTACATTTCAGTTCTAGATTATGTTTACAATTTCTTTACACAGAGACTAGCACATAAATAGGTTAAGGGGGGCAACTGCATGAGTGTCTACTATCTTCTGTACATAAGCCACAGAAACCAACAGTTCCATGAGCTTAGAGCACAACACAGAAAAATCTAGAGCCAATATTAACACCAGTTTCTTAAATACACAAACACATGCAAACACACACATGCATATGTGCATTCACATCTGAGCTGTTGCCTGTTGACCTAACAGCTGGAAGTTGTCTATCAGAAAACATGCCATAAAACAGTAAAGGAATAGTACTGATCAGTTTGGTTCCAGTGCATGTTAGCAGGCACTTTTCAAACATTTTGAGTAGTAGCAAAAGGGTCTTTATATTATACCTTTGAATCACTCCATTCAATGACATGGCATCATTTCACCTAAACCTGAATGGGTTTTATTGTTATGCGTTATTGAAAATGTTCAATTTGACATATAAAAAGTAGAGCAACTAGAATAGATTCAAAAAAATCAGAGATACATTTGAAAACTGCTACAACAAAACTAGGTGAATCCTGAAATAAAAGGATTTATGTCAACATGGAGATTAACCATTGATAGGTACAAAACCCTCATAGTATCAGCACTTGTGCAAGAGGGAGTGGGGGGAAGGCAACTGTGCTTTAGACAGCCCTGGAAACAGAACTCAAAACCATTCGCAGGTACCCACTGGAAAGCAGAAGCATGGTGGGCAGTTGTCAACTAGAAGGGATTTCGGCAGAATCCAATCCCTTGTGGAAACTCTACAGCAAAAGCAGCCATTTTCTTCTGTATCAACCATAAGAAAAAAAAATGAGATGGAGAGGAAATCTGTAAAGTAAAAGACATTTAAAGATACATATCAACCAATGACACAGTTGAGACCTTGTTGGATACCAATTCAAGTAAATTAAAACAATTAAAAAGCCAGTAAAATATGAGCAATGAGTGGATACTTAATTATACTAAAGAATTACTATTAACTTAGGTGTGACAATATTGTGGTTATGCTTTTTTAAATAGTCCTCATTTTCTAGAGATGCATATGAAATATTTATAGAAGAAATGAGATGACATTTTGGATTTACTTCAAAATAATGCAGGTGCTGGGGATGGGTGGGAATACAGATAATGGAATATTATCCATGTAATAATGATCATTGTTGAAGTCAGGTACACTGGCTTCATTATACTAGTTTCTCTATTTCTGTATATGTTCAAATTTTTCTATGATAAAAAATAAAAAGGAGATATCTAACTGAACAGATATTTAAAGAGGTTAAAAGGCAGAGGGCTACATCAATTGAGGGAGATGCACATTTTCAAAGAAGCAGGAAGAGAAGAGACACAAGCACAGGCATCACACAGAAAGCCACGCACACAACTCAGGGCTCCTTGGGATGCTAACTGATTTCTTGGTCTCTTAGACACTGTGTCTAAAAGAGAAGGAAAATTGGATAAAGATTATATTCCGGGAGGCAATTAAACAGTTTTAAGCTCTGTTAGATTCTACAGCAAGAATCAAAAAGAAATAGAAAAGCACAGTCCATCATTCTCATTGCACTGTATTTTTTAGAAAAAAAATGAACATTTATTCACAACTTACAAAGTAAGTCAGTTCACATTGACCCTACTGATGCTGAGAAAGCAAATTCAAAAGAAGTTTCAGAAAGCAACAGAAGAAAAAGCAGGTTTGTCACGGATGACAGGTTGAAAATGGGAGGGACAGGGCATGAGGTATGGGTGAACTCTGTGTGCGTTTTTCATAATGGAGCCTGAAGCAGTACAGTTAGCCCTCGGACAGGGAGCAAATGACCTCATTTGAGTCCTTTCTTTCACACTTTCTAAGCCTGGACCTTATTTTTTCCAAGCCTCAGTTTCCTGCTTTGGCGTGTACACTGAATTGGCTCCAGGGCGCGGTGTGGGGATTTATGTCGGCAAGTGTGCTCTGTCAACTGTAAAGCCGACACTTTCCATCACCCAAAGGAACTGCAGGACCTGGCACATAATGGGTGATTAATAAATCTGACTCTAGTACTGGAGCTCGGGGCCATTATGGTTTAAAGGCAAACATGAGGCAACTCCTGGCATCAAGATTTTCTCCTGTATTGCATTTCAAATGCTTCTCCCAAACCAAAGGCTCAGCAATTTTCACTCAGCATTACAAGGCCAAGAAGAAATCAGGCTGTAAATTGGCTTTGGACTTTTCTGGTTTTGTTTTGACTCTTGTTTGAAATATAGGTTTAAAAAAAATGTTTCTAGCAGCTTTAATGTAAAAGCAGTGTAATTCTTAAGAACACAAGTATTTGGATTAAAATCCTAGTCTCATTATTTCCAAGCTCAGTGACCTTGGGCAAATGACCTTACCTCTCTAAACCTTAATCTCCTCATCTGTATAACAAGGATTACAATGCCTTTTTCTGGACTGTTGTAAGGATTAAATGAGATAAAATTTTGTATATAAAGTGTTTAGCCAGTCCTGGAACATAAGAAATGTCTGTAATAATAATAGAATTACTAGCAGTACTTTGATTAACAATCATGCTAGGCAATTTCTTAGAGGTCTTCTCTTCCCAAATTTGCTGTGGTCTTGACTGGAGTAACCTGAGCTCTAAGTTGAGAACAGTAAACACACAGTATATAAATTAAGGAGAAGGAATGTCATCAGTCCTCCTTTTAAGACAACCTCTTAGAAAGTTACATCCCTCCATATACACTTTCCCCCATCAGGTATGGTCTTGGATGATTACCTTAACAAATAAAATGGACAGAATGGGACTGGAAACACTGCCCCAAATTCCACAGCCACTAAAAAATCATGAGTATAAGAGTAAATATCACAGTCTATCATTTGTGAACATTTCAATGTCTACATTATTGATTTGACCATTCCTAACACCTGCCCCTACTCACTGGTCTTAGAATCTCATTTAACCACAGTATCAGAATTATATATTTAAACTTTATACAGGTAACAGCCTATATATGAATAGCAACATAAAAATAATTTGCCTCCCCTTTCTCAGGTTTGGAATGGAGAAACAAATCACAAATCACAAAATTATTCTCATATACTTAATATAGAAGAAAGCAGTTTGTCTCAGTATTAATGATCACTTCCTTCTTAATGTTTTGCAGGTTTTTCTTTTTTCTTTTTTCTTTTTTTTTTTTTTGAGATGGAGCCTCGCTCTGTCGCCAGGCTGGAGTGGAGTGGCGTGATCTCGGCTCACTGCAACCTCCGCCCCCAGGTTTAAGTGATTCTCCTGCCTCAGCCTCCCAAGTAGCTGGGACTACAGGTGCACACCACCACACCCAGCTACTTTTTGTATTTTTAGTAGAGACGGGGTTTCACCATGTTGGCCAGGATGGTCTCGATCTCTTGACCTCATGATCTGCCCACCTTGGCCTCCCAAAGTGTTGGGATTACAGGTGTGAGCCACCGCATCCGGCCAGGTTTTTCTATAAGACTTCGTTTTCCTCTCTCATTCCTTTTTCTTTTTCTATCCAAGAAGCATATGCACATACTGTTTTCTCAAGAGCTAAGCTACATTGAGGTTTCCCTTCAAGAACCCACTTTTTACCCACACATCATGGAAAAATCAGGACTAGCTGTCAGGTGAGACCTGTAAAACCAAGACTTTGCCACGGTGCACACAGATTAGATTCTCAAGCCACAGGTCAGCGCTGAAGTGGTAATGTGGGGAGAAGAGAGTTTTGTTGTCCTCACTCTCCTGAGACTACAGTGGAGTGAGGAGGCTGAGGGAAGACTCAAGGCAGGTCACTTCATTTCTGAAATCTGCAAGGCCCTCACGATGACCCTGGTAGCCTTCCGGAGCACAGCCGTTTCTAACATGCAGCCTGGTGTCTCACACATCCTCCAGGAGGGAACTTATGGAGTGGAACAACTGTAAAATAAACAGTACCGAGAGATTCAATATGCTTGGTTCATTTATTTATTACAAAACAGAGTAGGACAGAGAGAACTGCATTTATACTCTTTTCTCCTCTGGTTATCATTTTCTTTGTTGTCATTTGCAAGCAAACCAACAGTGCTCAACAAAAAGCATGTTCTAACAAATGTTCTTTCCCTGAAATCAGTTTTGGGTACATGCTGCTAAAACTGTTCAATTTAGTGGCCTGAATGAGTCCAGTAGTTTGGGCCTGACATTTGCTTAGATCAAGTTTAGATTTGCATGACACCCACCTCATCTAGTTTTAAAACATTCATTCCCATAGAACTGGATACTCGGGGAGAAAGTAAGAGAGTTGCTGAGGAAATAACCATTGTCTTTTCTTTGCCATTATTGCTGGTGAACTCAGATTTAACATGCTAGCCTGCGGAGACAGTAGAACTGCGATGCTTCACGGATAGGCCCTCAACCACAGTGAAAGGCTGCCAGACACAGAGAAGTAAGGTACGGATGGATCAGTGCATACGCACCTCCCTGCTCTCCATCTTCCACCCAATTCATGCACATCGCCAGTACAGTAAAGACACTTACATGGCTTGTCCTAGTCACCCCTTCTAGTCAGAAGAGGATGTGGGTGAAGAGAGCTGTCTTCTTATATGAAAGTCAGTGCTTCCTCATGACTCCAGCAGACCACGATGGAGTCAGAGGGATGAGGGGTGACTTTATGCTGCAGGCCAGATCCTGACCAAAAGCAAATTCCTCTCTGAGCGCCCTCATGCCTCTTTCCTTATCCTTGCAGCTTGAAAGCAAACCCAAACCCCAACAGCCTCTTAAGGACTAACTTGCTAGTGGGATATGGACAACTTCTTACCCTCAATATATCAGCTATATGTCGTCATTAAGACAACCATTATTTGCTTGATTTCCCATAATAGAATTAATCTGTGTTCAATTTAGTCAGGCTAGTCCTGAAATTCATTTCTCACATCTACAATTCTGAGCATGTCAGGGAAGTGAGCTGTGATATTGTCATTCTAAAACAGCATAACAAAAAGGGAACATCTCCAAGCTGCTGCTCTTTTATATATTAGGATGACGGAGTCCAGAAGAAGCTCTCTTAACCAATTTCCACTTAATGGCTTCGGTAAATAAACTACACTCCCCTTCTGCTCTGTTCAACATCACACTAACTGAGGTGGAAGCACCTAAAGGCACAACATGTGACTCTCTGAATTCCCATGGACTTCTGCTCCCATAAGTTGAAAAGTAAGCATGCCAAAATTCAGTTGCACTTGCTTCCAAACCTGATTATAATAGTTGTTCTTCTTACTATCATTATGTAATTTAATGTAATATTAAATATAATTAAGAAATTTTAGGGCCAGGCATGGTGGCTCATGCCTGTAATCCCAGCACTTTGGGAGGCCAAGGTGGGCGGATCACGAGGTCAGGAGATCGAGACCATCTAACACAGTGAAACCCCGTCTCTACTAAAAATACAAAAAAAAAAAAAATTAGCCGAGCGTGGTGGTGGGCGCCTGTATTCCCAGCTACTCGGGAGGCTGAGGCAGGAGAATGGTGTGAACCCGGGAGGCGGAGCTTGCAGTGAGCTGAGATTGCGCCATTGCCCTCCAGCCTGGGCGACAGAGAGAGACTCCGTCTTAAAAAAAAAAAAAAAAAAAAAAAAAAAAAAGAAATTTTAGTATCAAAAGGAAGGAGTAGTCATCTCTGTGAAAGTGACAATGGGTGTTTTGTGAAGAATCAATAACCATAACTCTCTAAAGCAGTGCTATCCAAGAGAAATGAAATCCAAACCACTTATGTAAATTTACATTCTCTAGTAGTCACATTTAGAAAGTAAAAAGAGGAGACAGACATGTGACATGTGTCTGTAGTCCCAGCTACTCAGGAGGCTGAGGTGGGAGGATCACTTGAGCTCAGGAATTCAAGGTTACAGTAAGCTATGATTGTGCCACTGCACTCCAGCCTGGGCAACAGAGCAAGACCCTATCTCAAAAAAAAGTACGAAGGACCAGATAAAATTAATTTTAATAATCTATTGTATTTTACTCAGCATATTCAAACCATTATTTCAACATATAATCATATAAATTGAGATATTTTATGTTCTTTTTCTGTACTAAATCTTGGAAATCCAGTGGGTGTTTTACATTTCTGCCATCCCTTGCTTTTGACTAGCTCCATTTCAAATGCACAGTAAACGCATGTGGCACATGTCTACTATATTGGACAGAGCAACTCTATAGAACTGCCATTTAGTTAATAGAGACAACTATTATGAACTGGGGGAATCTTTTTTTTTTTTTTTTTTTTTTTTTGAGACAAGGTCTCTTTCTATCCCCGAGGCTGGAAAGCAATGGAACAATCATGGCTCACTGCAGCCTCAACCTCCTAGGCTAAAGGGATCCTCCCACCTTAGCCTCCTGAGTAGCTGGAACCACAGGTGAATGACACCATACCCAACTAATACTTTTTTTTGTAGATACAGTGTTTTCCTATGTTGCCTAACCTGATAGAACTTTTTAATAGTTACAATACTCAGATTGCATTGCAAGTGTCTGTAAGCTGTCTTTCCACAATAAAGAAACTCAAATTGGAAATGTCAAATTATTCACTGTGGATATGACTGAAACAAGAAAGGAAACCAGGAACCTGAGTCAATGAATGCAAATTCAAAGAGGATCCTTGACTCTGCATTCAAAAATCTGACAAATTAATGTAGGTTTTAAGTTAAATGGGTTTATGGTATATACAGGGCTTTTTTATTTTTATTTTTTGTAAAATGATTGTCCATGTTAACATAACATTTTTGATTAATCAAAAAATACTGTAACAGTAACTGGATAAAAGAGCATCTATTGTAATTGAAGTGCTTTTAAACTAATTAATTTTAATTGAATTCAACAAATGTTTACTGAGCATCTTCTATTTGTGAACTTTCTTCCTGACTATAAGGATTACACAGATTGCTAAAGGGCATAAGACAATGAAAACAATTGCAACACAACAAGTAAGAAAGAAGTCAAATGATAGGGCAATTGTGTTTGATTGGAGAATCAGGAAAATATCCCATGGGAAAAAAATAGCTTTTGATATAAGCCTTGAAGGATGAGTAGATTTTCATCATAGAGATGAACGAAAGAAGAATATTTTTAAATAGAGATTATAGGACTTTCTGATGAACAACTTTCCTATCAGTACTATCAGCACTTACTGTTACATGACCAAAAGATGTATAAGCTCTCGTGAAAAAGATGTGGGGATTTTAATTGCTCTCAGCCTCGACATAGGCTAGAAAAGTTTGATGTTCAGTGTAGGAAGAAACCAGTGGCCAATGGTTGTTTAGCACACCGCTGAGTGCTCAGGGGAGCCTCAGGAAAGAGGCAAAGGGAGTTGAGCTGGATCTGTTGGGAAAAGGATTCTCACAGAAAGTAGTTTATGGATGAATGTTCCAGCAACTGTGTATATATTTTCTCAGAACAAGGGGAAAGTAAGAGCACAAAGAGAGGCTGGGACAGTCTGAGTAGGGGCTCGTGCACTTAATTTGGAGTCAAAAGGTAAAGGTTCACCCACACATGCTACCTCTGTAAGCCTAGGCACATCACTCAGCCACTCTGAGCTTCAGTTTCCAATATCCCAGGAGTGCTATAGGGATTAAACGAGACAAGGTAGGTGGACATCCTCAGCCAAATGTGAACATTACCCAGATTTTAGGTACTAGTTACTGTGATTATTATTATTACCTTTAGAAAGGTTTTGCATTTATCCCTATGTGAGGTAATAAAATCCTGGAATGCAGTGGAGGCAAAAAAACATTGACAAGAGGAAACAGGAAAAATGCACTGAAGAGAAAAAGTCAAAGTTGGTCATTGATTGGATTGGTGGTGGCTGGGACCACAGAGCTAAGAATAAAAAAATTTTTTTTTCATTAATGACAAACAAAAGAAAGAAACTTCAGCATATGGTTTGCAGCCATCAAATGGCAGCCTTTTTCACTGAAGCCACCACTTGGCTTGCATTTTATATCCAAGTTTACATTCCAATACCCCGTGCCCCACTTCCATTATCGATTCAAAATTTTCTTTCTCTCCCTCCACACTGAAGCTAAACTGCAGGACAGGAAAAAGCATGTGGCTTGGTGTGCTAAAAGTTATTGTCATTTATTAACTCCTACTTTCAAGGCCAGAAATTACAAATAGAATGCTGAGCCACTGCTACTGGTAGAGGAAAAATATGCTCTTAAAATTGATAGGATGCACACCCACCATTCTCCTCATTGCCGGCCACCAATATATCAACGGTTGCCAAGTGATTACAGCCTATGACCACCAGTGGCCAGATATTGATTTCTCTTGTATTCAGCAGCAGTTGAAGTTATGCATATGTGTGCACACACACACAGACACACACACACACACACACACAGAATACACTTTAAACCTTATAATCAAATTAATTATGTTTCTGTCAGAAAAAGTATTTTTATTTCTAGGACAACACAGTAAGAGTTTTTTTTAAAAATCTTTTAATTAGAACTAACTCTAAAATGATACTTCATTAAATCACTTAAAAGGAAGTATAACCATCCGAATCCTGCACTCATTTGTACAACAAAGTCTAGATTGGTACTAATTATGTGACACTTGTCAATTCCTTGCAATATGCCTCGTCATGAGTAGATTCTTTAAGCTCAGAGGTAGAATAGGTAAACCATTCACAGGATGCTACAGATACCAAGAAACAGTCATTATCTTCTCTGCAAGTCCAATTGTATATATCTTTCAAGGTTGTTCATTGTTTTGAATTATATTGTCCAATTTTCCTCCATTAGAGCAGATAATGGAGCATGAACTATATCTGGTAACATCTATGATCTAGGAGTAGGTCATACCCTAAGCAAAATTATGACATAGAAAAAATGTCTTTAATATCCTTGGATCTCTCTTTTGACCATTTTCCTTACATATCTACCCATCCTCCTTCTCCATGGCTTCTTTTGGGACTTCTTTCTCCAATAGTATCCTGTAATTGAGATCTTTCTTGTCTTACCCTGGATTAACAACACTTACATATCTTGTATTTTACTATTTAAAAGGCATGGTCTTCATTCATGAATGCTATACCAAAGAGAGTTACCTCAGTGGTAATGTAAGGCTTTGTGGCTAGCCAAAGAGATTTTTCCATATTCCTCAAACCATATCCTCTAACATCACACTCAGGGTGAGGTGCAGGTAAAGGAAAATATGTCAAAGCACCTTGTTAATTTCAAACAGCTCCATAAATGAAAGAAAGCATTATTATTATTCTGCCTGCACAAAGGGTTAGTGGGATGCTGGAGCTGGCTTATACTGTGTATATCTCTTAACTGTGTACATCTCTTCCTTTAGCTTCATTCAATGACATCAAGTTGGAGGTTTGAAATCAGCCCCAGTGAAAATATTTACACCATGATAATTGGTAAATGCTACATATCAGGGCTTCTCCCTGCACTTCCTAGAGAGCCAGTTTACCAGCACACCACTGCATAAGATCATCTTTATGTAGAAATAGATGGCATCTTGAAATTTTTTTTTAATTTTTTGGCCCATTGAGTTGCCCTATTTTCCTGATTAGTCTTCTTCCCTTGCCAACACAACATGAAAGGATTTGCCCATGCACATACATATCTCAACTCACTGTAATAATTAGCTTAATCATGGCTTTTCTATTCACTGGTATATGCTCAGCACCTACACTGCCTAACATATAGAAGGTGAAAAATATTAGTTGATTAAATGAGCACACAGACATCCCACATCTACACTTGTGTGTGAACAGACACACACACATATGCCCACTGAGTCTGAGTTAACATGAGAGAGCTATTTATAAACAACACTTCAGTAGTAAAGGGCCATTTTATTTTCTAGTTAGAATATTTACTTGGTTTATTGCCAATGGCCTAAAATTCCTGGAGAAGCAACTGTTAACAACAGACAGGATCAAAAGCTATTTAAATATTGCAGAAAAACATGTTTTGCTACTTTTAAGTTTTATTATCCTCTTAGGAAAAAGACTAATTTTTGAAGTGCAAGTCGTCCAAAACAAATCTTTTTAAGTCCCCAAGATGCACCAATATGCTTAATGGGCAAAATTGCCTCATCTCGTATCATCACTGATTCTAACTTCAGAGTCACTAGCTCTCTCCTTCCTTTTGCTCAAACAACCTTCTCACCGTCTGTTCACTCTTCAGTTAGACCCCACAGAAACCACGCTGTCAAAGGTCACAATGACCTTCCAAGTGGCAATCTCCAGGACATTTCTCAGTTTTGTAAATCCCTCTGTTGCATTTGGCACTGTTGTCTTCTGCTGAGTCTCATTCTGGCCATGTTCAATTTCCCCCGGCCTGCCAATATGTGTCAGCGCCCCTCCCTGGAGTTCCTCCAGCCCTGCCCCACAGCTCCTGGCTCTTACTTTCCCTTGCTCTTTGATTTCTGACCTCTTGGTGTCCTGCACACTTTGGCTACTATTCCCCCACCTCACTCACAGGATTGTCACATACCTGTCACAAAGAAGGCTCTTACCTATGTAGCACATAATGAACACAAATTTCATGCCCACACATACACCCAGGTGCACACATGCATGCACAGGTATATGCGTGTGCATACAAACATATATTGACACGTCCATTAGCTCACTTCTTAGCCCTCGTCTGTGTGTGTGGACTTCCCCCCTCTGCCTTTCAGCACATCTGGCTCTTCCCCGCAATTCCCCTCCTTGCCTCTAGGGGGCAAACTGTGCCTCAGTCTCAGCCTGATGTTGAAAAAGTCCTCAGTTAAATTCTCCCCTCCCTTTAATTTAGGTGAGATTCACTCACCTAAGTTAGTTCTAGGTCCCGCCCCATCTTCTCTTCCCTTAAAGGCAGAGGTGCCTCAGGCGCTGTCTTTGACTTTCTCTGGTCTCTATCCCAAAGTTATCACTTTGTCTCATAGAATCCCATGGCTTCAACTATCCCCTACATATATTCATATTCCCCAAAAGCAAACCTGGAGAAGACCTGAATTAAATCTCTAGTTGTAGCTTCCACTGACACTGAAGTCTCAATATGCCCCAACCCAACCTTTTTATCTTCTCACTCAAACATATTTTACTTTGCATTAATGACACTAGACCCTAATTACTCCTGTGAGAACTACTAAATGTACTTGTGATTCTCCCCTCTCTCTCTCCCCTCAACTTTCATTCATTTGCTGAATTCTGAGGATTCTCCCTCTGCAAGAGTTCTCACCTCTGTCTCTGCATTACCACTGCCTACTGCCACAGTTGAGGCATTGGGCGTTTCTCGTGTGAACCGTCACAGTGAAATGCTAACTGACCACATCACGATGAGCCTTTCTCCCTCAACTCAGCTGCCATACTCACCTGCTAGACTTGTCTTTCTAAGCCCAGTATGAGGCTGTATGTCACTCTTTGTATTTTCCACTGCTGACAACAATATCTGCACAAGATTACCAGCAGACTGCCTACATCTGAATCATCCAGGAGGCTGGCTTACAATGCAGATTTCTAAGCTCCACTTCAAGCCAGCTGAATCAAATCAGTAGGTCCCAGAAATCTACATGTTCAGCCAAGTCCCTTTATAAGCCTTCAGCCCACTACAGCAGGAGAGCCACTGGCATAGAGCTTCCTCTGTAGGGCATTTAAAGCCTTTCACTATCTGGCCCCTGCTTACCTTTTAATCTGATTTTCGCCAGTCCCTTCACCCATGCCCTCATTCTCCATACTTACCCTGTGCCTTTGGGTGTTTCTCTCCCTGAAATGCCCTCTGCCTTTTGCTGCCAGATCTTACTAAAGCTTAGCCCTAAATTCACATACTCTGTGGCATCGTCTGTGATGCCTCTGGTTATATCCAATTCCTACCTCTTCAGGACCTCTGTTACCCTCAATAAAACAGGATTTGTTCAGCTGGTGAGTAACTCCACGAGAACACAGGTTTTGATCAATAAGAGTTTTATTACTTGGTGCAAGTAAGGAGGATACTGGGAGTGTTCTCCAAAGCAGTGTCTCCCGGAGAGAAGGGGACAGGAGGGTTTTATGCGGCAATGGAGAAGGGTGCATCATGGCAGGTAGAGGAGGGGTCCCAGTTGCACAGACATGATGAGTCATCATGCCAGCATATGGGTTGCATGTCATGGTAATGCAGGTATAGCTCCTCCCAGGGTGGAGACTTTGGCATAGTAATGAGGAAAGTTCACTCGAGTTCATCTAGAAGTTGCCAGGATCAGTCAGGACCTGGTTTAAACCAACAAGGTGACTGCATTCCACACAGGCTGCAGGGCAGGAGGCTGTAAAACAGACTGACCAGACTGACTGCTCAACTTGATTCGATTCCTATCATCCCTGGAGACTCTCCCTGTCTGTTTATACTCTTATATACTTTATAACAGTGTATCTCTGTGCATTATAGTAACTGTTTTAGTACCCCTTTCCTTTTTGGCCAAATACCTCTTAAGGGCAAGAACCAAGTTTTACTTATCCTTTTACCCCAGTGTCTGACACATAGTCAGTGCTCAATAAAATGATGTTTGAATGAATGACTGCATAAATACTGTCTTCCACCACTGCAATTCAAACATCAGACTCCATGGATAGCAGCATTTAGAAAAACACTTATATCTAACCATAATGATTCTGACAGGTTCCTGATAACTCTGGAAGTGTTATGCATTCCATCAGACTGAGAGGACCCAAATTTCATTTCTGAAATTCAGAGGACATCACAAGGAGACAGTTCCATTTAAATTTATCTTTCCAATTAAGGGCATAGACACAGATTCAGTTAGTTTGTACCGAAAGAGCCATTCATAGAATAGCCAACAGCTAAGGCCTAATTCTCAGACTAATGAGTAACTAAAGATATTTTTGAAAAAGCTGAATGTCGACAATATGACAGGGACACCAGAAAAACAAGGCTGTGGATGGCACTTGCCATCTGTCATCTGTCCAACAGTTGATGGCATTATTTGAATAACCCCTGAGTTTGTGGATTAGTCTTGTGGACCAGAGATAGGAGTGGAGGGGTTAGGAAGAAGGAAGTCACAAGGTCCCCTCTTTTCAAGAGTTTACAGTTCAGTTAGAACCACCTAAATGCTGCATGTGGCAAAAACCCAGGAATAAAAACAAAGAAGTATGGTAGAGACTGCACATTGACCTAATGTAGAAACAAAGCCCACAGCTGCTAGGGAAAGAAAGAGATTCGAGATTTATTTGTAATGAGAATTTTGGCACTGGAAGAGCCTACAGAGACCATGTAATACAGCAGTCTCACTTCACAAATGAGAACTAAATGCCGAGTGAAGTGACTTTTCCAAAGCCATTCGAATTGTTTATTTAACCAGGAAACCTTTCAGATAGAAATAAGATATGCCTGGAAAAAGAGAAGGTAAGTTTTTCAGAGAGCTATGTTGGAGGAGGGAAAAACTATGTGAGGAGAAAAAGAGAAAGAGGTTTCTGCAGAAGGAGAAGAGGCAAATGAGCAAGTTTGGGAGATGAAAGCAAGAATTTCTAGTGCAGTGCAAAGAAGAGTGATGAGGAGTGAGACTGGGGTGTCACGTTGGAGGTGGGAACCAACCTTTATGAATGGAAAGTCTTAGCTAGAAGAAGGAGGAGGGTTGCTATGAACCCAACTGAGTTCCAGCCCTATATAATGAATTCCTGTGCTGTTAGAATCCAACCTCACTCAATCACAAATTTTTGAAGCTGGAAAGACCTTGAAGGAAAACTAAGGAACTCATCTTAGAGATGAATAAGCCCAGGTTCAGAAGGAGGCAGGGCAAGTGTGTGGTCTTTGGAAACATGCTGATTCTAGTTTTAACACTCATCAGCCATATGTCTTTGAGCCACTTATTGAAGCTCTTTGAGCCTCTGTTGCCTTTCCTGTAAGAAGGAGATATATTCAATTCATAGTGTTGTTATAAGGGTTAGACTATCATGCATCATTAGCACCTGGCCTAGTGTGAGCCCATAAATGGAATTCAGTGAATGCTTCTTCTGCCTCCCTTTGTGCTAAGAGATGAGTTGCCTTGCCCAGGTCATCAGCTTATGCATAGCAAAGACAAGGCAGAAACTTTAATGTTTAAACCTGAAAATCCAAGCTACAGCCCTAAAACAGGCTGCCCCTCTTGCAAACTCTACCTAGGCTCCCACCAAAGTACTTAGGATCCTTTTGAAAAGGGGCAGTTCCGGAATTGCCATAAGAGACCAGGAATTCACAATCAGAACTTCATTTGCTTTCCTTCCTGAAGTTTGTCTTTAGTGAGCTCACAGCCTTGACGAATGAAGAAACAAACCCATCTCAAACAAACAAAAAACAAAGAGGGCAGATCAAAGACAAGTCCTCTATGAAAGTATGTCAGCTGGGGATAGAGGATAAAAGCTTTTTTGTTGCTGAATGAAAAAGCTCTTTTGGCTTCATGATTTCCTAGGGATTATAATAATAATGGCCTGGATTATCAATACAATTCACATCTGAATGTGCTTCACATTTCTCAAAACCTGAAGATTGGAAACTAAATTGTTGAAAGCCAATCAGTCCTGGCCAGGTAGAGGTGCAAGGTAGACACAGAGACTCTTGAGCTGTAGGAGGTTTTATCAATATGACAGATACCCTTTGAGGGATGAGCTATTGGCATGTGGGCATTGAAGTCCTGGACAGAATGTAAATATTAAGACTTTAAAATAATAAATACAATATTCCCCAAACGAATCTTTTTATCTTCTACCTCAAACACAACTAGTGCTCTTATCAATGACCTGGGACAGTGCTTTTTTTTTTTTTTTTTTTTTTTTTTGCTTGTCTTTAGTAATGTACTGCAACTCTGCTCAAGTTTGTTAAGCATTTCTCAGGTTCCAAAGAATTTTCTGACACTAGCATTACAAAAGTGACTAAGACGTGGTCCCTATTTTCCAAAATTTGTTTAAATCCCAGCTCAAATCATGTCACTCCTCTGATCTAAACCCTGCATTGTTGCTCCATCTCACTCAGACGAAAGCCAACATCCTTGCAGTGGCCACCGGCTCCCACCTGATCTCCTTGGCCCTTCCTCACTGACCTCATCACATACTACTCTCTCTGTTGCTGATACTGAATATGCCAGGATCCTCCTGCCTTTGTTAATGAATGCATTTTTCTTTCAGGAAAAGAGATGAGCTCTATGAGGAAATGCAAAAAGCAATTATAATTTCAATTGTGGAAAAAGAAAACTCAGAAGTCAACTTAAGAACTTGCCAGTCAGACTGCTTTTTGAGGGAGCTGTCCGATGAGCTGGTGTTGCTATTTGAGGTGAACCACCCAGCTAGCTGGGTGGCTTGACTACCTAGAGGGAAAACTTGACCATTCATACAGCAGAGAAAGACGTGACTAAAGAACACTGTCCCCACTATACACTTCCACCCTGCATGACATCAGTGAATCTTTGACTTCCTTTAGGTTAGCAAAGCATGGAAACGAATTTCAGGCCAAATGACGATACATTCATGATCGCTGGACAATTTTATTATCTGGATCCTGGGGCAGTGCATGCAGTGTTTGTCCTGGAGCAACCTCCTTAAGGGGCCACCTCTGCTTGAGCAACACGCTGGAAGCTTCATAGATAGGTAACATTCTCTAGCTTGCTACCCAGCCCCCTTGGTGTCATGTTTCTCTTCTCCCCCATCCTCCTGTGTAGTGCATGTGCTCTCCAGACTCTCCCCAAGGCTCTGTCCCTGTCCCACCTTCCCTCTCTGAGAACTTCCCACCTCCGCTCCACTCCTTCAGGTGAGGATTTTTTTTTCTCTCTGACTCAACACATATGCAGATAACTTACTGGTCAGACCCTTCTTTGTTGTATTCGGTCTCTAAGATCCTGGGCCTATTTGTTACTCATATTGTCTAGATCTTGGGAGCAGAGCCATGTCCAAAGATCATGGAATTCTTTGCACACAGAGTGGACACCTGACCTGCCATCAGGGTGTAGGCTTTCCTGATGCCCCTCCCACCCGAGCCAGGTGTGAGTGGAAGGGATGAATCTCAGAGGGTTGAATAAGTTATGAGCCTTAGTTCATGATATATCATCATCTTTGATTTGGGTTAATCTTTGATTTAATTAGCTATCACTTTTATTCCCATTCTTCATTCCCATGCCCCATCCATAGGCAGTCATATCTATGTGTTTAATGTTTACCTTTTTATCTGTAAATGCCCTTATAAAATATGCATTATTATTTGGCGTACATATATTTTTCACTTACACAGACAGTATTGAATTATTTATCTTCTTCCCCCCATTCAGCACTATGCTTTTAAGGTGCATGCATATCGTTCTGTGGGCTTCTATCTGCGGCATGATCAGCCACAGTGTGCATCTGTGTATCATGCTCTCTGCCTTCCCAGCCCCTGACAAACACACAGACAATGCTGTGGGAAACATCACAGTATATATTCATATCTTCATATGAGAGGCATATTCCCAAGGGTGAAATTAAGCCCTATAAGATGAATGAGCTATAGATACAGGAATGTAGGTATAGATAGATGTAGATGGCAAACATAGATATTTAAATTCATATGCTTACCTTGACTAAGAATGTATTATGCCAGATGCCACACAGAACCAACCCCTTCTTCCCCCATACCTCTATTCTGCCCCATACCAATTTCTAGCGTAGCACTTGCTAGAGCACCCAGAAAGAAAGGGGCCCCTTCCTAACCACTACCTGCACACATATCTCATTCACAAATCATAGCCAGGTTTCCAAGTTAAATAATAACTTCTCTACAGAGTCTTCCTTGATCCCCACAGCTGGAAACAATTGCTCTGTAGTCTGAATTCTTGGTCTCTTAGTATCTTTTGTCTGATAACTTAATATTTTTCAAAGGACACCAATCATAGTTACATAGAGGTTTAATCGCTCCTCTAAGCTCTAAACCTGTGAACAAAGGATTACCACGAGTCATCTTGGTGACTTGGTGGTTATAACATGGGCTTTGAAGTCTAACAGAACTGAGTTTGTCTCTGCTGTGTCATTTATAAGCTGTGTGACTGTTAAACAAGTTAATTCAATTCTCTTAGCCTTAGTTTCCCCATGTTGATACTGCCTATCTTAATGATTTATGGAAGAACCAAATGAAAAGCTGCACATAAAACAGTCCAGTGCCTAACATATATGACCAGCTCAATAAGTGGTAGCTGCCATTAGAACTGTCATGACCATCATTATTGTCAAGCGGCTGTACAGAATATGGCACAGTTCCTACAGTGGTAGACACTCAGGAATTGTGTCGTAAATGAACAAGCCTCAGAAACAAAAACTGCCCTGTCCAAGGTCACCTGGATGGAAACTGTCAGGGCTGGTACTTAAACACAAGCCTTCTTTGTGGCCTACCTTCTCTAAAACTAAACTAACTATTTTTTAGAAAAAAAAATTAGCTATTTATAGGACTGGAACAGTGAGACAAGAGGAACTGAATTTCTATATCACTTCAATCAGAGAAATTGAAATTGCATGTATGGGGGTCAGAGACTGTGCCAAGTCTCCATCTGGTGACACTTTCCCTCGTCCTGGTTGGTGGTGGTGTCAGGAGGGTCTATGAGATGACATACACGTAATACACTAGACCAGTGTCGGCAGGTAGCGGATACAGGAATCTGCCCTAATTATTACCAGCCCCTTGACCCAGAGACACAGAGGATTTCTCCTGCTTCTTCCCATGTAAAGCAACCATCTCCCTCCTCAGCCTGAGGAAAACCTCAGTTCAAACAACCTTCCGACCTTTCTCAAAGAAGGCTGGCTGTTCAGATTCAATAAAACACAATCTATGTGATTAAAAAAAAAAAACTTTTAGCAGCTCATTAAAAAGTTCCGTAGGTTTCAAGAGCATCAAATGGCTTTTCGCAATCAATATTTTCAGGCTCTGGAGTGAATCATAAAGATTAAACACTTTCTTCCTTAAAAAATAAAAGAAATCTGTCTATAACTGAATAGAAAGAACTGATGAGACAAGGAACACAGGTGGGAGTAGCCACGTTCTACTTCCCAAGAAAGGTCCAGCACACTGGCCTGGCCTGTCTGCTACCCACAGAACCCTGTGCTGAGGGAGGGGGCCCGGGGGCCAGGCAGGTCCAAGCAGGTTATTCACCCAGAGTTTCCCCATTATGGATTCCAGTAAAGGAACGACGAGAACTATGATATCCACAGAAAGTTTTAAATTATACTGTGAAGAAAAGCCTACCTCTAACATCAAAAGGTGCCCAGGAGCATGTCACCATGGAAGGCTCAGGGCGGGTTAGGCCAGCCATTTGGGAGTAAATGTCCTGAACAGAGCCCTAGAGCCCAGGGCTACTCTTGAGTGAAGCAGTTCTACAAAGAAGAAGCTGGAAATGTTTGTTCTACTTAAATCCCTGGAGATACAGGTGGCGTCTTCTTGGGGTGGCCAAGGCCCCAAAAACTATCTCCCCAGACTGCCAAAGGGAATCGTAAAGTAAGTTAGAGTGAAGGGGACACTCAGTGTGACACAAATGCATGCAAGGGCGGGACTGTGTTTGACTGGGGAGCATGGAGCCTCTTGGGGTCCCAGCATCCTGCAGGGCAGGAGCAACAGTGTCATGAATTAGCTGCACAGCAAGGGTCCATAGGGTGCCCCAGCAGAGGTAGGTGGGCTGAGGATGAGTCAGAGTGTTGCAAGGCCAGCAGCCGGCAAGGACCTTTGTTAGAACACCAGGCTGGCGGATGCCAATCATTACAAAACAGAAGAGGTCAGGAGCTGTTTATTCCCTGCACTGTTTTGTTATAATTACTCCAGGAGGTCCACCAGGACCCACAGGCACAGGCCACTGACCTGAAGAACGTTTTAGTTTCTCCACTGAAGTCTGTTCCCAATCACAGCAGAGATGGACCTACTAGGACTGACAGAGACCCAAATTGCAACAAAGATGAAGTTTAAGAAGGCCAGGTCTGGGACAAACAGCTCTAAAGATCTCCATGCCCTCCATGAAGCCATGTTCATGCTCAGCAAATGCACAACCCTTGAGGGGGAGTCCTGCGTGAGTGCCTGTAGCCCCTCTGTGTGATCTGTCACCACCAGCTGCAGACCAAGTGGCTCCCTGTGCAGCAGGGGAGGTGAACAAAGAATCGTGTTTCTCTGCTTCTTTGCCCCTGTATGTTGAGTTTATTTTCATCCCTAAGGCTCCATTCAGGCAGAACTCTCTAGCCTGACCTCCCCCCGGGGTGGCATTACCAGCCCATCCATCTTAATGAAATAACTGAAGTGGAGGTACAGAAAGACTTAAAGACTTAGATTGCAGTTGAGCACCAAGTAATTGATCTGATCGTTGGTGATAAATCCATTTCAGGCATCTTAATGACTGAAGGCAGTTATTAAGACAACCAGTGACATTGCCTAGTCATGGCTATTTTAGTCTCAAAGGTCTGTGTCTGTATGTGAGGCTGGGCCCAACAGCTGACCTGTAAGCAGAAAACAAAAAAGATTTAAACAGTCCAACAGTGAGGTTTTTGCTCAATTATTTACGTTAATGTTCATCATAGCTTCTTTCTGCAGCCAGACTCTTTGCTTGCACTGGGAGATTATTCTAAGATGTACACAATGCACTTGCTGCCAAGCCGGATCAGGAGGTGGGGTTGCAGCTTACAGTGCAATCCACAAGTGACACTTCTGTAAAAGCCTCCATGCCGTGTTATTCTCAGCCTGTGTGAAGACTGCATTGTGGGATTCATGCCAGAAACCCAGTCTTGTCCCATTTTGTCCCCCCTACCAATACTTGCTTTGTTCATCTGAAGGACCTAATGATACCCAGCAAATGCTAAACAGAAGATTAGGGGAAGGAGAGAGCTGCTCCTGCTATATTACAGGTGCCTTCAGTGACAGTGCCAGCTCTGAGTCATTGATGACATTACCGCCACCCAGGGAGCAAAGGAGAGCACAGCTACCTCCTCCACCTCAGGACATGACAAAGTCCCATTGTCCTCTGGTTCTGGTTATTGTTCCCTTGAAAGAGGCAGGGCTGTGGCTTGTTGTGACCCAGAGCTGGTTAGAGCCACTACCCATCCCTTCCCTTCCACTCTCCCAAACCCACACCTCCAAGCAGAAGGTGTGCAGTCCAGAGAGGAACTGGCACATGGGGTTTCCTACAGAGCCACACTTCTTCATTGCATGAAGTGTGACATATGAGAGTGCACTCCAGGCACCCTGTGTTCAATGTGCTACTCTCTGTAGGCAACTCCCAAATTCTATGACTTTATACCAAAGACACCATTCCACTGATCTCCCACCTCAAATCCAAGCCTTGATCCCGGATTATCTCCTGATGGTCCCTGATCTCCACTCCTCTCTGCTTCCAGTCCCACTGTCCTGCAATTACACAGGAAGCACTGGACCAAGAAGCCAGGGCAGAGAATAGCGGATGAGATGAGGATGGTCAGTGTGGCATCGGGAGCGGGGGAAGGGGAGGCTTTAAAGCCTAAAGGGTTAAAGTCTTGCTTGTAATAAGAACATGGATGCAACATGGGTCATAAAGTCAAGGATGGAAGAAAATTCTAGTGGCTTCAGAAAGGCAGAGTTAAGAAGAAATTATTGTAATAATGCAGTGACTCTCAACTTTTTAGAAATTGAGCTTTGCTTTCAAAAGTATTCTTCCTGGGAACCCCAATATATAGATGAGATAAAAGTGGAAGTCTGGTTGGAGAAGAACCTGCATCTCATTTTCCCCTGGCCACCTCATTCCCTCCTTCGTGGCAACTCAACAACACCCCCAGGGACCCAGAAGGCTCTGGGGTTGACTGAAAACTCCTGTCACAGTGAAGACAAGAAATAAATGAATTAGGTAGCTGTGGCAACAAACACCAACAAAAGGCAATTGCTTAACACAACAAAAGCTTTTTGCTCATCCACACGAAGCCAACTGTGGGTCTGGGTAGCTCTTGAGGCAGCCGTCACATGGAGTGGCTCAGCGCCCCTGGTGTTCTTGCAGCACCTCTGTTCCAACACCTGCCTCCACGATGGGCACAGCGAGAGACTTGTGTCCCTGCTTTTAAGTGCTTCCACTCAGAAATGACACATGTCACTTCCCATTCCAGCTCATGCAGGGGAGCTGGGAAATGTAGACACCCATGTGCCAGGAAAGGGAGGAGAGCCAGAAATACTGATGTATGTCCTGATAAGCTTAATAATGTTTATCACAACAAAAAAGGCTTATTAGATGAATGAGCCTTGCATTACATTGACTGAGTGCATTACAGCCTATAGACTAGCACTCTACCTAGTTTATATCTTCTAGGTAAAGAGTCACAGGAGTCACAGGTTTAAAAAAAAAAAAAAAGAAAAAAAAATAAGATCCAAGACTGGCTTGGGGTCTCACAGCTAAGATTTAGCTGACCCTGGAAATTCCAGTCCCAGATCCACAGCCCTTGTTTCTACAACAGAGATCCAGGGAAGGGGAAGGAAGAGCTACTGAGAGAAAATCAGGATGAATTGGTCAGATAAATGCATATGCAAAAAGAAATAGTAAAAATCGCTCCCCAAGTTTTCTCACTTAACGAAGGAGAAATGGGAGACAAAATGTAACCGAAGGGCAGGGCTTGGGAGGAAGATAAACTCAATGCACCCCCCACCCCCCTGCCCAGTCTACCGTATTTCAAACAAGTGAATCATCCCACTTTGGGTATCAGGTTGATGGATTTCAAGACAGGCTGGACCAAAGAGGAAAGTTCACTGTAATTAAGTAAATATGTGCAATTTGTAAGGACAATTTGCATGCACGCAGCACTATGCTGTTTACAAAGCACTTTCATATGCAGGATCTCATCTGTATTCAGAGGCTCACTGGTGCCCTAGGCAGGGATGATGTTATCCTGGAGTAACGGCGTAACTTAGTCTGTGAATGACACAGGACACATTCTTGGCAACTCTGTAGGACAGGGCATTTGGTCCAGACAGGACACTCACCGGGCTACAAGGTCTAGCCCCTGCTCCGGGAGGTGGGGATCCAGTGAATATGGCCCACCTCTTGTTGATCCACATCCTCAGAGCCTGAGGCTTAGCCCCAGACACCTCTAGCCAGCCTGTTTCAAACCTTTGCTCTCTAGGCTTCACCGAACAGGGAGCTCAGATAATTTTACCACCCAGGACATTCAAAGTGGTTGTGTTGGCCTGAGAGAGGGCAGGTAGGTGTGGCCATCAAAGTTGAGGGTGATCTTACATTGTCAATGGGACTGCTCCCCTTCCAGGGTCTGGAGAACGGGGCAGTGCATCACTCCCACCGACAGAGAAGGGACAAGCATAAGCTGGGCAGAGTGTCAGAGCCAACATCAGAGGAGGACTCTAGTCCAAGCAGGGAACAGGTAGGCAAGAAAGACATCAGAGTAGACACCAGGGTCTATAAAGTGGGCTGACAGGGAGCAGGAGGAGATGGGCCAGGTGACCTGCCATTGTGGCCGGTCTGGTCTCATCAAAGTCCTCCTCTCTCCTCCCTGCCCTTGTCTGGGTAATCTGGAACAGAGCTGAGGGGCCCTGCTAGGAGGGCAACAGTGCCTCTTGCTGCAGGGTGCTGCAGGGAATCACTCAGGACATGCCTTCTGTCTCTGCCTGCTGAGGCTCTTGGACTCCTGGACTCCCCACATCCCAGTGAGAGACAGAGCTGCTGGCCAGAGCTGCAGACTCCTCGATTGTCCCGGTGCTGGTCTGAGAGCCTCCATCTCTTTATCTGGAACATGACTCCAACCACTTCACCTCTCCAGGACATCGTTTCCCTAGCTACTGAGGATGAATTTTGCTCACTTTCCTTTCTTGGCAACCCAGTTCCTGTAAGAACTGCTTTGAAGCTCTCCGTCTGCCTTGGATTCATGGCAACTGACAGGCTGGCTCCTCAGGCATTCTCATCACCTTCCAGTCTCAAGCAATTTCCTTTTAATTCAAAGGTGCAATGGAAATTCTCACCTCTCCCAGAGACACAGAGCCCTAAGGTTGAGGGCAGAGATCTAAGCCCAGGTAATCAGGGAACAGGTGACCTCTTGGTTAAATCTGGTCTCAGTACTCGGGAGCAAAAGCCTCCTCCCCCTTCAGGTGGGCAAATCTTTAAGCAGTGTTCTCAACCCTAGATATTCATTAGAATCACATGGTGTGTTTTTAAAAATCACTATCTAGACCCTTCTCCCACCACCACCAATTAAATTAGAATGTTAGGGGTTTAAGTCCATGTATTCTTATTTTTTAAAAACTCTCCAGATAATTATAATGGATAGGTAGTTTCCTGCTGACACATCAACTCTTCAATTCATTCTGCTAATCTCAGCCTATGCATTACTTTGTTCCAATCTTTTTATTAATTATTGCACCTTACAATTACACGGTGCCAAAGAAAGCATGTTCATATGAATGTTTTACTAACTCTGTGAGGCCAGTGCTCGTCCATCTTACTTGGAAAGAAAGGGTCTAGGTCCTATTCACAGTTACATCCCTGCCATGTTTCACAACATCTAACGTGCAGTGAGTACTTAGTGTCTATTGAATTGTAAGATTGCTATAGCATGATTTTATTATTATTATCATCACCATTTTAAAGTTGATGAAACTGAGGCCAGGTGAGGTAAAGTGGCATTGCCTAAGATTATACAGCCAATTGAAAGGAAAGGCCAAGACTAGAACCCAGATCTTCTAAGTCTGGTGTAATTTCCAGACTCCTCTCCTTTCATTCCTCTCATCAGTCTTTTCCCAGGTCTGCCCATAGCCTCACATTAGTCTTGACCCTGTTTTTCAGGAATATGAAGGTTTCTAAACCCTGGGACACAGGTGTGAGAAGCACCAATAGACGTGACCACAGCCAAGGAACACACCCCCTTGTCTGGTCCTGTAGCTTAGCTTAGACAAGAAACAAATACAGAGGAGCAAATCTGAATTGTGTACTTAATAAATGATTGTGGATAATGATGGTTGTGGCAGTTATGGGAAGAATAGGCCATTGGATGGGCTACCCCTCTATCAATAGATCAAGTATTGTGTCCCGTGGTGACAGGCCCAATTACCAACTGGCAGGCGTATGAACAACATTGAAGGAATTTCCACAGAAGAAAGGTTCTAAACCCACGGATACCTTGATGTCCTCAGTTTCCCCTTTGGGAAGTGAACACCTGCTCTTTGATATGGCCTTGCCTTGAAAGAAATATAAAGGATTCTGGAAAACAGCTTGGGGAAGTGCAGTGGTTCTCAGTATATGGTCCCTGAGCCAACAGTGTCATCATCACCTGGGAACTTGTTAGAAACACAAATCTCCATGCCGCCCCAGACCTACTGAATCTGAAACTCTAGGGACAAAGCTCAACAATCTGTGTTTTGTCAAGTGTCTGATGAAGACTAAACTTTTAAAACCACTAGTGTGGTGGGTAGGGCACCAACTTACTGGTTAGATACATCTGCCCTGGAAGCCCAACTCCAGTATTTACTTGGCGAGTTGCCTGGCAGTAAGAAGAAACAGAATACAGTCATCCCTTGGTATCACCAGAGGATTGGCTTCGGGACACCCATGGATCCCAAAATCCACAGATGCTCAAGTGCCTGTTATAAAATGGTGTAGTATTTACACATAAGCTACACACACCCTCTCGTATACTTTAACTCATCTCTAAATTACTTACAATATCTAATACAATGAAAATGCTGTGTAAATAGTTGTTATATTGTATTAGTTGTTTTACTTGTATTATTTTTACTATTGTATTGTTATTGTTATTGTTTTCTCTCAAAATATTTTTGATCTGAGGTTAGTTGAATCCACGGATGTGGAACCCACAGATATAGAGGGCCAACTGTGTATGTGTATGTGTGTGATGTGAAATTTATATATATATAAATTTATATATATATATAAATTTATATATATATAAAATCTCTCTCTCTCTCTCTCTCTCTCTCTCTCTATATATATATATATATAGAGAGAGAGAGAGAGAGAGAGAGAGAGTGAGAGAGAGAGAGAGCAAGTTCTGAACATGTGGGGGAACCCACTGACCTCCACATTTGTCCTGGCAAGGCTTTTCACAAGTGCCTTTCCACCCTAACACCCACAGCTGCCTAAGAAATCATCAGGCTTAATCCAGTCTTGCCCAATATTCATGCTTCCCTCAGTCACCATGCAAAGCACAAAACCACAGGTCATTTCTAATT
The DNA here is from genome assembly GCF_000001405.40 of Homo sapiens. Classification (NCBI taxonomy): domain Eukaryota; kingdom Metazoa; phylum Chordata; class Mammalia; order Primates; family Hominidae; genus Homo; species Homo sapiens. The sequence continues at coordinate 222,110,786 of NC_000001.11, forward strand.
CCTGGCCTCTATACCCATATATTCCATATGTCACCAAATCTCACCCCATTACCCTTTTCTCTTCAACCGTTAAACCTTCCATCTGAAACTCATGGTCAATCATTAGCAAGATCTCCCACAGACCCAACATCTACTCCTGCACCAATTAAAACACAACTCTATCCACTGAAGACGCTAATTCTCCTACAAACCTCTAAAGTAGCGGCTATTTTCTTTCCTACAGGCTCCCCCCTTTTTTTTTTCTTTTTTTGAGATGGAGTCTCCCTCTGTCTCCAGGGTGGAGTGCAGTGGCGCGATCTCAGCTCACTTCAACCTCCGCCTCCTGGGTTCAAGCGATTCTTGTGCCTCAGCCTCCCAAGTAGCTGGGATTACAGGCACGTGCCACCACACCAGCTAATTTTTGTATTTTTAGTAGAGGCGGGATTTCACCATGTTGGCCAGAATGATCTCGAGCTCCTGACCTCATGATCCGTCTGCCTCAGCCTCCCAGTGTGCTGGGATTACAGGTGTACGCCACCATGCCTGGCCCCCACACCCCTTTAAATTCTGGGTCTGGATGTGGGGCAGGTGTCCTTGTTCCTTATTGCTGCTTTTAGACAATAGTCTCTGTCTCCTTCCTAAAATTTTCAGCTGTTCTGAAGCTGAGGCCATCAGACCTGCTGCTACCTCTCATTGTTGGACTCATCTACAGAGGTGCTTTTCAAATTTAAAAATGCACATGTGAATCACCTGGGGAGCTTGTTAAACTGCAGATTCTGCTTTAGTAGATGTTGGGGGAGGCCTGAGATTCTGCGGTTTAACCAGCTCCCTGTGATGCAGGTGCTGCTGGTCCAGGGACCTCCCATTGTACCAGTAGCAAAGATCTGCTGGTTTCTGAATCACTCTTCCTCATTTCTTGATAATTTTATTACCTGGATCACTGTCTTTATCAGTGATCAGTGTCTTTCAACACTGCTCCTGTCATCATTCTTTGTTATTTTAACAAAAATAAACATAAACAATCCATCCAAAACCCTGGCCTCTCAATTTGGTTTTACCTTTAATTATCTTCTTTTTTTTTTTTTTGAGATGGAGTCTCGCAGTGTGCCCAGGCTGGAGCACAGTGGCATGATCTTGGCTCACTGCAACCTCCGCCTCCTGGGTTCAAGCAATTCTCCTGCCTCAGCCTCCTGAGAAGCTGGGATTACAGGCATGTGGCTAATTTTTTTTTCCTCATGCCTGGCTAATTTTTTTTTTTGTTTTGTATTTTTGTAGAGATGAGGTTTCACCATGTTGGCAAGGCTCTGATCTTGAACTTCTGACTTCAGGTGATCTGCCTGCCTCAGCCTCCCAAAGTGTTGGGATTACAGGTGTTAGCCACCACGCCCGGCCAATTATCTTATTTTCTACCTCACCTCATTTACCAGCTTTCTTGGTTATACCATAAACCTTGTCATTAGCAGCAACTATAGCCCTACCATGATCTTAATTTCACATGCCCCACACTCACTATACCTGCTCCCTCCCATGAATTCCATGCTTCAACAGTGCTGTGACTCACTGAAAGTTCTAATCCACTAGATGTATAACATTTTTCTTACCCCCACCACCACCCCACACCTTTCTCATGTGTTTGCCTCCCTCCTTAACCTATAATTATAATCATTCTGTTGAATTGCTATGGTTTGAATGTGTCCCCTAAAGTTCCTGTGCTGAAAATTTAATCCCCAATGCAACAGTGTTGAGAAGTAGGGCCTTCAAAAAGTGGTAGATTAATATCCTTATTGTCATTACTAAGGAAGTGGTTTTACTATCAAGAGAGTAGGTATATTTCAAAAGCAACCTTGACCCCCAGAGCTCTCTCCCTCTCTCACAAGCACACTCTTGCCCTTCAGCCTTCTTCCATGAGATGCTGCAGCAAGAAGATCCTCACCAGATGCTGCCACCATGCTCTTGGACTTCCCAGCATCTAGAACTATGAACCAAAAAAAGCTTTTGTTGTTTATAAATTACCCAGTCTGTGGTATTATATTATGGCAACACAAAATAGAGACATGCATATACTCTCAAATCTCTGGCCTCTCTCTAAACTGGCAAAATCTCAAATTTGGTTAAATTAAACTCTTTATTTTGTGTTCCTTCAGTCAGCACATAGCTAGAGAAAAATACATAGGCATACTGAATGGTCTTGCTTTAACGTCAGTTGGGCTCATATGTAGTCCTAGTCCATTTGTTTTTCTACTCTCCTAAATTACTCTTCCTTACCTTCTACTCTCCTGTAACTCCTATCTTCCCTCTGCTCTTCGTAGACAGATGATAATCTTGCTTCTTATTTCACTGTGACAACTGAAGCAATCAGAATATAATTTCAGGAAGTGTCCCCTATACTATCTACTCACCTACCTGCATCTATGCCCATAAACTGTCCCTTTCCCATTGTTGCTAAGGATTAACTTTCCCAAGCTTTTTTGACACAGGCCAATTTCTTCTTTTGTTCCCTTTGGACCCAGTCCTTCTCACCTATCCAAGGGCACAGGTCCAGCAATTTTCCTCTCCTGCTTCTGCATCAACAGTTATTCCTTATGTGCTCAGTAATTCCCAACAATACCCAAACACACTTCCCATCTTACAAAAAAAAAAAAAAGGAAAACAACAACAAAAAAACCTTCTTGACACCTACAAGCCCTTCCAATTAACCATGCAAGTTTCTGCTTTGCCTTATAGCAAAACTCTTGAAACTACCGCCTATAGTCATCTCCAGTTTGCTCCAAAGTTTTGTTTCTCTTATTGGAGCTATATTTTACATAAGGAAGACTGAATATATTGTATAAGCACAGTTTAAGAAATAAATAGGAAGTAAACCCTACTCAACATCTCCATTTGGGAGTTTAACATGCATCTTGGACCTATCATGCCCAAAGCAGAACTGTTTAGTTTTGGCCCCTATATCTGTTCTTCCTACAGTTTTCCTCTTATCTCAGGAATAGAAATTCCAACCTTCAAGTTGTTCAGGTTAAACATCTTGGAGTCATCATTGATTCCTATGTCTCTCTCATCTCTTTTTTTTTTTTTTTTTTTTTTGAGATGGAGTCTCACTCTGTTGCCCAGGCTGGAGTGTAGTGGCACGATCACTCACTGCAAGCTCTGCCTCCCAGGTTCCACGTCATTCTCCTGCCTCAGCCTCCTGAGTAGCTGGGACTACAGGCGCCCACCACCACACCTGGCTAATTTTTTTTTTTTGGATTTTCAGTAAAGATGGGGTTTCACCGTGTTAGCCAGGATGGTCTTGATCTTCTGAGCTCGTGATCTGCCCGCCTCAGCCTCCCAAAGGGATTACAGGCGTGAGCCACTGTGCCCAGCCTCTCTCATCTTTAACACCCAATCCATTAACAAAACATATTGGCTCTAAAATCAAAATATATCCAAAACCTAACCACTGCTCACCACCCCAACCTCTACCATCCTGCTCCAAACCTCTGCATAGCAACAAAGTTGTTTTTGAAAAATGCAAATAGATCATATTACTCCTCTCAAAAAACACCCAGTGACTTCCCATCTCAGTTTAAAATCCTGAGTCCCTACAATGGTCTTCAAGCCCCTCATTACATCCCAAATCTCAGCACGTGCCACCCTTGCCCTTCTGCCTCTTCCCTTCATTCCACCACTGGCCTTGTGGCCCTCATATGCACCAAGCAAACTCCTGTCTCAGAGCTATTGCATTTGCTTTTCCTTCTGCCTGGACACTCTTCCCTCAACTGCCCACAAGGTTCAGTCTCTTCTTTCCAGCAGATCTCTGTTCAAATGACTTGTTCAAATGCCCTTTCCTGGTCAGTCTGAAAATAGCACTGCCTCACTCTCTATCCCCTTATCTTGCTTTATTCTTTTTTTTATCACATTCATCACCACCTGGTTATGAAATTACAGAGATGATAGCTGATGATAGATAGATAGATGATAGATAGATAGACAGATAGATAGATAGATGATAGCTGATAGATAGATAGATAAATAGATAGATAGATAGATAGATAGATAGATAGATAGATAGATAGATAGATAGATTTTATTTGCCTATTTGCTTTTATTCTCCCCCTAATATAGGCTCTTTGTCTCTTACTGCTTTATCCCCAGCAACTAGAACCGTGCATGGAATATATGTGCTCAGTAAATATTTATTTGATGAACGATGTGCTAGAAACTCTCCTTCTGACTATGCTCTTAATCACTAACCTATACTGTCTGCCAGAATTTTTTTTTATTTCTCCAAATATGTATAGCACACCTAACCAAACCTATCTCATAACCTAAACTATGTTAAATACTTAGCACAACATCTAACACGTAGTAGGGTTTTAAATATGTTAATTTTCTTCCCTTCTTCCTTCCTTTCCCTTTTTATTTTATTTTGTTTGTTTGAAACAGGGTGTTGCTCTGTCACCCAGGCTGGAGTGCAGTGGTCAGTCACTACTCACTGCATCCTTGAACGCCTGGGCTCAAGCCATCCTCCCCATCTCAGCCTCCTGAGTAGCTAGGACTACAAGTGCTTGTCACCACACACAGCTAATTTTACTTTTGGTACAGATGGGGTCTGGTCATTTTGCGCTGGCTGGTCTCAAACTCCAGGCCTCAAGCAATCCTCCTGCCTCGGCCTTCCAAAATGCTGGGATAACAGGTGTAAGCCACCATGTCCAGCCCTTCCTCCCTCCTTTTCTAATGGTGAGACAGAATGTACATCCCAATTTTCCTGGAACAGCCCTAGTTTATGCCTGTTGTCCTAGCGTAATTATTAGTAGTGCTCCTTTTTCTATCAAGCATCCTGTTTAGTGACAAATGATATGGTTATCCTAATATTGGTGCAATTGCAACCTGAGGTGTCCACTTAAGCTCATTTAGAGTTAATGGCCATGTACGGGGAAGTAATGGGTATTTTCACCAGACATCGTTCTTAGATAGAGTAACATATAATATGCGTTCTCCCTGCCTGCTTCACAGAGCATTTGTGAATAAAAGATGTAGAGATTTTAAATTGCCAATTTCTTTTGTTTTGTTTTTGTTTTTAAAGCTACTTATTTATTTTATGTGTATAAATTTATGGGACACAAGTATAATTTTGTTACAACTCAGGACTTTTAGGGAGATTTCAAATTTCTAGACACATGGAAAAGGATATTAATATTTTACAGACTAGTATGATGTGGTGGCCTTTGAGTCAAAAGACAGAGGTTGAAATCCTAGTTGTGAACTTTTCTATACTGCTGTCTAGAAAACTCATGTGACCTTATTCGTCTGTCAGCTGGGTCCATATCATTTCACCTGCTGCTCACTCCAGGTCATGGGACACACCACATTAGGTAATGTGAATGCTTTGTAAACTCACTGCAGCTTCTCAGTTCCCCAAGGAAACTTTGTTTGATGCTACCAACAAAGAAGTCTTCCAAGACTTTTTGGGAGTGTCATCCCATCCACCCCCAAACTCTGAAAGGACCCAGGTAGTGGGAGAGACAGAAAGAGGACTTGGCTTTCACATCTGGCTGAGTAAATACACAGCAGATGGAGCCCTGGGAAAGCAATGCACAGAAGGTGTTTCCTTTTGGAAAAATCTCTATTCTCCAAAGTTGTCAGGCCAACTCTCAGGAGGGTACAGGAAAAATGACAGGGGAAAAGTGTAAACAGTGTAAAACCAAGAATTCCTTGAAGAAGCGTTAGCAAAAGCAGTAGCACTATACAACACTGTTCAGCCCTCCTAGAAAGTTCTATGTTTCTGCAAGCCCCTGAATTTACGGAAAGGGGAGTTGGAAGGCTGTGGTGGAGAGAGGAGGAGACAGATGTTCTCGGGAGATCTGTGTGGATATAATAATTCCACTGTCTATCCCTCTGCTGGTGACATACAGCTGCCGTGGGGCAGCTCAGAATTGGCTGTTTACAGAAGGAACCTCCTTCATCAATGACAGTAGAGAAGGGGGCACCATGATGGGGTTATTTTCATTATAGGAAATGGGGGTGTCTGCCTGGTTGCTCTGGGGGTTGTGGGAGGAATATTCTTGTGGGCTGTCAGTTCCTGCCCCAATTGCAGTCTTCCATTACTCCTGTACCTCATGCCCCCACCCCACCACACACACTAACATAAAGAGAAAATCCAGGATATCCAGGGCTAAGGATCACCCTCTTCAAAAGTTTCCTGACTCTGAAAAAACTCTTTGGCTGAATATAGGAAAGTTTCCCTTTTCTAATGGTGAGAATAACTGTATATCCCAGTTTTCCTGGAACAGCCCTAGTTTACATCTGTTGTCCTACTGTAATTATTAGTAGTATCCCCTTTGGCTATCAGAATGTCCTGTTTAGTGAGAAATGATATGGTTATCCTAATATCAGTGCAATTGCAACCTGAGGTGTCCTTATTTAAGCTTATGCAGTGCTTTCAAATATAAAACATCTGTCTCTGGAGGGACTGGGCTTCCTCTCACTGGAAGTGTTCAAGCTGAAGATAGTCAGCCTCTTGATGTTTCTTTATGAGGAAATCTAAGGCACAAGAATACTAGTAGGATTGGGTGACGTCAAAGACCTTTCTCCTCTCCCTTGGAGTAAATGAGCTTGTTGGAGGTTATCAGTGATTCTGAGAGCTTCCATGAACATGACATGTATTGGACACTGTAACCTCCCAAAGAAGAGGCTACGATCTCTGACCTCAAGGTCAGAATCTAATAGAAAAACCCAGGACAACAACACATTTGGTAGGTCTGGAACATCAGGCATGAAGCAACAGTGATGAGAAATAATAGCCCAAATTTACAGAAAGAAAGAAAGAAAGGCCCAGAAAGGGAAAGTAATTTGCCTGAGGCCATGAATAAAGGCAGAGGGAGGGCATCTTCTAAGAATCTTTGGTAAATAAAAGGAAATTTAGTTGGACAAGATGGTATGAGACCCATCATCCCTTCCTAGCAGCCCCTCCTTCATAAGTGGTGGATTGTGAGGGTAGGAGTGACTTATGGCAAAATCCAAGTCCCTCCTGGGACTGGAGTACACTTCAGGCACTGTCTTCCTCTAAACCCCACCACTGCTGCTCCAGTGCAAGTAGGATTCTACCTTAGTTTCCCTCCTTCACCAGATCCCTGTCCCATACATTAGCCTGTTTGATGGGGGCTCTCACAGCTTTCAACAAATGCCCCTGAAGGACTAGACTCTACTCTTCTATCTATATGACATACCTCTGACTAGAATCATGCTCAGCTGTGGACTGATTAGTAGGAATTCCAAGAACGTCCCCTGTTGCCCCACAGGGTTAGTGCCTCCCTCCACTTCTCAGGGGTGTTCTTTCTCTTATTACATTGAAATCTGCCTCCTTACAATCCCGCCCATGTGCATTGGTTCTCTGTCTGCTATAAGTTTTCTAAATCCTCTTCCATGTGACATTTAAGAAAAGCTCATGTGTCCCTTCCTCTTTCTCTTACCAGCCACGGTAACCATCTCTAGTTCTTTTCACCTTTGTCATGTGATACTCTACCAAGACCCTCTCCCCCAAACACACTTGAGCTTAACAGCATTCCTCTTAAACTAGGGGCCTTGGAGAAAGAAGAATTCCCCAAGTTTGTTGTGCCTGGTAAATGGTCAAGGAGATCCACCTTGTCCCTCAGCTTATACATTCTGTGTCTAAAAGTGCAGCCCAGGTAGGTTTGCTTTGAAAAAAAAAAAGAAAGAAAAGCTTTGCTGAGATATATTCACATACCATATAATTCATCCATTTAAAAGTACCAAATTGTAAAAGTATACCCATTTAATTTGTACTAAACTCATGTTGTTTGGTATATTACTTTTTTTCCAGTTGTGCTAAAATATACATAACATACAATTTGCCATTTTAACCATTTTTAAGAATACTATTCAGTGGCATTAATTATATTCACAATGTCATGTAACCTTTATCAACATCTATTCCCCTAACTTTTTTTATCACCCCAAAGATAAATTCTATAACTATTAAGTAATAACTTCCCATTCCTTCCTCCCCCCACCCCCTGATAAATTCTACTCTACTTTCTGTTTCTATGAATTTGACTATTCTAGGTGTCTCATATAAGTGGATCATATAATATTTGTCTTTTTGTGTCTGGATTATTTCATTTGGTTAATGTTTTTAAACTTCATCCACGTAAGAGCATTCATCAGAACTTCATTTTTACTGCTGAATACTGTTACACTGTATGTATATACCACATTTTGTTTGTTCATTCATCGTTTGATGGACGCTTTGGTTGTTCCCACCTTTTGGCTATTATGAATAATGCTGCAATGAACACTGGTGCACAAGTAACTGTTTGAGTCTCTGGTTTCATTTCTTTGGGCATATATCTAGAGGTGGAATTGCTAGGTCATATGGTAATTCTGTGTTTAACTTCTTGAGGAGCTGCCAAGCTATTTCCATAAGAGCTGATTATTTTACATTCCCATCAACAATGTCTGAGGGTTCCAGTTTTTCCATATCTCACCAATGCTTGTTATTTAGCATTTTTTCAACTATAGCCATCCTTGTGAGTATAAACTGTTTTCTCATTTTCTCCTTTAAAGTTTGTAAAATCAATAGCTAAAACTATTAAACTTTTAGAATAAAACAAAGGAAAAAGATCTTTGACATTGGATTAAGCAAAATTTTTTAACCAGGACAAATACATAAACTATGAAAAAATGATAAAATGAACTCCATCAAGTTTAAAACCTTTTGCTCTTCAAATCAGAGTTTAAAAAATGAAAAGGCAATCTACAGACCAGGAGAAAACTTTTACAGGACATAATTTTAAATAGTTGTATTCAGAATACATAAAGAACTTTTACAACTCTGTAATAGGAAAACAAGCAACCCATTAAAATGTACATATGATTTGAACACTTTACAAAGAAGATATATGAATAGCCAATAAGCACATGAAGAAAGCTCAACATCACTAATCAGAAAAACAAAAATTAAAACCACTCTAAATTACCATTCCACAACCCACTAGCGTGGCTAAAGTTAAAAAGACTAATAATACCAAATATTTGCAAGGATATGAACAATTGGAGTTTTCATACATTGCTGGTGGAAATGCAAAATGCTATGGCCACTTGGAAAACAAAATGTCAGTGTCTTAATACACTTAACACACACTTACCGTATGACCCAGGAATTCACAGAAGAGAAATAAAAACATGTGTTCAAAGATGTATATGCTGATGTTCATAGCAGTATAGTTTGTAGTTGCCCTAAATTGGAAGCAACCTAAATGTTTCTCCACTGGAGAATAGATTATCTGAAGTTGTGGTATATTTATACTATAGAATACTTTTCAACAATAAAAAGGAACAAAATATTAATACACACAACAACATGGAAGAATCTCCAAACCGTTATGCTAAGTGATATAAAGCAAACACAATAAACTATGTAAGCTATGATTCCTTTTATATGAATTTCTAGAAAAGGCAAAGCTCAAGTAACAGAAGGCAAGTCAGTGGTTTCTTGGGGCCAGGCATGGAGAGAGGGATTAATTCCTAACAGACTCAAAAGAACTTCTCAGAGTGAGAGAGATAGTCTATATCTTGACTTTGCTGCTGGTTAAAAAAATGCACACAATTCCAAAATTTATCAAATATACATTTAACATAGGTGAATTTTACTGTGGGCAAGTAATACTGCTATGGACTGAATGCCTGTGACTCTCAAAATTCATATGTTGAAATCTTAACCCCTCAAGGTGACGGTATTAGGAGCTGGGGACTTTGGGAGATGATTAGATCATGGGACCCTGCCCTCATGACCTCATGGTTGTGATTAGTGCCCTTATAAAAGAGACCACAGAGGGCCTGGTGGCGGGCGGCTGTAGTCCCAGCTAGTCGGGAGGCTGAGGCAGGAGAATGGTGTGAACCCGGGAGGCGGAGCTTGCAGTGAGCCAAGATCGCACCACTGCACTCCAGCCTGGGCGACAGAGTGAGACTCCATCTCAAAAAAAAAAAAAAAAAAAAGAGACCACAGAAAGCTAGCTGCCATGTGTGGTTACCTTGAGAAGAGGTCCATCTGCAAAGGAAACAGGCCCTCATCGGACACCAAATCTGCCAGCACCTTGACCTTGGACTTCCCAGACTCAAAACTGTAGGAAATAAATTTCATTTGCTTTATAAGCTATCCAATCTATGATACTTTGTTCCTATATGTTATGTTTAATGTATCTGCCTTAGTCTTAATGTATCTGCCTTAGTCTAAACAGTCTGTATTTAAGGCATAATATATAGTAACATTAGAGTAAACATAGTAACATAAAACGCATAACAACAACAACAAAAACAGCTGGCCAAATGAATGCCAGAGAGTTGCCTTGATAGTGAAGAAACTGGAGAGGAAAGGCCAGGCTGGCCAGGGCAACCTCTATCCAGGAGTCAAATACCTAAGCCTGGGCCACATGTCCTGCTTCTTTCACCCTGGTTTTGGAAGTTAGTTTCAACCTCATCAACAACAACATTAACAGATTCTAAATCCTAAAGTATGCCAAACAATAAATCTTTTGTCTCATCTCGGTTAGTTCTTGCTTTGTGATTTTTTAAAAATTTTTAAAAATGTTTTAAAAATTCGGGCTATTCATCCTTTCTAAATGACCTGTTTACAAGTCTGTAGGTGGGATGGCTTCCATTCAGAAAATTTAATGTGTTATTATGCTATATGTTTGAAGGAGTTATCAATGGAAATGTTAGTTATGTATCAACCAAAGACACCACAGAAAGGAATAAAACACCTGCAGATATTTGTTAGTGCTGAGTAAACATTTGGTAGGATGGATATTTTGAGATCTGGACCCTAGGCCCAGTTTCACCACAGGCAGTAGTAAGCAGAGTAATAAGCAGAGAAAAAAAGAGTCTCCTACTCAAGATGAGCCCTACAGTCAATAATTCCAAAGTACATGAAGAAAATGAATATTAAGAAAAATAATTCACTCATCAATTGGAAAACAAAATCATGCCCAATTAAATAAAAAATAAAGCAATATCAAAATAATTTTAAAATAAACATTTGAAGAGGGAGATATGAATCAAGAACAAATGGGTATAAAATAGAACCAATTTTTAAATCCAGAAATTGCGAAAATGTAGTAATTAGAATTAAAGTGCAAGAGATGGTATAAACTCTAGGCTGGATACAGTCAGAAAGAGATGTAGTGAATTTGAAGATACAACTAAGGAATTTGTCCTGTATATCAAACACAGAGATAAAAGTATAAAAATGTGAAGGAAAGGGGGAACTTAATAAGCCTTGATACTAGAATGAGAGTTTTCAAAATACACCTGATGTGAATTCCAGATGGAGAGAATATGAGGAGTGGTGAGAAGCAATATTCAAAAAGACACAGGCTGAGAATTTTCCGTAACTGAAGAAAGGCAGGGGCTGGCTGATGGAAAGAACACAGTAAGCCTTTCAAAGTGCTGAGAAGAAATAACTGTGAGCCCTGAATACAACAGCCAGCTTCAAGTATTTAAGATTTAAAAGATGAAAATTAAAGACCTTGGCTTAATATTTACAAAAATATTTATCTCCGATATAATTTATTATATACTCACTTGCTAAGTAATAAAAGCATAAAAATTGTGAACTGAATATACCACAAATTCATTACAGTAGTTGATCTGGAAGGGAGAAAAACTGGACTAAGGAGAACATAGGCAACTTCGGTATTATAGATAATACTTTATTTTTAGGAAATTAAAGCATATACTGTACGACCAAATGTTACCAGGGTACATGGATTTTTACATTACTTTGAATTTTTAATTCTTTTTTTTAATAGAAAAACATTTTAAAGGAAAACACTACAGATCTGGAATAGTTTTGAGGAAAGCAGGAGAATTCATAACAAGTTCTTCCAGGACAAGGGCCTTGTCTTACCTTTGATTCCTCTGCATTTGGCAAAGTGTTTATCACACAGGAGATGCTCAAAGATTGTCTAGTAAGTGAATAAAAACCTACCTAAACACCTAATTACATGGGAAAGCCAATTAAAGCTAAAGACGAGCTTGTTCTTGGACCTATTTCTAATTCAATCATTTATTCATTCTCTCAACATGCCTCCCCAATAAATAGACTAGGTGCTGAGGTCACATAAATAAATAAGACATGGCCCCTGCTCTTACTGAACCCGTGTATAGGTAAGTCCTATTAAGTAACCTAATAGGACATACAAGGAGAGAGTGACCATAATAATTGGGTACTAAAGAGTCCAGCTCACCAGCTACATAGTTTAGTTTCCTTCTAGGAAGGTCTTTTCAAGCATTTTCCTTTTTTCTCTCAAAATTAGAATCCTATAGGATGCCAACGACTAGTAAAACTGCAAGAAATGCAAGCAGGAAAGGACATGGAAGGAGGAGATAGCCAAACCAATCAAGTTTCTCCCCTCTGAGAGTCCCATTGCTTCCCCAAAATACTGAAAGGAAACTGCAGGCAAAGAAAAAATATATTCCATTTCTTGGTCTAAAAAGTGTCATTCTGGCACCCACTGCCTTCTGGAGATAAGCTCTGCGCTGGCAAGGGACAGAATTATGCCAGGAAATTGAGGATGTGCGGGTATTTTCCCAAGCTGTATTAACACTTCTCATGCTTTGCAGAGATTAGAACTTTTATCACTGGCTCACACACATTAAAGAAATTGTATTAAGCTGTAATTTTTTAGGGCAGAATGGACCAAAATTGTTCCCTTTCTAAGGATGCTGTGAGATGACATGGCTGAATATTGACAAGGAATCCAAACCCTAAGTCAAAGCTCTCCCACTTTAAAGTGGATGCACCTTTCTCATAATGGCAAGACTCTTGAAGGAGTGGAATGGAAGAAAGACGTCACCATTTCCTTTTGATGACAGGCCTCTGGACAGAAGAGAAGCAGGGGTCACCAAGATAATGCCAACTGAAAAAGGTAGTTGCGGAAGTTAGGACAAGAGCATGCAGCTATGAGAGGTAAGAACAGGGTTAAGAGCTGTGCACAGTGGCATGTGCCTGTAGTACCACCTACTCAGGAGGCTGATGTGAGAGGATCCCTCGAACCCAGAAGTTTGAGTCCAGCATGGGCAACATAGCAAGACTCTGTCTCTTAAAAAAAAAAAGAGAGAGAGAGAGAGAGGGAAAGAGAGAAGGGGTTCAAATATCTGAGCTGGCAAGCCGTGGGGAAGGGTGGGAGTCAGAGAGAATAACAGACAAAATGTACAAAAGGCCAGACAGATGGGAGTAGGGGCAGGCACAGACCAAGAGGCTATGATGTGAGAACACCATGATTTTGATGTGGCCATTTATTGAAGGCTTGCCATTGACTACATTTCTTTCCAGTGCTTTAAATCCATGATCTCATTTATTCCTCATCATTACAGGAAGCAGCTATTATAATTCTATATTCTACAGGTAAGGAACATCCACATCACAGAAGTCAAATAGCTAGTGTGGAAGTCAGTCCCTCTAACTCCGCAGCCCATGCCATGATGTGACCCAGGCCTCCATGCTGTCCCACCCCACCCCCACCTGACAGGGAGCATCCACAATCTTGCCCAAGCAGAGGACGGTCCAGGGGCAATCAGCCTGAATCTTTGGGTTGAGACTGACAACACAACAAAGCCTTCCAGGGCAAGGACAATGTGTTGGTGTTTTCTATTTCCCCAGCACCCAGTCTGGTGGAAGGTCAGTACCCAGCTGTCATTGTAGGTGCACCCATAGAACCCTTGCTGGCAGGAGGACAGGTAAGAAAGTCTAGGCCATGGGGCTGCTGTTGGTCCAGGCTGTGGTAGAGAGCTGCCACTGCCAGTTACCCAGTCTACCCGATGGCTGGCTGCCTGACTGAACTCCTACAAATCAGAGATGTTATTTAGTGCTAAAACAAATAAAGCAGGCTTTAACTACCCGTGAAGAACAATTAGGCATTCCCAGAAGAGCACCAAGGTTTGTAATCCAACTAGAAAGTGGGGCTACCATCTGTCTTTATGATTAGCCCTTTTCCAAGCAGGAGAGAAAAGAGTCATTGCAGGGGTTGGCTCAATCCACAAGGAGGAGCTCCAACTAAATGTGGGATGGTGCAGGAGAGATACAAAGGGCAAGGTATGCCTCTGACCTCTAAAGTTCAGTCTATCAAGAGTGAGAAGGACATTAACAACCCAAGGGACCATATCAATGCCAACCAAGTTTGTATAGTTATGAGCCAGTCCAGAGCAGTAAGAGATCACTGGATCCAAGGGAAGTCAAGATCATCTCCCAAGAGAAAATGAGATTTGCAATGGGCTGTTTAGGATAAATAGGACTTTGGTGAGTAGACAGGAGGGAAGGGGTAGTCTAGATATGAGAAGCAATGGAGCCAAGGCACCCGCAGAGGGGAGCTGCAGGAGAGGAGTCTGGAAAGTTGGAAGAGTGGCTGCAGCCCAAACCTGGCCACCTTGAATGTCAGTCTGTGAAATTAGGACAGAGGTGTGTGCTAGCTATGGCCAAACTAGGCCCCAAACAAGTCCAAACACTGTCACCATCTGCATTTCTGCAGATGTTTCTGTTCTTCCACTGATAATTTGGCAATATTTCCAGGAAAAGGTAGGTGGCTTCAGAGAACTATTGGAGTCCCTAGTCCTCCAGGGATGAAAGAACCATAACCCTATAGTCAAAGGCAATCCAGTCCCTTTCCTAAGGGTTCTATGGGAGACATTAGCCACTGCGTAAAACCACGAGGGAAATTGATAAAAGGTATATTTCTAGAAATAAACTAGTAGAAGCATGTCTTTGGACAAAATGAAACAAGAAAGAAAATCCTAAGAAAGAAACTGGAAGAAAGAACTCTGGATATATAAGAAGGAAAACATTACAAATTCAAATTGCATATAAAAAGATATTGACTGCTCAAAGACAAAAGGAAAAAATGTATGACCACAATTGTGTCAAGGTTGAAACAGGCCAGGGTAAAGGTACCACTATTGCCATGAGATTAACGTTAGAAGGTAGAGGAAAATGTATTAGATTCCTGTGACTGCCATAAAAAATTACTGCAAATTTGGTGGCTTAAAACAACAGAAGTGTATTCTCTCAGGGTTCTAGAGACCAGGAGTCTGAAATCAAGGTGTCAGCAGGGCCATGCTCCCTCAGAAGCCTCGAGGGGAGACACCTTCCTTGGCTCTTCCAGCTTCTGGTAGCTCCACGCATTCCTTGGTCAGTGGCTGCATCACTGTAATCTTTGCCTCACTCTTCACCTGGCCTCCTCCACTGTGTCTGTGCCTTCTCCTCTCTGTATCTTATAAGCACATTTGTCATGGGATTTAGGGCCCACCTGCATAATTCAGGATGAGCTCATCTCAAGATCCTTAACTGAATTACATCTGTAAGGAGCCTTTTTTCCAAATGAGACCTACTCACAGGCCCCAGGGGTTAGGACATAGAAATACCTCTTTGGGAATTACCATTCAACCTACTACAGGAACAATTCACTTCCTCTATTTTGTTATCTTGGTTTAAGCTATATTGGACTTTGCACTGTTTCGTTTCCGTCAATGGATGAGAAAGACGAATGGCAAATATTTTATTGCTGGCAAGCTCCCTATAGCCAGGGCCTCCCAGGGGCCCTGGTAATATGTTGAAGATGGTTGGCCCTCTGGCTCAGAGAGATTTGTGATACCTTGTTAAGTTCATAATGTCCACTGGCATCATGGGAAGAAGCCGTTAAACCTTAAGCTTAGCTCAAAGGTTTACAACTTTGAGCTTCTTGCTCCAGTGCTCTTCTGATCCACATACCTCTTCTACTATACCAACCCAAGCCCCACAACAAATCATTACAGCCATTACCTAAAAGGGCAGAATGTGGATACATTTATATTCCCTGCAATGGATTTCATTTAAAGCTGGTATTCTCAAAAGGCCATTTTTAAACTCTCATCATCTGCAGTGATCTTCAAATGCCAGTCTACAGAGCAGTGCTGATGTGCCTTCCTAAGAATCACCTGAAGAGCTTGCTAAAAATATGGATTCCCAAGTCCACTGGAGATTTTTAGTTAATACATGGAGTGAAGCCCATGACTTTTTATTTCAATGAACTTCTCAGCTAACTCTGATGGGTACAATGAGGTCAAAATGTTCTGGCAGTATACAGATGTTTCTATCAATTAAATATAAAAATTATGTAAATCCTGTGAAACAAATGGCCCTAGGCTTCCTGGACCTCCAGACCCAGGCAATCTGACCCTTTGCTACCTCAGTCACCACAGTCCTCCCACTCTCCCCCTTACTTGCCACATGCAGCCACACTGGCCTGCTTGTTCTACTCCAAACACTTCCTCCCCGGGCCTTCAGCCTTGCTGCTCCTTCTGCCAAGGACACTCCTCCCCGGCCATCTGAATGTCCCTCACCTATTTCAGATCTCCCCTCCAATGTCACCTTATGAGGGACCCTTTCTCTAGCTACTTTATATGCCAATATGCACACACACTAATGCACACTCACCACTCTCTAGCCCATTATCCTGCTCTATTCTTCACAGCAATCATTAGTAATTAATAATTACTAACAATTAATACGTAATTAATAATTAATCACTTTATAGGTGTATTTATTGATTTTTTTCTGTCTCACAAGAATGTGAGCTCCTGGAGAGCCAAGGTATTGTTTATTTGTTTGCTTGTTTTCTTGGTTCTATTCACACTGTTCTTCTTCTCAGAACAGTGCCTACAGGGTGTTGTGCATTCAATAAACATTTGATGAATTCATGAATAGAAAAAAAAATCTCTGTCTATCACAAGGGGTCAATATGGAGCACAGCTTTTTAAAATACCTTCAGAGATTTAAGATAAGGACATAAAATGTCAGAGAAGGTTTCCAGCTTTAAAAAAAAAAAAGGCAGGGGGTAGAGACAAGATAATCCTCTGTTTATTTAAGCTTGAGCTTCCTCAATTCTAGTTGGGTCTTTAAAGCTTTATCAGCAGGGTGAAATGAAAGGAACTCAGCTTTGAGATTCTGGAATCCCTTGGCACATCCCAGGAAAGACTGCTGTTCCTAGAAGGAGAGACAGGAATGAGAATGAGAGAAGTGAACAAGGCAAATGTGTTCATCTCCCCAAACTGTCCTCTCTCCTTTTCTGAATCACCCAGATCCTACAGGGAAGGAGGCAGATGTATTCAGCCTTAGTTCTGGTGGCCAGTGCTGAGCCACCGAGGCTGGAGGAAGATCTGGCCTTTCAAAACACAGACAGGAATACAAAAAGCAACACTCAGGGATGATGCACAGAGACTAAAGAGACCCACAGATGGAATAGGCATTACTCAAAGGCGCTGGACAGAGAGCCAAGGCCAGGATCCGGGCTACACAAATAAAGGAATGTCAAGACAGCAAGCAGTTAAACAGTATAGGGATAAGTAAGAGTCAAAAAGCTACCAGGGGTACCAAGTAGAGGCAAAAACTTTTCATAAGGTGGTAGGGAGTTAAAGCACTGAGCAATTTTTGGCAATGTTGTTCATTACAATGGAGACCTAACATACTGGCAGCCATCAAGAGGCTGCTATGATAATCTCACTTAGAGAAAAGTATGTTTGGAAAGAAAAGTGGAAATGAAAGGGAGAAGTTTGAAAAAGTTTTAATCATTAAGATTTCAACTATACTTAGATGCACTATGAAGTATTTTCTTCTGTAATAGCAATCACATCCCTATAGCAAAATATATATGCGTGCGTGCGTGTGTGCGTGTGTGTGTGTGTGTGTGTGTGTGTGTGTTTTCTGGACTTCTCTGGCAACCTGCAACCTGTTAAATGTCTACTGCCTGACACCTTGAAACTGCTTTTTTAAAAGGTAGTTGTAACTAGAAAAAAATGTTTTGTTTGTTTTTGGTTTTTTTTGCAACAATTTAATAATTTATTACATTACAGTAGCATCACAGCAGCATTCAATAATGCCACTTTAGGCAAAAGTCTTTCAGTATTTCCATTATAGATTCTGTTTACAATAATTCATAAATTGGTAAAAGTCATTCTAAGAAAACTTGGCAAATGAAGCTTTGGAGTGGAATTCGCATTTCTTTCTCTACTTTTAAAAAGTTTCTTGACACTGATCTTGGCAAAGATTTTCTTAGATATGACCTCAAAAGCACAAGCAACAAAAGCGAAAATAGACAAATGGAATAGCACCAAACTAAAAATCTTCTGCATAGCAAAGAAAACAATCAACAGAGCGAATACATAGCTTATAGAATAGAAGAAAATATTTGCAATTTATATGTCTGATAAGGGGCTAATATCCAAAATATATAAGGAGTTCAAATAACTCAATAGCAAGAAAACAATAATCCAACTTAAAAATGGGCAAAGGACCTAAATAGACATTGCTCAAAAAAAGAGATAACAATGGCCAATAGGTATATGAAAAAAATGCCCAATACCACTAATCAACAGGGAAATGCAAGTTAAACCATAATAAGATGTGGTTTTGTCACCTCATATCTGTTAGAAAAGCTTTCATCAAAAAGGCAAAAGATAACAAGTGTTGGCAAGGATGTGGAGAAAGAGAAAACCTCACACATTGTTGGTGGGATTGCAAATTAGCACAGCCCTTACATAAAGCAGTATGAATTCAGGTCTATCAAAAAATTCTAAATAGAACTATCATATGATCTAGCAATTCCCCTTTTTGTATAGATCCAAAGGAAATGAAATCAGTATGTTAAAGATGTCTGCACTCCCATGTTCACTGCAATGTTATTCACAGTAGCCAACATATGGAATCAACTTAAATGTCCATCAACAATTGAATGGATTAAAAATAATCTGGTTCTCTATATATACAAAATGAAATACTCTTCAGCCTTTAAAAAGGAGGAAATTCTGCCATTTTCAACAACATGGATGGACAAGTAGGACATGATAGTGAAGGAAATAAGCCAGACACAGAAAGAAAAGTGGTGCATGATCTCACTTATCTGTAAAAGTTGAAAAAGTCAAACTCATTGAAGTAAAGGGTAGAATGGTGGTTTCCAGGGGTTGCAGGTGGAGACAGGATGGGAGATGTTTGCTGGTCAAAAGATACAAAGTTTTAGTTGGATAGCAGGAACATATTCTGGAGATATACTGTACTGCATGGTGACTATAGCTAATGATAGTGTAGTGGGTACTTAAAAATTCCTTAAGGAATACATTTTAATTGTTCTCACCCCCCAAAATTGATAAGTATTAAGGCGATGAACATGTTAATTAGCCTCATTTAATTATTCCAAAATGTATCCACACATCAAAACATGTTGATACCATAAATACATACAATTTCTATTTGTTAATTTAAAATGACTAAAGTGTAATATGTAACTAAAAACAAATATAATTTTTTAAAAGGTAGTTAGTCATTCTATTTATTCATTCAGTGTTTCCTAAATGTCAGACAAACGTGTTTTGCCTAGAGATCACACAGGAAGAAAGTTTAATGAAAACGGAAGTCATCACAAAGTATTATTTAGTCAAGAGCTTAACCATTGAAATTTTACAATTTATTCACCAGCTGAAAAGAATTATTCTGGGCCTCCCCTCACAGATATGACCTGGCAGTGTGTGGAGAACTGATTAGGAAAAGGTGCTATGGCTTCGATATGATTTGTCTGTCTCCACCAAAACTCATGTTGAAATTTGAGCACCATATGGTGGTGGTAGTGGGAGATGGGGCCAAGTGGGAGGCGTTTGAGTTATGATGGCAGATCCCTCAGGAATGGCCTAGTGCTTTTCTCACAGTAGTGAGTGAGTTCTCGATCTCCCAAGACTGGATTAGCTCTCGCAAGCAAGGATTAGTTCCTGCAAGTGTGGATTGTTACAAAGCTGCCACGGCCCCCAGATTTCCCTCTCTTCACATGTCTTTTTCACATTCTCCACTATGTAGTGAGCCATAAGCCAGGGCCATGCCCTTGAATTTCTCAGCCTTCAAAACCATGATCTAAATAAATCTCTTTTTCTTTTTCTTTTCTTTTTTTTTTTGGTTACTTTTAAGTTCGGAGTACATGTGAAGGTTTGTTACACAGGTAAACTTATCTCATGGGGGTTTGTTGAACAGATTATTTTATCACCCAGGTATTAAGCCCAGTTAATACTTGGGCTTAATAGTTATCTTTCCTGATCTCTCTCCTCCCACCCTCTACCCTCTGATAGGCCCCAGTGTGTGTCATTCCAGATATTCTTTTATAGCAATACAAAATGGACTAAAACAGAAGGATAAACTCTAAGTGGAATATCACTAAGATAATAATGTTTCCTTCACTCTCTTCATGATGCTGGCAGAGAAGTTAGAAGTGTCTGTTTCTGGCAGCATGGCAGATAAGATGCCTCAAATGATTCTCTCAATAAAAACAATAAAAATGCACTTTAGAAACACATTGCTAAGCTTACAGTACTAGTAAGAAAAATTGAGCAAACACATAAGGAGGTAAGTGAGCAGTAGGGTCATCTTTTGTCCTTACTATCTTTGCTAAAATATAGAGCCTTTGAGCTTCTGCTTGGAGAACTATAGAGAGAGAAGTGGGAATAGAATATAAGCCTAGAGGCTGATGAAGAGGGAAGTTTAATGGGAGGGCCAAAAAAGAGGGGGCATAATTTCAAAGCGTTATCCTTGAGTGTAAAGGTTAATGAGCAATAAAGTTGGCATGCAAATAAGAGACACATCTGTTTTAAAACTAGCATTGGGTAGAAAAAGAAAAAAAAAGTCTTACCTAGGAATTTATAAACAAAAAGTTTCTTAATGTCTTTCTATCCAAAGTCATGCATTATATGTTATTCAAAAAACTTCTAGTGAAATTTAATTCAAAGTGCCCTGGGAGAGAAGGGAGTGCAGGGATATGTCTAAAGCAGTTGTAATTTTTCTCCTGAGGAATAACCTCTAATCCAGGCCTCAAAAAATAGCCACAGGTGAAATTCCAAAAGAAGATAAATATCATATGGTCAAAACACACAAGGAAATAAGGCCCGGGGTTGATACCCAACAGAAAAAATAATCAGCACAGTCAAACTACCAAAACTTTTTTAATTGGGCATAACTAGACATAGAGTACAAAATAATTGTGTTTAATATTTTTAATTAAATGGTCCTTTTAAAATAGGGGCAATAAACAGATACTATATAGAACAATGAAGCAAATTTGAAAGGAAACCAAAAGTGTCAAGAAATAAAAATATATTAATCTGTTACTAAAAACCTATTAGATAGACTAGATCTGAGATTTTTCACAGTTAAAGACAGAATTGGTGAACTGGAAGAGAGATTGAAAAATATTCCTCATAATGTAGAACAGAGAGAAAAGAAGATGAAGAATATGAAGAAGATATATAAAGAACTGAGTGATAAAGTCTACTAAAGTCTAATTGGAGCTTCCAAAGACATGAATACAGAAGATACTGAGTAGAAGGCAACATTCAAATGGATAATGACCAAGACTGTTAAAGGATATCAATTCTTAGATTCAGGAAGTCTAACTTTCCCAGAGTTCTGTAAATTTACAATAAAAAAAAACTTCAGAACATTAGAGGAAAAAATTTATAAAAGCATCCTGAGAGAAAAGACAGATCACTTACAAAAGAGTAACAATTAGACTAATAAGACTTGTCAATTGCAATTTAAAAAATCAATAGCTTCAAAGTACTGAAAGAATATAACTGCTAACCAAATGCATATGCATGGAAGACTGATTTTTCAAGAAGCACAAAATTAAGTCATTTAGAGAAAAAATTAGAGAATTTATAACCAATAGAACATCAGTAAAATAAATGTTAAAGGATGTATTTCAGATAGAAGGCAAACTATCTATATGGAAGCTATGTGATGTAAAAATGGATAGTAAGTAAAAATATTGGTAAATAAGTGGTTTATCCTAAAAATTAACTATATTAAACAAAATAATAAGGTCTAATGTGAAAAGTTAACAAAATAGGAACCAAACTAAAGTACTGAGCTAGAAAAACAAATATATTGATAGGAAGCTATCAGCATGAAAATGTCTTGTGTATCACAAGGTAAGTAAAGATAAGCTCAGATTCTGTTAAGCATATATTTTAAAATGGCTAGAGTAACCATTAAAAAAACATAGCATGGCATATGTAACTTCAAAATATAAAGAAGGAAAAACAGTAAGAAAAAATATCTAGATTGATTTAAAGACAGATTTCAATTGATCTAAAGAAAGGCAAGAAGGAAGGCTGGTGATGAGAGACCAAAAAAAGTGGGATAAGAAGAAAGCACAAAATAAAATGGTACATATAAATCCATATATACTAATACATTAATTATAAAGGAACTAAATTCTCAAGTTATAAGAACAATACAGGCATACCTCAGAGATATTGCAGATTATATCCAGACCATCACAATAAAGCAAATATTGCAATAAAGCAAGTCACGTGAACATTTTGGTTTCCTAGCACATATAAAAGTTATATTTATACTGTACTATAGTCTACTAAGTATCTAATAGCATTATATAAACAAAGTACATATCTTTAATTTTTAGAATACTTTTTTGATTAAAAAATTGCAAACAATCATCTGAGCCTTCAGTGAGTCATAATCTTCTTTGCTGGTGGAGGGTCTTGCCTTGATATCAATGGTTACTGACTGATCAGGATGGTGGTTGATGAAGGTTGGAGTGACTGTAGCAATTTCTTAAAAGAAGATGATGAAGTTTGCTACATTGGCTCATTCTTCCCTTCACTAAAGATTTCTCTGTAGCATGCAATGCTGATTGACAATGCTGATTGAGAGCATTTTATCTACAGTAGAAATTCTTTCCAATTGGAGTCAATCCTCTCAAACCCTGCTGCTGCTTTATCAGCTAAGTTTACATAATATTCAAATCTTTTGTTGTCATTTCAACAATATTCACAGCATCTTCACCAGGAGTAGATTCTATCTCAAGAAACCACTTTCTTTACTCATCCATAAGAAGCAACTTCTCATTCAAGTTTTACCATGAGATTGCAGCAATTCAGTCACATCTTCAGACTCCACTTCTGATTCTAGCTTTCTTGCTATTTCCACCATGTCTATAGTTACTTCATTCACTGAAGTTTTTAATTCCTCAAATTTGTGCATGACAGTTGGAATCAGCTTCTTCCAAACTCCTGTTAATGTTGATAATTTGACCTCCGCCCATGAATAAAAAATGTTCTTAATAGCATTTAGAATGGTAAATCCTTTCCAGAATGTTTTCAATTGACTTGGCAGATGCATCAGAGGAATCATTATCTATGGCACTGATAGCCTTACAAAACGTATTTCTTAAATAATAAGACTTGAAAGTCAAAATTACTCCTTGACCATGGGCTGCAGAATGGATGTTGTGTTAGTGGGCATGAAAACGATATTTATCTCCTTGTACATCTCCATCAGAGCTCTTGGGGGATGAGGTGCATTGTTGAGCAGTAATATTTTGAAAGAAATCTTTTTTTCTGAGCAGTAGGTCTCAACAGCAGGCTTAAAATATTCAGTAAATCATACTGTAAACAGATATACTGTCATTAGGCTTTGTTGTTCCATTTAGAGAACACAGGAATAGTAGATGTAGCATAATTCTTAAATGTCCTGCGATTTTTTGAATGGTAAATGAGCACTGACTTCATTAGAAGTCATCGGCTGCATTAGCCCCTAACAAGAGAGTCATCCTATCCTTTGAAACTTTGAGGCCAGGCATTGGCATCTCCTCTTTAGTTATAAAAGTCCAGGATGTCATTGTCTCCCAATATAAGGCTATTTCATCCACATTGAAAAAAAAAAAATCTGTTGTTTAGTGTAGCCACCTTCATCAATTATCTTATTTAGACCTTCTGAAATACACTTGCAGCACCGTCCCCATCAGCACTTGTTGCTTTACCTTGCACTTTTGTAATCAAGATGGTTTCTTTCCTTAAACTTCATAAACCATCCTCTGATAGCTTCACATTTTTCTTCTGCAACTTCTTCTCTCTCAGCCTTCATAAAATTTAAGCAAGTTAGAGCCTTGCTCTGGAGTAGGTTTCGGCTTAAGGGAATATTGTGGCTGATTTCATCTTCTATAGACCACTAAAACTTTCTCCATATCAGCAACAAGGTTGTTTCACTTTCTTATCATCTGTGTATTCACTGGAGTAGCACTTCAATTTCCTTCAAGAACCTTTTCCAATTTTGTTGATCTTTTCAAAAAAACCAGCTCCTGGATTCATTGATTTTTTTTTGAAGGGTTTTTTGTGTCTCTCCCTCCTTCAGTTCTGGTTTGATCTTAGTTATTTCTTGCCTTCTGCTAGCTTTTGAATGTGCTTGCTCTTGCTTCTCTAGTTGTTTTAATTGTGATGTTAGAGTGTCAATTTTAGATCTTTCCTGTTTTCTCTTGTGGGCATTTAGTGCTATAAATTTCCCTCTACACACTGCTTTAAATGTGTCCCAGAGATTCTGGTATGTTGTGTCTTTGTTCTCATTGGTTTCAAAGAACATCTTTATTTCTGCCTTCATTTCGTTATGTACCCAGTAGTCATTCAGGAGCAGGTTGTTCAGTTTCCATGTAATTGAGTGGTTTTGAGTGAGTTTCTTAATCCTGAGTTGCAATCTACCCAAATGACAAAGGGCTAATATCCAGAATCTACAAAGAACTTAAAAAAATTTACAAGAAAAAATCAAACAACCTC
This sequence comes from Homo sapiens, assembly GCF_000001405.40. NCBI lineage: Eukaryota > Metazoa > Chordata > Mammalia > Primates > Hominidae > Homo > Homo sapiens. The sequence continues at coordinate 222,135,392 of NC_000001.11, forward strand.
ATCAAAAAGTGGGCAAAGGATAGGCACTTCTCAAAAGAAGACATTTATGCAGCCAAAAGACACATGAAAAAATGCTCATCATCACTGGCCATCAGAGAAATGCAAATCAAAACCACAATGAGATACCATCTCACACCAGTTAGAATGGCAATCATTAAAAAGTCAGGAAACAATGGATGCTGGAGAGGATGTGGAGAAACAGGAACACTTTTATACTGTTGGTGGGAGTGTAAATTAGTTCAACCATTGTGGAAGACAGTGTGGTGATTCCTCGAGGATCTAGAACTAGAAATACCATTTGACCCAGCCATCTCATTACTGGACATATACCCAGAGGATTATAAATCATGCTGCTATAAAGACACATGCACATGTATGTTTATTGTGGCACTATTCACAATAGAAAAGACTTGTAACCAACCCAAATGTCCATCAATGATAGACTGGATTAAGAAAATGTGGCACATGTACACCACGGAATACTATGCAGCCATAAAAAAGGATGAGTTCATGTCCTTTGTAGGGACATGGATGAAGCTGGAAACCATCATTCTGAGCAAACTATCGCAAGGACAGAAAACCAAACACTGCATGTTCTCACTCATAGGTGGGAATTGAACAATGAGAACACTTGGACACAGAGTGGGGAGCATCACACACTGGGGCCTGTCGTGGGGTTGGGGGAGTGGGGAGGGATAGCATTAGGAGATATACCTAATGTAAATGATGAGTTAATGGGTGCAGCACACCAACATGGCACATGTATACATATGTAACAAACCTGCACATTGTGCATATGTACCCTAGAACTTAAAGTATATATATAAAAAAAAGAATCTTTTCTTTGCATTTACAACTAGGCTAACCGTTTGGCACAAGAGGCCTAGCTTTTGGCCTATCTCAACTCTGAATATGCCTTCCTCACTAAGTTTAATCATTTCTAACTTTTGATTTAAAGTTACTGAGGTGCAACTCTTCCTTTCATTTGAATACTTAGAGGCCATTGTAGGGTTATTAATTGACCTAATTTCAATATGTTGTATCTCAGGAAATAGGCCCAAGAAGGAGAGAGATGAGCGAACAGCCAGTTGTGGAACAGTCAGAATTCACACAACATTTATTAAGTTCACCATCTTATATGGGCAAGGTTCATGATGCTCTAAAACAATGACAATAGTAACATCTAAGATCAGTGATCACAGATACCCATAACAGATATAATAATAATGAAAAAGTTTGGAATATTGGAAGAGCTACCAACATGTGGCAAGAGACAAGTGAGCACATACTGCTGGGGAAAAGGTACCAAGAGACTTATCACTGCAGAATTGCCACAAACCTTCAATTTGTAAAACAAGCAATATTTGAGAAGTGCAATATATCAACATAAAATAAAATGAGACACCCCTGTATTGTTAAACTGTATAAAAAATAAATAGAGACCAACCAAAAACAGAAGGACAGAGAAAATTTGAAAGGACAGAAAAAGATATATTAGGATTATTGTGACCTAAAGGAAGTCGGGGAGCTAATGTCTTTAAGACAGAAAGCATCATTGTTACAAACCAGGTTACTTCAAAATGAATTAAAAATTCTAGTCATAAAAAGGGATTTAACATTACTCCTCCCCTTCTCCAAAGCAGGCCACTCCCAAACAAGTTTTTCAGGCTAAACACTATTAAATTTTGCCTCAGTTAACTGAGTCAATTATTTGAGTTTATGTTGGCACAGACTACACTAACTGTCTTTTTAAATAAATTGCTTTTTAAATAAGCTACTTTTAATGGTTAGTTTTATGTAATCTTAATACAAATGGAAAATGCTCTTCTAGTGGAGAAAATAAGCATAGCCTGTTTCTTCTACTAACCTGTTTCTTTCTTGAGAGGCTAAAAACTGCTTTCAGATAAGAAATCTTCTAGTTACTGAATTGCTGTGATACAAAAAAATTAGCATTTCAAGCTGATAATGTCTTCAGTCAGACAAAAAGAAGCATTATTTACATATAAAATATTAAAAATTCTATGCATTTTTACAAGTATATATGAGGAAAAGAAAAAGTCAAATTCACCAGCACTCAAGAGAACAATTAGATCCAGAGAAATCAGTACAGTATAATCTTCTTTTGTATAGCAGAATGGATGAAGCAGAAGAAAGAATTAGTGAGCTTGAAAACTGGCTATTTAAAGATATACAGTCAGAGGAGGCAAAAGAAAGAGGATAAAAAAATGAAGCATGCCTACAAGATGTAGGAAACGGCTTCAATGGAGCAAATCTAAGAGATATTGGTCTTAAAGAGAAGGTAGAGAGAGAGAGATGGGTAGAAAGTTTATTCAAAGGGATAATAACAGAGAACATTCCAAACCTAGAAAAAAATATCAATATACAAGTACAAAAAGGTTATAGAACACCACACAGACATAAACCAAAGAAGACTACATCAAGGCATTTAATAATCAAATTCCCAAAGATCAAGGATAAAGAAAAGATCCTAAAAGCAGCAAGAGAAAACAAACAAATAACTTATAATGGAGCTCCAACACAGCTGGCAGCGGACTTTTCAATGGAAATCTTACAGGCCAGGAGAGAGTCACATGACATATTTAAAAAGCTAAAGAAAAAAAAAAGTGCCCTAGAATAGCATATCTGCTGTATATATATATACATATATACACACACATATATATACATATATACATATATGTATACATATACACATATACGTATATATATACATATATACACATATACGTATATATATACGTATACATACATATGTATATGTATACGTATACACACATATGTATATGTATACGTATACACACATATACGTATATATGTATACGTATACACACATATACGTATATGTATACATATATATGTGTACATATACGTATATACGTATATGTATACATATATACGTTTATGTATATATACGTATATACGTATATATGTATATGTATACATATATACATATATGTGTATATACGTATATACGTATATGTGTATATATACAATATACATACATGCACATATATGTGTATATGCACATATATACATACATGCACATATATGTGTATATGTACATATATACATACATGCACATATATGTGTATATGTACATATATACATACATGCACATATATGTGTATATGTACATATATACATACATGCACATATATGTGTATATGTACATATATACATACATGCACATATATGTGTATATGTACATATATACATACATGCACATATATGTGTATATGTACATATATACATACATGCACATATATGTGTATATACACATATATACATACATGCACATATATGTGTATATACACATATATACATACATGCACATATATGTGTATATACACATATATACATACATGCACATATATGTATATACACATATATACATATGCGTATATGTATATACACATATATACATATGCGTATATGTGTATACACATATATACATATACGTATATGTGTATATGTATATACACATATATGTGTATATACATATACACATATATGTGTATATATACATATATACACACATATATATTTCCAATAACATCTTATAACCCATTATTTCAAACTGATGACAACTTATATATACATATATACACACATATATATTTCCAATAACATCTTATAACCCATTATTTCAAACTGATGACAACTTATATATACATATATACACACATATATACTTCCAATAACATCTTATGACCCATTATTTCAAACTGATGACAACTTAACATTGATTGCAAAAACAATCTAATAAACAAGCAATGAGAAAATCAATAAAAATCAATAAATTTAAATAAATAATATATAACATTCAAACATGAAGGAGAAATAAGACTTTCCCAGACAAATGAAAGCTCAAGAATTTCATCAACCCAGAACTGTCCTATAAGAATGTTAAAGGGAATTTTTCAATCTGAAAGAAAACAACATTAATGAGCAATACGAAATCACCTGAAGGTATAAAACTCACTGGTAATAGTGAGTACACAAAAAACACAGAATATTATAACATTGTAATTGTAGTGTGTAAATCATTCATATCCTGAATAGAAAGATTAAAAGATGAACATACCAAAACTAATAACTACAACAACTTTTCAAGACATAGACAGTATAAGATATAAATAAAAACAACAAAAAGTTAAAAAATGGTGGGATAAAGCTAAAGGGTAGTTTTTATTGATTTTCTCATTGCTTGTTAGATTGTTTTTGCAATCAATGTTAAGTTGTCATCAGTTTGAAATAATGGGTTATAAGATGTTATTGGAAAGCCTCATGGTAACCTCAAATCAGAAAACATAAAACAGATATACAAAAAATAAAAAGCAGCAAATTAAAACATACCAGCAGGGAAAATTATCTTAACTAATAGGAAGACAAGAAGGAAGGAAAGAAGGAGGAGAAGGCCACAAAACAATGAGAAAACAAACAACAAAATGGCAGGAGTAAGTCCTTACTTCTCAGTAATAACATAGTCAGTATAAATTGACTAAATTCTCTAATCAAAAGACATGAAATGAATGCGTGGATTAAAAAACAAGACACAACAATCTGTTGTTTGCAAAAAAAATTCACTTGTAAAGAAACACATATATAAAGACTGAAAGTAAAAGCATAGAAAAAGACATTCCACGCAAATAGAAAGCAAAAATGATGAAGAGTAGCATACTTACATCAGACAAAATATATTTCAAGACAAAAACTATAAAAAGAGACAATAATGATAAAGGGGTCATTTCAGCAAAGGGATATAACAGTCATAAGTATATGTGCACCCAACCCTGGAACACCCAGATATATAAAGCAAATATTATTAAAGAGAAAGAGAAAGACAGACTCTAATACAATAATACCTGGAGACAGCCCACTTCCAGTGTTGGACAGATCATCCAGACACAAAATCAACAAAGAAACATCAGACTTAATCTGCACTACAGAACAAATCGGCCTAATAGATATTTACAGAACATTTCATTCAACAGCTGCAGAAAACACATTCTTCTCTTCAGCACATGGATTATTCTCAAGGACAGATCATGTCTTAGGCCACAAAACAAGTAATAAAACATTCAAGAAATTGCAATAATATGAGGTATGTTCTGTGACCACAATGGAATAAAACTACTAATCAATAAAAAGAAGAAATTTGGAAACTATTCAAACACATGGAAATTAAACAATATGCTTCTGAGTGACCAGTGGGTCAATGAAAAAAATAAGAAATAAATTGAAAAATATCTTGGAACAAATAATAATAGAACCACAACATACTAAAACCTACGGGATAGAGTGAAAGTAGTACTAAGAGGGAAGTTTATAACTATAAGCACCTACATCAAGAAAGTAGAAAAATGTCAAATAAGAAAACTAATGATATACGCTAAAGAACTAGAAAAACAAGAGCACACTAAACTCAAAATTAGTTGAAGAAAAGAAATAACAAAAATCAATGAACAAGAATGAAATGAAGAAAACAATACAAATGATCAACAAAACAAAAAAGTTGTTTTTTTAAAAAAATAAACATAATTGACAAACCTTTAGCCAGATTAAGAAAAAAGAGAGAATAGTCAAATAAATAAAATCAAAGATGAAAAGGGAGACAGTACCACCAATGCTGCAGAAATTCAAAGGATCATTAAAGGATACTATGAACAACTATATGCCAAGAAATTGGAAAACCTAGAAGAATGGATAAATGCTTAGATAAATACAACCTACCTGATTGAACCATAAAGAAATCCAAAATCTGAACAAACCAATAACAAACAACAATATTGAACCTGTAACAAAAAGTCTGCCAGCAAAGAAATGCCTGGGATCTGATGGCTTCACTACTGAATTTTACCAAAAATTTAATGAAGAACTAATACCAACCCTACTCAAACCATTCTGAAAAAATAGAGAAGGAAGGAATACTTCCAAACTCATTTTATGAGGCCAGTATTACCCTGATACCAAAACCAAACAAAGACAAATTAAAAAAAAAAAGAAACTGCAGGCCAATATCCCTGATACACATTGATACAAAAATCCTCAACAAAATACTATCAAACTGAATTCAACAACACATTAAAAAGATCATTCATCATAACCAAGTGGGATATATCCCAGGGATGCAAGGATGGTTCAAAATATGAAAATCAATCAATATGATACATCACATCACCAGAATGAAGGACAAAAACCATATGATCATTTGCATTGATGCTGAAAAAGCATTCAATAATTCAACATCCCTTCATGATTAAAACCCCTCAAAAAACTATGTATACAAGAAACATGCCTAAACACTATATAGCCATGCATGACAGATTCTCAGCTAGTGTCATAGTGAATGGGGAAAAACTGAAAGCCTTTTCTCTAAGATCTGGGACATAACAAGGATGCCCACTTTCACCACTGTTGCTCAATATGGAGAAGTCCTAGCTAGAGCAATGAGTCAAGAGAAAGAAATAAAGGGCATCCAAATTGTAAAGGAAGAAGTCAAGTTATCCTTGTCTGAAGATGATATGAACTTATATTTGGAAAAACCTAAAGATTTCACCAAAAAAACTATTAGAACTAATAAACAAATTGAGTTTATTAACTGAATAAACTGAATATAAACATTTCAGGATACAAAGTCAACACACAAATATCTGCAGCATTTCTATATGCCAACAGTGAACAATCTGAAAGAGAAATTTAAAAAGTAATTCCACCTACAATAGCTATAAATAAAATTAAATACCTATGAATTAACCAAAGAACTGAAAGATCTCTACAATGAAAACTATAAAACTTTGGCAAAAGAAATTGAAGACACAAAAATATGAAAAGATATTTCATATTCATGGGTTGGAACAATTAATACTGTTAAAATGTTCATACTACCCAAAGCAATCTACATATTCAACACAATCCATATCAAAATGCCAATGACATTCTTCAAAGAAATAGAAGAAACAATCAAAAAATGTATATGGAACCACAAAAGACCCAGAATAGCCAAAGCTATCCTGAGCAAAAATAAAACAAAACTGGAGGAATCACAATACCTGACTTCAAATTATACTACAGAGCTATAATAACCAAAACAGCATGGTAACTGGCACAAGAACAGACACATGGACCAAGGGAACAAAATAAAGAACCCAGAAATAAATCCATACATCTACAGCAAACTTATTTTCAACAAAGGTGACAAGAACACACATTGGGAAAAGGATAGTCTCTTCAATATACGGTGCTGAGAAAACTGGATATACACATGCAGAATAAAACTAGACCCCCATCTCTCATCACATTCCAAAATCAAATCAAAATGGAGTAAAAACTTAACTATATCACTTCAAAGTATAAAACTACTAAAAGAAAACATTACAGAAACTTTCCAGGACATTGGACTGGCCAAAGATTTATTGAATAATATCCCGCAAGCACAAGCAGCCAAAGCAAAAATGGACAAACAGCATCACATCAAGTTAAAAATCATCTGCACCTCAAAGGAAACAATCAACAAAGTTGATTGACAACAACAAAGTTGAAAAGACAACCCACAGAATGAGAAAAAATATTTACAAACAATTTATCTGACAAGAGATTAATAACTAGAGTATATAAGGAATTCAAACAGCTCTATAGGAAAAAATGTAATAATCCAATTTAAAAATGGGAAAAATATCTGCATAGACATTTCTCAAAAGAAGACATACAAATGGAAAATAGGTATATGAAAAGGTGTTCAATATCATTGATCAGCAGAGAAATGCAAATTAAAACTGCAATGAGATACCTCACCCCAGTTAAAATGGCTTTTATCCAAAAGACAGGCAAAAGCAAATGTTGGCGAGGATGTGGAGAAAAGGGAACCTCACACACTGCTGGTGGTAATGTAAATTAGCACAACCACTATGGAGAATATTTTCAAAGTTCCTAAAAAAATAGAGCTACCATAAGATCCAGCAATCCTACTACTAGGGGGATTTCTACCCCAAAGAAAAGTAATCAATATAATAATGAGATATCTGCACTTCCATGCTTATTGCAGCACTATTCACAATAACCAAGATTTGAAAGCAACCTATGTGGCCATCAGCAGACAAATGGACAAGGAAAATGTCATACATAAATAGCACACAATGGAGTACTATTTAGCCACAAAAAGAAGAATGAGATTCTGTCATTTGCAACCACATGGATGGAACTGGAGACCATTATGTTAAGTGAAATAAGCCAGGCACAGAAAGACAAACTTTGCATGTTCTCATTTATTTCTGGGAGCTAAAAACTAAAACAATTGAACTCATGGAGATAGGAAGTAGAAGGATGGTTTACCAGAGGCTGGGAAGAGTAGTGGGGGAGAGGGGAAGTGGGGATGTTTAATGGGTACAAAAAATAATTATACAGAATGAATAAGATCTAGTATTTGATAGCACAACAGGGTGACTATAGTCAACAATAATTTGTTGTACATTTAAAAATAACTAAGAGTGTAATTGGATTGTTTGTAACACAAAGGATAAATGCTTGAGGTGATGGCTACCTCATTTACCCAAATGTGATTATTATGCACTGTATCCCTGTATCAAAATAAATCCATAAATCTATATATCTACTATGTATCCACAAAAATAAAAAATAATAAATTTTATAAAGAATAAAAGAATTACTATAGAGGTGCAGCCACTAATTGCTACAGACTCACCACATGTGAAGGTTGCAAAATCCTTTTATGTCTACCCTGATCCTCATCTAGATTACCCAAGGCAACTAAGAGCCAATCTCTTTTTAAGTATGCTTTCTCTGTCAACAAATATTACCATGAATATTTAGCAGTGTGTTAGAATTTTGAATCTCTCACTGTTGGGACAGTCTTCCTTGGGTCTCACAATAAAATGTCTACACTCTCTATACAATGTTTGAAAGCACTAGGTTTTGGAGTCAACACATCTGGGCTTGCTGATGATGTCTTGGAAAACTTTCCTAAGCCTCAGTTTCCTCAGCCGTAGAAAAGGGTAACAATATTATCCCAACTCAATGGTTGCTGCGGGAGCTGAAAGAAATCATTTATTTAAAATACCCAACGCAGTTCCTAGAACACTGTAAGTTCTTGATATATGTCACCACCACTTCCAGCCATGACCGTCATCATTACCGGAGCACTATAGTAAGGGGCCCAGCTGGTAGCCTTTCTCTGCATTAAGCCCTCACTGACCCGAATCTCACAAAGGTTTTCTCAGTCTTTTCTTCTGCAAACTGAATCACAACAGCTTCTCTCAAATATCTCAGCTTCCTCAGTTATTGAGTGATGTTTGTTTGTTGCACATATTTTTTAAGACACAAAAATAACAATACTAACTTCCTATTCTTACCATCTAGGCAATGCCAAGTTCGTATTTTTCTTTACTTTTTTCTTTCAGGGCCATCCTTGATCCATAATTCCAATTGGATTGCAAATAAAATACATATCTTATATAGTTACACCAGTTAGATTATTTTATATAATTTTCTGCAAATCTGTGTATTAATTACTTTCTAAATAGTAGTCACATTTTAAATATACCAAGAAAAGTGGTATTTGTGTATCCTATGGTGAATTGTTTTGTAAAGCAAAGCATTCATCTTTAATATAATTATTCATTCCCTAATCTGTCTGTTTTATTACATTAAATTTTTATCATATTTGCTTAAAAGATGATCTATCTGTAGATTTTCTCAGCTATTTGAATATTATACCCAGATGATAAAGCATATTCACTTAATTCTTTACCCTAGTGCTTTCTTCTCACCTTCCTTATGCTGTGTTATACATCTGTGTCTCTCTTTGATATGAAAGGTTACTAGAAAGGTGACTGAAACTGTCACTTGCCTTTCAAATACTAGGCCTACATAGAAATCAGTTGAACAGATGATTGGAAAGGTTTAAGCTATGTCTCTGTTGATAAAAGCCAAGCTTTAAGAGAATTATAATTTAGTCTTCAAACCACTTTTCTTGGGTGAGAGCCAGTATTATAATTGTAATTAAAAGAATGATAATTATGCCACTTTAATCTATTTTACATAAATCTGAATAATGCCTGGGCAATAATTCCCAGGCAAGATGGCCAAATAGAAACAGCTCCGGTCTGCAACTCCCAACGAGACCAACACAGAAGGCAGGTGATTTCTGCATTTCCAACTTAGGTACCCGGTTCATCTCCCTGGGACTGGTTAGACAGTGAGTGCAGCCCATGGAGGGTGAGCAGAAGCAGGGTGGGGTGTCGCCTCACCTGGGGAGCTCAAAGTGTTGGGGAACTCCCTCCCCTAGCCAAGGGAAGCCATGAGGGACTGTGTCATAAGGGATGGTGCTATCCGGCCCAGATAATATGATTTTCCCATGGTCTTCACAACCCGCAGACCAGGAGATTCCCTCGGGTGCCTATACCACCACAAAACTGGGTGGCCATTTGGACAGACACCAAGCTAGCTGCAGGAGTTTCATATCCCAGTGGCGCCTGGAATGCTAGCGAGACAGAAACATTCACTCCCCTGGAAAGGGGGCAGAAGCCATGGAACCAAGTGGTCTTGCTCAGTGGATCCCACCCCCACAGAGCCCAACAAACTAAGATCCACTGGGTTGAAATTCTTGCTGCCAGCACAGCAGTCTGAAGTCGACCTGGGACACTCGAGCTTAGTGGAGGGAGGAACATCCACCGTTACTGAGGCTTGAGTGGGCGATTTTCCCCTCACAGTGTAAACAAAGCTGTGGGAAAGTTTGAACTGGGCAGAGCCCACGGCAGCACTGCATAGCCGCTGTAGCCAGACTGCCTCTCTAGATTCCTCCTCTCTAGGCAGGGTATTTCTGAAAGAAAGGCAGCAGCCCCCAGTCAGGGGCTTATAGATAAAATTCCCATCTCCCTGGGACAGAGCACATTGGGAAAGGGGTGGCTGTGGGCGCAGCTTCAGCAGACTTAAACGTTCCTGCCTGCCAGCTCTGAAGAGAGCTGTGGATCTCCCAGCACAGCACTAAAGCCCTGCTAAGGTACAGACTGCCTTCTCAAGCGGGTTCCTAACCCCCATGCCTGCTGACAGGAAGACACCTCCCAGCAGGGGTTGACAGACACCTCATACAGGAGAGCTCTGGCTGGCATCTGGTGGGTGCCCCTCTGGGATGAAGCTTCCAGAGGAAGGAGCAGGCAGCAATATTTGCTGTTCTCCAGCCTCCGCTGGTGATACCCAGGAAAAAGGGTCTGGAGTGGACATCGAGCAAACTCCAGCAGACCTGCAGAAGAGAGACCTGACTGTTAGAAAGAAAACTAACAAACAGAAAGCAATAGCATCAACATCAAAAAGGAAGACCAAGCAAAAACCCCATCCGAAGGTCACCAACATGAAAGACCAAAGGTAGATAAATCCATGAACATGAGAAAAACCAGTGCAAAAAGGCTGAAAATTCCAAAAACCATAAAGCCTCTTCTCCTCCAAAGGATCACAACTCCTCACCAGCAAGGGAACAAAAATGGATGGAGAAGGAGTTTGATGAATTGACGGAAGTAGGCTTCAGAAGGTGGGTAACAACAAACTACTCTGAGCTAAAGGAGCATATTCTAACCCAATGCAAGGAAGCTGAGAACCTTGATAAAAGGTTACATGAACTGCTAACTAGAATAACCAGTTTAGAGAAGAACATAAATGACCTGATGGAGCTGAAAAACATAGCAGAAGAACTTCGTGAGGCATACGCAAGTATCAATAGCTAAATTAATTGAGCAGAAGAAAGGATACCAGAGATTGAAGATCAACTTATGAAATAAAGCATGAAGACAATATTAAGAAAAAAGAATGAAAAGGAATGAACAAACCCTCCAAGACATATAGGACTATGTGAAAATACCAAACCTACGTTTGATTGGTGTACCTGAAAGTGACAGGGAGTATGGAACCAAGTTGGAAAACACACTTCAGGATATTATCAAGGAGACCTACCTCAACCTAGCAAGACAGGCCAGCATTCAAATTCATGAAATACAGAGAACACCATAAAGATACTCCCTGAGAAGAGCAACCCCAAGACACATAATCGTCAGATTCACCATGGTTGAAATGACGGAAAAAATGTTAAGGGCAGCCAGAGAGAAAGGTTGGGTTACCCACAAAGGGAAGCTCATCAGACTAACAGTGGATCTCTCTGCAGAAACCCTACAAGCCAGAAGAGTGTGGGGGCCGTTATTCAACATTCTTAAAGAAAAGATTTTCAACCCAGAATTTCCTATCCAGCCAAACTCAGCTTCATAAGCAAAGGAGAAATAAAATCCTTTACAGACAAGCAAATGCTGAGAGATTTTTGTCACCACCAGGCCTGCCTTACAAGAGCTCCTGAAGGAAGCATTAAATATGGAAAGAAAAAAACGGTACCAGCCACTGCAAAAACTTACCAAAACGTAAAGACCATTGGCACTATGAAGAAACTGCATCAACTAATGGGCAAGATAACCAGCTAGCATCATAATGACTGGATCAAATTCACACATAACAATATTAACCTTAAATGTAAATGGGCCAAATGCTTCAATTAAAAGACACAGACTGACAAATTGGATAGAGTCAAGACCCATCACTGTGCTGTATTCAGGAGACCTATCTCACATGCAAAGACACACATAGGCTCAAAATAAAGGGATGGAGAAATATTTACCAAACAAATGGAAAGCCAAAAAAAAAAAAAAAAAAAAAAAAGCAGAGGTTGCAATCCTACTCTGATAAAACAGACTAAGCCAACAAAGATCCAAAAAGACAAAGAAGGGCATTCCATAATGGTAAAGGGATCAATGCAACAAGAAGAGCTAACTATCTTAAATGTGTATGCACCCAATACAGGAGCACCCAGGTTCGTAAAGCAAGTCCTTGGGGACCTACAAAGAGACTTAGACATCCACACAATAATAATGGGAGCCTTTAACACCCCACTGTCAATATTAGACAGATCAATGAGACAGAAAGTTAACAAGGATATCCAGGACTTGAACTCAGCTCTGGACCAAGTGGGCCTAATGGAAATCTACACTTCTCAGCAAATGTAAAGGAATGGAAATCATAACAAACAGTCTCTCAGACCACAGTGCAATCAAATTAGAACTCGGGATTAAAAAAACTCACTCAAAACTGCACTACTACATGGAAACTGAACAACCTGCTCCCAAATTACTACTGGGTAAATAATGAAATTAAGGAAGAAATAAATAAGTTCTTTGAAACCAATGAGAACAAAGACACAATGTACCAGAATCTCTGGGACACAGCTAAAGCTATGGTTAGAGGGAAATTTATAGCACTAAATGCCCACAGGAGGAAGCAGGAAAGATCTAAAATTGACATCCTAAAATCACAATTAAAAGAACTAGAGAAGCAAGAGCAAACACATTCAAAAGCTAGCAGAAGACAACAAATAACTAAGATTAGAGCTGAAATGAAGGAGATAGAGACACGAAAAACCCTTCAAAAAAATCATTGAATCCAGGAGCTGGTTTTTTGAAAAGATTAACAAAATACATAGACCACTAGCCAGACTAATAAAGAAGAAAAGAGAGAAGAATCAAATAGACACAATAAAAAATGATAAAGGGAATACCACCACTGATCCCACAGAAATAAAACTACCATCAAAGCATACTATAAACACCTCTACGCAAATCAACTAGAAAATCTAGAAGAAATGGATAAATTCCTGGACACATACACCCTCCCAAGACTAAACCAGGAAGAAGTCAAATCCCTGAATAGACCAATAACAAGTTCTGAAATTGAGGCAGTAACTAATAGCCCACCAACCCAAAAAAGACCAGGAACAGATGGATTCACAGCCGAATTCTACCAGAGGTACAAAGAGGAGCTGGTATCATTCCATCTAAAACTACTCCAAACAACAGAAAAAAAGGGACTTCTCCCTAACTCATTTTATGAGGCCAGCATCATCCTGATACCAAAACCTGGCAGAGACATGACAAAAAAGGAAAAATTCAGGCCAATATCCCTGATGAACATCAATGTGAAAATCCTCAATAAAATACTGGCAAACTGAATCCAGTAGCACATTAAAAAGCTTATCTACCATGATCAAGTCGGCTTCATCTCTGGGATGCAAAGTTGGTTAAACATACGCAAATCAATAAACAGAACCAATGACAAAAACCAGATGATTATCTCGATAGATGCAGAAAAGGCCTTCGATAAAATTCAACACCACTTCATGCTAAAAACACTCAATAAACTAGGTATTGATGGAACATATCTCAAAATAGTAAGAGCTATTTATGACAAACCCACAGCCAATATTATACTGAATTGGCAAAAGCTGGAAGCATTCCCTTTGAAAACCGGCAAAAGACTAGGATGCCCTCTCTCACCACTCCTATTCAACATAGTATTGGAAGTTCTGGCCAGGGCAATCAGACAAGAGAAAGAAATAAAGCGTATTCAAATAGGAAGAGAGGAAGTCAAATTATCTCTGTTAGCAGATGACATGATTGTATATTTAGAAAACCCCATCGTCTCAGCCCTAAAACTCCTTAAGCTGATAAATAACTTCAGCAAATTCTCAGGATATAAAATCAATGTGCAAAAATCAAAGCATTCCTATACACCAATAATAGACAAACAGCAAAATCATGAGTGAGCTTCTATTCACAATTGCTACAAAGAGAATAAAATACCTAAGAATCCAAATTACAAGGGATGTGAAGGACCTCTTCAAGGAGAACTAGAAACCACTGCTCAACAAAATAAAAGAGGAGACAAACAAATGGAAGAACATTCCAGGCTCATGGATAGGAAGAATCAATATCGTGAAAATGGCCATACTGCCCAAGGTAATTTATAGATTCAATGCCATCCCCATCAAGCTACCAATGACTTTCTTCAAAGAATTGGAAAAAAACTGCTTTAAAGTTCATATGGAACCAAAAAAGAGCCCATATTGCCAAGACAATCCTAAGCAAAAAGAACAAAGCTGGAGGCATCACACTACCTGACTTCAAACTGTACTACAAGTCTACAGTAACCAAAACAGCATGGTACTGATATTAAAACAGATATATAGACCAATGGAACAGAACAGAGGCCTCAGAAATAACACCACACATCTACAGCCATCTGATCTTTGAAGAACCTAACAAAAACAAGCAATGGGGAAAGGATTTCCTATTTAACAATTGGTGTTGACAAAACTGGCTAGCCATATGCAGAAAACTGAAACTGGACCCCTTCCTTACACCTTATACAAAAATTAACTCAAAATGGTTTAAAGATTTAAACATAAGACCTAAAACCATAAAAACCCTGGAAGAAAACCTAGGCAATACCATTCAGGACATAGGCATGGGCAAAGACTTCATGACTAAAACACCAAAAGCAATGGCAACAAAAGCCAAAATAGACAAATGGAATCTAATTAAACTAAAGAGCTTCTGCACAGCAAAAGCAGCTATGACCAGAGTGAACAGGCAACCTACAGAATGGGAGAAAAGTTTTGCAATCTATCCATCTGACAAAGGGCTAATATCCAGAATATACAAGGAACTTAAACAAATTTACAAGAAAAAAAACAAATAACCCCATCAAAAAGTGGGTGAAGGATATGAACAGAAACTTTTCAAAAAAAGACATTTAGTCAGCCAACAAACATATAAAAAAAGCTCATCATCACTGGTCATTGGAGAAATGCAAATCAAAACCACAGTGAGATACCATCTCACACCAGTTAGAATGGCAATCATTAAAAAGTCAGGAAACAGATGATGGAGAGGATGTGGGGAAATAGGAATTATTTTACACTGTTGGTGGGAGCGTAAATTAGTTCAATCATTGTGGAAGACAGTGTGGTGATTCCTCAAGGATCTAGAACTGGAAATACCATTTGACCCAGCAATCCCATTACTGGGTATATACCCAAAGGATTATAAATCATTCTGCTATAAAGACACAAGCACATGTATGTTTATTGCGGCACTCTTCACAATAGCAAAGACTTGGAACCAGCCTAAATGCCCATCAATGATAGACTGGATTAAGAAAATGTGGCACATATACACCATGGAATACTATGCAGCCGACAAGAAAGATGAGTATATGTCCTTTGCAGGAACATGGATGAAGCTAGAAACCATCATTCTCAGCAAACTAACACAAGAACAGAAAACCAAACACTGCATGTTCTCACTCATAAGTGGGAGTTGATCAATGAGAACACATGGACACAGGGAGGGGAACATCACACACCGGGGCCTGTCGGGGGGTGGGGGGCTAGGGGACGGATAGCGTTAAGAGAAATACCTAATGTAGACGACGAGTTGATGGGTGCAGCAAACCACCATGGCACTTTCACACCTATGTAACAAACCTGCACTTTCTGCACATGTATTCCAGAACTTAAAGTATAAAATATATATATAATTGTAATTAAGAGTATGATAATTATGCCATTTTAATCTATTGCACATAAATCTAAATAATACATTCAAGTGGCCCTAACTTCACATATTTAAAAATTAGTGCAATTAATTAGTGTAAATGTATTCTGACCCTATATTTTTGACACGACAGACATGAAATGTACAACAGTGCTTGCAATCAATCAGCTGAATTACCTTCCAGAAGACATTCCACAAAGACATCTTGTATGAGGCAGTCTTCTATTCCTGGACATTGAAGTGTCAAATTAAATAATCTGGGCCTCAAGAGAAGACTACTCTGATTAGGAGTTTGAGACTTTGAGGACATGTTGAATGTGGCATTAGATTGGGGGTGCATGTGTTTGGGGTTGCTATGGTTTGAATGCGTGCCCAAAGTTCATTCACGGGAAACTTAATCCCCAGTGCAACAGTGTTAAGAGGTAGGACCTTTAAAAGGTGACTGGGTCATGAGGGCAGAGCCCTCATGAATGGATTAATGTCACTACTATCATGGGAATGGGTTTGTTATAAAAGTTAGGTCGGCCCACTCTTGCTCTCTCTTGCCCTCTCACCTTCCACCATGGAGTGACATAGCAAGAAGGGCATCCTATCAGATGCGATCCTTCAATCTTGGACTTCCCAGTCTCCAGAACTGTAAGAAATAAGTCTCTGTTCTTTATAAATTATCTAGTTTCAGGTATTCTGTTATAGCAGCAAAAAACAGACTAAGACAGGGGTAAAAGGAGGGCAGATGGCTGGCTTAAGTAATAGAAAGGGGATAGTTCAGTAGGGGTGCAGAACCTGGGATTCCCACAGGCTCAAGAATATGCAACCTCAGACTATTCTAATAAAGCACTCTAACATGAATTATGTTCTAACTCTGTTCCAGACATATTGCTAAGCATTGAGCAAGCATTTTTACCCCCTTTGATCCTCACAACTCTTCCTCAGAGATAAGCACTATAGTCTCCATTGCACACAGGAGGAAACTGAGGCTCAGAAACGTTAGTTTGCCCAATCCCATGCAACTCCACTTCAGCACTCTGCCCTTCCAGGGCCTACTCCAGCTGCAGGATGTTCTGCTAATGAGTTTGGATCATTCCATAAAGTATCTTCTTTTCCATGTCTTCATCTATTCTTTTCCTAAGAAGCAGACCATGCAAGGTCACAGATCTTGGAATGTCACACTTGTCACTATAACTCCATTCGATCATTGTGTCCTGCACATCAGCAGCCCTCCACACATAGGCTTAAAGGATGATGTCGCTGAGCACAGTCGTTCAAGCTTGTCATCCCAGCACCTTGAGACGTGCTGGGATGTGCTAAGGCAGGAGGATTGCTGGAGCCCAGGAATTTGAGATCAGTTTGGGCAATATAGCAAGATCTTGTCTCCACAAAATATTTTAAAATTAGCCAGGTGTAGTGGTCCACACCTGTAGTCTCAACTACTCAAGAAGCTGAGGTAAAAGGATCACTTGAGCTCAGGAGTTTGAGGCTGCAGTGAGCTATGATTGTGCCACCGCACTCCAGCCTCGGTGACAGAGTGAGACTATCTATTTAGAGAGAGAGAGAGAGATGCTACAAATCCTTTGTGATGATCCATGCTGGATATAAGGGGATTGACTAAGTGTTGGCTTGAGATTTCAGTTCTTTCAAATGTTTGAGAAAGAGGCACAGACCTGGGATGGATGTATACATTGAGGAACAGCCTAACACCACCAACTCCCAAGAAACTAGAGTTCAAGCAAGTGACAAGGGCAGGAGCTGGTCATAGTAATGCTTATGTCACTCTGATTTGACGATATGACATCACAATGCTGTGACCCAAGGAAACTTTGAGTAAGCTAGTTACCTGTCACGTTGTTCCCTGTATTTCCCTTAAACAGGTCTCTCTCTGACCCTCAGGTACTTTTAAAATACACATTCTTCGTTTCTCATCTTCTAAGAACTTATAGTGTAAGATAATTTATAGTGTAAGATAATATAGTGTAAGACAAAAAGGATATAAGGATATACAATTTCAATAGTTTTTCTTCTCTTCTTTTTGTCTCTGTTTTGGGAGCAGGTAATAAAAGTAAAAATAATAATAACAATAATAAGACTTGTGGGAAACCTGACTCGGAGCAGCTAGTCATGGATCTCAGTGTGAATAACGAAGTTCCCTGGCTTACGTCTGGTTGTTGGTGTAGCCATGCCTTTATACGGTTTCATTTTTCTAGAATGCATTTACCACCTTTTTTCACTTGGTATCTCACCAGTTAGTCAACAGAGTCTGCTCCTCCACGGCGCTCCGTGTCAGGCCTGGCGCCACCCCGTGCTCCTGCACTGTCCTCAGCCTTCCTCTGCCAGAGCCTGCACCACACACAGCATCGCATCCTCTGTTCGCTTCTTTGTCTCCCCTCCTCCTCAGTGAGATCCTCGAGAGTGGTGCAGTGTCTTACTCTTTGTCTCCACAGATATTGGCAGAGTACCTGGCATATGATTACACTCAATTATGATGAACTGAACTGCTCAAGGAAAGAGTTGGTGGAACAACTTTAAGCCTAAGAATGCACGGATATATTATGCAGTCTGGAGGATATCAAATAAGTACTGTCTGTGCCTTCTTTTCCCCAAAGCAAACCATTCCCATATCAAGAATTCTGGGGTAAGGATTTGCCCTCTTTTTAAGCTGACAAATCCCAGCATATGTCTCTAATGCACAAGTGGGATATGACTGAGAGCTCTAAGAGATCAAAGCTGTTAAAAATTGATTTTAGTGGCCAGGGGTAGTGGCTCATGCCTGTAATCCCAGCACTTTGGGAAGCTGAGGCGAGTGGCTCACTTGAGGTCAGGAGTTCGAGAGCAGCCTGGCCAACATGCCAAATCCCAGTCTCTACTAAAAATACAAAAATTAGCTGGGCAGCATGGTGGCATGCACTTGTTGTCCCAGCTACTCAGGGGACTGAAGCAGGAGAATTGCTTGAACCTGGGAACCAAGAGGCTGCAGTGAGCCGAGATCACGCCACTGCACTCCAGCTTGGACAACAGAGCAAGACTCCGTCTCAAAAAAAAAAAAAAAAAAAAAAAAAAACAGAGAGAGAGAGAGAAAAGAAAGAAAATTGACCTTAGAAATGGAAAGAAACATACAAAGTCAACAGAGGTACTTTGATCCACCAAGGAAGAAGTCTGAAAGGAGACCTGGAAATAGGCAGGAATCCAGAGAGTATTGTTTTGGTATTAGAAGTTCTCAAGAAGAGAAGCCATGGGCCATGAGCTCTTTTAAAAGTGGGAAGTTAGAAAACTAAGGCCTTGGTGGTAGGGTTACCAGATTCAGCAAGTAAAAATATGAGATGGCTAGATAAACTTGAATGTCAGATAAATTTTAAAAAAATTTTTCTTTTGTCAGTATGTTCCACAGGGTATCTTGTGTTTTATCCAGCAACCCTACCTGGGGGAGAACTTCTGGGAATGTATCCAGAATAACTTAACACTGGGAGTTGACTACCAATTCCAGGTTTCTCATGGAAGAAAATATTTATCACTGTTCCCTATCCAAAGTGGTGGAATGAACAAGAAGAAATGGGGTCAAATCAAAGACTGAGAGTTCATTTGGATATTCACTAAACCCCTCTTATGTCCTAGCACTTCAATAAAAATTATTTCAAACATCTCCCAAAATTCTGAAATGTATAAGTTGTATCACTTAATGTCAAGGTAGTTGATGCTCAAAAAGCTAATAGGTGACGGAGGCAAGAATTTCCAGCCACTCCATCTGGCTCCAAAGTCATCCCTGGGTTACCGCTGACTTTCCACTATCCCCTCTCCTTTCACATCTCTGTACCTTTCCTGAACTCTGAGATCTGCCTTCTTGTTTGGAAAATAAAGACATCATGTTCTTGTTTAGGAAAAGTTTTATTTCAGGAAAAAAAAGTCCTGGGTGCATTTTATAGAGTGGATCAAATAAGGTCTGGTGCCAGGAGAGCGCTATGGCACATCCCTAGACCCCCACGGTTCTTACTGCTATCCTAATACTTCATGCCTGTGCCTACTTGAAAGAAACCACTTGGGAACATTTTTTACTTTCCTTCAAGTTTCAAAATTCCTTGAGAAAAATAAAACTTAAGCTCTTATAAATAATTTAACACACTCCAAAAGTTATAGACAGGGCCTTCCTGTGTACCTAAGAAGGTAGTAGCATACAAGGAGTGAATTCATGTTACCCAAGGGTCTTTTCCCAAACCTCTTCCTGCTGGCTCCAGGGGGAGAGAAAACCTGTCTATTGTTTTTGAATTCCTAAAGCCTGGCACAGTGCCTGGGACACTGCTGATGCTCCATATATATTTGTGGGTATGAACTGTCTCAATACTCAGGTGTCCCAAATTGCATTCATTCTTTTAATTTTGGAGTTTAGCCTGTTCATGAAAAGAACAAAAATTATCCACATGCTGACCTGAAAGAGTTCTGAGCTTTTTCCAGAAGGCAGGAAGGTGGGGGAACAGTCTCTTAAGAGTTAGGAGAATGTCTTACAGACACATCCAACAGACGGGCTGAAAAGGGTGGGCGCCGAACCTGATTGACAGGTTGAAAGCCCCAGCCTGCTACTTTTTGGCTGGTGGCCTTAGGCAAGTAACTTAGCCACATTATTTTTGCCTCATTTTCTTCACTCGTAAATGGCATCAGTAACAGTACCTCCTTTACCAGTTTGTCTTAAGGATTAAAGAAGAATCTTAGAACAGTACCTGGCTCATAAGTGCTCAAATGAATGCTAACTATAGCTTTTCCCAAGGAGAAGATCAAACTGAAGTCATCTTCAGAAAATATTCTCAACTTTGAATGAAAGCAAAATTTTGATGTTTGAAATGTGTCTCTTTAACAGTCAACACAAATGACTAAAATTTGGAACTTTAGGAGGAAGACGGAAAAGGAGACAGTAAAATGCAGGAGAATATTAGTGCCCCCCAGGCTGGTGGCTGCTGCCTGCTCCATGGTGCCCCCAGGCTGGAACTCCTATATCTGTCTCTCTGCACACTTACCTGGTTAGATAGCACTGTTGGTGTCCTGGGTGTGTGCCTGGCACTCATTTGTGAGTTCCTGAAGGTCAAGGCTTAGAATCTTCTTCACTGTGTTTCTAAAACCCTACATGGAGCTAGGCATGTTACAACAGGCTTATAATTTGTTATTTTATTCATTCAGCCAAGGTTTTTTATTTTTTTAGCTTAGGTAATTTGTGTCAGGCCCTGAGCTAGGTGTGGGGAATAAAATAATGAGCACCCGGACACACAGCTTTTAAGGCATCTTAGGAGACTGGGAGTGATACAGGATGGCTCTCACCCTCTCCTGTCCCTCTCCTCTCTCAGGGCTTGACTACCATCCCCTACCCCACCCACCCCCCTTCACACAAACACACACACACACACACACACACACACACACACACACACACACTACACTACCACCATCAGGAAGCCTTCCTGGCTTGATGCCAATTTAAATTACAAATACATGTTCATTTGTGCATGCTTGGCTCTCAAATTCTACAAATCAGAACAGGATTAAGATAAGTCTTGAGAGGAGCAACTCAAGGTGTGTCTACAGCACCTTCCCACTAAAGCCATGAATCTCCCTAAAGTTTGTCTCCTTGATTCACCCACAAATGCAGATCAACCACTAACAAGGACTCCCTCCTTGATCAAACTTTAGTCAGGCTCATCTGAGCTCCTTGGCTAGGCCTCGTCCTTGGCCTGCTGAGCCAAGTTGTAGCAAAGAATCTTGCTAAGCCAGTGTATGGAGAATCTCCTTCACCCTTGATACCTTGACATCCAATCAATCTCTTCTTCCTCCATCCTTAATATCTAATCAAGTTCCTTTCCTCCCACATATCCCCAACCCTTAATTCCTAGCCAAGTTCCTCTTAGCAATTTTCCATGCACTTCCTCAACCTACCATTTTGCTATAAATTTCCACTTGTCCCTGTTGTATTCAGAGTTGAGTTCAATCTCTCTCCCCATTGCAATAGCCTTGCATAAAGTCTTCCTCGCCATTTTTATAAAGCATCTGAATAATTGCTCTTTAATGCTGCCTTCCCTTTGCCTGCCAGGCCCTCAGCTCAGTCTTGAAGACACAGCAGAAAAAGGGGTGGCTCCCACCTGACTCAGGAGGACCCCCCTTCTACAGAGTGCACCACCTCTGCCTAGCTACTTGGGGGGCAAAGCCAGGTGCTGTGTGTTTACATTCCCTGCTCCATCCTGTGCCACTCTATTGTGGTTGAGGATGTTCAGGGATCCCCAGTCAAATGTACTGTTCCGTTCCCAAATCAACCCAGTTTCAGGAGGAAACAGAACAATTCAATAGAAGAATCCAGAATAAAGTTAGAAATTGTTTCTTCCTCTTCACACCTTTACATCATAATCTTGAGTGTTACTGCCTCAACCCAAAAGTCAGAAGTTTGACTACAGAACTTACTTGTTGTAGCAGCTATTAACATCCGAAGTAACTCAGTGGCAGTGCTTTGTACACTATGAAGCAAAGGATTCTTGTTATTTTTATAATTGGTGGCCCTCACAACCGTACACTGTAGACATCCAGCTCTCCCATGTCCTAAAATCCTTTTGCTTTTTCCTGAGGAAAAATCCAAATATCCAAAAATTCACCACTCCAGTAACTCTCTTCCTTCTTCAAAAAGTCCCCCATTTTTTATTCTCCCAAGGGACCAAGGGAAGGGGGACAGAAGGTGGAGCTAGGGATGGAATATGGACGGTAAAAGATGTGGCATCTGTGGGGTTGCTGTCTCTGCCCCTGGCACTGTCCCCCTTCTCCAGGGTAGAGCCATCACATGCTACAGGATGAATTCCATTATCTTATAGGGCAAGAAGTTTTACCAAACAATTCCCCAGCATGTTCCCTTGAAAGCCCTGCAGAGTATGAAGCCTCTGTTATATCCAGAAACCTGGGAATAGGAGGCAAAAAGGACAGTTCAGGGGAGTGTGCACTGGACCATGGCCTGAGCACACAGGCTACAAAGATTTCTTCCCCTGAAACTGTGGGGCCTCTGGCTCAATGGGCAAGAGGAGAAGGGTTTGATTCTTGCCTTGGCTTTGGTGTGCCAAAGCAAGGACAGTGAAAGTCAGACAGTGAAAGGACCAGGGGAAAGAAAGAGGCTCAGGCCAGAGTTCCAGACCAAGCCTATTCTCCACTCACTGCGACTGGCCAGGGGGCACTCAAGGGGGTACTCCCTGTAGGACACATCAGCAAGGGCCACTGGGCTCTGCCTCAATAGGCCTTTGGGTCCCATCTGCAGCATCCCCCTTTGCTGATACAAGTGTTGGGTCACCTCCAGGTCACTGTTTGGTCCGTGTGATATCCTCGACCATCTACTGTTGAGCACTTTACCCAGGAGCTTAGGATCCTCCTTCTGTACCAGGAATTCCTTCTCTCTTACTGGCTTTTCCTTCTGAAAACTGTCCGCAATTTCATCCTTTCTGAATATTTGGACTGTGTCTAGAGTTCGGTTTGCAGGAACTTACCTTTGTGTCATCACTAAAAGGGAGACACCTTCTTATGTATCTATTTCTACCCTTATACTCTGGGAATCCTCACAGCAAGCAGAATTCTGTCTCTACTTGTTACTAGTTATTTAACTTTTCTAAGCCTTAGCTTCCTCAGCTATAAGATGGGAATAATATTGTTTTACAGAGCTGTTTTAAGAATATATATCAAAGAACTTAGCATAGTTAAGAACTTAGCATATCACCACAGATATCCAGAAGATGTTAATTGACTCAGCTCCTTCTTCCTGGTGGTGACCACCTTCTGGAGTGTGTGATTGGAGGCCTTCCAGAGACGACCCTGGAGCATATCACATAGATACTGGCAGGCTCTCTGGCACCATCAATTTACACATATCAGTCTGTGGGCAAGTTCACAGATTTCCCAGGGATTTTATGTTCCAGTTATTCTGCATTATTCTCATTTATTTTATATAATAGTACACATTTAAGAGAAAAGTGGTGGGTGAAAAATTTTATTGAATTTATTTTATTGTGACCCAGATAAGTAGGAAAGGATTGTTTTATTTGAGCCTTCATAACTTTAATTTCCAACACTAATAATATTCTTGTTACACATTCTTATGGGAAACTTATATTTACATAGACAGATATCCCCAATGGCAACAGAAGTTTTCTTTGATGTCCCATTTGTCTAACATGTGCATATAAGCACACGCATATATTTTCATTTCTATTTTCACAGCTTTATTATATAATCATCTAAGTTATGTATTTCAAATGGTTAGAAAACCAAGGTGCTGCCTTTTGTGGGTAGCCCCACCACATGCATGGGGAGCGAAGAAGGTTGAGAGGCTCCACCCTAGCTGGCTCTGCTCCTGGCTCTCCTGGAAGACTGAACCCTGGAGCCTGCAACCCACATCTCAAGGTGGACTTAGGCCGTGGCACGTTAATCCTCCAGTCATCTGCACCCTCAACCTTGGAGGCTTAGCATTTGTCTTTTTGCTTCACGGTTGAATTCAAAATCAATAAGATGTGATGGAAATGCTTGGACCACTGGACCGAGGAAGTTTTCCAAGACCCCGACATGAATTTCCCCACATCGGACAAGATCAAAACAAGGTGGTCCTATGAAAGACCATTTGAGGCCAGCTCCTGAGTTTCCTGTTTCCCATTATAGAGAAATTTTGGGAAAGCCTTTTCACAGGAGATGGAAGTTGAGGCAGGATTTAAAATACATGTAGAATTTGGATAATCGAAGGGAAGGAAATAGCATTCCAGGCTGAGGTTTGGAAAAAATAATTGAATAATTCAATGTGTAAACCTAAAATAAAATCCTAAGCCCCCAACTGACTGAACAGACTTCTTCTGGGCCATGGGAAACCTGAAAAATTGAATTCCCATCCATGACAAGAAGATAGGACAGACATACCTTGATATGCTCTCCTGCCTTTTGGAGTTTAGGCACAATGGATCATAACTAATATTAAAAGAGAGATCACAAGACTGATAAAGACTTTTTGTGACAATAAGATACAAAATTTCAGTATGATTCTGGTATAGCATCACATGACAGATAGCAGGCTGTGAAGGAAATCAAAATTTTTTACCCCAAAACATATTTCTTTGACGTATTTTGAAATGGTCCTGCAAAGCCACCTCTTGTGGGGAAAATTTGCATCTGTAGAGCATCTCTCCCCATTTATAGGTCTTTCTGGATCCAGGAGAGATCAAACTAACAGTCTGACACCTTTTAAGATACAAAAAGAGACACTTATCATCTATCTATCTGAAACCTGCTACTTAGAGGCTTCATCTATATAGCAAGAACCTCAGCTTCCACAACCCCCCTTATCTTAACTCAAGCATTTCTTTCTACTGTCTCCAACTCTTTAGGCAAAGCTTAACTATTTCAATCAATTGCCAATCAGAAAATCTTTGAATCTATATATGATCTGTAAGGCCTCACTTGGAGATGTCCCATCTTTGTAGGCTGAACAAATGTATATCTTGCATGTATTGATTTATTAATATGTCTTTGCCTGTAATTTCTATCTTCCTAAAATGTATAAAATCAAGTTGTAACCTGACCACTTTGGGCACACTTTCCAGGACATTTTGAGACCATATTCCAGGGCATGGTTACTTATATTGGCTCAGAATAAACCTCTTTAAATATTTTAGACAATTTGATGTTTTTCATCAACAAATGCTTGATAACTAGTTTAGACTCTTACCTTATCTGCCCAGCTCATACTATGATAAAAGCCTTAGGAAAGAAGACAAAGTTTATCCTAAACCTTTATTCTCTATTCCCCTAAAGCACCTACCTCAAGTCTGGACACATAGCGAGTTCCTAATAAACATTATTAATTATTGCTCTCAACATCACTGTGTGAAACATATATAGGCACAGAAGGCTGGATTTTGTGATTACCCATAAAGAGTGCTTAGTTGTTACGTAAAATGAATAATGTGAACATGCTGAAACATAAGAGGATCAAATTATGCCCTAACCACTGCCTGTTCGCAAGTGAAAACCAGCGAAAATGGGGATGACTCATCTTAAATCCACCATCAAATGAACAGTGTTTCTCCATTTTCAAAGCACCACTTGGGAATTAGAGTCAAGATAGATGAACATATTCAGACTCTATATGAACATAACTGGAGGACAGGGGCTACCAAAATTGAAGCTAGTAAACTGTATCTGGAACACTCTTGCTGTTTCTGGTGGTGTGGATAACATGTGCTATTAGCACAGGGGTCAGTTTCCACTGTAACCAGGACCTGCCCAGAAAACTTAATCTCATCAGAGTTCAGGCCTAGTCTAAGACACACTGTCCTAACACACAGTGCCCCTGTCTCCTTACAAGGACAATCTTTGAAAATGCTCCACAAATTAATAATAATAACAACTTCTACTCTCCATTGAGTACCTCACTATGTGACTGTCTACGCTTCTATGCATTTAGGTACATTTCCTCATATAAGCTTGTCAGCAGCCCTCTGATGTGGATATCAGGAGATCCAGTTTGTAGATTGAGAAACTGAAGCTTAGAGAAGACAAGCAGTTTACCCAGTTTGCCCCTTAGCATCCTGCTTCCAAATCCATGCAACCAACCATTAATCTTCCTCTGCTCTCTGCCCACTTGGACACCAGAGTCCAGGCAGCCAGTGTAGAAAAGGCCTAAACTTTATCTCCCTGCCTTTCCTTCATCTTTATCTTTCCTGAGGATCCATATAGGAAACAGCGAGCTAGAGAGTTAAGCCTGGGCTTAGATGCCCCAGCAGGGAGCAGTTAGGGTGAGCAGTTATTTCTGATCTTTTCTGTGTTCTCTGCAGGTAAAGGCCTAGCATCTCATGATTTAGTGTGGTGGTTCTCAAAGTATGGTCCTGGCACAAGCAACATCACCATCACCTGGGAGCTTGTTAAAAATGCAGAATCTTGGGCCATAACCCAGATATACTGAATCTGAAATTCTGGGGACAGAGCCCATTAATCTGCATTTTTAAAGCCCTCCAGGTGATTCTGTTGCACACTAAAGTTGGAGAACCCCTGTTCTTCACTAACTATTGTTTAGTGGAATAACAAAAAAAAAAAAAAAAAAAAAGGAGAAAGAAATTAGCACTGAAGCCAGTAGAATGCAGAAGGTTGGGATTTTCAAAACCAGTCTTGTAGCTGTCATATTTAGAATCACAATATCCTATCTAGGCACAGTAGCTCATATCTATAATCTCAGCATATTAGAGGGCTGAGGCAGGAGGATTGCTTGAGGCCAAGAGTTCAAGACCAGCCTGGGCAGCATAGTGAGACCTAGTCTCTAAAAACAAAAATAAAGATAATTAGCTGGGCGTGGTGGCATGTGCCTGTAGTACCAACTACACAGGAGGCTGAAGTGGCAGGATAGCTTAAGCCCAGGAGTTTGAAGCTAGACAGTGAGCTATGATCATGCCAGTGTATTCCAGCCTGGGCGACAGAGCAAGACCCTGTCTCTAAAATGAATAAATAAATAAAATCACAATATTCTAACACTTAAAAGATAAAAAATAAATTCGAGGCTTTCTAACATAAAGTGTTCATTTCACACTAGAGAAAACTGAGGCCCAGAGAAGCAAAACATGTTGTCCCTTGTCACACAGCAAGATTGTGGCAGAGCTTTACAGCAGAACCCAGGCCTCCCCTTTCCAGTTCTAAGTTATCTTCTGCAATCCAACTTGCCTTCCAATGTCCAAATACACCCTCAATAATTCTGGCTGCTCCCATATCTGTGCTTATAACTGTCTGATAGTCTATGCATGGGGAAAAAAAAAAAAACTTTCTCCTTTTCTGAACATAAATATAAGTAGCAATTTCTTTTCTTACATTTCTACTCTGCATCAATATCATACAGTCCCAATTTTTAAAGCAATCTATCAAACATTTTATTCAAATTAGTATACAAATTTTGGTTCTTCTTTCAACTCATGGTGGGGCTAGGATTTAAATTGTTATATGATTTTTTTATGCATTTACATAATTTTTTCCTGACGAACTCAGAATTTTGTTTCTTTATCTCTCTGGAAGATAATCATCTCAGATTACTCTAATCATGATGTGCCCAGCAACACTGTTTGATTCTCTTTGCTGAGCTGTGGGAAGTCACCTCTCTAAAACTGTTCACCCTCAGAGCAAAATCCACTCTTTCCTACTCTCATGTAGCAAACCAGATGCCCAAAAATCCAGACAAAGTGAGTTATTTGTGTCCCAGTTAAAATGGCTTATATCCAAAAGACAGGCAATAACAAATGTTGGCAAGGATGTGGAGAAAAGGGAACCCTTGTACCTTGCTGGTAGGAATGTAAATTAGTACAACCACCACGGAGAACACTTTGGAGGGTCCTCAAAGAACTAAAAATAGCTGGGCACAGTGGCTCACGCCTGTAATCTCAGCACTTTGAGAGGCTGAGGCAGATGGATCACCAGAGGTCAGAAGTTCGAGACCAGCCTGGCCAACATGGTGAAACTCCGTCTCTACTAAAAATACAAAAAAAATTAGCTGGGCATGGTAGCAGGCACCTGTAATCCCAGCTACTCGGAAGGCTGAGGCCAGGGAATCACTTGAACCCGGGAAGCAGAGGTTGCAGTGAGCTGAGGTCACGCCACTTCACTTCAGCCTGGGCAACAAGAGCAAAACTCTGCCTCAAAAGAGAAAAACAAAACAAAACTAAAACTAAAAATAAAGCTACCATATGGTCCAGGTATACCATATATACCACTGCTGGATATATATCCAAAAGAAAGAAAATCAGCATATCAAGGAGATATCTGCACCTCTGTATTTGTTGCAGTGCTGTTTACAATATCCAAGATTTAGAAGCAACTTAAGTGTCCATCAACATTCAAATGGATAAAGAAAATGTGATACATATACACAATGGAGTATTATTCAGCCATAAAAAAGAATGAGATCCTGTCATTTGCAACCACATGGACAGAACTGGATATCATTATGTTAAGTGAAATAAGCGAGGCACAGAAAAACAAACATTGCATGTTCTCACTTATTTGTAGGATATAAAAATCAAAACAGTTGAACTCATGGACATAGAGAATAGAAGGACAGTCATCAGAAGCTAGGAAGGGTAGTGGGGTGCTTGGAGGAAGAGGGTGATGGCTAATGGGTACAAGAAAATAGGATCAAATTTACCTAGTATTTGATAGCACAACAGGGTAACTATAGTTAATAATAACTTAATTGTGTACTTTAAAATAATGAAAAGGGTAGAATTAGATTGTTTATAATATAAAGGATAAACGCTTGAGGGGATGGATACCCTGTGTTCCATGATGTGATTAATATGCATTACATGCTTGTATCAAAATTTCTCATGTGCCCCACAAATACATATATAGCCACTTAGGTACCCCCCAAAATTAAAAATATTTTTAAGTGAGTGATTTGTGAAAAGAACTCAGTAATCGGCATTCAAGGTGGTGGATAGTTTTCAGAATTGTAATATTTCCATCCAAATGTTTGGAATCTTATAGGTGGGTTATTGGCTGAGTTGTTTTTGTTGTACTTAATATCTTTAATTCTTCCTTTCTTGCCAAGTATTTGAGAAAGCGGTCTGTTCAGAGACACTCCCATTCACATTTAACTCTAGAGATGCTCTGGAACTCTCAGAGCTGGGCACCTTCCCAATAGAAGTGGCTCCCCAATAGAATCACTCAAGCTCTACCTTCACAAGGGCCACTTAGTTTTCAACCTATTTTAAGCTTCTTCATTTTTTTAAAAAAAGCAATTAAGCACTTGATATGCTACCTTTTTAGGAGGGGATACTGGGAAGTCTCAGAGAAATAATGTGAATCCAGGCTCTGAGAGCTTGCAATCTAAAACCAATAGCAAGAATACAGACACCAATAGGAACAGAGAGAATAAATGGATGTCGAAAACAAGAATGCATTGTGCTGCTTGGCACTCTAGAGAATATCCTGGCTCGTAGCAGTGCAAATTGCTCTTACTTTAGAAAAATAACCCAGCTGAACATCTGCTTTGTGTGAAAGGTTAAGCTTTCCTCCAGGCCAGGAACTGGAAGAAGTCCTGAAGAAGGAGAAAGCAGTAGGGCTAAATTTTCTCTGCTTGAGGAAATTTGGAGTTTCAGAGCTGTTCAGGAACAGCTGGAGGCAAGAAGAGGGGGACGAGATACAAGAAGGATGTGGGGAACTGACAGAAAGGTTAGAGAGGTCCAAGCAGAAGCTGAGGCACCAGCCAACAAGAAATGCCCTAGTCTTGTGTTACTGAGAGTTGAAGAGGTAAAGCCTAGTGTGGGTCAAGGTGGGATGTTAGAAAGGATGGCACAGAAAGCTTTCATGCTAAAGCCAGGTGGGTCATTCATGTTCTTGGGTCCAGGGTTAATTCATACGAAGTCTTTGGGACATGTAAGAAGGAAAGCGATTCCTCGATTCCTCGGGCCAGTTCAATTGACATTGTAGTTAAAACCAATTGTTCTCTTTGAAAACCCTAAAATGATATGCCAGAGCAAAGCTGGTGACTCCAAAATCTAAAGAATGTTTAAAACTACAGGCCAGGCACAGTGGCTCATGCCTGTAATCCCAGCACGTTGGGAGGCCAAGGCAGGTGGATCACCTGAGCTCAGGAGTTCGAGACTAGCCTGGCCAACATGGTAAAAACCTGTCTCTACTAAAAATACAAAAAAATTACCCGGGCGTGGTGGCATGTGCCTGTAATCCCAGCTACCCAGGAGGCTGAGGCAGGAGAATCGCTGGAACCCAGGAGGCAGAGGCTGCAGTGAGCTGAGATCGCACCACTGCACTCCAGCCTGGGTGACTGAGCAAGACTCTATCTCAAAAAAAAAAAAAAAAAAAAAAAAAAAACCACAAAAAAAATCTACTAAGTACTTTTTAGACCCAACACAGACCCTCATAGGCCAGGGATGATTACAAGAGTATGTTTTTTGGAGATTTCAATACACATCCAGTGGTCTGCGCCTAAGCAACTTAAAAAATATATTGAAATTTCAGAAATAATTGTTGAGGCTCTTTGTCAAAAACAGTGGCACATGTTGTGTAAGGTAAATGCATACAATGTTATTTGCCAAATTAAAAACAAAAAACAGGACCAAATTCTGAATCCTTCTCCTGAGGTTGACCACCGTTGTTCTAAAGCCAGGCTTCTCCAACTGTTTCCATCTACTGATTAATTCAGAAGGAGAAGAGTTTTTATGAAGCAACCTCCATGTCAACTATAAATGGTTGCTGAAAGAAAGAAAATAAAAAATATATTACCAGAATAGAACAGAAATGTCAAGGATAAACCAAGAATCAGGGTGAGTTATTAACAATCTATGTGAAAAACGAGGCCTTGGCTCTCAGGTCACGCCACCTGGAGGCCACCCATGGTACTCTAATTCCCTGCTGGGAACATTGTCCTGGGAGACCAAATCATGAATCTAAGATAGCAATACCTCTTACAAAATAGGCAGGACATGTCAAGGCAAATGTGCCATTCATGCCCAGTGCCCAAAATGGGGCCTGTTTTCCCTGTTAGCGTGAGTCTGACTCATATCCCACATACTGAGTGGGTTGAGAATTGGGGTTTTGAGAGGTGAGTCAAGAGACTCCAGATGCCCACATGTTATTTTCACTGTGAGGCTGGACACTCATCATTAGACCATCCTCCAAAAGAGCTGTGTTGGTCACTTGTTCATTTCGGTGTGCATGAACTAAATCATAATAGTTTTTAGAAAGTGTATAAGCTGCCTATTAAAAAGTCAACCTCCAAAGTCACAATAGATTTAAGACTTGCATTGTGAAACAGGTGCTTAGAAAAATCAATCTATAGCAAGAGTAAATTAGCTGATTTTTAAAAAATTGTAATCACCCTAGTCTATTTTTATTCAATGAATGTGACATTAAAGACAGTGAGATTTGCTTTTTCTTTCTTTAAGGAAAACAACAAATGCCAGAAAAAGAAGGCAAAACGATGAAATGATCTTTCCAGGTTACTAAATTATTGGTCAAATTAATTATTCATTATTGTCGATGAATATTGATTAAACACATTATGAAGAACTATTTTCTTTTATTTCTTAGCCCTCTGTCTAAGCCTGAGGTCTTTAATCATTTATGTCCCTTTTCTACCAGAAAAATGCTTGTGAAGGACAGTCTGGTCACCTCTTTCTTACTCAAAACCCCCCATAGTTTCTCCCTTGCCGACCAAGTATGAAAGCTTTCTGACATTTTCTGACTCACTTTCACTCTTCTCTTCATGCTCTACACTGTACCTTCCTGGAACTACTCACTGTTGCCTATACAAATTCCTGCATTTCCTCTAACTCTTTGCCCATTCTGTTTCCTGATCCTGGAATGCCTCTTGCCCCAATCTTCATAATCTTCACCCACTTTACATCTCTTTTTCTCCCCATCTTCATTCTCTCCTCACAATGTAAAAATTAAATATCCATGTGGATATTTATCTTTGCCTTATATATAACAAATCCCTTTTCCAGTATGTCGTTTTTATCTTGTTTTGCTTACTAGATAATAGCCTGCAGAAGACTAGCTATGTTGGTTTTATCTTTGTAACCTGGTGTCTTCCCTGGTTTCTGGACCATAGTAGGTGTTCAATATGCATTTGTGAATAGAAATACAGGGGCAGCAAGAGAAGGAAGAGGGAAGGAGGAGGAGGAGGCAAGGAGGAAGAGCAGGAGGAGAGGGAGAGAGAGAGAGAAAAGAAGGAAGAGGAGGAGGAAGAGGAGAGGAAAACTGGGAGGAAGAAGGAAGTGAATGAAAGAAAGAGGGAGAAAGAAATTCAGTTTGTTCTAGTCTAATTGGCACTTAGGAAAGTTTCAGATGTGGGCTTTACCTTCCCTTGTCTGTTCTTTCACCTCCTATTCACTTCTCATTCACCCAAACTTTGTTCCCACCCCTCCACTGAAATGATCTTGCCAAGGTCAACAAAAGCCCCTTGATGTGGTTTGGATGTTTTCTTCTTTCAAAATCTGATGTTGAAATGTGACCTCCAATGTTGGAAGTGTGGGCTGGTAAGAGGTGTTTGGATCTTGGGGGTGGATCCTTCATGAATGGCTTGATGCTGCTCTCACAGTAATGAGTGAGTTCTCACTCAATGAGCTCATGTGAAAGGTTGTTTAAAAGAGCCTTGTACTTCCCCCCTCTCTCTCTTGCTGCCTCTCTCGCCATGTGACATGGTGTCTCCCTTTGCCTTCCACGATGATTGTAATCTTCCTGAGGCCCTCACCAGAAGGAGTTGATGGCACTAGGCTTCATGTACAGCCTGCAGAACCATGAACCAAATAAACCTCTTTTCTTTATAAATTATCCAGTCCAAGGCATGTGTATGTATTAGTCTGTTTATATAGGTATGTATTAGTTTGTTTATAGTGACACAGACAGACTAACACATACCTACTTGCCAAATCTGGTAATCACCTCCATCACTCGTTTCTTGGAAATCTCTCCACATCTGAATTTTGTGATATCATCATTCCTGCTTTTCCTTATATCTCCTTTGTTCTTGCATCTCTGACCCCTTTGCTGCATCCATTTCCTCTAACCATCCTTTAAATTTGGCGATTTTCAGTATTCTTCATCTTCCCTTTCCCCCTTTCATGCTGCATACTCTCTGGTTAAACTTATTCGTTCCCATGGCTTCAAATTAGTTGCTATAGTTAATAATTCCCAATCTACATTCCTAGCCTTCTCGTCTCCTGAACTCCATCCATATCTATGTTGCCAAGCATCTACGATACATCTGTTCTCAACCACCAACTTAAGTCCAGCATATCAAAACTAGAAGTTTTTTTTTCCCAAGATGGCAGATTAGAGATTTTCAGTGTGCCTCACTCATGTGGAGTTAGCAAGATAGTACATAAACGTCAACTCTGTGAGCTTTAATTCAAGAAGAAAAATAGGAATCCACGATAATTCTGAAGGACACCCCAGATCCCAGAGACGAGAACACCAGAAAACAGTCCCTGTGACAGCATCCATCTGATAAACATGAGTCAAGCCCCAGTACATGAGAGGGACAGAGATCCTCCCCCATAACTCTCCCTTCCAATGGGAATCTGAGCAACTCAGGCTTAGGGAGAGTATTTTGTTTCTCCCAAGCCCTGGAGCTAACTTGGGGAGAGGCTTGGAGATGCTGTGACAGAAAGATACCATGAAGAACTACAGACATTTTCTCAGACCCAAGACTAAGAGCAGGAAGCCATTTTTAATCTGGGCATATAAAAAGATCTTTGGTAATCTGGCAGCATGACCATGGAGGCACTTTAGTCGCAGGCCAGAGATTGGAACATTTGCTCTGGAACAGGGTAGGGGCCTTCACAGCCTAAACTATGGAAAGCATCTCAGCAGCAGGTGTTGGAACTGTGCTGTCCCCCATCATGAGCCTGGGGTGGGAGGAGAGCTGCTATACCTGCAATTTCTCCTGGGTGGCAAGACTTGCAGCCAGAGCCAGCTTGGCGACTTGGAACAGGTCTGCATGTGCCATGGCTGAATGCCTCATCTTGTTCCTCTGAGACTGCGGTGCAGCAAGGCCCTCTCTGTTCCACACTCAGGCAGGGCAGAAATCCAGGCATTTGGAGCACCTGCTTGCCTGGAACAGCAGATTGAGCTTCCCCACCCTTCATGGACATAGATTGTGGTACAGTGGGGCTCTCTCTGCTCCATACCCACACAGATCTCTGGGAATTCAGAGCACCCACTCACCTGGATCAGCATCCTGACCTGTACCACACTTTCTATACAGAGATTCTGATGCAGAGAGGCCCTGTCTGCTTCACATCCAGGCAGATTTTCAGGAATTTGTATCACCAGCTAGCCTGCATTAGGAAGGCTCATCAGTCCCACCCTTCCTGGACATATATCATGGTGCAGGGGTGCCCTCTCTGCTACACACGCAGGCAGATCAGGCATTTAGAGCACTGCTCTCCTGAATGAGAAGACTGAGCCACCCCACCCATCCTGTGCAGATATCTTGGTGCAGGGGGACCCTCTCTGCTCCACACCCAGGCAGATCTCCAGGCATCTGGAGTTTCCACTCTCCTAGATTAGGAGTTTAGGCCACCCTACTCCCCGTACAAAGAACTGGGGACCAAGGATGTTTCCCAGCTCCAGATCTAGGCACAACTCTGGGTACTTGGTGGCTGTCCACTGGATTCTACCTCAGCAGCAGTGATGGTGCCTGCTATCAGGGGACATATAAGTGAACCTGCCTAATCCAACCCTACCCTTCATGGCCCCTTCCACACTAGAACTGAGCAGTGAGCTGAGACCACTGTGTATTCCACATGTCAGCCCATTACCTGAGGCAACCGAGAGCTTCTGCCAATAAACAAGGATCAAGTATATAACCAGCTGTGTTGGCTGCAGCTAGATCTTACCTATAAGCACCATCTACTGGTCTGTAGGTTGAACTGCACAACCCAATATAAAACCTATCTAAAGAAGTGAATAGGGCTATAGAAGTAAAGCCAAAAGACCCTACGCAACATACTCTATAGTCACACTCCTAGGGAAGGTGAAAAGAGAAAGGGAAAGAAAAAAATAATATTATTATAGAGAAAGAAAAAGAAAGAAAAAAATCCTATCTACACAAAAATAATTATAAAAATTAGAAATGTCAGCATCTCTAGGTGAGAAGAAACTAGCACAAGAATTCTGGAACTATGAAAAATATAAATGTAGTGACACCACCAAAGGATTGCACTAGCTTTCCGACAATGGTCCATAACCAAAATGGAAGCTCAGAAATGACATATAGAAAAATGAAAGCATGGATTGCCAAGAGGCTCAATGAGATCCAAGACAAGGTTGAAAAGTAACACAAAGAAAAGTCTAAAGCGATCCAGGAAATTAAGAGATAAATATCTTAAAAATAAGTCAATTGGAGCTCTGGAATTGAAAAACTCACTTAAGGAATTTAAAAATACAATTGAAATCTTTATCAATAGACTAGACAAGCAGAAGAAAGATTTTCAGAGTTTGAACACTGATCTTTCAAACTAACCCAATTCAGATAAAAATAAAGAAAAAAGAATTATAAAAAAAATGAAAAAAGTCTTTGAGAAATTATGTGATTATGTAAAGCAACCAATTCTACAAATTACTGGCATTCCTGAGAGAGAAAAAGTAAACAACCCAAAAAATATATTTGAGGATAATTCAAGAACACTTCCCTTATCTTGCTAGAGAGGTAGACATCTATATACAAGAAATCCAGAGAACACCTGCAAGAAACTGTGTAAAATGAAAATCACCAAGACTCAAGACACACAGTCACTAGACTATATGAAGTCAATGTCAAAGAAAAAAATTTTAAAGGCATGCAGAGAAAAAGGACAGATAATTTACAAAGGGAATCTTATCAGGTTAAATGCAGACTTGTCAGCAGAAACCTTACAAGCCAGGAGAGATTGAGGACCTATTTTACACATTCTTAAATAAAAGGAATTCCAACCATGAATTTCATATTCCACCAAACTAAGCATTATAAATGAAAAAGAAATAAAATATTTTTCAGACAAGCAAGCACTATAGGAATTTGTTACCAGTAGACCAGCCTTACAAGAGAGTTTTAAGAGAGTTCTAAACATGAGAATAAAAGAACAATACCCACTACCACAAAAACACA
This sequence comes from Homo sapiens, assembly GCF_000001405.40. Lineage (NCBI taxonomy): Eukaryota > Metazoa > Chordata > Mammalia > Primates > Hominidae > Homo > Homo sapiens. Next base: position 222,172,481 of record NC_000001.11, read on the forward strand.
CTTATGCACATAGCCTACATATCCTATAAAACAACCACACAATAGAAACTGCAAAGTAACCAGCAAACAACTTCATGATAGGATCAAAACCTCTTATATTAGTCTTAACCTTGAATGTAAACAGTCTAAAAGCTCCACATAAAAGTCACAGAGTGGAAAATTGGATTAAAAAACAAGACCCATTCATCTGCTGTCTTCAACAGACCCATCTCACACATAATGATACCCATAGGTTCAAAGTAAAGGGTTGGAGAAAGATCTACCATGCAAATGGCAAACAAAAAAGAGCAGGGGTTGCTATTCTTATATCAAATGGGAAAGACTTTAAACCAACAATAGTAAACAAAAAAAGAAGACAGCTGGGCATTATGTAATGATAAAGGTTTCAACAGGAAGATTTAACTATCCTAAATATGTATGTACCTAACATTGGAGCACAAGAATTTATAAAACAAGTACTTCTAGATTTATGAAAACACTTAAACTACCACACAATAATAGTGGGAGATTTGAACACCCCACTGACAGCATTAGACAGATCATCAAGGCAGAAAACTATCAACAAAATTCTGGACTTAAATTTGACACTTGACTAATTGGACCTAATAGATATCTACCGAATATTCCACCCATCAACCACAAAATATCCATTCTTCTTATCTGCATATGGATTGACCATATGTTCAACAATAAAGTGTGACTCAAAAAATTAAAAAAATCAAAATCATACCCATACTCTTGGACAACAATGAAATAAAAATAGAAATCAATACAAAGAAGACAAGAAGATCAGTAAAAATCACACACTTACATGAAAATTGTATAACTTGATCTTAAATGACTTTTGAGTAAACAACAAAATCAAGACAAAAATTTTAAAAAATCATTTAAATAAATGAAAACAAAGACATAATGCATAGGCTGTCCTTGTACTGCTATAAAGAAATACTTGAGATTGGGTAATTTATAAAGAAAAGAGGTTTAATTGGCTCATGGTTCTACAGGCTGTACAGGAAGCATAGTGGCTTCTGCTTCTGGGAAGGCCTCAGGAAACTTACAAACTTACAATGGTGGAAGGGGAAGGGGAAGGGGAAGTAGGCACATCTTGCATGGCAGAAGCAGGAGCAAGAAAGTGAGGGTGGAGGTGCTACTCACTTTTAAACAACGAGATCTCGTGAAAACTCTATCACAAGCATAGCACTAGGGGATGGTGCTAAACCATTCATGAGAAACCGCCCCTATGGTTCAATCAGCTACCACCAGCCCCCACCTCCAACACTGGAGATTATAATTCAACATGAGATTTAGGCAGGGATACAGATCCAAACCATATCATTCCACCCCTGGTTCCTCCCAAATATCTTTTCTTCTCACATTTCAAAATATAATCATGCCTTCCCAACAGTACCCCAAAGTCTTAACTCATTTCAGCATTAACTCAAAAGTCCAAAGTCTCATCTGAGAAAAGCCATTCCCTTCTGCCTATGAGCCTGTAAAATAAAAAAACAAGTTAGTTACTTCCATGATACAACAGGAGTATAAGCATTTGGTAAATGTTCCCATTCCCAAAGGGAGAAATCAGCCAAAAGAAAGTGGCTTCAGGCCCCATGCAAGTCCAAAACCCAGCAGGACAGTCATTAAATCTTAAAGCTCCAAAATAATCTTCTTTAACTCCATGTCTCACATCCAAGGCACACTGGTATGAGGGGTGATCTCCCAAGACCTTGGGAAGCTCTGTCCTTGTGGCTTTGCAGCATTCAGCCACCCTCCCAGCTGCTCTCATGGACTGTTGTTGAGTGCCTGCAGTTTTTCCAGGCACAGGGTACAATCCGTTGGTGGATATATTATTCTGAGGTCTGGAAGGTGGTGGCCTTCTCACAGCTCCACTATGCAATGCCCTAGTGGGGACTCTGTGGGGTATCCAACCCCACATTTCCCCTCTGCACTGCCCTAGTAGAGGTTCTCCATGAGGGTTCTGCCCCTGTAGCAGGCTTCTGCCTGGATATGCTGGCTTTTCCATACATCGTCTGAAATTTAGATGGAGGCTCCCAGCCTCAACTCTTGCATTTTGTGCACCTACAGGCTTAACACCACAGAGAAGCCACCAGGACTTATGGCTTGCAACCTCCGAACCAGTGGCCTGATCTGTACTTGGGCCTCCTTGAGCCAAGGGCCCCTGAAGCCAGAGTAGCCAGGATACAAGGAGCAGTGTCCCAAGGCTGTGCAGGGCAGCGGGGCCCTGAGCTTGGCCCATGAAATCAGTTTTCCCTCTTATTTGCATCAGTTCCCAATAAGTTCCTCATCTCCATCTGAGACCTCCTCAGCCTGGCCTTCTATGTCCATAGCACTATCAGCATTTTGGTCACAACCATTCAGCAAGTCTCTAGAAAATTCCAAACCTTCCTTCATCTTTGTCTTCGCTGAGCCTTCTACACTCTTCCAACCTTTGCCCATTATCCAGTTCCAAGGTCACTTCCATATATTCAGGTATCTTTACAGCAGTGCCCCACACCTTGGCACCAATTTTCTATATTAGGCTGTTCTTGTACTGCTATAATGAAATATCTGAGATTGGGTAATTTATAAAGAAGAGATTTAGTTGGCTCAGACTTCTGTAGGCTGTACAGGAAGCATAGTGGCTTCTGCTTCTGGGGAGGCCTCAGGAAAATTACAATCCTGACAGAAGGTGAAGGGGAAGCAGGCATATCTTACATGGCAGGAGCAGAAGCAAGAGAGAGAGTGAAGAGATGCTGCATACTTTTGTTTATTTATTTATTTATTTATTTATTTTGAGATGGAGTCTTGCTCTGTCACCCAGGCTGGAGTGCAGTGATGCCATCTCGGCTCACTGCAAGCTCTGCCTCCCAGGTTCATGCCATTCTCCTGACTCAGCCTCCCAAGTAGCTGGGACTACAGGCGCCCGCCAACACACCCAGCTAATTTTTTTCATTTTTAGTAGAGATGGGGTTTCACCGTGTTAGCCAGGATGGTCTCGATCTCCTGACCTCGTGATCCACCCTCCCCGCCCTCCCAAAGTGCTGGGATTACAGGCATGAGCCACCGCACCCAGCCGAGATGCTGCATACTTTTAAACAACCAGATCACAGGAGAAGTCTATCACAGAACAGCACTATGGGGATGGTGCTAAACCATTTATGAGGAACCATCCAGTGGTCCAATCACCTACCACCAGGGCTCACCTCCAACACTGGGGATTAAAATTTGACATGAGATTTGGGTGGGGACACAGATTCAAACCATATCACATAACATAGCAAAATCTCTGGTAGGCAGCAAAAGTAATGTTAGCAGGAAAGTTTATAGACCTAAAAACATACCCCCAAAAGTTAGAAAGTTCTCACATGAATACCTTAACATTACACCTAGATGAACTAGAAAAACAAGAACAAACTGACCACAAAGCTAGCAGAAAAAAAGAAATAACTAAAATCAGAGTGGAACTGAATGTATTTGAGATCCAAAAGTCCATAGAAAGGATCAACGAAACCAAAAAAGTTGGTTTTATAAAGATCAACAAGATCAATAAACTGCTAGCTGGACTTACAAGGAAAAAGGAGAGAAGATCCAAATAAGCACAATTAGAAACAACAAAGGAGACATTACAATCAATCTTACAGAAATTGAAAAGATCTTCAGAGACTCTCATGAACACCTCTATGCACATAAACTAGAAAATCTAGAGGAAATTGATAAGAGTCCTAAAAATACACAATGTCCCAAGATTGAATCAGGAAGAAATTGAAACACTGAACAAACCAATATAGAGTTATGAAATTGAATCAGTACAAACAAACAAACAAACAAACAAAAACCCAGACCAGATGAATTCACATCTACAAAGAAAAGCTGATACCAATTCTATTGAAACTCTTGCAAAAAACCAAGGAGTTACTCCTCCCTAAATAATTCTATGAAGCCAGCATCACCCTGGCAAAAAGACACAACAAAAAAAGAAAACTACTGTCCAATATCCCTGATAAACATAGATGCAAAAATCGTCAATAAAATACTAGTAAACAGAATTCAACAGCACATCAAAATGTTCACCATGATCAAGTAGACTTTATTCCTCAGATGCAAGGTTGGTTTAACATATACAAATCAATAAATGTGATTCACCACATAAAAAGAATTAAAAACAAAACCCTGTGATGTGATCATCTCAATAGATGTGGGAAGTTTCCAATAAAATCCAACATCCTTTCATGATTAAAAAAAAAAAACCTCAAGAAAGTAGGCATCAAAGAAACATACCTCTTTTGCTGTGCAGAAGCTCTTTAGTTTAATTAGATCCCATTTGTCAATTTTGGCTTTTGTTGCAATTGCTTTTGGTATTTTCATCATGAAGTCTTTGCCCATGCCTATGTCCTGAATGGTATTGCCTATGTTTTCTTCTAGGGTTTTTACGATTTTGGGTTTTACATTTAAGTCTTTAATCTATCTTGAGTTAATTTTTGTATATGGTGTAAGGAAGGGGTCCAGTTCCAGTTTTCTGCATATGGCTAGCCAGTTTTCCCAGCACTGTTTATTAAGTAGGGAATACTTTCCCCATTGCTTGTTTGTGTCAGGTTTGTTGAAACTCAGATGGCTGTAAATGTGTGGTGTTATTTCTGAGGTTTATCTTCTGTTCCATTGGTCTGTGTGTCTGTTTTGGGACCAGTACCATGCTGTTTTGGATACTGTAGCTTTGTAGTATAGCTTGAGGTCAGGTAGAAGGATGCCTCCAGCTTTGTTCTTTTTGCTTAGAATTGTCTTGCCTATACAGGCTCTTTTTTGGTTTCATATGAAATTTAAAGTAGTTTTTTCTAATTCTGTGAAGAATGTCAATGGTTCTTGAATGGGAAAAGCATTAAATCTATAAATTACAGCAAAAGAAACTATCATCAGAGTGAACGGGCAACCTACAGAATGGGAGAAAAGTTTTGCAATCTACCCATCTGACAAAGGTCTAAAATCCAGAATCTACAAGGAACTGAAACAAATTTACAAGAAAAAAACAAACAACCCCATCAAAGCAAATGATATGAACAGGCACTTCTCAAAAGAAGACATTTATGCAGCCAACAAACATATGATAAAAAGCTCAACATCACTGATCATTTTAGAAAAATGCAAATCAAAACCACAATGAGATACCATCCCATGCCAGTCAGAATGACGATTCTTAAAAAGTCAAGAAGTAATAGATACTGGCGAGGCTGTGGAGAAACAGGAACGTTTTTACACAGTTATTAGGAATGTAAATTATTTCAACCATTTTGGGAGATAGTATGGCAATTCTCCAGGGATCTAGAACCAGAAATACCATTTGACCCAGCAATCCCATTACTGAGTATATACCCAAAGGAATATAAATCATTCCGTTACAAAGACACATGCATACATATGTTTATTATAGCACTATTTACAGTAGCAAAGACATGGAACCAACCTAAACACCCATTAATGATAGACTGGATAATGAAAAGTGGTACATATACACCCTGGAATACTATGGAGCCATAAAAAGGAATGAGATCATGTACTTTGCAAGGACATGGATGAAGCTGGAAGCTACCATCCTCAGCAAACTAACATAGGAATAGAAAATCAAACACCATGTATCTCACTCGTAAGTGGGAGTTGAACAATGAGAACACATGGACACAAGGGGGGAAACAACACAAACTGGGGCCAGTCGGGGGTTAGCGGGAAAGGGTAGGGAGAGCATTAGGACAAATGGCTAATGCATGTGGGGCTTAAAACCTAGATGACGGGTTGATAGGTGCAGCAAACCATCATGGCACACATACACCTATGTAACAAACCTACACATTCTGCACTTGTATCCCAGAAATTAAAGTAAAAAAAAAAAAAAGAAAGAAAGAAAGAAACATACCTCAAAATAATAAGAGCCATCTATAACAAACCCACAGCCAATATTATACTGAATGGGCAGAAACTGGAAGCATTTCCATCAAGAACTGGAATAAGACATGAATGCCCACTCTCACAACTCCAATTCAACATAGTACTTGGAAGTGTTAGCCATAGCAATCAAGCAAGAGAAAGAAACAAAAGGAATCCAAATAGGAAAAGAAGTCAGACTTTCTCTCTTCACTGATGATATGACTCTATATTTAGAAAACACTAAAGACTCTGCCAAAAGGCTCCTGGAACTTATAAACGACTTCAGTAGAGTTTCAGATACAAAACCAGTGTGCAAAAATTAGTAGCATTATTAGTACACCAATAATGTTCAAGCTGTGAGCCAAATCAAGAATGCATTTTCATTTACAATAGCCATTTAAGGCCGGGTGTGGTGGCTCACTCCTGTAATCTCAGCACTTTGGGAGGCCGAGGCAGGCGGGTCACCTGAGATCAGGAGTTCGAGACTAGCCTGGCAACATGGTGAAACCCCATCTCTACTAAAAATACAAAAATTAGCCAGGCGTGCTGGCGCAGTCCCAGAACTTGGGAGGCTGAGGCAGGAAAATCGCTTGAATCAGGGAGGCGGAGATTGCAGTGAGCCAAGATCTCGCCATTGCACTCCAGCCTGGGTGACAAGAGAGAAACTCCATCTCAAAAAAAATAAATAAATAAATAAATAAAAAATTTTAAAAAGCCATTTAAAGAATAAAATATCTAGGAATACACCTAACCAAGGAGATGAAAGAGCTCTATAAGGAGAACTAAAAAACACTGCTGAAAGAAAGCATAGATGACCCAAACAAATGCAAAAGCATTCTATGCTTATGGATTGGAAGAATCAATATTGTTAAAATGGCAATACTGCCCAAAGCGATCCACAGATTCATCGCTTTCTAACAAACTATGAATGTCATTTTTCACAGAATTGGGAAAAAAAGCTATTCTAAAATTTATATAGAGCCAAAAAAGAACCAAAACAGTCAAGGGAATTCTAGCAAAAGAACAAAGCTGGGGGCATCATATTACTGACTTCAAAATATACTCAAAGACAACAGTAAGCAAAACAACATGGTGCTGGTACAAAAATAGACCCATAGAGCAAAGGAACAAAATAAGAACCCAGAAATAAAGTCGCACACCTACAACCATTTGATCTTCAACAAAGTCGACAAAAATAAGCAATAGAGGAAGGACTCCCTGTTCAACAAATAGTGCTGGGATAGCCGGTGAGCCATATGCAGAAGAATGAAACTGGACCCCTACCTGTCCTCATGTATAAAAATTATCTCAAGACAGATTAAATATTTAAATGTAAGACCCCAAACTATACCAATCCTGGAGAAAAATCTGGGGAACCCCTTTCTGGATATCAACCTTGGGGAAAAATTTGTGACTAAGTCCTCAAAAGCAATTACAACAAAAACAAAAATTGACAAGTAGAACCTAATTGAACTAAAGAGCTTCTACACGACAAAAGAAACTATCAACAGAGTAAACAGACAATCTACAAAATGGGAGAAAATATTTGCAAACTATGCACCTGACAAATGTCTAATATTCACAATCTATAAGGAAATTAAACAATTGAATGAGGAATAACAAACAGCCCCATTTTAAAATGGGCAAAAGACATGAGCATACACTTCTCAAAAGGAGACATTCAAGAACCCAAAAAAAAGTGAAAAAATGCTCAACATCACAAATTATCAGAGAAATGCAAATCAAACCACAATGAGATACCATCTCACACCAGTCAGATTGGCTATGATTTAAAAAGTCAAAAAACAACAGATGTTGGCAAGGCTGCAGAGAAAAGAGAACACTTATACACTGTTGGTGGGAATGTAAATTAGTTCAGCCACTGTGGAGAGCAGTTTGGAGCTTTCTCAAAGAACTTAAAATAGAACTACCATTCCACCCAGCAATCCCATTACTGCATACATACCCCCAAAACCCAAATTGTTCTACCAAATAAAGACATGTGTACTTGTATGTTCATTGCAGCACTATTCACAATAGCAAAGACATGGAATCAACTAGGTGCCCATCAATGGTGGATTAGATAAAGAAACTGTAGCACATACATACCATGGAATACAAAGCAACCATAAAAAGAATGAAATCATGTCCTTTGCCGCAATATAGATACAGCTGAGGGCCATTATCTTAAGCAAATTAATGCAGAAACAGAAAACCAAATACCATATGTTCCCACTTATAAGTGGGAGCTAAACATTGGGCAGTCATGGACATAAAGATGACAACAATAGACACTGGGGACTACTAGAAGGGAGAAGGAAAAAGGGGGAAAGGGCTGAAAAACTAACTGTTGGGTACTATGCTTAGTACCTAGCTTACAGGATCAGTTACATCCCAAACCTTGGCATCACTCAATATACCCAGGTAACAAACCTACACAGGTACCCTCTGAATCTAAAATAAAAGTTGGAATTATTTTTTTAAATGAACCAAAAACCTTAACAGACACCTCACCAAAGAATATATACAGATGGCAACTAAGCATATGAAAAGATGCTCCACATCATATGTCGTCAGGGAAATGCAAATTAAAACAATGAGATACCACTATGAACCTACTGGAATAGCCAAAACCCAGAACATTGACTCCAGTAAATGCTGGTAAGAATGTGGGGCAGTAGGAACACTCACTCACTGCTGGTAGGAATGCAAAATGGTACCACAACCTTGGTAAACAGTTTGGCAGTTTCTTTAAAAAACAGACAAACTCTTACCACACAATTCAGCAACTGGACTCTTTGGTATTTATCCAGAGGAGTTTTAAATATATACCCCCACAAAAACTTGCATAGAGATGTTTATAGCAGCTTTATTCATAATTACCAGAACTTGAAAGCAACCAAGATGTCCATCAGTAGGTGAATGGATAAATAAACATTGATACATCAGGCAATAGAATACAATTCAGTGCTAAAAGGAAATGAGCTGTCAAGCCATAAAAGATATGGGGGAAACTTAAGTGCATATGACTAAGTTAAAGAAGTCCATCTGGAAAGAGTACATACTGTATGACTATACGCTATTCTGGAAAAGGCAAGACTCTGGAAACAGTAAAAAGATCAATGGTTGCCATGAATTAGCAGCAGGAAGGGGGAAAGGATCAACAGGCAAAATGCAGAGGTCAGTGAAACTACTCTATGATACTATAATGCTGGATACATCTTATTATACATTTGTGCAAACCCATAGAATGTATAATGCCAAGAGTGACCCCTCATGTAAGCCATGAACTTTGGGTAATAATGATGAGTTAATGTGAGTTTATCACTTGTAATGTAGCACTCTGATGAAGGGTGTTATTAATGGGGGAGGCAATGCATGTGCAGGGTGAGGGGATAGCTGAGTAATCTCTGTACCTTCTCAATTTTGCTATCAACCTGAAACTATTCTAAAAAAATTAAGCCTTTTAAAAAAAATGTACCTTTAATAAAAAATGTGAAGACGTTCTCATAGAAACTCTATGAATTTAGGATATGAATGTATAGTTATATATTTATATCTACACATATATAATGGATTAAAAATTAAATAGCACAGAAGCTATCATTTATAGAGTGAATTTCTAAAACTTATTTGATGCAATTAGGTAAGTGCAAATTTAAAACTAAAATGAAATACCTCCATACACCTATGTCAATTGCTAAAATTCAAAAGACTAATAATGCCACAAGTTGACAAGGATATGGAGCAACTAGGACTCTTATTCATTGCTGACAGAAATGCAAAATGATACAGCCACTTTGGAAAACAGTGTGGCAGTGTCTTATAATGTTACCAGTAATACCACTCCTAAAAATAAAAACATATGTCCACAGGAAAAAAAAACAGAATGTCCCATGGACCCCCATAAGTTTATTCCTATTACATACATATTCCACTGCCTAGCCAGCCCACAAGGCCAGAAAAAAAGAAGCTCTTTCTAAGCACTCCCTCCTGCAACTTATCATATCCAATCAGTTACTAAAGTTCCTTAATATTTTTGCATTCTCCATATTACTGTCTTCCTTGATGCAGAACATCATTACTTCAGGTCTAGGTGATATGGTTTTGCTGTGCCCCCACCCAAATCTTATCTTAAATTGCAGTTCCCATAATCCCCATGTGTCATGGGAGGGAAATGGTGGGAGGAAACTGAATCAATGGGGTGGTTACCCCCATGCTGTTCTCATGATAGTGAGTTCTCACAAGATCTGATGGTTTTATAGGAGGCTTTTCTCCTTTGCTCAGCATTTCTCCTTCCTGCCACCTTGTGAAGAAGGACATGTTTGCTTCCCCTTCTGCCATGATTGTAAGTTTCTTGAGGCATCCCCAGCCCTGCAGAACTGTGAGTCAGTCTAACCTCTTTCCTTTATAAAGGAAGTTCTTTAGAGCAGTGTGAGAATGAACTAATACACTAGGTTACCACAAGAGCTTGTAAAAGGTTTCCTAGTCCTTGGTCTTTATTTCATTTGAGTCATCTTCTGAACTTTAGCCAATTCATTTTACTTTCCTAAAATGTAAATATGTTCATTTCACATCCTACATATAATCCTTCAATAACACAACATTATCTTCAGGAAAAAACCTGAACTTCTTAGGTTTATGTGTAGTTTCATATTTCAAACCAATCTTATTATCTTTCATTGCTGGTTCACGCAGTAACCAATAACCATGGCCATTCACATCTAACTCAAAGTCAGGGAGTGCAGTGAGGGGCCAATGATCCTTTTAGCCTGGTTTCCATCAGAACTCCCACACAAAACCTAATCAGGTCTTAGTTATCTCTTTCCTGAGCACTTCCTATTAATATTTTGTTAGCCTTTCCCAGACTACATACATGCAGAAACATGATAGACAAAAAAAAAAAAATCTTTTTATTGAAATGCCATGGAGTTCTCCTGAGAGTAATACAGAATATGAAAAAACAGATTATAATGTCATCTTACGAGACTACCCACTTGTGTAACACAAAAGAACAAGGCCAAAAAGGCCTTATAGGCTCAAGCCCTCAAAAGCTCTTTCTCTCTGCCATCCCCTCTCTCTCCCACAATCCCACCCCTTTCCCTGGTAACACTTTTTTTTTTTTTTTGAGACAGAGTCTTCTGTGTCCAGGCTGGAGTGCAGTAACGCAATCTCAGCTCACTGCAACGTCTGCCTCCCGGGTTCAAGCAATTCTCCTGCCTCAGCCTCCCAAGTAGCTGCGACTAGAGGCGCACACCACCACACCCAGGTAATTTTTGTATTTTTGGTAGAGACGGGGTTTCACCATGTTGGCCAGGATGGTATTGATCGCTTGACCTCATGATCTGCCCACCTTGGCCTCCCAAAGTGCTGGGATTACAGGTGTGAGCCACCGCACCCGACCGGTGACTACTTCCTTATGTTATGCAAACTGGGTCACATCCCATCCTCAGAAAGATTGATTCTTCCCCACAGGGTACAGACATTTCAATCCTCAAACTCTCTTTATGTTTGTGTATTTGCCAAGTCAAGGAATGAGACCTCTGCCAGCTGTAAACAGAGGTTCACTTCTATGCAGACACTGCAATTCCAGGGAACACAAGGTGGTCTCTGGTCACATTATATGGACAATGGTGAGTCCTGAGTATCTGGCATCTCCACTAGTGAAAGCTATCCTTGAGTTCCTCACAATTTACCTAGGAAGCAAGCTCACCTTGCTAAGGGTAACATAAGCTACCCCATCTCATATGAAGAAAGGATATCCTTCCGGTTAGTAAGACTCTAAGCCCACCTGCCTCCTTGTTTTATCTGTCATTTCTTAGATTTTGGGTGAAATATTTGAGTTAATTTTAATCTTCCCACCCCTTACCCATTTTGTCTTATGAAACAATAAACCTTGATTTATTATTCTGAGAGCCTGCAACTCTCCTGAGCCTGACCTAAGTTACAAAAGTCAACTTACTGGCTGTAAATAGCACTAGGGTTAAATTCTCCCAAAATTGATAACTAGCAATTTCACTTTTGACTTTGCCTTCAGCAGAAGGAAGGGAGGGAAGATTTTCATTCATCCCACTCCAATTGTAAGAATTTCATAACCCACACCATTCAGTTCTCCAGCCTCACCTTCCACCACTCTGCTGCATAAGCCCTATGTGTCAAAATTACTTGCAGTTCCCATGCCATGCTCTCTAATGCCTCTGTACCTTTGCTCGTGTTATAATTTTCAGCTTGGAGAATCTTCTCCACATTTATCCTTGCCCCCTCCATTATTATTCCATCACTCTCCACTCCCTAGGTATCTTGTATTTAATTTATCTTGTCATTAATTAAAACCTTGGAAGCTTTTTCATGCTCTGTTTTTCTCTTTGAATTGGCTGACCATCCTGTGTTCCCATACTGACTAAATACATCTTTATCATTACAAGGAAACACTGCATTGCCACTGTGGAATGATTGTCCATCTCAGCCGTGAGACAGTAAACTCCTTGAGTTTATCCTAGAGATTGAGAATAATTTTGTATGTTTCTTTGTAACCCCAGAGTTTAGCAGTGCACCTGGTTCAGAACCATTGTTCATCAATCATCTTTTGAAAGATAGATAGATGATAGATAGATACATAGATACATATAAAAATAGATGATCGATAGAGAGATAAAATGATGTTAATAGTAAGCCTTTCACCAGAAAGAACAGAACTCATTAAAGGAGTTTGATTTTGTCTCCCAGCCAACTGGAGAAGGACGTTGCATTAGGAAAAAGCTTCATTCATTATATGAGGGCAGATTCTCTGAGATCTTTGCTGGCACATTTGCAAATGTGACTCTGGGAAACATGAAAACCCAACATGTGGAGCAAATAAATATTTTTGTGTGTGTGCATGCACATGTGTGTCATGATGTAAGAATGGAAGTAGACAGACAGACCTGGGGAAGCGAATGTTACATGCAGAGTCTATATGTATGGCATCTTTTTTACTGGGCCTCTCTTCCTAACTGGACAATCTGTGTTTTAGCACTTTCCAGAAGGTAACACCAATATTCTTCCTTCAGCAGACCCCCTCAGCTTGATATTCTCCCAGAAACATAGGTTTCTCTGAAGAGAAAAGATCAAAAATGAGAAGCAGAGACTTTTGAATTATATTTAGATTCTCTGCCTCATTTTCTTTGGACCCAGTATCCAACTTCTTTAGGGATTCTGGCTCAAATGCTAATTAATGCCCATACTCACAGATGACATAACTAAGACATCTTGATAAATCATACGGGATCCACATGCTGGAGTTAATAGAGACGTCCAATATACTAGAACAGTTGTTTCCAAATATGTTTTTCTCAACATACACTCACACAAAACGAAACAAGTCTCACAAAGCAATGTAGTGTCCCCAATGTCCTAGTGCAGTTTTTTTTCTTTTTTTTTTATTATACTTTAAGTTTTAGGGTACATGTGCACAATGTGCAGGTTAGTTACATATGTATACATGTGCCATGTTGGTGTGCTGCACCCATTAACTCGTCATTTAACATTAGGTATATCTCCTAATGCTGTCCCTCCCCCCTCCCCATACCCCACAACAGGCCCCAGTGTGTGATGTTCCCCTTCCTGTGTCCATGTGTTCTCATTGTTCAATTCCCATCTATGAGTCCTAGTGCAGTTTTAAGCCATAATAACTTCAGAAGGATAAATGCTATAAACTTAAAACAGCATCATTTGGAAATCTATTTAAATGTAATATATACTTACTTAGTTTTATGAACTTTGAAATATTACTTTTTTCGGTCAATGTTTTCCACATTCAATCAGAGGGACTAAAACTAAAAATTACAAATTACAAATGTATTTTTGAGAATAATCTAAAACTGAACTAAGTCTCTGGGGACACTATGTATATATTTTTAATACTTAGCATTCTCTGATATTATTCTCTATTCTACTTAATCGACACTATTGTATTCAATTTGTCTTTTCTTAATGCTAGTCTCACTCCAATAAATTGGTTTCATGACCCATTAATGAAAACCACAACTCTAGAAGGCAGGAGTGTATGATTAGGTAAGAAAAACTTAGTCCTTCCTTGATTCAAGAGCTCAGTCATCCTGGGCTCAGTGATTTCCATGTGCATTCATTTTACAGATATGCTAGTGAGGGAAAGCCATTAAAGCTACGGTAGGATGAAGTTGGGGACCCCATGGCTATGAGTGTTGCTTCAGAAAGTCATCACTTTAACAAGGTCTGAAAGCAATGGATCCTTGGGATGCAATGATTCTGGGACACAATGGAATATTTTCTGGACTCAAGAAACATCTGAAAATATTTTACTTGTTAACAGCAAATCTTGTCCCCTGCCAGCACTCTCTGCTCCCCATTTCCCAACCTTGGTAACAGAATAATGGTCTTAATGAAAAACATCCAAAACAGAAATGACACTCTTTTAAACACCAATCATCAAGTTTAGGTACCTGGAATAGGGGAAAAATAAAATCACATCCTCTGTCACATAATCTCTGGCTAACGATGCCTGTTTCTAATCACTGACGTTATACCTATTACTCTCCAGCATATGATACTACAAGGCTCCTAATTTTCCACTCATGCTCCACTAGTTCTAACTTTTATTTTTTTAGCTCTGATCACATGTGCTTTGCCTTTCACCTACACTACACTTCACCTAAGCTACAACTATCTCAAGACTTCTGTGCTCTATCTCTTGTACATTTCATTCTGTTTCAGAGTGTTTTCAGCTGCAAGTAAACAGACAAGTAATAAACGTTGGCACATTAAGGACATTGTTATGATCTGATATGGTCTAGCTGTGTCCCCACCCAAATTTTGTCTTGAATTGTAGCCCCCACATTTCCCACGTGTTGTGGGAGGGACCTGGTGGGAGGTAATTGAATCATGGAGGTGGGTCTTTCTCAAGATGTTCTCATGATAGTAAATAAGTCTCACGAGATCTGATGGTTTTATAAAGGGGAGTTTCCCTGCACAACCTCTCTCTTCTCTTTTCTGCCACCATGTGAGATGTGCCTTTCACTTTTCACCATGATTGTGAGGCCTCCCAAGCCATGTGGAACTGTGAGTCCATTAAACCTTTTTCCTTGTAAATTATCCAGTCTCAGGTATGTCTTTATCAGCAGCATGAAAACGGACTAATACATGATCTCAACAGAGATGAATTTCCTAGGGTCAGTGACACATGATGTCAACAAGGATCCAGGTGTTTCCATTTCTCTCTTTGCCATTTTCAGCATAGAGAGCTGCATCATCCTCAGTCTTATTGCTTTATGCCCGCAAGACGGCTGCATGACTGCTGCTTCATACACCACATCCTCATATCACTGAGCCAAAAGGCAGGGAGAGAATCTTCTCCCCACACTTCTTGGCCTCAGAAATTCCCCAGCAGATGTTCCCTCAGGACCCTTTGGCCAGGATTAGGTTTCATGCTTATGCATCAGTAGCAAGAGAAGCTGGGGAAAATGAGTCTCTGGCATTTTCAATTTCTGCATCAGAAGGCCGTCTCTCCCACCAAGGAAAACTCAGCCACCCTGTGTTCTGCACTCAGTAGTGCTCACAGTGTTTTTGAACTGAGTGCCCTATGGTTGCTCTTTAAGAAAGAGGATGAGCACACAGATTTGGTTTAGATAGCAAGTGAATCAGTTAATTTAGCTTTATTGAAGGGTAATCGACTTTTCTCCCCCGCCTGGGGAGAAGTCATTTCACATAATGCCAATTACTATTCACAAGGATGCTGGATGGGAGAGTGTGCAGAAGGATCAATACGAAGCCATTCCCCAAGCTGTAAAACCAATTATAACAACAGCTCCCTGATGCTGGGTCAGGAGGACAATTGTTTTTCTACTAATAATGCACATTTCCCCATTCCTGTTACTATCTTTATTTTACATGGGAGGATACTGGCAGTAGAGGGATGTCTCCAGACTTCTGATACCATATCTCCAAACCATCCTGCATTTGATCATCAAAATAACTTTTCATAAAGAGCATTTTCATCATGAGATCCAATCCGTAAAGATACACAGGAAATTTACTACGCAATTAGTTCAAGGCAGGAATGAGGAGGTAGGGTGAAGAGAAGCAGAAAGCACCCTTAAATGTGTATGTCCATGCGTGTGCACACGTGCATATGCATGCATGCTAAATTTCTACCTCACTTTTAGCTCATATCTATGAATTTAGATTCAGAATTGTTTGGCTAAATTGTCCATTGATACATTACTCACTGTTGGTCTATGTGTATTGGCCTTCTATCTTAGGATAGGAACCTTCCATCTTTATGCTCCACTTCAACCATCCAGTATCTGGCAGACAGTAGGTGCTTAAAGAATAAAATGAATATAAAGACAAAACTCTGAGTTCCTTCAAGACACACATGTGGTGATTTTCTTTGTAAAAAAAAAAAAGAAGAAGAAGAGTGCAAATAGCAAGCATTTGTTAGGACAGGCACTGTGCTAAGCACTTAGCCCTCATTTTCTCATTTAATTCTCATACTGAATCTTAGAAGGAATCCCTTTTTCCCATAGAGAGAGGATATTAACAAACTTGTCCAAGATCAGACAGCTATCAAATTCCTGAGCTGGATATCATACTCATCTTCTGTCCTATAATCCCAGCACCCTTCCAGAGGCCAAGGCAGGCAGATCGCTTGAGGTCAGGAGTTTGAGATCAGCCTGGCCAACATGATGAAACCCCGTCTCTACCAAAAAACACAAAAATTAGCTGGATGTGGTGGCACGCACCTGTAGTCCCAGCTACTAGGGGGGCTGAGATGGGAGAACTGCTTGAACCTGGGAGGCAGAGGTTGCAGTAAGCCAAGATCATGCCACTGCACTGCAGCCTAGACAACAGAGTGAGACCCTGTCAAAAAAAAAAAAAAAAGAAGGAAAGAAGGGAAGAAGGGAAGAAGAGAAGAAGGGAAGAAGGGAAGGGAAGGGAAGGGAAGGGAAGGGAAGGGAAGGGAAGGGAAGGGAGAAAGGAAAAAGAAAGTAAAGAAAACTTACAATATATTCCTAACTCTTACCTCTCAATTTTTATGTCATTGTTATGGCACATTTTATCTTTACATATATTATAATTCCCACAATACAGCGTTACTACTTTTGCTTTAGAAGGTTAGTTATATTTATAAATAGTGCAAATAAGAAATGAAATGTCTTTTATGTTTACCTTCATTTTTATGATTTCACATTTCTTTATATATACCCAAACTTTTCTCTGGTATTACATAACATTTTTCTGAAGAGTTTCCTTTAACAGTAGTTATTTTAGCATAAGACTTCTAGTAATGAATTTTCTCAGCTCTCATTTATTTTAATAATATTTATTTCATCTTCATTTTTGAAAAAATATTTCACTGAGAGTAGAACTCTGGATTTATAGTTTTGCCTTTGTTGGTTTGTTGGTTTGTTTGTTTTAGTACTTTAAAAATGTCCCTCCATTTTCTTTTTAGCTTGGAAATTTCCTAACAAGAACTCTGCTTTAATTATTCATGATTCCTCTCAACAAAATATGTCTTTCTCTGGTTGCCTTCAATATAGTTTATTTATCTTGGTTTTTAGCAATGTGATTACAATGAGTAGGTTTTTTTGTTTATTTGTTGTTTTAATTTATTCTGCCCAGTATTCTCTGGGTTTCTTAGATTTTTGGTTTGATGAATCTCACTATTTGGGAGAAATCCTCACTCATTATTTCTTCACCCATATTTCTTCTTTTTTCTTCGGATATTCTAAGTACATATCTTGACCATCTGATATTGTTACATGGCTCTTGAATGCTCTGGAGGTTTTTTAATTTCCTCCACTCTATTCTCTGTGTTTATAAGTTTGAATAATGCCTATTGACCAGTCTTCGAGTTCACTGATTCTTCCCTCTGCTGTGTGAACTCCATTGATGAGCCAGTCAAAGAAATTTATCACCTTTGATATCATCTTTGTATTTCTAGCATGTCCATTTGATAATTTTAGTTTCCTTCTGTCTGTTGAAATCTCCATCTGTTTAAAATGTTGTCAATTTAGATGTTGTAAAACCATTTTAATTGTAGTTATTTTAAGGTCTCTTTTATAGACTAAATATTTGTGTCCCCTCCAAATTTCATACATTGAAGCCCTAACCCCCACTGTATTTGAAAATAGAGTCTGTGAGACGATTAAGGTTAAATGAATCTTAAGGATGGAGTTCTAATCTGATAGGGCTGATGCTCTTATAGGAAGAGGAAGAGCTATGAGAATGCTCTCTCCTTTCACCATATGGGACACAGCAAGAAGGCAGGTGTTTGCAATCCAGGAAGAGAGCTCTTGCCAGGAACGGAATCTGCTGGTACCTTGATCTTGGACTTCCCAGACTCCAGAACTGTGAGAAATAAGTTTCTTTGTTTACGCCATCCAGTCTGCGTTTTTGTTTGTTTGCTTGTTTGTTTTTTTGGATGAAGTCTCACTCTGTTGCCAGGCTGGTGGGCAGTGGCATGATCTTGGCTCACTGCAACCTCCGCCTCCCAGGTTCAAGCAATTCTCCTGCCTCAGCCTCCCAAGTAGCTGGGATTACAGGCACATGCTACGACGCCCAGCTAAGTTTTGTATTTTTAGTAGAGACGAGGTTTCACCATGTTGGCCAGGATGGTCTTGATCTCTTGATCTCATGATCCACCCGCCTCAGCCTCCCAAAGTGCTGGGATTATAGGCATGAGCCACTGCACCCGGCCTGAGGTATTTTTTAATGGCAGTCTCAGCTAATCAACACAGATTCTGTTTGACATCTGTGTCATCTCTGAGTCTAGTCCATCAGTTGCTTTGTCTCTTGACAATGGGTTGCCTCTTCTGGTATTTTATATGTTTTATAATTTTTAATTAATATCAGGCACTGTGTATAAAAAAGTAAAACTGAAACAAATCGTATTTATTCCAAGAATGGCCAAGTATCATCTTATATTAGGCTATTAGTGTTTGGGGTTGAGTTAACCTAGTCAAGAGTTGAACTGAGTATGGATTTTGTTGTTGGTAAAGTTATCTTAAGTAGACCACAGTCTTCAAGTTCCTCTAGAGGTGAGCTACCATTTACGTTTAAGGTGTTGTTAATTTGTTTGGATTTAAATCTACCTTCTTGGTGTTTTCTCTTTGATCGATTCATTCTTGGTGGGAGTAGGGTGCACAGATTTTTTTTCTCAGTGTCAGTGCTTCACCCTCCACTTTCAGCAGTCCCTAAACACCTGCCTCACAGAGAAGGTCTCTCTCCATGCCAATGTTCTTGTTTCTTTCTCAGCAACACATCACTGTTGCTTGGTACTCTGTGTCATGCCCATGATGGGAGCAGAGGGGAATTCTGTTTTGCTGATCTAGTTTTAGTCATAGAGAAACACTATGCTCTAGAGCCTAAGAGTGAGGTATTTTCAGCATTTCAGAGTTTTTGTCCCTCCTTCCGATGTCAACCAAACTCTGCCTTTTATCTACAGTCTGTCTTAGTAACAGTTTCTTGCCCCACTCTAGGCCTCTCCTTGATCTCTGTCACTATAATTACCACTTGTCTGCTTCAGTCTGGATCCCACCAATGTTCTTTCTCACATGAGCACCTCACATCATGCACGCTGCTCTTAAACACTCTGATTTCATTATTGATACTGATCGCCTGCCCTCCTCTTCACCTGCTCCACAATCAGACTTGCTCTGTGCCCCTTTGAAGTCCCCATTCTATAGGAAACTTTTCCTTACCACCGCATGTCCTATACAACCAGTCTCCTAGGTACAAAACAAGCCTTCCTAAACCACAAATTATCTTATAGATTTCATATTTTTGCATTAAAATTAATGCCTTTTATACTGTTCAATTCATGATTCTTAAAGATAATGGTGCAAGGAATTAGTTCATAGACTAAAACCTCTTAAACAGCTCTCAACATACATTTTCTCAGATTGCTGTCCCATCTTGGAACTCTTTCTACTGTCATATTGACCCATTGTGTGAAAGAAAGTTAACTAGGTTATATACTACATTAGAATTTGCAAAATGTTGTGCCATTTGCAAAAGTAATCACCATTGCTTCTCTCCTCATAATCTTCCCCTAATATTCACTTCCACACACATTTCCTTCATCACAAATTAATACGACACTGCAGAAACTCATAAATAAATCTTTGACTTTTTATTAACTGCAAAAGGTCAAATAATATTCTGTCTTCCTAACAATGATTTACACCAAAGTCATAAATATCTGCCTTAGAGTGATGGAAACTAATGTTTAAAATCAATTATTTTGTTATTCAGATACTGAAACAAGTAAATTTAATTAACAGTATTAAGCATCATTACATTTATTTCTGGAGTAGAAAAATTATTTTGCTAATACTTGTCATTTCAATTAACATCATTATGTAATTATAAATGGAACTTACACAGAAAGCAGGCTTCCAACCACCAGGTCTGTGGCCTTCTCCACCCCTAGCCTTAGCATACAATGGCCCATCTTCAATCACCCTTTGGAAGCTCCTATGCAAGAAGGCTTTTCTTGAGATTCTCCCAGGAACCTGATGGGTGGTTCAGACCATGTTGAGTCCTAAACAGAACACCCATAAGGACAAGTATTCCTCCCAAAATGCAATTCATTTTGGCTGAAGCTGACTTTGAGAACCCCAAATTCTCTATTCCTACAATTAACACCATGCTGCACCTCTCATGATCCACTTGCGGCCAATTTAATGCACCATTCTCACTTCTTTGTGATCTATTATTATCTTTTGTGCACACACAGGGTTTAACTGGGTTTTCTAGTCACCCCCCACTTTCATCCTAATTTTACTCTGTATTTTTGCCCTGGCCCAACTCCTGCTGCTGTTGTCCATCCTCACAAACCTTCCATAGTAAGCAAACTGTCTTCTATTTTTAAAGGCTCTTTTAATAGTCCCTGTGCTTCCCGGCCTAACTAAAGCCTGGTTATCTCCTAAGGACACGATTGCCTCTAAAACACTCTTATGTGCAGGTTGCCCATTCTCCCATGGTCCACAGACCTCAAGACCCAAAGATAGAGCCTACACCTTTCCCATTATCCAGTCCTACTTCCACACCCTTTTTTCTGCTCCTCTGAGGCTCATACCACTCAGCAATGCCAGTATCAGTTCTCCTTTATTTTCTTTACCCACTGCTCATGCCCTTTCATTCACTGAATTATTTTCTCCCTTTTACCCACTCCACATGTAGCCATAATAATGGATGACTTATCCTCTAGTCCTTTAATTACTAATGGGGCTTGTTATTTCTAATGACTTCCACCTTCACTCCATATCAGTCACTAACCAAAAAGGTCATACTCCAGACATCATCATCACCCGGAACTCTTTGATGTATGAAACTATACTCAAACGTTTATGATCACATTTCCTATTCCAAGTATCATTCAAATACTCCTGCTTCACTTGCTGTATACCATGATGGGACCCTCCCCCTCACCAGGGTCCTGTCCCTTTTCTTCCTATCAATCCCCAATCCCCCTTTTAGTCACTGTTTTTCCTATCCAACAGAGGAAAACAGAATATGGACCTATGGGTTCCTATGCCTAGGAACCCATAATGGATAGTTTCCATGTTTCATCACCTCAATTCCCTCTTGCTCGAAGGCTCAAATGCACATCAATTCAACTGTCAGAGCCATCACTATAACTACACCAGTGTTGCTGATCACAACTGTGCAGATTATTCTTTCTCTAACATCATGCATACCACAGTCACATGGGCCTTGGTAGCTGTCTAGCAACTCTTCCATGTTTTCATGGGCAGATTTCACTCTCTTTCTTCACAGTGGCTATTTAAATGCTTTTCCCCACATACCCACTCACTTCAGAGGCAATAGAATCCCCAAGACTTTCTGCCTTTACATTTGTGCTTATAGCCACAACCTTTATTGCTCATTTCTCCTGGTACCAAGCATGAAGTATTTCTCCTCTTGTCTAAGGGTCATTCTTCTACTTATTCTCTGGATTCCTCCATTCCTGTCTCCCCAGGGACATTCTATTTATTAGTAACTCTCTCCTATGATTTCAAATTCTGCCTCTTTTATTATCATTTTTGTGAGCAATTATAAATGCCAAAGAATTTCCCATCTTTAAAAAAATTGTCCCCAACCTCATATACATTACAGCAACATCTTTTGAAGGAATTAGTCACATCCTCAGCTTCCATTTTACCACCTCCTTATTGGCTATAATCTGGTTTCTGGTTCCACTATTTCACCAATGTCTAATTCCAGATTTATATTGCCAAATATTTACTAGATATTTCATTTGTACATGATACCAAAGTCACAGAGATAGCAGAATTTAATATGTTCCCAATTGGTGTCATGGCCTTACTCTCCCACCCCAACAGTTTCCCTGCTACCAAATTTCCATTGTCTACCAACCATTCTGGCCACCATTTTTCATTCTCCTTTGCTAAAACATCCTCCTCCATCTGACTTTTAAATTTTTGTTTCCTTTTATTTTGCGTAGCAGACTTAGTCAATCACATAATTTTCCATGATTTCAACAACTAATGGCTCCCAAACCTTTTACTGATCTCTAAATTTAGCTGCTTTCTAGGCACAACTTCCTGGAGTCACATAGCCCACACTCAGCAGGTCTGAAGTGCAACTCTAGTCCCGCAAAAATCTATTCAATGCCTATAACTCTTTGAATAAAACCATTCATCCAAAACTTTCACATTGAATCATCCTTAGCTCCCTTCCCACGCCTCACACTCTGTATCCAATCAATCACCAAGCCGCACAGATTTTCCTTCAAAACACCTCCCTAAATAAGGATCATCATAATCGCTGGCTGAATTATTACAATGGTTTTGGGACTGATCTACCTGCCATCGTTTCCTCCACACAGCATAACTTCCATTTTGACTTCTAGAGTCAGCCAATATGCAAATTTGATTTTATAACTCTAAATGGCTTCTGCCCAAGCTTGCTATACTAAGGACTACTATATGTAAATCATCCTCAGTCCACTTGCATGGTGCCATCATATGGAATGCTCAACACCAGGTGCTAACAAAACTTGGAGAGACTATTTAATTGGGTATTGTGGAGCAATAAAGGAAAATCAAAAAGTAGTATGAATCCCATCTCTCTATTTTTCTACTACCCTCGTCCTAAGGTAAGAAACTTTCCCAGTTCATTCTTAGGCTGGAGATGCTTGGTGAATTACAGATGCCAGTGACTTATGCTGTACGATGTCGTGCTGTGTTGGCTCCAATTTTATGTTATTTGGATTGTCATTGCAGGCGTAATTATCAAGGATGAGTTGGAACACAAAGTATCATCTGAATAAGAAAGATGAGCCTCACAGCAACTCTCTCCTCTGAGACAAGTTCAACCTTATATTATTACCCCACCACAGTCTACATCATCAACATTTCTAATGCAAGCTGGTACCTCTATATGGATTGCTGTATACTCATTTCTTAATCAAACACTGTTCTGCTTCCTTTAAGTCTCAATTCAAAAGTCGTGTCTTTGTGATTTCCCCAAGTAAAGTGAATTTCTTTATCTCTGCATTCACATACCTTGTAATTTACTGCCAATTTTTCTATCTTCCTTCCACAGTAGTAGTGATTCATCTTATTTACATTCAGAACTTAACACAACACTTGACTTTTAAAAATGTATGTTGAATGAACAATGAATGGATGGATGTGTCATTTTGGTGTCCCTGGAACAGATGTTAAGAGCAGACTTTCAGTTTCCCTCACGCTCAGTCTTCTGAAAGTATTTGTAACTTTTGTGCATATTTTCCAATCTCAACAAGCTCACTAGTAAAATTTCGAATTACTCTTCGGGCTAGTAAGATCTAGAATAGTGTTAGAAACTAACAGTTAATATCATATAACCATTCATTTATGCTCATTCATGAGGCTCTAACTTGTGTCAAGTAAGAATCAGTCAGGGCCCAATGAGAAAACAAAAAGTGAGAAAAAGCTTCTGTCTTTCAAAAACTAAATGTGGAGGACCACAGCCAGGCCTGCCCTGAGCAGCATTATCTGAAGGAGGAAGACAATGGTAGTAGATAGACCTTTGAATGCTGATGGGGCACCTCCCAAAGCCTTCTGATGCAACAGACATCCAGCCCATAGCTCCAGGCTCATCTAATGTGCCAGATTCTCATTCTACATAGGGTGCATTGATAGCCTCACTTCAAGCATGCTTCTAGAATAAACTAAAGAGACACTGAAATAGTCCATCTACTTATTGATATAATTATATGGCACAAACATCATTTGCACCATTTATTTGTTGATGTGGCAGTAAAGTAAAATGAAAGCCACTCTGAACTAACTCTGAGTCCTTTTTCATGCCAAGCTTCAAATGCAGCCTGACTCTTATATCTGGGGTTCCTCAAACAGAGAAAGATGTGTGCGTACACACATACATACACAGAGTCCACACGTACATACACAGAGTCCACAGATCTTTTTGTTTTTCCAAGACTTGTTACATCAAGGCCCTAAAGACTAGCTGCGGGAGTATCTCTCGCCTAATCAATGCCCCCTACAGAGCTGAACTGCCTCCTACTGTTACCCCTGAGAAGTGAGAACTACCTCTGAATTCAGTAAGTGTTTGATGAATTAATGTGTCAGCCCTCACCAAAAACCTGAGTGAGCAAAAATGAACTCTGATGTGTCTTGACTTCTTCCATTACCACTGACTTCCTTAACAGGCCAGTTGTCATCCTAAGAAAATCAGAGATGTGTAAATTAAGAATGAAAAGAAGCACATTCATTAGTCACTTTGCTAAGAGTATAAAAATGGCCTCTTTCAAGACATTTCTACTGTCACAAGTCTTTGAAACAGAAATAGAGACTAGGTTTTCATCCTTTAGTCAAACACAAGTCTCATCCTATATGTATGTGTGTGTGTGTGTCTCATACAGCCATATGTGTGTAAATAAATATATGATATAGGTAGATAGATGATTGATGATAGAAAGATAGATAGATAAATAGATACATAGATAACAGATTCCTCCATAATTCTCTTAAAGATGTTATTATTTTCCTAAACTAATTTTCCCGCACCCAGCTCAAAACTTAAATTCTCTTTAGAGACCCTCCTGAAAGCTATAATTCTCTGTAATCCTGTAACTACAGCATATAACCAATCCTAAACTTCTATGGTGTTTCTAATCCATGCCATTCATTCTCCCTTTGGGATTCTGAGCTCTGCTAGTGGTGTCTATGTTTTGAGATCAGTGATAAGACAATTGGTTTCAAACAATGCTATTCAACTGAGATAAAAAAGAATTTATTTGTATCAGCTATGAGCCCTGCACGGTGCTAGTTCTTGTGTTGGAAAGAGATGGAAACGAAGAAGGGTTGGGTGAGTACTTTCTAAAAGCATAAGATACGGCTCTTCCAGTTTGAATTTGCAGACAGTAGGAAGAACCAGGGCTTTGTGAGAAGATCCACTATCAACGAGTGAAAGATTTCTGTTTCTTGTTCCATCCAGAGGACCCAAGACTGGCAACAGCCATGCCCCCAGGATGTATTAACTCCTTCATCAGTGTTTCTCAAAGTGTAGTCTCCAGACCACCTGCATTATAATTACTTAGGGAGTATAATAAATGCTGATTCTCAGACCCTGCCTCAGATCTAGATTAGAATCTCTGGAGTATAAGGTCTGAGAATATCAATTTTACCATGCTTTCTAGAAGAGCTATTGATGCGCATAATAGTTTGTGAATCACAGCACAAAGAGTTCAAGAAAAAGACTCTCATTACTATCCACACACCCCTCATCTTCCTCAAAAAGAGAATACTGAAGCTATTGCAATTGGTGTCAAGTCTAGTTTAGTTTGCTCTGCTTCTGCCATTGGTGTCTCTCCACTTGCAGATTCATTCTTCCCCAGGTCCAGAGCCCATTCTAAGTCAACTCATAAAGACCATCTTGAAATTTAGTCTCACTACCCAGACCTGGAAATTGGTGGCCCTAACCATGACTACTGAGTTGCTGTGTTTCCTGTCCAAAGTCACAAAATCTGGTGTTAGGATCACTGGAAGGTGAGTCCTTGGCCTCCATGAACTCCCCTGGATGAACCATCACTATGCAGTTTATTGGCTCATTCTGTGAAAGTGGCTTTCTCCTCAGCCTTCCTCTACTCTTGCTATCTGGTATCTAACATGAACTCTAGCACTGGGACTTTGCTCTGAATTCAAGACATTTGTTCTACAAAAATTTACTGAATACTATTGAAGGACTAAAGTACAAAGGTGAATACAATTGCATCTTTCATACCTGGCAGTTCATGTAAACAAGTAATCACAACATGTGATAATCAACAGAAAAATGGAAGGGGAAGAGTTGATACTAAGAAGAAAATGTTCAACTCTGCTTAAAGGGGAAAATAAAACCTTCTAAGTTACTTGAACTAGACACTTCAGAATGGGTATAAGTTGGAAAAATGAACAAAGCAGAAAGTGCTCCAGAGATAACGTCCTATGAGAGCCATGAAACAGCACGACACATTCAAGGGTCTGCAAGTCTGGCTTGTGGGATGGCTGGGCTTTGAGACGGGAAAGTGGAAAGAAAACTCTCTATGCTTTCTTCCCTTAAGCTGAATCCTGCTGATCCTACCACCTTTGTGCTAAGTATGGGCAGATCTCCTTTCATTGACCATCTTCCTCTCCAGTTCTAAACTTCGCCTACTACATATATCCCTTCTCTTCAACTAAACCAGACTTCTAGAAGCACCCTCTAGACACTAATGGACCACCCCGATTCTTTCAGAAGCATCACTTTTTTAACTTTGCTTTTAAGTTCAGGGGTATATGTGCAGGTTTGTTATAGGTAAACTTATGTCATGGGGGTTTGTTGTACAGATTATTGTATCACCCAGCTATTAAGGCTAATATCCATTAGTCATTTTTCCTGATCCTCTCCCTCCTCCGACTCTCTACCCTCTGATAGACCCCAATGTATCAGACCAACTTTTGAAGGCTGAGCCACACCTTGTAAAGAAGTTCGTACTTTGTCCTAACCTTTTTCCTGTCCTGCCCTCCATCCATACCAGTTACATTTTGCTTAGATTCTGACCAGTGCTACTCCAGTCTTAATGTATGACAATCAGGGTTTACCTCAGCCTTATCATCTCAAGCACAATGAAGTTGGGGCTGCTCTGTGTGAAGTTCCTTCTCCTTCTCACTTTTCTTCTACTTGAGTTACAAGGCATCATTGCTTGTCTGATCCAGCTGGTATTTCTCAGCAGATCACTGATCTCTGTAGTCCACAGCTGAGTTTTAGTGCCTTCTTAGAAAATACTTCTTGGTTTTGGCATCTTCTGCTTCTGTTCACTCTACACTACCTGCCCAAGTACTCCACAATGCAGCAATCTTGTAAGCTCAATAGCAGAAAATACTTATTTCAGACTAGTATTATTGTTGATTCCAAGATATAGGTATGTATTATTTCTGCTCTTGTCCAAGAAGCTTCCTCATAACAGTGTCACCCTCTTCCCCTGATCATTTGTACTCATGCCCCCACAGCTCAAGCTTCTATTAACTTTCAGCAGAAAGACATGGTTATGGGGCTAAATCTACTTACTAAGGCAACTTAGTACATCAACTCTTCTCTGCTTTCCCACCAAAGGCAGCTTGTCAGGCAATAGAGCTTTATTCTGAATGTTTTATCATTATTAATCATGATAATACCTTAATGATGTATCTATCAAAGAAATTATTTTTAAATTATAAGTTCTTTGATGGAAGAAAGACAGTAAGAAAATATATTCTTGGGCTAAAATTATGAACTATGAATTTTAGCCCAAGAATATAGCTCTATGTCTGGCAAATATAGATGTATAAACACAATTGTGGAATTTAATTAATTTGCCTCTAAATTTAAACTTTTCTAATAACTTTTAACTCAAATCACAAGGGTAAGAAGTTCCACTCTGACAATAGCAGACTGGGTAAAAACAACTAGAGACAAAATTTGAAAAATAATTTTTTGAAAGCCCAAGAGAGCTATAAGTGCAATATGAAATTGTAGAGCCAATATCTGGGAAAAACGAGAAGACAAGAGATAAGCCCTGCATTTGGAGCCACTTTTCCTCTTAGGCGTTTACCAATTATGAAAGTGTGATTGAGAAACCTAGAAAATCTTACCAAAGACCCTATGATGACAAATGGTAGAGTTCATGGTCTGCCAATGAAGAAGAACCCTAGCAAACCTCAAAAGATTACGGTTGGACTCAAAGGCTCACACCCAAGGAAAAAAAATGATGAACCAAAAACAGCAAAAGGGGCCAGGCATGGTAGCTCATGCCTGTAATCCCAGCACTTTCGGAGGCCGAGACAGGCGAATCATGAGGTCAGGAGTTCGAGACCAGCCTGTCCAACATGATGAAACCC
Source organism: Homo sapiens (assembly GCF_000001405.40). Taxonomy (NCBI): domain Eukaryota; kingdom Metazoa; phylum Chordata; class Mammalia; order Primates; family Hominidae; genus Homo; species Homo sapiens. The sequence continues at coordinate 222,200,779 of NC_000001.11, forward strand.
CATCTCTACTAAAAATACAAAAATTAGCCAGGCGTAGTGATGGGCGCCTGAGGCTGAGGCAGGCGTTTGAATCTGGGGGCAGAGTTTGCAGTGATTGTGCCACTGCACTCCAGCCTGGGTGACAGAGAGACTCCGTCTCAAAAAAAAAAAAAAAAAAAAAAAAAGAGTAAAAGGCTTACTGGTAGATATTATCATTCAGGAAATTTATTCAGAAGTTTCCTTGGATTATCACCTATGAGGGAAGGGAAAGAAGCAAATTTGGGCATAGGAAGAAGTTGAGCTATGATAGTCTCAAGAAAAGACTCAGCCAATTCCTCAGGAAGCTTTGAAGCTGAAGTAGCCCTTTAGCATTTTCCCTAGTTGGGAGAAGGAAGCCAAGACTTTATACCCCTACATTAACCAGTCATTGCATGCAGGCTGCCTTTGGGAAGAGGGTATGACCTAGGCCAAAATGCTTCTCTTTAGCTATGGACAGTATCTGTAGAGGACTGACAGCTTAGGGCTGAGTGCAAGCATCATTCCTGGCAACCTGGGAACTAAACTTGGGCTCATCCTTTGTCAAGAAGGGAGAGAGATAGACAGTGCAACACAGGAATCACTACAGGGACAGAAGCCCAGCTTTAAATCATCTCAATTCCTGACTGGATTAATGTGACCTGAATGCCCCTAGACTAGCTGCCTGCCAGAAGCAAATGTAAATCCCCTCTGCAGGAATATAATAGCATCAAAAGACTAAAATTATCTCTAATTTTCTGTATATAATGACTGTCTGAATCACAAATAACCAGGAACATTAGAAGATAAACCCATATGACTAAAAACCAAGAGAAACAGGAAAAAAAAAAAAAAAACAGAGCCACAGAGATACAGATTAATGTGATGGTAAACATAGACTTTCAAATAGTATGATTAAAGACTCAAAAGACAAGAAAAAATGGATAGAATATAAAACTAAAAAATAGGTCAAATGATAATTCTAGAACCAAAAATATAATAACTGAAATTATGGGCTTAAATAGCAGTTTAGACACAATTGAAGAAAGGATTAGAGGACTGTGATATAAAAATACCCAATTAATGCATGCAAAGAGACAAAAAGAGAGAACATATAGATAAAAGAGAAACAGCTATATGGGATACTGAAGGAAAATCTAATATATGCGTAATTATAATCTCAGAGAGGAGAGAATGCAATAAAGTAATATTTGGAGGTTAAGAGTTAAGAATTTTCCAAAACTTACAAAAGACCTCAAATCATATATTCAATAATCACGATGAACACTAAGCATGATAAAAACAAAGAAAAGCACATCCGAGCCCATTATAGTAAAATTACTGGGAAAAAAATGACAGCAAAAATTTACAAGAAGCCAGGTAGCAAACACATTGCTTTCATAAGAGCACCAAGATTTATAGCTGACTTCTTGATAGAAAATATGGAAACCAGAAAATAGTACAGGAACATCTTCAAAGTGTGGGAAAAATGTAAGTGCCAAACTGAAATTTTGTAGTTATCAAAAATATCCACCCCAAAAGGCTAAAGACATTCTGAACTAAAGACTGAGACAATTAATTACCAGTGGACCTGTACTAAAGGCAATATAAAAAGAGTTCTTCTGGAAGAAGGAAAATATTCCTAGATAGAAGCATGGAGATGTATGAAAGAATAAATGTCAAGAAAAGGGAAGTTATATGTGTTTATCTAAATAAATGTTGATTGTATATATAGTTATAATAAAGTCTGTGGGGTTTTAAATATAGTGAGAATTTAAAATACATGAAAACAAATCACTTATAAATTTGGAGGAAGACAAATGGAACTAAAATGTTCTCAGGGCTTTGAATTGTTCAGGAAGAAGTAAAAGCACTAATTTATTTTGAACCTTAATAAGTAAAGAATTTGTGTTGTAACAAATCAACAATTTTATTTTTTAAGTAATATTTATTTTCCTGGACAGTGCACATTTAGGGCATTAAATCCAGAGGCCCACTCCACTGCTGGGATGCTACTTGAGGCCATCATCTTCCCCCAGGCTCCACATTTTAGCCTTGTACAGGGTGGTGATATTGTAGACCTGGGGGTGGTTCAGCCTGTGACCATGGCACTCTGGGTTAACCCTCTGGAATTCCAGAGGGATCACTTATCTGGAGGCATACGCAATCTATTCTCTGCAAAGCCTAGGAGGGTCCAAGCAGGGCAGGCCTGGCTTGGCCAGCCACACTTGTCCTTCCTGTTATGTTAAGCCTGTCTGTCACAAGATGTCCTGGAGGTTCAAAGGTGCAACATTTCCACATGCATGCCTTGCACCCATGAGCCAAGTCTTTACTCCCTCCCCTTTGGACTCAGTCCTTTCTCGTGAAAGTAAGAGGTGGAGGACTCTGCTGAAAGCTTCTTTCTCCCAGTCTCCTCTCTTCAAGGCCATCTCCCATATCTGCAGAGAAGCTGTTGTGAATGATTAGCCTATTCACTCTTCTCCTCACCAATAAAACCCAGACTTCCTGCTTCAGAGCCACATGCCCTAGACTGGAGTTGTGTGAACAGATGAGAAGGCCAGGCTGCAAGGGCTCTGAGTCCACTCAGTTTACTGATTTTCAGTTTGTGTCTCTGGGTATTTCTTCCTTGGTCTCTGGCAGCATGGCAAATGACATTCAGAAACGTGGCATCTGCAGATTCCTCCAGGTTATATCATGCCAAGATATGGGCTTCCTAATGATCGTGTAAGCCCTGTGAAGGGGATTCACATGAAACTCTATGTAGACCTTCTGGGTTTATAGTCCTTTGAGAACAGTTGCCACAAAATTTGGTTCTGGTGGACCTCATCTGTGATCACCTTCTTCCTTGGGTGTCCTGCCATGGCCTTGGTGCTGCTTAGTCCATTCTGGTGGTCTCTCAGCCCCGTCTCTGATGTCCTGGTCCCCAGCCTTCTGCTGTCTTCAGGCGACAGAGTCACATGCTGTCTTCCAGGCAACAGTGCCCCTGTAGTACGGCCCTGCCCTCACTTCTCAGAACCTAGCCTGGTTACTAGAACCACCTCTGGATACCACCAGGAAAGGGCTCATTGTCAAGGGGCAGACTCAGGAGGTAATGAACATATGACTGGAACTCATTTTAGCCAATCATTTCCCTCCTCGAGAATAGGTTAGATGCTTTTCACTCCTTATTCTCCTCTACCTTCTATGTCACTGGTCCTGCAGATTGCCCTGTGATTACAGACCAAGTTCCATGGAGAAACCATTTACAAATGTAGAGTCTCATGCAGGCTGGCTGATCAGGCAGGAGGTGAAAGGAACAGATGAGGCTGAATACTGGCGTGCCATCGTCTTGCATTCCCTATGTACACAAGGTCAGGCTGCTGGGAATCCACAGTCCTGGTAATTCTGAACTACCCAAGAACCATCCCAAGAGGAAGGAAACCAACTCTCCAGGATGAGATTTGTGAATCACAGTCTGGTTGCAAGTGGCTGGAATAGGAGTGGGGACTAGAGTACAGGGGTCTAGAAACAAGGGCTAGGAGGAGCAGTAGAGGGAGAAAGGCATAATGGAAACTGGGACACTGATGCACGTGGCAGTGGCAAATGCATGGTTTCAAACTAATAGAAGAAGAGCTGGGTAGAGGGATCCTTAAGGTAGCATAGTGGGCAGGGATGATGTCAGTCAGACAGGGTAACAGATAGAGCAGGAAACCAAAAAAGTTGGATGAAACAGGAGAATAGGATACAGGTCTGAAAACTGAGGAAAAACTGGAGAAAAGAGGGCTGGAGGACAAGAGCATAAAGAAGCAGAAAAAGGTGAAGGCTGGGGTTGAGAGGGATAAATTCAAGGTAGCTTTCTTGTCATTTTTTCAAATGAGAGCTGTACTTACTTGTTCAAATGAGTCACAACGAGTAACTGGGATATGCTCAGACCAACTCCAACTTGTATCTCACATCCAGTCCTCGGAATATTCCCTGACTGAATGCCCACTGCGAAACATATATTCCTCTCCCTTTTGGTCTAGTGAGGAGGCCCTACCAATCAGGGAAATGGTCCCAGTTTCCAGGTTTAAGGGTGATCATGGAAAATAGAAGACAGAAGGAAGGGAGCTGTAATATTAGTCCCTGTTCTTGGAATACCATGTAGTTTTGCCCCACTGTAAGCAAAGGTGGATCAAAGGGCTAAGATAGAGTTAGGGAGCTGGGGCCTAGGAGAGTGGTTCTGAAGCAGGAATTGGGAAAATGGGAAAAAATCAGTGCCCCAGCCTCCTTTCCCTACTACAGTGTTCATAGCCCTTTCATATCATTTCCACCACTGCACACATTCCACACAATGAATATGTGTGATTAGAGATATGTCCATTTGACCACGGAGAACAGTGAAAACTAGAGAAGGCCGTACCATAGGAAGGCAGTGGGTGACAAAGCAGGTTGGACTAGAACTTGGGCAGGTAGCAGAGAGCATAAAATGACAAAAAGCACTGATCAGCAGCATTGTCTCCTTCTGCGTCTCTGAACAGGATCCTGTAGGGGATGCTTCAGTGTAGAAGTGGACTTTTTATAGCTTACCTCTTGGTCCCTGTGGTCCCATGGCTTGATGCCTCTTTTTTTATTTTTATTTTATTTTTAAAATTTTTAAATTTTTAATATATTTTAACAGTGCAAAGAGGTTTTTTTAATTGTGTATATGTAACATTAGACAAAATTATTTAAAGTCAATAAATTATTATTCAAGGAATTCCATGTTGTGATTTCTTCCACTGTCCATCAAGGCCAGTTTAGATCCTCTAAAGAGCTGGAGTCAAAAGATTTATCTTCAAGTTAGCCCTTTTTAATGAAACTGAAGTTTAATTTAATCCAGTTGTCCTGTCAGCCCATAATTCTTTTATTTTGGCTCTGTCATCTCCTTTTTAATATGGATATATTTTTTTAATTTATTTTATTTTATTTTAGACTCTGGGGTACATGTGCATGTTTGTTACATGAGTATACAGTGTAATGATCAGGATTGGGATTCTAGTTTATCCACCACCCAAATAGTGAAGACTGTATCTAGTAGTAGGTCATTTTTTGGAGCCCCTATACCCCCTTTTGAAGTCTCCAGTGTCTATTATTTTCATCTTTATGGCCATGTGTACCTATTGTTTAGCTCCCACTTATAAGCAAGAATATGCAGTATTTGGTTTTCTGTTTCTGTGTTTTTTCGCTTAGTGTAATGGCCTCCAGTTCCATCAATGTTGCTGCAAAGAATATCTTTCTTGTGGCTGCATAGTATTTTCTTTATTCAATCAATCATTGATGGACACTTAGGTTGGTCCCATGATTTTGCTCTTGTGAATTGTGCTGCAATAAATATGCAAGTGCAAATGTCTTGTTTATATAATGATTTATTTTTCTTTGGGTATACACCTAGTAGTGGAATTGCTGGATTGAATGGTAGTTCTATTTTTAGCTCTTTGAGAAATCTCTATACAGAGATTGAACAGAGTTCTACAGAGGTTGAACTAATTTGCATTGTCACCGACAGTGTATAAGTGTTCCCTTTTCTCCACATCCATTTCAACACTTGTTGTGTTTTGACTTTTTGTATTTTTCTTTTTTTTTTTTTTTTTTTTTTTTGAGACAGAGTCTCACTCTGTCACCCAGGCTGGAGTGCAGTGGCGTGATCTCGGCTCACTGCAAGCTCCGCCTCCCGGGTTCATGCCATTCTCCTGCCTCAGCCTCCTGAGTAGCTGGGACTACAGGTGCCTGCCACCACGCCCAGCTAATTTTTTGTATTTCTAGTAGAGATGGGGTTTCACCGTGTTAGCCAGGATGGTCTCAATCTCCTGACCTCGTGATCCGCCCACCTTGGCCTCCCAAAGTGCTGGGATTATAGGCGTGAGCCAGTGTGCTCAGTCTTTTGACTTTTTAATAATAGCCATTCTGACTGGTATAAAATGATACCTCATTATGGTTTTAATTTGCATTTCTTTGATGATTAGTGATGTTGAGCATTTTTCATAGGTTTGTTGGCTTCTTGTATTTCTTCTTCTGAGAAATGTCTGTTCATGTCATTTGCCCGGCCTATAATAGGGCTGTTTGTTGTTTTTTGTTGAGTTGTTTGAGTTTCTTGTAGATGGTGGATATTAGTCCTTTGTTGGAAGCATACTTTGCAAATATTTTCTCCCATTCTTTAGGTTGTCTGTTTACTCTGTTGATTATTTATTTTGCTGTGCAGAGCTTTTTTGTCTATTTCTCATTTTGTTTTGGGGGTCTTTGCCATAAATTCTTTGCCTATGCCAATGTCCAGAAAAGCTTTTCCTAGGATTTGTATAGTTTCAGGTCTTACCTTTAAGTCTTTAATCCACCTTGAGTTAATTTTTGTATACGGTGGGAGCCAGGGGATCCAGTTTCACTCTTCTGCATATGGTCTGCCAATTTTTCCAGCACCATTTATTAAATACAGTGTCCTTTTCTAGATGTTTATTTTTGTCAATTTAGTTGCAGATTGGTTGATTGTAGTCATGTGGCTTTACTTCTGGGTTCTGTATTCTGTTCCATTAATCTATATGTCTACTTTTCTACCAGTGCTATGCTGTTTTAGTTATTATAGCCTTGTGGTACAATTTGAATCCAGGTAATGTGATGCCTACAGATTTGTTCTTTTTGCTTAGTAGTGCTTTGATTATTTGCACTTCATTTTTTTCAATATAAACTTTAGGATTTTTTTCCTAATTCTGTTGAAAATGATGTTGTTAATTTGATAGGAACTGGGTTGAATCTATAGACTGCTTTGGGCAGCAGGGTCATTTTAATGACATTGATTCTTTCAATTCATAATCATGGGATGTTTTTTCATTTGTTTGTATCATCTACATTTTCTTTCATAAGTGTTTTGTAGTTCTCCTTATAGAGATCTTTCACCTCCTTGGTTAAACATATTTCTAAGTATTTTATTTTTTGTGTGGTTATTGTAAAAAAAAAAAAAAGGCAAAACTACAGTTACTTTCTTCAAAAAGAAGATTCTTTCCTTGTGTTTTAATTAGAAACTTTAGATTTTTAGAAATTGATGGACTAGCCTACACAAACATACAAATAATGCAAGCCTACATCTGTGACACATTGTTTAAAAAAAAAGTTTCATTTTAGTTTAGTGCAAAAATTAAGTTTATAATTCTTACCAAGTGATTATTACAAAATGTTTATTTTATTAAATCCAATGCATTCACAAGGTGTTAATACTTTAAGTATTTACCATTTCTACCAACTGCATTATCTAAGTAAACCAAGCAAGCACTTTTATCATAAATGTAGTCAATGATTATTAATACTTTTTTTAAAAAGGACCTAAACTTCTTAATCCAGTCTATCATTAATGGACATTTGGGTTGGTTCCAAGTCTTTGTTATTGTGAATAGTGCCACAATAAACATATGTGTGCATGTGTCTTTATAGTAGCATGATTTATAATCCTTTGGGTATATACCCAGTAATGGGATGGCTGGGTCAAATGGTATTTCTAGTTCTAGATCCTTGAGGAATTGTCACACTGTCTTCCACAATGGTTGAACTAGTTTACACTCCCACCAACAGTGTAAAAGTGTTCCTATTTCTCCACATCCTCTCCAGCACCTGTTTCCTGACTTTTTAATGATCACCATTCTAACTGGTGTGAGATGGTATCTCATTGTGGTTTTGATTTGCATTTCCCTGATGACCAGTGATCACGAGTATTTTTCATGTGTCTGTTGGCCGCATAAATGTCTTCTTTTGAAAAGTGTCTGTTTGCATCCTTTGCCCACTTTTTGATGGGTTGATTTCTTCTTGTAAATTTTTTTAAGTTCTTTATAGATTCTGGATATTAGCCCTTTGTCAGATGGGTAGATTGCAAAAATAAAATTTTCTCCCGTTCTATAGGTTGCCTGTTCACTCTGATGGTAGTTTATTTTGCTGTGCAGAAGCTCTTTAGTTTAATTAGATCCCATTTGTCAATTTTGGCTTTTGTTGCCATTGCTTTTGGTGTTTTAGTCATGAAATCCTTGCCCATGCCTATGTCCTGATGTGGCACATATATGCCATGGAATACTATGCAGCCATAAAAAAAGATGAGTTCATGTCCTTTGTAGCGACATGGATGAAGCTGAAAACCATCATTCTGAGCAAACTGTCGCAAGGACAGAAAACCAAACACCGCATGTTCTCACTCACAGGTAGGAATTGAACAATGAGAACACTTGGACACAGGGCGGGGAACATCACACACCGGGGCCTGTCGTGGGGTGGGGGGATGGGGGAGGGATAGCATTAGGAGAAATACCTAATGTAAATGATGAGTTAATGGGTGCAGCAAACCAACATAGCACTTGTATACATATGTAACAAACCTGCATGTTGTGCACATGTACCCTAGATCTTAAAGTATAATTTAAAAAATAAAATAAAATAAAATAAAATAAAATAATAAAAGGACCTAAACTTTCCCCAAGTTTCAGAACAGGTAGTTTTATTGTATGTTACATCTAGTAGATAATTTTTAAAAATAGTTCATATGAATGAATAGTTTCAAATAGAGTAAATATATTCTACCATGTTACAAAACACAGCAAATCAAAAGCAATTACCAAGTTGAATAATAAGTCACAAAGAAATAATTCTGGCTTGTATAGGAATGTGTAGTATATTCAACGCTCTTAACAGTTACCCACTAATACATATTTCTAAAGCTTAACTTGGAGTTCAAAGATGAGTTTCACAGTAATATAATTTTAACCTTCATTTACATTCATTTTTATATATTACTAAGATGCCTAGTCTATGTCACAATGATGCTTTCCAGTGTCCACAAATTTTAGTTTCAAGATGTGCATATGTAATTCACTAACATATGGGACAGTTCTTACTATTATTATACCAACTATCCTAAAAAGAAAAATAAAACCCTACTTTACATAGAACTCTGAACATGGTGTAACTTAAAACAGATTAGTAAAACATGATTTTTAAATATTTTAGCCATTTTCTATATATGTGTATAAACTTACCTATTTAATATATGAGAGCTACAACTTTATTCACTGAGAAATTATGCATTAATTTTCTCCAACCATCTTTCTTACCTTAACTCAAAAATCTTATGACTTGCTGACTCTGCTTCCATGAATTTCAAACTGCATTTTTTTTTTTTTGGGAGAAGGAGATGGAAGGAAGGTGATAAATACACTGTAAACAGAAATAAGCCTCCCTCAAATTAAGCCCTTTTTGTGTAAGTTCTTTTTTACTTCTAAAATATTTCTTTAATACTTTAAGAGTCAGTTACACAGGCTGGGCACGGTGGCTCATGCCCATAATCGCAGCACTTTGGGAGGCTGAGGCAGGTGGATGATTTGAGGTCAGGAGTTCAAGACCAGCCTGGCCAACGTGGTGAAACCCCATCTCTACTAAAAATACAAATATTAGCCAGGCGTGATGGCAGGTGCCTATAGTCCAAGCTACTCGGGAGGCTGAGGCAGGAGAATGTCTTGAACCCAGCAGGCAGAGGTTGCAGTGAGCCAAGAATGCACCACTGCACCCCAGCCTGGATGTCAGAGTGAGATTCCATCTCAAAAAAAAAAAAAAAAAGTCAGTTACAATGTTTCATCTTTAACACTAACACAAATAAATTACTACAGGGTAAGTCTGCCCTATCATTTTGGGACCTAAAATTCTAAATATGTGAACAGAAAAGTCAATACTTCAACGTTCAATTCTGAAACTTAGAACAGTTCTATGATTTGACTAAATGGGTCAAAGCAGTTACAAACAAACAATTCAATAGGTGGTTGGTTATTCTGCTTTTGGAGGTGGGCAAAGAACAGAGAGTGCAAATGGAATAAGAAATAAAAATTGTTTCCCATTTTGAGGGGGAGGTATGATCACAGGGCAGTTTAAACCTCTGTAAGTCCATCTGACCTATCCAACCGCCTAAGATGAAATTTTTAATTTTTAAAGTAACCCCCATTCTTTCCTTGAGACTTTCTTTAAACTGATGGGTAGTCACATCTCCAAGTACGATCAGAGCTTAGCAATTTGTTGAATAAAATATTACGAAGGTAAAAAAGACAGACTAAATTTTAAACTAGAAAAAAATCTACTCAAGTATCACATTCAGTTTTCAAGTCATTTACTGACACAGCTCAGCTACAGATTTGGCTTCAATCACTCCTGAACATACTCACACTCACAACAGGCACCCCAGCCACTGATCTGCTTTATGACACAAGGCCATATGGTGAGAGATGAATTCTCCAAGCCCAACTTTAATAGAATTCTAAAAGTAATTTCTAACTTTATGAAAATGCTTCTTCAGAAAATATTTTTCTATCACTCCTTCATCTCCTAAACTGATGGATGTGTTTTTTTTATTCTAAGCTAAATCTGAACTTGCAAAATTGATTCCAGGCAGAAAATCTCTATAAATTAAATCAAAAACAAAAATAGATTATACTTTGGATATATGTGTGTTTATGTGTGTGTGTCTGTGTGTGTATATGCGTGTGTGTCTGTGTGGGTGTGCATGTGTGTATACTGATTGGAATCCTCCAGCATTTTTAAACCAAATTAGATATGAATTTTGGGATTCTACTACTCACAGCTCAAAATCCATAATGAGATTATGCCATATTGCTTGCCTGTTATCAAAACATCTCATGTACCCCATGAATATATACACCTACTATGTACCCACAAAAATTAAAAAAACATCCATAGTGATTTAAGTATGTATTTTCTCCTGTTTCCTTCTTGGCTACCCATCTTCCTGCCAAAATACTTCAATATAGCCATGGCTCAAGTTTAATGAGAGGAGACAGAAGTTTTTGGATAGCTTTTTGTTTTTTTGTTCTTTTTACTTTGGTGATCAGGGTGGCACATAATGGTTCTTGGCCATTACATGGAGTCACTCCCTGAGGTATAGCCCTGTGGCTAAACTGGCGTCTCTGTGATTTTCCCAGCTGCTTCCCTGGGAGTGGTATTGTCACACCAGCCAGAACCGTTCTTCCTAGCCCTTGCTTCCAGATTCTCATGTGGCTTCTCAAGGGACATCCCTGGAGCTCCATTCTCTTCATTTTTGGTGGGAAACAATGCATTGGAGTGAAGTTCTTATAGTGGCTACACAAGAACTAAAGATGGCCCTTTAGGGGGCTCCTGTCACACTTCAGCATAGCTATTCATATTGTTTGCCCATTTTTAATGGGATTATTTGGGTTTTTTATTTTTTGCTGATTTGTCTGAATTCCTTGTAGGTTCTTAATATTAGTCCTTTGTCAGATGCAAAGTTTGTGAATACTTGTTCCCATTCTGTAAATTGTCTGTACACTCTGCTGGTTATTTCTTTTGCTATGCTTTTGGGGTCTTAGTCAAAATTTTTTTTTGCTCATTCTACTCAGCCACTAAGAAATAATGAAATAATATCTTTTACAGCAACTTAGATGGAACTGGAGGCTATTATCCTAAGTTAAGTAACTCAGGAATGGAAAACCAAATACCGTGTGTTCTCACTTGTAAGAGGAAGCTAAGCTATGGCTATACAGGGGCAAACAGCATTGCATAATAAACACTGGAGACTCAGAAGGGGGAAAAGGGGCTGAGGGATGAAAAACTACCTATCGGTTACAATATATACTATTCGGGTGACAGATTACACTAAAAGCCGAGACTCCAGCACTGTGCAATTCATCCATGTAACCAAAAACCACTTGTACCCTTAAAGCTATTGAAATAAAAATAAATTAATTAAAATAAATTCAATTTAAAAATGAAATAAAATAGCTTTGCTATGGGTCGTTGTGAACTCTTCCCCTCTATGTGGAGCTAAAGACCAAAATATCAAGACATTGCCCCATCATTAGGGCAGGGCTCTGTATTACCTAAGCATTTATAAGCAAATAGAGAGACTACCTCTTCTAGCATTTGTAATACTTCTCGGTGTTCAAACCACAAGACGGACAGTCAGACCAGTTAGTTAATACCAAGCTCACAGGCACTCATACACACACAGTCTTAACACAGGAGCCAGTAGGAGAAGAATCCACTTTCAACTGCATGACATGTGATAAAGTGGTAGGGTGCTCTGTGGTGTAATCTTAGTAAATTTTTCTTTTGACTTCAGGTTGAGGTAGGCATTGCTTTTTGTATCTATGATTATATAGTAGAGAATGTAATTGACTTGGAACTTTTTGTATTTTATTATAAATTGACAGATTATCATTGTATATATTTACAGGGTGCAAAGTGATGTTATGATGTATGTATGGATTGATTAAATTAACTAAAATATCCCTCATCTCAAATACTTATTTCTTGTCTTGAGTGTTGTATTAGTCCACTCTCACACTGCTATAAGGAAATACCCAAGACTGGGTAATTTATAAAGGAAAGAGGTTTAATTGACTCACGATTCTGCATGGCTGGAGAAATCTCAGGAAAATTACAATATTGGCAGAAGGGGGAGGGGAAGCAGGCATCTTCTTCACAAGGAGTCAGGAGAGCAAGGTGAGTGAAGGAAGAACTTGCCAAGTGCTTATAAAACCATCAGATCTCATGAGAACTCACTCACTATCACCAGAACAGCATGGAGGAAACTGCCCCCATGATTCAATCATATGCCACCAGGTTCTTCCCTCAACACCTGGGGATTACAATTCAAGGTAAGATTTGGGTGGGGACACAAAGTCAAATCATACCAAGTATCAATTGATATTTTAATTCTTATTTGTAATAAAGCTGCTTGGAACTTTATAAGCCAGTCAACTCATATCTACCCCAAATACAAAATACCATATATGCAAGAGGTTAGTGTGCACTGCATGGAATGCAAATTCAAGCTCATTGCCTAATTGATACAGATCATTCTTGCTGTTTGAAATTGGCTCAGCACTTTTTCTCTCAAAATTTTCTTCCACTTTTCTTAAAACATGATATTAAGAAATGCTCAAAACCAACCTGTAAAAAAAGAAAAACCTAAAAATCCCAGTTAATGAGAGATTTGACCCCAGAGCCCTCTGTCTCCAAACTAATTACAATTATAATCAAGGGACTGTAAGGAATAAGCAGCCTCGCTGCTGGATTTTACATACCAGACATGTTTAAGTTCTCAAATTCAAGAATTTTTACTTGATGGCATCAACTGAGGATAATTTTTAAGACCAAAAATTAATAAGTAAACTTGAATTGTGTGCCATTTGAATCAAAAGTGAAAGAATTAAAGATACTATAAGAGAAATGGTGAGAGAATTTATGGATGCTGCTTTGACTGTAAAGTGGGGCTTAAGGACTTTGTGAAAACAGTGACCCCACCCTCCCAATAAGTGCACCTTAGTGTTGACAATTATGCTGAGCTTCCACCGTGATCTGATTTATGCCGGTGAACATATCTAACACACACACACACACACACACACACACACACACACACAAACACACACACCACCCCATGAATCAGATTCTGATTTGTTTTACCTGTGACGATAGAAAGGAATGCCGAAGATCACTTAACATGATTTTTGCCCCTTTCTTTGTCTTATTAAGAAGACAAATTTACCTAAAAGAACCTGTTCCCTAAAAGAAAATACTTATGGAAAAGAAAAAGAAGCCTTGTGTAATGCTTGTTCTGATGTTTCTACAACCAATATTAACCAATAATTCGGAGACCTCCGGAGATGAGGGGGCTTGTCCTGAGATTTCCCTTGGGGACAGAAATATTTAAGACAAAAAAAGTTTCAAATTAAAAAAAAAAGACTCCTACTTTAATGAAAAACTTCTACCCACATAAAAACAACCTCCAGGGGCTTTGTTGAAAACTGTTAAGATAAAATATATCCCACATTTTATTCTTCGTAAAAAGGCTTATTATGTTCTCTCCTATTAACTTTCTCCTCGGGGTATTTCTGATGTCTGCAAAACATATTATAGCAGTTTCTTGCTGAAAGGTTTTGCAATGCTGTCATTGAATTAAATTCAAGAAATGACGAAAACTGTGAACAAGCATTGGAGGACTTAAATGAGGCACCTATTAAATAAGAGATGAGGAGGTAAATATAAATATCTACCTAATCCCGTTATACAGCAGACCCAGGAGGGGCTGAATGTGGGGCCAAGGTCTTCCTGAGAACTCCTCTTCAGAAGAAACTGCTCACCTTGCCAACCAAATCCTAAATTAGCCTTTCCCTTGCCAAATGTCACTGTGCCCTGCATCCTTTCTCAATCAAATGACTCCCTTTCTGAAAATGTTGAAGAGTCTGCTCTCTACAAAGCAAGTTCTCCAGGCCAAGGCAGCAGAGTCCATTAGGTGGCGAACCCTGAGGGCTTCACATTCATACATTTCCTTCACTTTCTAATTTGACTGCAGGGACAGTGAGTCTGTCTCCAAGTATGGAAAAGGAGGGATGGAGGTAGTGTGGAGGAGAAGACCACAGTGTGACACTGGGGCCTGTCTCCATTACCCACCTACAATGATTGTCCTGCCCAGCGTGGCCTCATCTACATGTTTTAAGAGTCAGTCCTATGCTGCTTGACTGCTTGTACTCAAACACAGTATTAGAGCCCCCCTTTAATTAGGGTGCAAACCAGCTTCTTCCATAGACCATAGTTTAAAAAGCATCCTCTTCTTATGATTTATAAAAAGCATTATGATCATACCTAACAACATATAAAAACTGGCAAGAAAAAATATCATCTATAATCTCACCTCACTAAATGGGGTCATTTTAGAAGAAAAAGCTGGAAAGCAGGAGGGACTCTAGCCTGGCTTCCCATCAGGACTCCGAATGATGCTTCACTGGTCACAGGGTCACAACCCAGGATTGCTGGGACATCAGGGAGAGAGACAGTCTAGGTTAGCACTTCCATGTGTACAGTAAAGGGCAGATGTTCCTGCATGCCCAGCTGAGGAAAGGTTGTGACTGAGTAGTCAGCTCCTAGAGGCTGACTCTCAGACAAGACTGAGTGAACCTGAAGCTAAGGGCTGCAGAACAAGCTACCCACACCAAGGATGAATGAGGGGTGAGGGTCGCCACCAGACCTCAGACTCAGATGCTCCAGCCTGCACTGAGGTGGAACTGGGACTGAGTCAGCCACCAGGCCCTGGCTGTGCCAAAAGAGCCCCCATGGATTCATCATCCCCAAACTTCAGCATCGGATGAATGTTCAGGGAAAAGGGTCATTACCACAGTGGCCAGGAAGGCAGAGGATAGAGCAAAGACCTGTTCATGTGCTTCTGAGGTCATCTGATGGCCATGAGGGGACATTCATACCCTGCCCTACACACCCAGATACCACTTTGGTGAGGACCACAGAGAGGGGCAAGAATATGAAAAACTGAGAATTATCCCAAGAGACTGAGCTAACCTAACCAGATGAGAACACACTTAGATTTCTCCTTTCCCCACAAGGCAGAGAGAGGGTGAGGAATGGCAGGATAAGCACTCAAGGGGAAGATTAGGTAAGTTACAGGAAAAAAGAAAAGGGAAGTTACATTTCGTTTGCATATCTCAACACAGAGTAAGTACATTTTCTACCTCTCTTTATAACATTGCAAAGATCATCCTCAAGCCTAAAGCTTTTTCTATGACTTTGGTTCTTTCTTCAGAGTAGATTCCCAGAAGGGCTATAATTCGGTTTAAAGTTTTAAAAAGTATCTAGTTATACACTGCCAGACTGCTTTCCAAAAGAAATGCAGCAATTTTGACACTTTAAAGCAATGCATGTGAGAGTAACGGTTTCTCTATGTCCTACTTTCTAAGAACTCCCTTACATTTCCAGGGAAGCAATGGAACATGGAATATGCAATAAGAGCAGGAAAAACACACCCTGACTCTCATGCATTCTGAGTGCAGATTTGAACTCTGATTTGTTTCAAGGGCTCTAAATCAGATTTGCATAGACTGTAGCCCCAAAGATCCCACCCTTCAAGGTATGTGAACTCGGCAATTTATTCATACTTTTTGCACTTTCCTTTCTCATATATAAATAGGGATAAAAATATCTACTTCCAGGAGTAATTGTGAGGATTAAATAAAATACATTTAGAAAGTGCACATTACCTATCACCTAGTAAATGCTCAATAAATGCTAGCTATTTTATTTTTGGATTAGCAACTCCTTCATGCCTCGTCCATCTCTGTTCCCTTAGGACTGGTAAAATGCCAGGCTGATGGTGATATTTAATAAACATTTGTTTAATAAATGCTGAATGTATATATTTTCGTGCATATATTTTCATGTTCATGCTTGCCTACAGGGCAGGAAAAACTTGAAGGGGCAAATTGTGTGAATCCCCGGATGCAAAGCCTCAGGGTAGCAAGTGTCAGGAGCTCCTCCATACTCAAAAACAAAGACAGAAAACACCCCCCACAGGATGCTGATAAACCAGTGAACTATTTTGGAGAGGAAACGGGGAGAACATGGGACATCAGGATAAAAATTTAAAGATGTATTGTGTGGGGATATGAAATCAAGAATACAGAAAAGAATTAGAGTGATAGGGGACAGGAGAAGATACAGTTTTTCACAGCTGACATGGACACACAACAGAGTTTTTGTGCAACCAGCTGACCCAAATATTAAAACATTCTTGGTATTCAGAAAACCGGCCGGGTGCGTTGGCTCACATGTGTAATTCTAGCACTTTGGGAGGCCAAGGCGGGTGGATCACTTGAGGTCAGGTGTTCAAAACCAGCCTAGTCAACACAGTGAAACCCCATCTCTACTAAAAATATAAAAAAATTAGCCAGGTGTGGTGGTGCTCGCCTGTAACCCCAGCTACTCAGGAGGCTGAGGCGGGAGAATCGCTTGAACCCGGGAGGCAGAGGTTGTAGTGAACCGAGATTGCGCCACTGCACTCCAGCCTGGATGGACAACAGGAACGAAACTCCATTTCAACAACAACAAAAAAGAAAACTTCTTTGTGTGAAAAACTGAACAGCAGAAACCAGCGTGCCAGAGGCTAAGGATGGAGGTGAGATATCCCTGGAAGGAACAAGTAGGTGGCTCTGAGAAGCATTCACTCCCTGAAGGAAACCAGGACATATACATATATATATTTTTTGATAGCTTGAGGAAAATAAGGATGCTGTCCTGGGGTAGACAGGAACCCATACTGTAACCAGATATTACTGGGCCCTGTCCTCTTCCCTTCTCAAAAGTGTGAACATGTCCAGATGGGGCATTCAGGGCGACAGGTATGATCACTGTCACTCTCAAGGTCTTCTCTGGCCCTCAGGCAGTGAGTCTCTCTACTTTCATCATTAGCCACAGGGGTACTCATCCATGCTCATGTACCAATAGCTCCCTTTCCCACCAGAGTCCAGAAGGTCAGCATGGCTGTGGTAGGCCGAATAATGGCCCAAAAGATTTCCAGGTCCTAATCTCTAAAACTTGTGAGTGTTACCTTGCATGGTGATACTGTTTAGATATTTGTCCTCTCCAAATCTCATGTTAAAATGTGATCCCTGGTGTTGGAGGTGTGTCTGGTGCAAAGTTTTTTGGTCATGGGGACAGATCCTTCATGAATGTTTTGGTGCTGTCCTCAAAGTAATGAGTATTTGCTCTATTAGTCCACACGAGAACTGATAGTTAAATAGAGCCAGGAACCTCCCTCCTCTACCTCTTACTTTCTTCTTTCTTGCGCTGTGATACCTGCTCTCCTTCCTTTTCCACCATGAGTGGAAGCTTCCTGAAGCCCTCTTCAGAAGCAGATTCTTGTGCCATGCTTCTTGTACAGCCTGTGAGATAGTGAGCAAAATAAACCTCTTTTCTATACAAATTACTCAGCCGGGTATTTATTTATAGCAACACAAATGAATTAAGACACCTGCTTGCTTATTCCACTCATTGCCTGAAAAAAAAAAAAAAAAAAGATGCATAGGAAATAAAACTTCTGAGATCTTCCCTACCTCAGATGCTGTATTCCAGCCTCACATTTGATTTCTATTTTGTCTGTGTATAAAATTACATTTTGGGCATCATAGAATGTTAAGGACATTTTTCCTTTGTCTTCCAGCTTTTATTTTTGCCGTTGAGAAGTTGAAAGCCATTCTAATTCCAGATCTTATGCATATGACCTCTTTTCTCCCTAGGAAAGGTTTTGGAATCCTCTCTGCCCCTAGTGTTCGGAAATTTCACATTAATTTACATTTTAATAGGTTTTGTTTGATCAACTTTGTTGGCACTCAGGGGCCCTTTCAATCTGGAAACTTCATATCCCTCAGTTTTAGAAAATCTTCTTGAATTACTTATGTGATAATTTTCTTCCATTTTCTCTGTCCTAAAGCATATACTTTTACAAGCTGGACCTTCAAAGTTAGCCCTTTGCTTTTTTTAATATTTCTATTCTATTCTTCATCTCTGCATTTTTTTCTTCTTGTTATTCTACTTTCTGAAACATTTTCTCATTTTATCTTCCAAACTTTTTATTGAGACTTTTTTAGACCTCTATAATAAGTTTGGTAAGCTTAAAAGCTCTTTTGGGTAACATGAATGTCTTTCTTTTGTTGATTTGTCTATCGTTGTTTTTTAGATGAATTTTCATTTATTTCTCTAAAAATATACTTCCTTAAAGAAAGTGTTCTACTTTTACATACTTTCTCTTTCTTCCAAAAGTTTTTTATTTCTTTTTCTGTCTGTTTTGTACTCTGGCTCTCCTCAAATCCATCTGCTGATAGTTGGTTATGTCTTCATTTTTAAGAAGGAGGAACTAAAAATCTAATTGCAAGGTTGTTTGTAGGTATGGGGTTTATCTCATAGCAGACCTCACTGTAGTGTGACACAAGAAGGACTCAGCTGTTTCCCTTTAGATCCCTAAAAATTATTATTGATAGTGCTTTTCTCTTGTGCAGATACTTTCCAGAAAGAAATCTATGAATTTTCTGCTAGGAGGTTGGGACCATGGGGGTAAACCCCACTGTGATGATTTTGGGAGGCAAGTGGAGGAAAGAGATTGAGGATATGGATCTTACTGTTTATATCATCGACCTTTATTTAATTCTCCTATTTGTATTGAAATCCCAAACCTCAGTAAAGAGTCACATTCATTTAACTTCTTCAGAGAGCTAATCACTGGTCTTATGCAGGAGTGTAGGAGTGTCCTAGTGATGTTTCTTTAAAGATGTTATCATGACTTTTTCTTGCTCATTCCTCTTCAATGGCTCCTTAATGCTAATTGGGTAAAATTCAACTTACTAAGCATAACCTTGAGCTGGTTTCTGATCATCCTTCCACCTTCTCTCTCAACACACTTTTCCCCTCCTCATCTCGCTATTGTCATTTTCTCTGTCTCTGCTGTACGTTCCAGGTACACTGGGCTTGTTTTAATTGCCTGCCTGACCCTTGCTCTTTCAGACTTACGAACCTTCTCAAATGTTATATCCTCTGCCAATGACCGATATTTTGACCTCTGTTTTACATGGCTAACTCCTACCTATTCATTAGGTATCAGCCTATATGTCACTTCCCATGAGAAAATTTTCTTGAGTTAGATTAATTGAGTTAGATACCACATCATGTGCTTCCTTTAGCACCCTGTTCTTTTGTCTTTACTACACTATGTTATAATTTGCTCATATGTTTGATTCCCCACCAGAGCAAATTAAAGTTCTCTAAATGCAGGGACATTATCTAACTGGTACAATACTGTTTTCCACAGTATTGATTGCAATACCTGGTCCAGAGAAGTGTTTCAATAAACATTAGTTAGATGAAGTAACTAAGGAAGTGAAGGAGGTAGGATGGGAGGGAGGAAGGGAAAAATGGGGAAGCCACTGGGGTTCCTTTCTTCTACCTTCTCAGGTCCTGACTTGGTGTTAAGATAAATCTGAAATATAATAAGGTATGTGTGGTTACTTTCCCTTAAACTAATTAAACTAATGTACCTGTAAAAATGTTAAGCTGATGGCCAGGCGCGGTGGCTCACGCCTGTAATCCCAGCACTTTGGGAGGCTGAGGCGGGCGGATCACGAGGTCAGGAGATCGAGACCATCCCGGCTAAAACGGTGAAACCCCGTCTCTACTAAAAATACAAAAAATTAGCCGGGCGTAGTGGGGGGCGCCTGTAGTCCCAGCTACTTGGGAGGCTGAGGCAGGAGAATGGCGTGAACCCGGGAGGCGGAGCTTGCAGTGAGCCGAGATCCCGCCACTGCACTCCAGCCTGGGCGACAGAGCGAGACTCCGTCTCAAAAAAAAAAAAAAAAAAAATGTTAAGCTGATGCAAGATATGATGATTAGAATGGATATACCTCTTCTAGTCTATACAAAATGGACATTAACTCAGTTTACCTCCCTATCTCAGAAACACACCAAGAGACACCAGAAAGGCCAGACTCTTGTCCAATATACTTTCTTAAGTATATTGGGACAGCTCATATTTAGTCTTCTACTATTTGTAAGAGTTAAAGAAAGAGAAAAGAAACATGAAACACGTCCTGGCAGCCAAAGACAGGTTTTCTTCGGATAAAACCTAAGAGGGGCTTCTGGCCAATTTCAGTAAGGAGCGTTTTCTCTTACAGACTAACAGTATATATTGCTTTTAGGGTGAGGGGCTTATTACAAGCTTGGAATGTTCCTGTGTGAGGGAGAAGTTTTATGGTGGGGTTGGAATGTCTTTGAGGGGAGGGGAGGTTATCTTGGGGCAGACATCTTTCCAGCCGGAGTGGGGTTATCTCGAGGCTGGCAACTTCCTGGCCAGAGGTGAATTATCTCAGGGCTAGCATGTCCCTGGTCAGGGAGGAGTTTGTAATGTTTCTGGTTGGAGATGTTGTTTGTGGTTTATGGTTGTGCTGACCTTAGCCATTAGGCTGATGCCCTTTGGATTTAGGTGGTTTTTTATTAAGGTGAACTTTAGAATGAGGGGCTTGTCAAAGATGGTGATACTCCTGCTCTGTCACTATTTGGGGGAGAAAAAAACAACATGTGGCTTACTGATTGTATATGAGCAGCATTAGAAATAAAACATGATCTACAATTGGATTTTATGATACACCAATTTGGAGGATAGAAGGAGAAAGAATTTCCCATGTTGTTCTTCAATTTACATTTTGATTCCCCAGGTAAACCTATTTGACAATAAGCTACATAGGGTACAAACTGTTCCTTCACCTTCCTCTGTAACTCCCTGGTGCTTAGCACTCGGCAGAGCAGGGCTGCACTCCATGCTGCTGCCCTACTCACTCCCTCTGCACCCATCACATCTCCTTTCTGAGGGCCCTTCATCAATCCTTTCCCCAGAGGCCCTTGCCCCAGCAATTTTCCTCCCAATTACCATTAAAGTATACCCTTTCTCATCAGTTACATGTAGTAGCTCCTAGATAGATGACACCATTACCTTCCAGATGAAATTTCTAGCCTTATTAGATGGTAGCAGAGCCTTCTGAGGGATATATTAGAACACTGAGTCTGGCCCTGTTTGAACCCTGGCAACCATGCTGAGAGGAACCCAGCTGCAAACTAAATGACCTAATAAGGTCTTTTTCATCTGTAGTATCTCTGATTATAGGCCTGTCATTTTTATTCCCATTCCAGAATAGATTTATTACTTTCTGAAGACTTAAAAACAAACAAACCTCATTCGGTTGTTTATGAGGCCAGAAGTGTTGAATTTAGATAAGTTCAGGTTTAATGACACATTTGACCTACCACATTCAGTCTCCCTAGAAACTTAGTCACAATGTCTGAACGTGTAACATTAACAACTAACCCTCTGTGAAGAAAAACCCCTATATGGACACTTGCAGTGCAACTTTGAAATGACTACATGTTCTGGGAGTCTAGTAAGTACTCTACCTTTGGAATAGCCACTTTCACCCTAACAGGCCAAAGAATTTGCAAATATATCCCAGAAGAGAATATTTCACGTAATTTTAAAATATAAGAGTTCATGTTTGTGTGCCTTGCCCAGTCATGCCCAAAGCAAAGATGGGAAGGGAAGAGTGAAGTGGGGAGGTGATAGTATATCTGCCATTCCTATGACAGTCAGATACTATTGTCAGAGTTTTATCATGTCACATCCAAGGTCACTTTGACTTCAAGTCTGTCCCTTCTTAGGAAACTCAAGGTGAACTTTAGAAATCCTACTGCTTGATTGTTTCTACTAAGCTTATTTTTACATCAGTGTTTCCCAGTCTGTCATGCTACTTGCCATTTGTATGGAAGAGTTAACACAGCAGGCTATCTTTATGAAGGCCTTTTTGCAAGGTGAAGGTCAGCCTTTGGCAACTAGGCATTTGTATTTCAAAAGGATTTCCACCACCCTAATTGACAAGAGTGGCCCACTATGCCTAAACCATTATACAAACAATATGATGTCTGCTAAACATCTGCTTTCTTTGTGGAAGTCTAGAATCTTGTTATGTGCTTGGCAAAAGGTGCCCACATGATCAGCCTGCAATGAAAACCCTGGGCACTGAGTCTCTAAGGAGTTTCCCTGGCTGGCAATATTTTACATGTGTTGTCATGACTTGTTCCTAGGGAATGAAGCATGGACTGTGTGACTCTACCAGGAGCGACCCCTTGGAAGCTTGTATTTGGTATCCTCTGGACTTCATTCATGTACTTTTTCCCTTTCCTGATTTTGCTTTTGATTCTTTTGCTATAATAAATTGAAGCCATGATTTGATGAGGCCTGGGGGAGACTTCCTAGCAAATTATTGAACCCTAGAGTGGTTTGGGAGACCCCTGACTTGCAGCTGTAGTCAAAACATTTTGCAATTAGAAGGCACTATTATCAATTACATTATTTTTAACATTGAAGTTATCTGTTCTTTAAGTTTCTAAAGAGTGGTTCCTTGTAATGCATAAACTCATTTTTCTTGGTTGCTCCCAAAAGAAACATATTGTGATCCTCTTCATTTTCTGATCTTGATTCAGTGTGTTACTTTCTCCTATGGAGCGTTGTTTCAAGAGTTACTTGTATAACGACAAGCTGAATGCATAACAGGCTTGGTTCACTCACCAATACTCTGGCAATACTTTATATTCTTTGTTAGCACCACTTTTTTTCTGGAATACTCTGTATTCTGTTCCCACATAGATTTTGAAAATTTTGCCTTGGTTTTGGTTTTAATATTGAAGGATCCAAGCTCTATTTCGTCTTTTGTTCTCACACCCCACGCTGGTTTGCAGTTGCCTGTGCCTGTGATCTTATTGACCCCAATCACTTCAAAGGCACTTGGATCTCAGGACAAGAGCCTTTGAGAAAAAGATGCTTTGTTTCTTTGGCAGGAAACTTACAAGTGAAAAGTTTTACTTGTATACTAATCTTATTTAATTGGATTTATTTTATAAAGCGGAGAAAAAGATATTGGTACTACCAATTCCAGGTCAAGATCACCCTCTCAGCGCACTTTATACGAAACCCAGATCACACTTTAGGAAATGTGATCAGAGACCTCTGTTATACTCCACTGGGTTAGAGCCAGTCCTTACTAATGTGATGTAAGAACCAAGAACCTGTTAGGCAGACATAAGAACTCAAATTATTCCTTTAAATCTTGTCAGACAAGCTTAGAGATGGCAACCTAAAAAGGAGAGAAAGCAAACTCCACATAAACATTAGCTTTCTGCCTAAATCCCTGAAATCTATGTCAACTGCATATGGGCAGTTTATCTCTCTAAGAGCATCCCACTCCCGGTGATACGCCCAGCTCTGACACATCACGCACGATTGTTATTCATCATCTGGTCACTGGGTTTAAGGCACAGCTCAGCCACTTATTAACTGTGTGACATTGACCAAGTTAATCACATACATTGGCCTGAATTTCCTAATCTGTAATATGCAGATGATAACAGTATCTAACTCATAGTGATATTGTTAGGATTAAAGAGTTTATACATATTCAACATTTAAATGACTGCCAGTCACCCAGTAAGCCCAATAATCTAATTACTCATTAGCATTAATATTATTGTAGCCACTTGAGGTCACAGTTTTCTTTTCAAACAAAAAGAAATCCTTGTTTCTTAAGTTGGCAAAGTTCCATACAGCCCAATGACTCTCTACTATGGTTTGAATCATTAGAAGAAAATATATTTGACATTGAACCTTCAAGAAGTGAAAAACAGGAACTAATCCAAGTTAAAGTGAAAGGGCAGGAATTACAGCTGGCCGATGACATGGATCACTCCTTTATTGAGAGCTAAAAATGGCAGCATTTTAAAAGACTTTACATAACTCTTAAAAAGCAAAACGCTCTGTGATTTTTTTTTTTTCCTGAACTCAAGACTAGCCAAGCATGAAGTTTCCTAGAAGCCTCTTCTTAATTATCTTTTGTCCACCCCACCCCACCTCAACTCCTGGAAATAAGTCAGCATCCAGCCACTGCAGCCACCTCGATGCTATACCTTAATTCATAAAATTGAATGATTAAGACCCATCAAGCCCTGCAGATGTTTTTTCAGTCCTAATATTTTCAATAACAACTCGATATTGGGTGTTAGGGAAATCCAATAATGCTGCCTCTAAGCCATATGTCAAATGCAACTCAAGTTCCCAAAGGGTTGTGAGAAATGATGAATGCATTATCAAGTTTTTGAAATCTTTTTTCTAAATGAAGTGCAAAATATTTTGATGATTAGGAAATTAGTCATAGGCTTATTTAAAGGCATATGTGGACACAGTTTACTATTTTATCTAGAAGAACTGCCTTAGGCTTAGATCATAAATCTCTGAAACTAAACATAGCCAATAATATGGATTTTCTTTTTTAAACTGGCAAAAGGCCCACGCTTCATGATTTTGTTCCTGTTTGTTTCTTAAAGAACGATTTTCCTTAGTGTCACTTCAAACTGTTACAGTTTGTTGACATGATGTCAACTTTAGCTCAAGCCTCACTACTTAAATTGTAATATCCAGAAACCATTTGTAGATGAGAATCATAACACTAAGGATTACCGCGTTCCAGGGATTCATTGGCCAACCTTCTCCAAAGAGACTTTTAGTGATTTTTTTGAGTAGACATAATGCAGGGAGAGGAGAGAGTGTCTCTAATGTGCTTTTTATTATCTGTTCGTTCCCATTAATGTCGCCAGAAATTTTAAATGCCTTAGAATTTAGCCAAAACAGAAATAGATCATGGGTTCAGAGATCTAACAGTCAGACACATTGTCATCTTGCTGGATATTTTTATGTTGGGGGGTGTGTGGGTTTGATACGCAGAGGAATAGATGTTATTCTATCTTGCAAGTGTCAGGGAAAAAATCTGAAGCTATAATACAAATCATTGAAGGAGTCAGAATGTCCTTGCCTTTAAGGTATTCACAGTAGCAAATGTGTGTGTGCACACACATATACACAAATATCCTGGAAATTTTCAAAGATTAGAATTTGAGAATATGAACTAGATTGCTGGGGATAAAAATAGGTAGCAAGTGTCTATGAAAGGAGGAAAGGATCAGAGAGAAGGAAAAGGAAGCAGCATTTATTGAATAACTGTGCGACGGAGTAAATATGATTTTACTTGGGTTGACTCTTTTAATCCTCACCCCAACCCAGCTTAATCAGCAGTATTTTAGTGGTGAGAAGCTTAGCTCTGAACAAAAGGTCAGTAGATTCCAAAATCCTACCTTTTACCAAATATGACACATTAACTTACCAGACCACGAGCTATTAATTTCCTTTCATGTAAATGTTATCCTCTTTATTTTGGAAATTTTCCACTATATGGTATACATGTGTGTGCAAACACACACGCACATATTTTATGTACTGTATTTAATACTATACTATAAAACATTCTGAAGGCAAGGGTATTCTTGCTCCTTTATGGTACCTGTTATAGCTTCAGTACCAACTGGTGGAGGCAATCTCTAGGTGACACAAAAGAAAGTAAAATTGTAATCAATTAACCAATTAGAATTGATTATCATCCCCATTAAAGTTGTTAACATTAACTGTCCACATTACTGCATGTGTTATAATCTGCCTGCATTACTACAAAGGAATCCATCCCTGTGACTGTAATTTATAATGAAAAGAGGTTTAATTGACTCATGGTTCTTAAGGGTGTACAGGAAGCACGGGGCCAGCATCTGCTTCTGGTGAGGACATCAGGAAGCTTACAATCATGGCAGAAGGCAAAGGAAGAGCAGACATATCACATGGCGTGAAAGGGAGCAAGAAGAGAGCAGGGAGGTGCCACACATTTTTAAACAACCAGATATCACATAAACTCACTCATCCGCAAGAGGGTGGTGCTAGACCATTCATAACGGATCTACCCCTATGACCCAAACGCCTCCCGCTAGGTCCCACCTCCAAAACTTGGGATTACATTTAACATGAGATTTGGAGGGGACAAACATCCAAACCCTAATACTGCATTTTAGGGAAAGCCTGAGTAAAAAATAAACAAAAACTATGGAAACCCTCTATCAAAGAAAGTTGTATGTGTGATTCGAATATACAGAACTAATACTAAAGATGGTACTGCTCTGGGGGAAGCAGGGGTGAGCAGAATTGCCTCCACCTTGGCCTTGCCTGTACACACAACAGCCCGTGAGCCACTGCCTTCGAGCCTCCCAGACTTCACAAAGTACAATTTTAGAAACAATTAGACCAGAATACTTGAGCCCTATAACCTCAGCTTCCCAGAGCAATACCTCCATTGTTTGGCCTCAATAAGAGAGATAATTGTTTAAAAATTTAACAATAATACAACACTGGGTTCTAATTTCTTCTTCAATTGTCAATTAATGGATAAATGGCAGAGTCAGGAGTCTATGCTAGGAGGTTGTTCCAAAGACAATTCCCTAAGAATCTGGACCACAGACTTCAGGGGAAATTTCTAAGCCATTCAATACCAGTATGAATATAAAAATGGAACAGAGTTTCCTCATCGAAATGTTAGTCTAGAATATTCCATTTCAAGTGAAATAAAGCTGGCTAATTTTTTGTAGTTTTTAGTAGAGACAGGGTTTCACCATCTTGGCCAGGCTGGTCTTGAACTCCTGACCTCATGATCAACCTGCCTCAGCCTCCCAAAGTGCTGGGATTACAGGCGTGAGCCACTGCACCCAGCCCAACAAGATATATTTTAAAATGTACACACTGCCACACAGAAAATGGAAAATACAAAAGAGAGATTAAGACATATGGTGTATTAGTCTGTTTTCACTCTGCTAATAAAGACATACCTGAAACTGGGTAATTTATAAAGGAAACAGGTTTAATTGACTCACGGTTTCACATGGGTGGGGAGGCCTTACAATCATGGTGGAAGGCAAACGGGGAGCAAAGTCACATCTTACATGGTGGCAGGAAAAAGAGCTTGTGCAGGGGAACTCCCCTTTATAAAACCATCAGATCTCATGAGACTTATTCACTACCATGAGAACATTATGGGGAAAACAGCCCCCCATGATTCAACTATCTCTACCTGGCCCTGTCCTTGACATGTGGGGATTATTACAATTTAAGGTGAGATTTGGGTAGGGACACAGCCAAACTGTATCAAATGGCTAATATATAAAAAGGTATATCATGTATGTAATCAGTTTCCCAAAAAGATAGAATAAAAACAATAATGAGGCAATATTTTAAAATATCATGAATTTTTATCTATTTTAGCCAATAGACAATAT
This sequence comes from Homo sapiens, assembly GCF_000001405.40. Lineage (NCBI taxonomy): Eukaryota > Metazoa > Chordata > Mammalia > Primates > Hominidae > Homo > Homo sapiens. The sequence goes on from NC_000001.11 coordinate 222,228,337, forward strand.
AAATCTACAGGTATTGGAAGCCCAAGATATTTCAAGCAGGAAAAATAGAAACAAATCCATGTCTAAATATATCATAATAAAGTTGAAAAACAACAAAGACAAAGTAAACGTTGTTAAAGAATCCAGAAAGGAAGAATGGGTTACCTAAAAAGGATGAAAATAAGAATGACAATAGACTACTCAAAAGCAATAATAGAATCCAGAAGACAGTGGAATAATAGCTTCAATGAATTGAGATAAAATAATTGCCATTGTAAAATTTTTTAACCAGCAGAATTATATTCACAAACAATAATAAAATAAAGTCCTTTACAAATATAAACAAATACTGAGAGTTTACCACCAAAAATCTAATACTCTTTATTAAAGAGATAATAATGAATTACTTCTGATAAAGGAAAATAATCCCAGAAGATAGTCGATATGAGAAAAGGGGATCAAAGTTAAATGTAACTAAGGTTCTGAAGTTTTTCCCTAACTATGAGGTTACCACATTCATCTCACAAGCAAGTGGTCCTCAGTTTAAAATCAGAGAGTGAGGCTGGCTCTTATCCTTGGCCCTAAATGACTTCCCAGTAGTTGACAGTTCAGCTCCTGAGATTCAGTGGCAAAATAGGCTGGCATGTTTAACTAATAATGAAATGTTGGTTGGTCAAACCCACCCTGGAATTAGCTCTTAGTAAGTTGTGCTGGTCTTTTCCTGATGCTACTTTTTTCTTTCTTTCTATTAGAATAACTCACTTGACTTATGTTCTCACCTGGCTCAAATAGTATGTTTTGCGCCTAGTGATGACATTCCCCTACTCCCCGCACCAATCCAGGGCCTTAGTTGAGAAGTCACTATTGCAGCCACTGAAGCTGAGGCTGAATCTTGACATCTCTGAGTCACCCTTTCTTAAAAGCAATATCTTAAGAAGTTTTTTCCTACAATACTTCTCAGCTAGCCTTTAATACTGGGCAATATCCAAGTCAAATAAGAACCCTCACTTCTCTCTTTGTTCAATCACTCCCAAGGTGAGTTCTCCACTCTTAGAGAATCTTGCAGGTAAAATGTTGGCTTGAGCCTGAGGTATAATAGCTTATTTTTACTAGCATTTTGTTTGTTCAACTGGTTTGGCATTTGGGAAGAGAGATTCTACAGTCCTTTTTAAAGCCATTAACTTCACACTAGAATTAAAATACATTTCTAAAGGGGAAGGAAAAAACATCTGCCTAATGTTTAGATAATGCAGTAGCTTGGAAGATGCAAACTGGGGCAATTAGTGCACTGAAAACTTTATCCAAGGAAACTCCCTAGTGTGCAGGATAAAGAGGTAAGTAATGAAAAATGAGACGTTAGCAAACACACAGGATAGAATTAGAAGATTCAATACACTCTATAGAAGTAGATTAATATATGCTATACAGAAGATAAATTATTCAAAAAATGGCTGAAATGTTCCAATATTGAAGAAAAACAAGAAGATACGTCACTGAAGGAGTACCTCTAATACCAAGCTGGCTGCGGAGCACACTTGCATTCTTGCACTTGACACACCATATGGTGAGTATTGATTTTCTTGTCTATCTCCTCACTCAGAATTAAGCCAATTGAGAGCAGGAAATCTATCATATTCTTTTTTGTATTACTAGCACCCATGCAGAGATTTGCAAAGCTTAATAAACATGTGTTGCTCACAGAGGGTAGAAAATAGAAGATGTTTATTAAGAAAATAATTACTACACATTTGTTGAATAAAGGGGGCATGCACTGTGGAGTGTGACCATTTTTCCTGCAGATGTTTGTATGACATCAGCCTTTCCCATCTATAGGATGCTGCAGCTGGGGTTGGGGAGGGGAAGATAGCTCCGTTCTGAAGAGAAGAGTTCACTCGAGGGCTATGATTTCTGAGACCTGCTCTGTAGCCTTATTTATTCTTCCTATTTATCCTAAATAGGAATCTGGTTGTGTGTAAAACAGAGAATTGACATCAACCTGAAGCACATGGAACAAGAGCAAAGGACTGAATAATATACAAAAAAGACAGGTGGTAAGTGAAATACAAAAATTTTAATAGCAACAAAAAAAATCATGAGCCAATGGAATGAAAATTTAGCCCTTCTTCCCCCCACCCCTTCCAAAAATGCCTGAGAACAGGGGAGGTCAGCAAAACTTAGATTCCGTGAAAATGTCTAATCTGTGGACTACTCCACTAAATATCTTTATTGTGATGAAAAGTGATAACACTTGGGATTCACAGAAGTTTTTCATTTTTGCCACCTCTGTACAAAATCTGATTAATTAGTCCTGACAGTGCTGCTCCGACAGATGCTGGTTAGTGGCAGCAACAGCGTGGGTGTCCTCATACACATGCCTATTGTATAAGATCTGCGTCCATCCATTCCTCTCCTCTACAATTTCCCATCATACACAACTTAAACTCTCATGGCAGATTTTAGGCAAAGTCCCATCTTCAGCTTGGCCCTCTGCATTTCCTTCAGAGTATGTCTCCCCTCGGAGTTAGCCAACATTAAAATGTACCCCAGGATTCTAGTCTGAAAATGAAGAACGTGTGATAAGCCCAATGCTTTCCTCATGTAAGGAGCCCATCCCTTCATGTTTGTAGACTGATGCTACAAGGACCTGCCTTCCAAGATATTTCCCAAATAATGAGAAGAAAATAAAAACAAAAACAAATATGAGAAATGGCAATGTCACCACTCCGAAGGAGAGAGATAAAAGGAAACTCCTCAAAAGAACTGAAATACTACTCTCCTTCCTTTATCCTACCAATGTTTCTTCACGAAAAAAATCTAGACTCAAATGAAGTTGCCTTATTTGTGAAAGACTACACTCTCTCTCTCCATGTTTGGATACCTAACTCAAATCTTATACCAGAGCCCACTAATGTGAAGACAGGATAAACACATTGACATTGAAAAGCTATTGGTGTTTCCCTACTTCTACTGTGCTCTGGCTCTAATAGCAATTGAGCCTGGATCAAGACACCTGTGCTAACTTCCAAACCCAAGTCTGTGGACTTGTTAGAGAGTGGGCTGGGATGATTTCCCCACCTGAGATTCATGTTGTCCAATTTCTGATGAATTAGTTGGGTATTTGGCATCAGTTAATTGAAGTGTCCCCCAAAACTATCTTAAAACACTTTTATAAAACATCTAAGAAAAGATGATAAGATGAAAAATGATAGAAGCCCCACAAAACTATGGCAATCATAATCAAATGGTCATAATTATTCCTGCAAATCATGTGAGTGATTTGAAGTCAAACAAATGTAAAGCTAATAAAATAAAAACATAGAGCCATGATTTTTAATTTAAGATGATGATCTAAGGAGCAAAGCAAGGAAAGAAATTAAATAGGCCATTTTAAACACTCCAGAAAACCTCATTTTACAGCCTCATTCATTCTACAAATATGGCTTCTTGTTAATAATTTAACCTTAACAGTTCCCAACTGTGGCACAGTTTAACAATCCACTTACAATGGCTGTAAATTATTCAAATAAGACAAAGTTAAATGGTCACCAACCGCTCAATATGTAAGTTAACGGCTCTCTGAAGTCCCATCTCATCTTTAAAACATGACTATTTTGACATTCACTCATTTTAATAAGATTTTGGAACTCTCTGAAAACCTCTAGCAGCTCTTCTCTGGGGACAGAACCTCCTTAAGGTATCAAATTGTCAGAAGTCTGTATGCTTCATCTGCGTTCATTCCCAGTGGTTCTTGACTTGAGTGAGTTTCCATGTCAACCTTCCTAGGCCTTCGGATGCCATGAGGTGTGGGGTATCATTGGAAGATGAGACTGAGAAAAACTGATTACGGGTTATGGAAAGCAAGGACTCCCATATAAACTTCTCCAAAGGATTGGGCAATATAGAGATGTCTTTAACTGGCACTCATGTCCATGCAAAGTCTATGCAAAGGTCAGAAGTTCCAGAGGTGGCCAGTATGCCAGCTGCTAGGAAGAAAATGAGAAAGGGGTTTGTTTTTCAGGTGGGAAAAAAAGAATCCTGGCAAGGGTTAGGTAAGATGGTAAGATCCTAGTCAGAAGGGCTGAGGTCCGGAGCAGAGCATCGTCCTAATATGAAACTTGAGGCTGCATAAAAAGCAAGTACAGCCCAGTCCTGCAGAATAGGGATCCACGTTCCAGCTTAGGTGAGGGCTGCAGCATCATGAACTGCAACACCTGGAGTTCACCCTAGGCCACTAGAAACCTAGAGCAGCAAAATAATTTCCATGCCATATGACTGGTGGGTTAGAGCTGCGTGATACTCAGCCTCCTGAGTCAGCTTGGCTTAAGTTCTAGGCAGAGAGAGGCTTCAGGTAGAAGAAGTCAGTATATGCACTGAAGTGGGCTGGAGAAGGCAGGGGATGAAACAAACGGAGTTCCCTTTACCTCAATAAGTCTGTGAAATAAATAATGAAGATGGGCATAAGGCTTCTTATGTCCTAAGAGCAATGCCATTACTGACTTAGAGATGCCCTCTCTCAAACCATTCCATGGCCCCTTTAGAAATGTACCATTAAGCCAGTATGTGATGTTTTTAATAGCTTGAAGAAATCCATTTATCCTTTACCTCTTAAGTATACTAGGTAGTCAATTGTAAGATGTGAATTTTTTTCACATTTTAATGTCTCTAACAATCAACTGTTGTCTCACAACCACTACTGGTTGCCATGGCAGACTGTCATTTTCCATATGCACATGAACTTGGGTGCTATTCCTAGGGCTTGTCTGAACAACTGGAAACTCTTAAGCATTTCAGTCCATACAGTGTCCAAGGATCACTTGAAGAAGTATGATTTCTGGTTGTCATTTTCTGGTAAGACCAAAAAAATGCATGCATCAAAACATGTGGAAAAGGTCTCAGTAGCCCTAAGAAAAATCCAAGAGACACAGTGAAGAACATTTCTTTGAAAGCTCTTGATGGCGCAGAGTGCAAAAGTGAGTGGAAAAACATGGACATTGATGACAGAACTGAAAAGCTATTCAGAAAAATCAGATCCTAAGTTTGAATAAGTTTTAGGAACTGAGAAATATAAATGAAATTCTTATCCTCCAACTGACTGAATGGGCCCCCTCTTGGCCAAGGGGACCCAGAAAACCTTGAAAACTGAATTCTCACGGGGATGGGTGTTCAGACACACCTACTAATACCCCCTCTATCACTAATGGTGTTAGGCTTTTTTCCCTAAGGGCTAAACAAAAACCAGCCCTCTGGAAATATTGCTCCACCCCTGACATTAACCAACTGCCTGACGTTTTCCCTTTCTTTTGCAGTTTCAGCAAAGCAACTGACCAGCATTCCTTCCTGATAAGAAACCGCCATCCATGGAGTGGTTCTGGCCAGTCTATGGAGAATGTAGTGAAGGTTTTCATGTCTTCTGCTTCACTTTTTGACATTAGAAGGCCAAAATCTCCACCTTGGATTATGCTAACACCTCCATTTATTGAACAAGGGTCATGTCCCTTGTCCCATGAACAAGGACAAAAAGCATGAAGTTCAACTGTGCATGTGCATGTTTCTCCTTTCATAAATATTCATGACTGTTCCCATAGCTTATTGAATATGTATATCTGGCCACCCCATTCAGCATAAATTCCTGCCTTACTCTTCAAGTGTCATTCCAGGATTCTGACCGGAGGGAGGCGACACTTCCCAGCCTGTCAGAATGGCCACCCTGCAGGCTGCAACTCTTTATGGGAAATAAAGCTCTCCTTTCCAAATTTATGAATCTTGTCTTTCTTCAGTTGTCAGAATGTATTAACCAATTTCTTTTGTTTATATCTTCCTTTCTATGGAATACGCAACAGTGATATATGTTTCTTAAAAACATGTATAAGTCTAAAAGAATCAATTTCAGTAAGTTTAAAGACTCTAAATGATAAAATTGTAACATTGCTTAATTTGAAGAAAATTTTCTTTATTAGCAGTACACAAAATATAGTGGCTTAAGATCAAAAGCATTTGGATTTAATGAAATACACCAGCACTTCCCATTCTCCCAGGTTGTATCGTTTTATTTAATCCCATCAAGAACCATTTTTTACAACTGTCACCTCACTTTCCATGTTTCAACCAAACTGACCTTGCTGAAGTGACTCAAATGTGCTGTGGCAGAGAATGCTCATGCTTGCTAGTGTCCCTGTTTTGCCTCTTATTCCAGAGCACAGGCTAGATGGTAAATCCCAATGCTTTGTAATTGTAATGTGTATGAATTCTGAACAATGGCACATTTGTGCAAGGGATATACGCCACCCTCAGGCCTGGTCTCCAAAACCACTCATGCAATACAAGTACTCACTCTCTATGCCCTCTTTATACCACACTTAAGGTGATCCCCATCACAAATTTGGGACCCATTGGTAAAAGTAGCAGGACCCTCCTCAGCTTGGATCCCTAAACAATTAAGTGGAGCAGAAGTTCCATACTTACTAATGCCTACTAGGTTCCTCTACAAATAAACAAAAGATAAACTTTAACTGCATGAAGCCATTAAGATATGGTGCATTTTATGTTGTTGTCCTTGTTGTCAAAGTAGTTATCTTATCCTGCCAAGCACATTCGCACCTCCTGCTTTTGTACCTGCTAGTTCTTCTTCTCCAGGCATTCATTGGCTCAATCTGTCACTTATTTATGTCTGTTTTAGAGAAAAACTCCATGTTTTTCCTCTGCTCTCGCACCACAACAATTAACACAGAAAACTTCCATGACCAAATGTGTGGGGGTTTTCTCCCACACACCAAGCAGCAGACACCAGCTGAGTGTCCTCTAATTTAATTCTGACACTATTTTCCTGCATTTAGTGAACTCCAACAGGTTGGGGGCTCAGTCCCCAAGACTGCTCCCCCAACTCCCAGACTTCAATAACAAGTCTGAGCCTCTGAAACTTCTGGCTGACAAGCTTCAAGTTGGGGTTCTCATGACTGTCTCTTTGGGTTCAATTAATTTGCTGGTGTGGCTCACAGAACTCAGGGAAACACTTACTTGTGCTTACCAATTTGTAAGGATATTACAAAGGATACAGATGAGGTATGAGAGAAGGGGAGCAGAGCTTCCATGCCCTCCCTGGGAAGTTCCTCCAGGAACCTCCAGGTGTTCAGCTATTGGGAAGCTCCTCAAACCCTATCCTTTGGGCCTTTTATGGAGGCTTCATTGGTTGTCCATGATTGAAGCATGGACAACCATGTCAAAATGTGATTGGACAAAAAGGATAAGATCTAAGCCCAGCAAGAGACCTGTCTGTTCAGATTCTTCTTGGTCTTTCTGTGCAGCAATCTTTCCTCCAGAGTATGGGGAAGGACTCTCTCTGGAATGAGGGTCTTATGATTTACAATGAGATTAGAATCTTGCATTAAGTAGGTGAAAAGAGGACAGGAGAAGGTCAGAGAGAAAGATTTTGCTTTCTGAGGCCTAAAGCACCCCGACATTATAACAAAAGACTATAACAAGGGTGATGGGAGTTATAAACCAGGAACCATGGATGAATACGTATATAAAAATAACACCATAGGGTCTATTCTCAAATGTCACATCCTCAGAGAGGCCATCTCTGACTTTCCTATCTCTCTGATCCCTTATGTTGCTTTATTTTTCTTCATAACTATCAATGAAAAAGAGTCAAACTCTGTAAAATATTTGAAGGGACCTATTCTGAGCCAAATATGAGTGACCAAGGCCCAAAGCCTAGTCTCAAGAGGTCTTGAGAACATGTGCCAAAGGTGGTTGGGTTACAGATTGATTTTATAATTTTAGAGGGACAGAAGTTACAGGCAGACATCAATCAATAAATGTAGGGTATACATTGGTTCAGTCTGGAAAGATGGGACAACTCAAAAGTGGGGGCTTCTAGGTCATATGCGGATTTAAAGATTTCCTCATGGTAATTGGTTGAAAGGGTTAAACTCTGACTGAAGAGTTGAAGCCAGCAGAAAGAAATGTTTGTAATTAAGATTCAGGATGGGGGGCGGGGTGGTGGAAGCCAAGGTTCTTATTACGTAGATAAAGCCTCCCAGTCGCACACTTCAGAGAATAAATGATAAATGTCTTTATCAAGCCCTAAAAGGTTCCAGGCTCTTAGTTAAATCTCTCCTGGATCAGGAAAAGACCTGGAAAGGGAAGAGGATTCTCTATAGAATATAGTTTCCACATGACAGACAGCTGTGCAGGGCCGTTTCAAAATATGTCAAAGAAATACATTTTGGGGTAAAATACTTTGATTTCTTTCAGGGCCTGCCATCTGTCATGCGATGCTATACTAGAGACAGGTTGGTATTTGATATCTTATTGCTACAGTTTTGTCAGTCTTAAAATTTCTGTTTTAATATCAATGTTGGTCAGTTGTGCCTGAATTCCATAGGGAGGAGATTACAATGAAGCATGTCTGATGTGATGCCCACTTCCCACCATGGCCTGAACTAGTTTTGCAGGTTTACTTTAGAATGCCCTTGGTCAAGAGTGGGGGTCCATTCAGTCAGTTGGGGAGTTTAGAATTTTATTTTTGGTTTATATAATGTTTATCACTATATAATATTATATTATAGGTTTATTTGCTGTTTGCTTCCTCTAAAGAATATTAAACTCTTTTCTTCGGTTGGTATACTCTTGTCCCCATACTCTAGAAGAGTACCTAGTATAAAGTATGGTCTCCATAAGTATTTCTTGACAAAATTAATGAATTAATTAGCTATAAGAAAGTAGTAGAACAGGTTAGGTCACTGTGCCCATGTTCAAGAAGGAAACTGAGTTACAAAAAGATTGTCATCCCACAGTGCTAAGCAGTAGCAAAAATGAGGTTGGCCCTAGCTTTCTAAAGTTTAGGGGAGTTTTTTGGTTTGTTTTGCCCTATACCATACAATCTTCCTCCACAAATCTGAAGTTCTAGTTAGTTGGTGTACCAACTACATACCTGAAAAATGTAGAGATTGTAAACAAGTAGGTAAACATTTTTAAATAGCCTTCAAAACTCTAGATGTGAAAAGAGCTGACCACAATTTCTCCTATCTTTTCATTTATTCTAGCCAATTATACCCTCTTGATATAAAGAAACAAGCTCACCACACCAGGACCCCCCTCAGCTTCCACTCCAGTGACCCTTGGACCAATAGCATTTTTGACTAAATGAATATCCCTTCAAGACTTAGGATACCTACACTGAATGTTTCTACCTCCTTCTCTCCACCCACAAATGCATCTAGTTCTCCATGGTCTCCCAAACTATCTCCCAGAAACCTATTAATAAATAATCTTCAAACAAGTGGGCCAAAATCCTATCCCTCCCAGAATTCCTAAAAGAGAGACTTAAAATTTAGTCTCTCTTTTCTTGTCCAGAGAGAACAGTCAATCAATGACTTCATACACTGTATCACTGAGTTCCTCTTGTAACTTTAATGTTTTCATTTAAGTATCAGTGCCAGGCCCAGATTTGGGAAAAGTCCTGAAATTGCTAAGCGTTCATTTTTGTGCCCTTCTTTAGCCCTTTCTGCACCAAAGATCAGATCTGGGTGCTTGACTTCCAGGACAGTACTGTATGTACTAGTCTAACATTTGCCAAAATTTGTTCCCCAGAAGACTAATTGTATGAGATGGTCCATTATAATTTTATGCTCAGAGAAGTTGGGGGAACCTTGCATCTTATACCTCTCTCATGGATTTATGCTGCATAAATATGTGTTGAAGGCTTGAGAAGCACATAAGTGTTTAACTTTATTTAAGCCAGAATTTCCCAAAATTATTTGACTAACAAACGTCTTTTTTCTCTCTCTTAATGCCTATAGCTTCCCACTGAATTATCGTTCCTTGAAAGATATTTTGAAGAATATTGCTGGGTTTTTATAATCCCAGCCACACACAATTTCCCAACCACTCAAAGCCAAATAATGGTAACAACAACACAAAAAATCAATTTACAATTTAAAATAATTGACACCACTGACCAAACATCTGCATTTGCATCTCTGGGGCTGCCGCAGTCCTGGAACTGTCCTTTACGGCTCTGCTTTCTCCTGACCTTGTCCTGGGCTCTCTTTCAGCTCCCTCTGGCCAGGTCCAGCAGTACTTGTCTCTTAAGAGCCATGTAATGACTCTGACCTGAATAGACCCAGCTACCTAAATTCTTTCCTTCTTTTCTCTGTATTTCAACCTTTCTCCCAGGCTATCTGCTCCAGGTTCTAAATGTTCTCTGCCATTTAAACAATTGCCTGGTGAACAATGATTAATTTAATGAGGAGTCAGGATGGCTCAGGGCCAGAAAAACAATCACTCGTGGCTCTCTGGTCAACTCCAATTACGTCTGCTAATGAAAGAGAGAAATGATTTTTAAAAATCCCAAACCATGAAGTTATGGAGGTTCCAGCTGGAGACTGCTTTGGATTTTTTGTGATTGGATTTTTTAAATCCAAAGAGGACCCCGCTTGTGGCCATTTCAGCCTAAGGGCCATTATGGAATCTAACTGACTTTCAAAGCCTCATCCACTCAACCCATGGGCCAACTGTTCCCATAAGAGAAAATGGCAAGGAGGACAGACAACTTCAGCAACAGAGAAAATGCCAACTAACTGATCCTCATAGGAAGTTCTGGGGACTTCTACATGTAGGTAAGGCCTCTATGGAATTATAAGATAAAACTTGGATAGTGCTGCTGCACTGAGCAAGTGCCAGCTACCTGCCCCATGTCCTGCATTATCTAGGAGATGGCGACTTGTATTGCATGAACCCAACCCTCCAAATTTTAGATCCTGGAACTAGGTACAGCTGTTTTTTGAAACCAAAGAGCAGAAAAGAAAAAAAAAAAAACCCACACAAGTCCCAGGAGCAGGTTTTATTTTGCTGCTGGTTCTATTTTCAATCATTTTTGAGGGTCAATGTTCATTCTCAACTCCTTCAAGGGTTTGTAATTTGGCTGCTTTGGGGATAGCTGAGTCACATTTTATGACAGCTTAGAAAATGCTGTGGCTTTTCAACTCTTCAGGGGACACCCTTAGGCTGGAGTTAACAACTTAGGCTTGAAGCTAGTTAGACATGGGGTATGGTCAGGTCACAGTGCTTAGTAACCTCAGAAACTTCCGGTGGATAACAAAATGGTACTCAAGAAGGTAACTGGGAGGGATGCAAGATACCAGTGAAAAAAGCAGAAATAGTAGATTAAAATAATAATCACAACAGTAACATAGGACAGCAATTTTGGGCATGTATAATAAAAAAAAAGACAAGGTAATTAACAGAACTTGTACATCTATGGAAATGGTTAACAAATGAGGGGAAGCGTGAAAGACAACCACTATAAAACATGGCTCTTTCCTTATGAGCCTACTCTGAAACAAATGGAGCAAAGGAGTAAAAGAGTTAAAAAAATCTCTGGGCAGAATTCTCTTTGAACTGTTTCTGTGACATCTCATATTCCAGAGGACACCCTTAGGTGGAGTTAACTTAGGCTTGAAGCTAGTTAGACCTAGCATCTAACTAGTTCTGGTCCCTTACTAATAAAAGCATCCAGTATTTTTTAAATCCGCCAATAATATTCACTCTCTCATAATAAAGATGGATAGGAATAATTTTACTCACATTCATTTTTATCTAACATTCAATGAAATCTTCAACCAATCAGTGCTATCCTTAACTTGCACTGAAAATATCACTATTGAAGGTGACTCTTGTATACAGAAAATTTTATTCTGCATCCTCCCCCTGCCACCAAAGCTAACTAAAACAATGAGTGACCCAGGCTTCTCACAGTCATTTTGTGTCCTTGACACTGCTCCTGCTTCCTCTAGGTTCCCTTCCATTCTCCTTGCTCACCTCCAAACTCAGAGAGGAAGAAACCCAGGAAATATGGAGCTTCAAATGTGCTTAAAACTGCAATATCACCCAATTTGAAATTGATTACAGGGAATGTAAGCGGCTGTTTTTAGGCTATTACTAAGGTTTTCTCAAAGAGTTAATGGAGATTTTGTTTGTTAGCTTTTCACATATAATTGTATATGATCTTGTGACTTATGTAAAACATTACAATAATGTATTTGAGAAGTAGCAACTCAAGTTTTTTCCTAACAAAATGTGTGCCATTTTCCTCTTCCCCAGAACAAACACATATACTCATATTGATCTGCTATCAAAAGGTGATTCCTGTACAAAATTAGTCTGCAAATCATCTTGCACCTAACTAGATGTTTTGAGTACAAACAGGAGGATGATTCATCTTTTCAAAACAGAATGTAGCCGGCAAAAATGTTGTATTGCTTTAATTTCTCGTTTTGGATTTGAAAAAAAAGAGCAGCTCAGCTATTACTGAATGAACTACTTATTCTTCAACATTGAGTCTGACTTGACCAGGAGGGCACATAAACAGCTTGCTTTAAGAACAGCTGGTTGACTCACTGATTACAGTCAGCAAATTTTCTAGCTGTGTCAGGGCCTGCCTGGAATTGCAACCTGGGAAGCAAAGATACTCCTTAGGCAGATGGGACTTCTGAAATCAGCCAGTGGCTCAGGAAACACAGAAGTTCAAGGCCTCGGGTGGCCAAAAGTCATCATATGGCCCACATTAGCCTATTCTTTGTGTGTAAGATTCAGCCACCTGAGAAAACCTAATTATTCTTTTGCCATCAGCTTCAACAACATCATGATCTTCACCCAAAATAATCAAACTCTAACCTGCACACGGTGCTGTACCTTACAAGCACATGGCAAGCAATGTCTGCCTCCCCAGGCCTCCCACAATGTTCTTTCTGAGTCTACTTTTCCACCGTGTATTGGCATAATGGTGCCGGTGTGTGCCAACATGCACTTCTTCTGCAGTCTGTGAGCTCCTCAACTGGAGATACTATTGCTGCGGTTCAATCAGGCTGGTGGGAAAAATATTAGAGATAGTTATAGAGATAGACACAAATCTTCTTGGAAGGCCAAGAAGTTTGCATAACTTCGGTAATATATCTGGCTGATGGTGGCCTGGTCCCTTTACCTTTAGTTAAACAAATTAAAGTAGTAACAAAGGAAGGCAGAGTAGTTTACCTAGCTAGCTTGTTTACCCATGTGGTCTTAAGACTAACCTCTGACGTACTGCAGGTGCTTAAGTGCTTTTTACTTGGGAAGTCCACAATGTCAATTACCCTCTAATAGTGTTGACTCAAGCCACTGTTAATTAATCTTACTGAATAAATGCGAGTCTCACTAGATGATCAGTGCCATAGTCGCAACTGTTTACAGCACTTAACAGGGAGTCTGTAAGCAGCTCAGACACCCTCAGCTGGACTGGCAAAGCAGAATATCTGTGTGTCAGTGAATGTTATTCATCCGTCCCTGGGTCAGGTGTCTGCAAGGGACAGACCCCCTGCAGCTGGTGCCCCTGTGTGAGGGGCGCTGCTGCACACTATGACTCATACTAACCTGCATAGTGATGCACAATCCAAAGGAGGATCCCAAACTTCCTGCAACTGGAACCAAACCAAAATTCATCATCCAACGTAACACATCAAAGTGATCATTTATAGAAAGACCCTTCAAGACACTCTGATAATTACACATTTATAAAAATTACACAGATATACATATATAAAGCAAATCTCCACTAATTTCATTAACGAAATAAGAATAAGTAATTAATCCAAAGCAGAACTTAATCAAGATACCATTAATATTTGCCTTAGGAATATTATATGATTTTTACACAGTGATTCGATATGTGCTCAGTTCTCACTAAAATTAGTCTGTCTTTTCCAATCCCACTGTGTCAGGTCACAGGAGAGTACAACACAGCATGTTCTGGTTGGCAAGGGACAGTCAGTGAAAAATGAATTACATGGTCCCATTAAACCCTAATATGAATAAACTGTGTGTGTATAAGTGTATGTGTCTTTAAGTGTATGAGGTGTGACATAGTATATGTGAGTGTGTGCATGTTTCTGTGTGTGCCTGTGTATGTGTATCCAGATCTCATTGTCTTTACTTTGGATACAAAGCTATGGCGCAAGTGTGTTTGACAATCATCTTTTAAAAATAGCCCTTTCACATGGAGTTTATTTAGTTGGTCTTACTGATATCGTGTATTGTGTGCCTAGTTTTGTTCTAAACGAGGGCCAGCAAATCATGGCCTATGAGCTGAATCCAGGCCTGTTTTGGTAAATAAAGTTTTATTGGAATACAGTCATTCCCATTTATTTACATACTATTTATGGCTGCTTTCATATTAAGATAGTTGTGACAGAGACCATATGGCCCACAAAACCTAAAACGTTTTCAGTCTGACCCTTTACAGAAAAAGTTTGCTAACTCTTGTTAAAAGTACTTAACAACTACTAACTGCTACCTGTAAGGTTTCATCTGCATAACAAGACCACCTTTGCTAGCCAGGTTTCCTCTTCTCTCCCTCCTATAACCCATTTTACCATCAGAACCTGTTTCATCACAATCCAAGCCCCTATTCTTTGTGTAACCTCAAGATGGTATCAAGCATCAACCATCTGGCCATTTCTTTGAGCTTTTATATTTTAGATGGCATCTGAGCATGCATATACATCTGATAAAATTTGTAAGCCTTTTTTTATCCCCAGTTAATCTGTGTATTATCAGTTTGCTTTATAGACTCAATCACTGATCCTTCAGGGGAAAAATTTAAACTTCCCTACAGTAGATACTATTATTGGAAGAAATCATTTTTTTAAAACTAGCAAATTAAAAGCATTTTGATGATGGCTTCATTAGGCTTATAGAGGTATGAATTTAGAAAAGAATTAAAGAATTCACAACATCCCAGGGTTTCTGTGTCCAAACTACTCTGCGGACAATGAACTTGGGGAAGAAATAGAAAAAAAATCGTATCAGAAAGCAAAACTAAATTATAAGGTACTCAAGAGAGGAAAGCTTATAGCTTTTAATGAACACTTTATAAGGAACATTGAAGAAAGGTGTAAAAACAACCAAGAGAATGAAAATGGGATACAGAGGAAGTGTAAACAGTCAAGAGAGAGTCATTGAAAAGGAAGGTAGGCAAAGCAGATTGAACATTCATTTTACCAATTCATGAAAAAGAAATTTTTTAAAGGAAACAAACTAATATTTAAGATGATAATATAACATATCTTTCTATAAATAAAGGAATGCCTGAATCTACAAACTGAAAGACCTACCAAATACAGGGGAAAATTAACCAGAATTATCAACTGTCAGACATGTTCTTATAAAATTATTAGACCTTAAAGATCAAGATAAATATCCTCAGGGGCCTCCAGGCAAAAAGGCAAAATAAAAGGTAAAAAAAAAAAAATAGATTGTCCTCAAACTTCTCAGAAACAACTTAAAAAGCAAAACAATAGTAGACCAGCATTGTTAGAAAACTTCAAGAAAAAATGTAAATGAAAGACACTATACCAAACCCAGCTGTTTTTCAAGTTTCAAGGCCATAGAAATGCAGTTCTGAATGTGACATAATGAAGGAAATACTATACACATGAGCCCTTTCTAAGACATTTAGTAGAGGACAGGCTTCATCAAACCAAAATTACAGGCAAACCTTTCAAAAGGACTGGCAGTGGGCATTTTGTATCGTCAATTGTAGAGGTAAGAACAAAACAAGAGTGGGTTATGGGCAAGTAATAATATGTAAATATTGTATATTCTGACAAGTCAAAAGAGTGCAATTGAAAAGTGGGACTAAAAGGGGCAAAGCCAGCCAGGTGTGGTGACTCACCCCTGTAATCAGGCCAAGTGCGGTGACTCACACCTGTAATCCAAGCACTTTGGGAGGCTAAGGCAGGCAGGTTGCTTGAGCTCAGGAGTTTGAAACCAGCCTTGGCAACATGATGAAACCCCATCTCTACAAAGATAAAAAATTAGCAAGGCAGATGGCATGTGCCTGTAATCCCAGCTACATGAGAGGCTGAGGTAGGAGGATCACCTGAGCCTGGGGTGGTCAAGGCTGCAGTGAGCCATGATTGCGCCACTGCACTCCAGCCTAGGCAATGGAGTGAGACCCTGTCTCAAAAAAAATTAAGACTTTATAAAGAGAAACAAAACAAAAGGGATAAAATGGAAAATAGAATCAAATCATTACCTGTTGTGTATAGATAATAGATGGGAGTCAAAGGGCACCACTTAAAACTGACAGATGGTAAAACAAGTAAAAATAAAGGGTACTGAACATAAAAAAATGTATTAATACAAAGGTAACTACTTAGAATAAAAATTTAAATTTTCCTAAATGCCAAAATAAAAATTTAAAAGTCAAAGAGGGTATACCAAATAGAGAAGGGGAAAAGCTAGTAAATTTAGGATAGTGCACATGGTAATCTCACTGTAAAATAGTAGGGTGGGCCGGGTGCGGTGGCTCATGCCTGGAATCCCAGCACTTTGGGAGCCTGAGGCGGGTGGATCACCTGAGGTCAGGTGTTCAAGACCAGCCTGGCCAACAGGGTGAAACCCTATCTCTACTAAAAATGCAAAAATTAGCCAGTCGTGGTGGCATGCACCTGTAATCCCAGCTACTCAGGAGGCTGAGAGGCAAGAGAATCACCCGGGAGGCAGAGGTTGCAGTGAGCTGAGATGGCGCCACTGTACTCCAGCCCGAGAAACAGAGCAAGACTCTGTCTCAAAAATAAAATAAAATAAAGTAAAATAAAAGTGTGGAATTGAGATTAAGCATTATAATAATATCAAAAAATGTGAATATGCTTAAGTTATCTATTAATAAAAATGATTTAAAAGTTGGTATACAAAACAAAACCTAACTCTATGCTATATATAAGAGATACACTTAAAATGAATAATTCAAAGAGGCTAAGAGTAAAGAGGTAGGAAAAAAATGTACCAAGTAAAAGAAAGCAGAGGACACAGTGCTGTTACCAAAGTAGACTTCAAGCCAAAAAGCATTCAATGAGACAAAGAAGGACATTTTATAATATTAAAAGCCACATTGTACTGTGAACGAAAAATTGTCTGAGACAAGTCTCAACCAATTTAGTTTATTTTGCCAAGGTTAAGGATGCACCCGTGACTCAGCCTCAGGAGGTCCTGACATGTGCCCAAGGTCACTGGGGTACAGCTTGGTTTTATACATTTTAGGGAGACATAAGACATCAATCAATACATGTTAAGATGTACGTTGGTTTGGACTGGAAAGGCAGGACAACTCGAAGCAGGGGCTTCCAGGTCATAGGTAGTTTTAAAGATTTTCTGATTGGCAGTTAGTTGAGTTATCTAAAAACCTAGAATCAATAGAAAGGAAAGTCTGGGTTATGATAAGGGGTTGTGGAGACCACGGTTTTATTATGCAGATGAAGCCTCCAGGTAGCAGCCTTCAGAGAGAATAGGTTGTAAATATTTCTTATCAGAAGTAAAGAGTCTGTTCTATTGGCCTTAAGGTCTGTGTTGATGTTAATGTTAATGAGGTATGTCCAGACTGCTCCCCACTTTCCATCATGGCCTGAACTCATTTTTCACGCTAACTTGGGAATGCTCTTGGCCATTCCAAATCTGTTCAGATGGGTGGGGGGCTTAGAATTTTATTTTTTGTTTATGCTACATTGAAAATATAATTGTTATGAATATCTAGGCACCAAATAACCTGGCAACTACCTTTATGAAATACAAGTCATGGGAGATGCAAGGAGAAATAAGTAGAAACACACTAATAATAGAACCCTTTAACACATCACTCTTAAACAATACAGGTTAAATAGACCAAAAAGGTAAGGTTGCAAAGTAGCTAAACAAAATAAGGTGGATTTTTTTAGGCATATATCAAACACTACATCCTGATAATAGAGAGTATACCTTTTTCTCCAGTGCACATTGAATGAAAATTGATCATATACTTCAGTTCAAAGAAAACATCACTAGGCTCCGTAAAATAGAACTCCTTGATCACAATGCAAAAAAGGTAAAGAAAGAAAACAAAGAAAGATAAAAAAGTCCTTGACCTTAGAAATTTAAAGACTTTCTAGCTCTTGGGCAAAAGGGAAATACAGCCAAGCACGGTGGCTCATGCATGTAATCCCAGCACTTTGGGAGGCCACGGCGGGAGGATCACTTAAGGTCAGGAGTTCGAAACCAGCCTGGCCAACATAGTGAAACCTTGTCTCTACTAAAATACAAAAATTAGCCGGGCATGGTGGTAGGCAGCTGTAATCCCAGCTACTGAGGAGGCTGAGGCAGGAGAATTGCTTGAACCCAGGAGGCAGAGGTTGCAGTGAGCCCAGATCATACCACTGCACTCCAACCTGGCGACAGAGTGAGACTCCCTCTCAAAAAAATAAATACATAAATAAATAAAGGTGAAATACAAACAGTAATTATAGAATTTCTGAAAAATGATGATAATAAAAACATTACATATCAATCTGTGAGATGTATTAAAGTAGGGATCAGAGGAAATTTATACCTCAAAATACCTATAGCAATTTTAAAAATATAAAAATAAATGAAAACTATTAAAAAGGTCAGCCAGAAAAAGAAATTTAAGATCAAAGATTAATTAGGAAAAGTTTTTTTAAAAAAGATATTACGAACAACTTTATGCTAAAAAAAAAAAGAGAACTTCGATAAAACAGATAAATCCCTCGAATAAATTCAACTTATAAAAATGTACACAAGACAAAAAGAAAATTTGACTAGCCATATATCAACTTTAAAAAAGTAATCCAAAATTTAAAATCTTCCCACAAAAAAAAAAAAACTCCAAGCCCAAAAGGCCATACCAGTGAATTAATCTGAGTATTTTTAAAAACGATAGCAAAAGAGGAGGGAAAAAAAATTACCTCAAGTTCTAGAGACATTTTGTTGGAAAGTCTGTTAGTCAACCCATGTCTTAACTACCACAGGTAACCTATTCCAAAGCACCCTATACCAAAGCTCTCTCCCCTAGTGTTGGGAACCTGCTCTTTCCATCCACAGCTCAAGGCAGGAGACAACAAGCATTTTGTCTGTATGGCAGGAACAAGAGAACACAAATACCTTGCAGACAATGACCAGAGTGGCACACACTGAAAGAGTTGCAGCTTCTGGGAGCTCAGCAGGAAGCCCAGCAGCTCATGCTAAGTTTGTGTTCCAGCAGTCAACATGGGAGGAGAACATAGGTCAGAAAACAAAGGGATGAGGTTAGGGAATTTAGAAAAGCCAGCCTGGGCAGGATAGGCTCTTTAGACAACGTGTGTACTTCCAAAGGGAAGGAAGCAATGAAGCCCTTCATCTGACCCCAAGAGAGACATCACTTTCTTTTCTTACTCTTCCAGTTTTATGACCCTCCCCCCATCAACACCCCAAGAACTTCTTAGAGCCCAACACCCTCCTCCCAACCTCAACGCAGGACTTCTTAGAGACAAACACCTTAGGGGCAGAGATTTAAGTATTTTGTGCACTCTTTTCTTCCTCTAACTCTAAGGAAGAGACATTCTCCCAGATTGAATTGCAAGTCGAGAATACTACTGCATACCCAGGAAACACATCCAAATAGAATATGAAATTGCTGACTGCTCAGAGCCTCATGCTACATTAAAAAAAGAAAATCTAGAAAAAAAGTTGATTCCTGATAAAGACTCACTGATGTTAGGCTGCCTGTCTTCCACTTGCCCTCAGCACCACCCCCTCTCCATCTCTGTTTATCCTTTCCACCCTGCCTTGTGCCCTGGGAGGCTGACCTGTACAGATGGCATCAAAAGGCCTTTTGGCTCCCAGTTGGGTCCAGCCAATGTGGAACACTACCATAAAATGGGAGGGAGTAGGGGACAGACGGGTCAATGTACCCGTGGCCTCCCTCCCTGCAGAGTTCTGGCTGATTCTCAATAGGAAGCATCCTGCTCTGATCAGGTTACTCTTGCTACCTAATTCTGTCTCTGAGTCCCAGTAACCACTCCTCTTTTCATCCTTCCAGGCCCTGAAACACACCCTTCCACCCTCTATTACTTCCTCTGGGGCACTGCACAGTCCCCTGTGGCTTTTCTATACGTAGCCTTCTCATTTCAAAATAGTCCATTTATTAACCTCTTTGAATATCTGCCATCTCCTCACATTCTGCTGTTGAGTTTCTGACTCTACAGTGAAGAAAATAAACTCTCAGAAAAGAACTTTAGCCTGGAGATCCCAGGCCATGCTGCTGAATCAAACTGTAAGGTCATGGCAAGGAGGGCCTGTCCCTAATTGTCACTTCAGGATATTCCAAATATGAAGATAGGAGGGAATACTGGTGTCCATCTTTGTTAGGCATAGAAAACTAGCTAAGATTGGATGTTTATTTTACTTTAATGCAGTATCTGCACAGTAAATGTTTGCAATTCAGAAGCATTTTCTCCAAATATTTAGGAAACAGCCCTTCTCTCTAATAAGTATTTTGAAATTGTTATAAAATTTTGTTTCTTTTCTCAGGTTTTTATATTTTCAGGTCATTAAAAAAAATCATCCTTGCTTGGCTATGCTACTAAAATCTCAACTGCCCTGTGGGTGTGGCCAGGAAGAGAGACAGTGCTTGCCACCAGTCCTGCTGGGCAGTCCAGCCTTGATCCAGAGGTCTGGGAGGGCATGGGTGATGTGTTCCAACCCTATTTGTATCACCCTCTAATTGGAATCCTGGTTTGTAGCCCATTCTGAATGAGCCTGCTTTAATTCCCTAAACAGATATCTCCAAATGAGAAACAAAAAAAGAAATTTGTAAAGCAAATGACTGTCAGGTGTTTGGTCCAGTCTGACTTAACCAGACACTTCAAGTACAATTTAAAAAAAAAAAAAAAAGAAACATAATTTTGGAGCCAGAAGACCTGGGTTCAAATTCTGGCCAATGTACTTAATATATCTATCTTGTAGATGCTCAACTGCTCATATTTGTCATCTGTGAAATGGGTATAGTAAAATGTTCTCACCTGCACAGTGTCATAAAATGTAAATAAGGTAATTTGCCTAAAAGCATATTAAATCAAATATGCCAGGCAGATTTTATGTTTGTTTTTATTGTTTTAGAAACAGAGTCTCACTCTGTTGCCTCATCTGTAGAGCAGTGGCATGATCATAACTTACTGCAGCTCACACTCCCGGGCTCAAGTGATCCTCCCACTTCAGCCTCACAAGTAGCAAGGACTACAGGCATGCACCACCATGCCTGGCTAACTTTTTAAAATGTTTTTGTAAAGATGTGGTCTTGCTAGGTTTCTCAGGCCGATGTTGAACTCCTGGCCTCAAACAATCCTCCCACCTTGGTTTCCCAAAGCTCTCAGATTACAGGCTTGAGCTACTACACCCCGCCAAATGTTTGTTTTAACAACAATTTTGAAAAAACAAAATAGTAGAATCTAAGCCATTTTGTCCAAAAGTCATTCACCCAAATATTAATTAAGGGCTTGGCATTGATTCAGAAGATGTATACAGCATAGAGTCAGCCTCTAGAGTTTGCAACATAATTAGGGAAACAAATATAGCTTTAATGATTATTAGAATATTAGCAAGTATATTCTGGTGGCTAAGTTGTGTCATTTAAAAAAGTTCTTTATGACCGTGGTTCACGGAAGAAAGAGAGCAACATAGATTCATTGCTGTAATGACACAGGTCTTCACAGAGGAATTTGGAGTGGAATAACAATAGGAGTTAACATTTATTGAGTAATTCTTATCACTTTAAGACATAATTTTGAGCTGTTTATGTATTAATGCATCTAAGCCTCAAACAACCACATGAAATAGTTATTATAATTTTCTCCATCTACAAAGGAGGAAACTAAATTTCAGAAAGTTTAAGTAATGTGTTCATTGTGCCCAATTAAGCAAGTGGAAGACCTAAAATTCAAACCTGGACAGTCTGACTCCAGACCTCTGCTTTGACCCTTCCTGACGATGTGGGTGCACCTGGTACACCTGCTAACACATGGCACAAAGGTTCTGCAAACTCTACTGAACAATTTGCCATCTGGCTCCTTCCATCTTGGCTCCTTCTTATCCAGTAACTAAATGAGAACTAGAAAAAGCTGTTCTACTTCCAGTCCACGGGTGACCTGCTAAGTAACCTTGGGAGATTTCATATTTCCTGCCACAGCTTTGTCAGCCTTAAATAATGAATTTCAGAAAATATAATTAAGTACAGTTTATTTGAGTGCAAAGCCTGAGGACAGCCACCCAAGACACCAACTCCAAACAAATGGGGTCAGCATTCCAAAGTGGAGAAGTTAAGGTTCCACTTAAATAGAAATCTTAGCAGGATTACAACATTTTCCATACAAGATCAGTGCATATGCCACAGAAATTTAATTGGTTAAAATTGCTACATTCCAAGGCAGATTACTCTATAACTCCCTGAAGAGGGGTAGTGATCTGAGTCAGTGTGTTAGCTCCAGCACTGTTTGGTCTTAATTATTTAGAGAAAAAAGAAAAGAAAAAGGCAGAAGTTGCAGCTGCAAGCCACATGACTTAGATGGCATAGCCACCTTCCTCTCAAGGCTCAGGAAAATTTAAAGCTCCCACCAGGTGCAGTGGCAAATGCTTGTAATCTCAGTACTTTGGGAGGCCAAGGTGGGAGGATCACTTGAGCTCGAGAGTTTGAGACCAGCCTGGGCAACATGGTGAAACCCTGTATCTACTAAAAATACAAAAATTATCTGGGTGTGGTGGCACGTGCCTGTAATCCCAGCTACTCGCTTGAACTCAGGAGGCGGAGATTGCAGTGAGCTGAAATCGTGCCACTACACTCCAGCCTAGCGACAGAGCCAGACTCTGTCTCAAAAAAAAAAAAAAGAAAAGAAAAATCTGGTCTCTACAAAAAATACAAAAATTAGCCGGGTGTGGTGGTGTGCACCTGTAGTCCCAGCTACTCAAGAGGCTGAGGTGGGAGGATCTAGGTTGCAGTGAGCCTAGATCATGCCACTGCACTCCAGCCTGGGCAAAAGATTGAGACCTTGTCTCCAAAAAAAAAAAAAAAAAGTGAACATGGTCAATTTTTTCTTTAAATTATAATTTAAAAAGTGTTAAAAATGTAAAGTTCCAACAGCTTTAAGTTTGAATTATTTCAAGTTTGAATTTTTTAATTTCATAGCTTCTTTATCAGTAAATCCAAAATGATACTTCCACAAATGTACCTCAACTGTCAGAATAAAAGAAACTGTGAGAATAAATGGGAAAGGCTGCTGAAAAATACAAATGACCTAAAAGAGTAAATTAATTGTCATCATTACTATTTATTTTTTACTGTCTATCTAATCCCATGGCCAGAAGGTATATTTCTAACTGTCATCTGTAATGACAAAAGGAAAGTGCGCAGAAGCATGTGCCTGGATCAGCATGGCCCGACAACCTCTGCAGGATGAGTTGCTGTGTGTGCAGGTCCTGCAGCAGATGGAACAGCAAGTGTGCACATCTGTATTATTCAGGTGATGTGTGGATACAGAAGAAGGAGAACGGAAATGACTTTTAGAACCAGTCTTGTTTTCTGCTTGTGTTATTTTATACAGGACTACTTAATGTCTCATTTTCAAAATTGTCTGAATATGCATGTCTTTGATGCAAGCAAGACACAGGGCTCCTAAATAAAAGAAGAAATAGGAATATAAGTAAACAGTAATGAGCTGTTTTTCTTTCTTGTTTAAAATATATTATTCTACTCTGGCAGCATAGAGAAGCCCTAAGGGAGCATTAAGTAGAATTTTAAAAAGCACTTCCTCTGACTCAGTCCATACTAGCTTCGCGATGACACCTCAGCAAACTCAGTTAAATGAATTTCTGAATGAATAATAAGTGACAGAAATCAATCAGGTATCTCTGCTGCTGCCAAATTTACAATATGACAATGTCACTGACTGGGAGAGAGCTAAGATTGGCCTTTGGACCAAGTGTGGGAGGCTTAAAATGCATAATGTGGAAGTTAGAGGACAGGAAGAATCTGTCTTGCATTTGATAACCTGAAAAAGGGGATATAATTAATATCTCTTGGGCTGGCCACATCTGGTGAATTAAAGGGAATTTTTACTTGACCATAGAGAATGCAGGAAAAGAACCATAGATATGACAGAAATATTGGCGAGTATTTATTCATTCATTATTTCACCCATTCATAAATCATTCAGTGATAGTCAAATAACTCACTGTCAAGCATACGCGGCTAGGTGCTGTGGATTAAAAATGAAAGAAGTGGAGTCCCCGATAAAAGGAGCTCACAATGTAGTGACAGAAATAGACATAAGCAAATAAATATAATGTGATGAGTTTATCTTAATTACAGCCATGGGCACAGGGTACTGGGAGAGCCCTTAAGGAGGTGCAGGGAGGCAGGAGGAATGCTTCCCAGAGAAATGACCCTGGAGCTAAGTGTTCAAGTATCAGCATGAAATGAACAGGTGAGGGGCAGGGAGATTTTGCACCAAGAGGACCTATTTGAGTAAACAACTGAAAATGAGATAGAGAATGGTTTATGCAGGCAACTGCAGACAATTTACTATAGTATAAAATGCAAAGCAGGAAATGGGGCAGAAGAAGCCAGAAAAGGTGGTGAGGACCAGGCCGCAGCAGGTCTTCTCCAAAGAAGCAGCTTGTTTTTTATCCTTTTGGGTAGAGGTTCTCAAACTTCAGCCTGATTCAGAATTACCTGAAGGGTTTTCTAAGCATGCATTGCTGGGCCCCATCCCCCAGAGTTTCTGACCTCCTAGGCCTGGGGTAAGGCCTGAGAATTTGCATTTCTAACGAGTTCTCATGTGATGCAGATGATGCTGGTCCTGACAACACCATGCTCTAGGCAACCAAAAGGGCTTACTGGGTTTCAAGCAAGACATCCATAAGGTAAGTTGTGCCCCTTAGAATCCATGGACTCTCTGGATAGGCTGCATTTTTAAGAGTCAAGGACTGGAGGCGGGGAGGCCAGTTAGGAGGCTGTGCCAGAGGCCCGAATGGAGAAGCAGACAGACAAACCAAACCATAACTTTGTTAGTTAGCAATTCCATATGTTACTCACAAACATTGTGGAAAAAATCAATGTGTCATGTTTGCAATGTCTGGTTCTTTAATTAGTACATAAAATGTGAACAATATTAAAAGAAAAAATATTTAAGAGAAAAGAGGTAGAACTGGAATTACACACATTTTCTATCGAGAAATGAATTCTACTGATTAAAACCAGAAAATAGAGATTAGTTTCCTACCTTGGATTCTTCATCCCAGTGATATGGACAGAAGGCAGGGAAATTCTGGGCAGAAGAGGCCAAGTCCTTGGCAAGGGCCCCACCCTCAAGCTGAAAAGCCTAATACCGCCACCCAAAGTGAAAAGTTACATCCCTGTTTTCCTGATCAAATGTTGCCTTTTCCAAAACCACCCATGGCCCACCCTACCCCTGATCCTGTGCCCATAAAACCCCCAGGCTTAGCCAGCAGAGACAGCAGAAGCAGTTGGACGTTGGAGACTATAGTTGGACATTGGAGAGAAGCAGCTTGAATTCAGAGGGATAGCTTGATGGCATAACTTCAGAGAGGAGTCCAGCCAGGGATGGCCAGACACCAGGGGAAGATTACCTTCCCTCTCTATCCCCTTTTCAGCTCCCCTTCCAGCTGAGAGCCACTTTCATCAGCAATAAAATCCCCTGCATTTACCACCTTCAATTGGTTCATGCCACCTCATTCCTCCTGGACACCAGTTAAGAACTCAGGTGCCACAAGTGTGGGTGCAAAAGGTTGTCACACTGACCCTCCACTGAGCTGTTAACACTCAAGCCATCTGTGGATGGCAATGCTAAAAGGGTGCTGTAACACTTCCTCTGGGGCTTCAGGGGTCATGGGCACCCTCCCCTAGATGCTGCAACAGGGCCAGTACAGGGTTGGCTCTTGCTGGTGCCCAAAAGCGCCCACCCCAACTCCTGTACCCACTCATCTGCACTCCCCCTCTCATGAGGGGTGGAGCAGCAAGTGAGTAGAGTTCACCACTGCCAGTGCCCATGCATGCCAGTTCCTACCAGTGAAGGGGTCAGGAAAATATCCTGCGTTACCAGCCTGGCCTATTCGATGAGCTAGTAAGTGGTGTCTCATCATCCCCTTTTGGAGAGTAAAAGAATTCCAACTCTGAAAGAAGAAGGAAAAGTCAGGGCTTTGGAATTAACAAAGAACATGTAGAAAATAAAAATGGACACTTGGGTGGCATGCCAGACCCCTATTGACTCCAGTAAGGATGGTACCATGTCAAGAGGGCAAAAAAAAAAAAAAAAAAAAAAAAGAGAGAAATCCAGAGACAACAAAGGAGACATGAGGTTTATTAGGGGGAATTTACATACAAGTATGGTCCAGTGGCAGTGGGTTGAACAGGAGAACCACTACCATTTGTAAAAAGTACACAATTTATATAGCATTTTTACTTAGCACCCTCCATCCAGCAACCTCTACCTAGCAACCTCCATTCAACCCAAAACAAAAAACCTTGATCCTCTGTATGACCTGCATTCTAAGTGACGGGCTGGAGGTTCAGATGTCCTTCACAGATAAAGACTGAATCTCCAGGTTGGCCAGTCCTTGATACCTTAGCTCAGGACTTCAAACACACATCCTTCTTAGACCACAGTGTCATTCTCACAGTATGCTTAAGTTAAATTATTGCTGTCAAGTGTGCCTGCCAGGTGGGGGGGGTGGAATGATGGAGGTGGGAATGAGTGAGCTCAGACTCATCAATTCCCCCAGTCTGACATCCAGGTAAAGCCCCACACCTGCAAACCCACCCCCCAAATCACCAAATATTTGCTAGTTGCCTTTCTCCAACCTGAGTTCATCACGGTTCCTCTCCTGGAATCTGAAGATCAATGAGAAAGACACAGAGACTAAAAGATGTTCCAGGAAAGTCTCAGAGCAAAAGTTCTTCTGCTAGGAGCCCCAGAATCCAGAGGAGGTCTGGATTCACCTTTCCCTAGGTCATTCAGTAACACCCTGAATTCTGTGTGACCCCAGTTTCACAAGAGCCTGCTTCCTCAACCATCTGTAGAGAAGAACCAGTTTGTTTGTTTTAAATATCCAATCCGCCACCTATCTGTGCACTTGTAAAATATGATTTAACAATGGATTACTATAACCACAGTCTGATCGTGACAAAAAACATCAGAAAAATCTCAATTGAGGGACATTCTACAAACTACGCAACCAGTACTCCTCACAACTGTCAAAGTCAACCAAAACAAAAGTCTCAGAGACTATCACAGCCAAGAGGAGCCTAGGGAGACACAGTAATTAAATGTAATGCAGTACCCTAGATGCAATCCTAGAACAGAAAAAGATCAGGTAAAATTAAGGAAACTTGAATACACTGTGGACTTTAGTTAATAATATGTATCAATATTGGCTCACTAATTGTGATAAATGTACCACACTGCTGTTAAAAATAAGGGAAATGATGTAGAGTATATGGGAACTCACACTATCTTCGCAATTTTTCTAGAAATCTAAAACTGTTCTAAAAAATTATCTTTAAAAATGAAGTTGCTAGAAAAATAAATTAGAAAAAGCAAGATGAACAAAATATAACCTCCGAATTTATTATGTTCAGCAGACATAAAATTACATTTCAATAAATATAAAAATAAACATAACCTAGAAAAAAGAAAAGAATAGCAAAAATTATACACTTCTTTTATTGAAAGTGTGTATATATGACAATAAGTAACGAATCACTGATACACAATCATAATTTTTGTCATTCTGCAATTGTAACTAAACAAAGAGTGTGAAAGAGTGAGTCCACATACTAAACACTGAAGTGCACACTTTGAAGGAACATCATATTTATCAGTATTAAAGTTCTTAACAACAAATGAGCATGCTTTGTGCTGGTTAATGTATTTGATCAAGTTTGGATTGATCACAATGCTTCTGGCTTTTGATAATGTATACCTAAATTATTTCTGTGTTTCATAACACTGATAGTAGAGAAACCAGTCTTACAGATATATGTTGACAGGAGGATTAGAAGTGATTTTAAAAGGAATTTTAGCAAGCTTAGCATATTTATGTTGGAATTTTATTCAAAATGAAGAAAGCAATATTTTATTTTTGATGTTCATTTTCAATCCATCAGTAACCACTCCAACAATTTTTCCTATAAAGTCATAATGAAATTTAAATTATCTCTCAATGAAAGGAATGGATTTCAGATAAATAAATTTCCTATGTACGAATTTTTTTTTTTTTTTTTTTGAGACAGAGGCTTGCAGTGTCACCTGGGCTGGAGTGCAGTGGAGCAATTTTGGCTCACTGCAACCTCTGCCTCCTGGGTTCAAGTGATTCTCCTGCCTCAGCCTCCTAAGTAGCTGGGATTACAGGTGCCCACCACCATGCCCAGCAAATTTTTTGTATTTTTTTAGTAGAGACAGATTTCACTATGTTGCCCAGGCTGGTCTTGAACTCCTGACCTTGTGATCCACCCGCCTCAGACTCCTAAAGAGCTGGGATTACAGGGCGTCTGGCCCCCTATGTAAGAATATTTTTAATAGAAAATTAAAATGCAAAAATTCTGTCAAAATTCATCAAGTCTTTGGTGATAACATTTTACATTTTTGAAGTAATCTGGATCATGACTTATTTGAATTGTTAAATTATGGAACATGTCATAATAATCTTTAAATCTCTGTTCTTCTAAGCTTCCGATTTTGTTCTTGTCCTTTGATCTTATCTGCCACTGACAATTATGCTGTACTCCTTCCTTTTATGGAAGTATTAGGATCATTATAATACCAAAGATACCAGACAAACGAGCAGTTTAGATGTCCAATTTACCTCTTTGAGAAGATGAGACCTTATACTTTTCTTATCTTGCAGAAGTATTAAGAGCTTATTCTATAAATCAAGCACGCTCAACTTTTCTGCTCTACAATCATTGTGCCTTAATATGCAATGAAAGTCATGTGTAATTCATCTTCCACGTTATCCCATAGTAAAGAGAATAATCTAGAATGTCATGCACTCCACTTAATTTACAATTTTTACTGTGTCACTTGACACATTGTTTATTTAGGCTTTTTTCACAGCATGACTTTTGCAATAAAGGAAACAATGCATTGATTTTTCTTCTGGCCCAAGCTCCTTGATCTAGGTAACTACTTCAGAAAATTTTCTTTTCACTGGAAGTGTGACATCAGAGCATATATCTATACAGAACTTAAACTCTAAAACATACTTGTTAACTTTGTAATCCTTCACAGATTTATACAGTTCAGAGCTAATCATAATTGTCAACAGTGAAGCCAAAAAAATTAATTCTTCAAACCACCATCATGTTCAAGTTGCACATATATAAAAAGAACTGCAAGTTAATATCAGTGCATAAGTCAAATTGCAATGAAAAACACTTTGCTAGGTTTATTTGTTCTTTGAGTTGGTCTTATATCATTAGCCAGTTCAAAATTACATCAAGCTATTGTGTCCAAATACAGTTACATCTACATGTCAAAGTAGCTTAAGCTATTTTGCTACATATTTATCCTATATTTCCCAGCAAACATCTTTAAAACAGCTTTAGCAATTATATATGATTTTTAGTGTTATCAATATGAAGTTCTATTTTATGCATAAAATTTTCAACATCTATTCTTCCATGTTTTAAATTCAGCACACTTTTTTTTTCAAATAATTCTTTTGGTTTTGACCTTTTTATGTTTTGCGTTTAAGTGTCACTTACATTTTGGGAGTTTTACTGTCTCATTAGTTAGCACATCTCTGAAAATGGAATCCACCAATATATTTTCAAAGTTAACACATCATGACCAATTAGAATTTATCCCAGGAATACAAAGTTGGATAACATTCTAAAAGCACAGTATAAACAAATTAAGAAAAATCATACTAGCTCAACAGATGTAAAAAGGCATTTGACAAATTTCAATATTAATTCCATTAATTCCTGATAAATACTCTCAGCAAACTAAGAATAGACGGGAACTTCCACAACATGAAACAGTGCTACAAAAAGCCTACAGCTAACGTCGTATGTAATGATGAAAGACGGGCTGAATTACGTCCCATCCTCCAAATTCATATGTTCAAATCCCAACCCAACGGTACCTTAAGACGTACTGGTTATTTGGAGATATGGTCTTTAAAGATGTAATTAAAGTAAAATGAAGACACACGGCTAAGCCCTAATCCAGTACGACTGGTGTCCTCATAAGAAGAGGAGAATAGGACACAGACAGACACAGAGAAAGACTGTGTGAAAAGGCAGCTGTCTGCAAGCCAAGGAGAGAGACCTCAGAGGAAACCAAACTTTCCAGCACCTTGATCATGGACTCCTAGACTCCAGAACTGTGAGAAAATACATTTTTGTTGTTTAAGCCACTCTGTCTGCAATATTTTGTTACAGCAGCCCTTGCAAACTAACCATCACATAAGATTAGGAAAAAGATTAATATGTCTTCCCTCATCACTTCTACCTAGCATTCTCCTGGAAGTTATGGCCAGTGCCAAAAGTCAAGACAAAAAATAAAAATTGTCCAGAATGGGAAGGGACAACTAAAAATATTTTTGTTCGCAGATGACAAGAATGTCTATGTAGAAATTCTTATGAAATATGTTTAAAAGGTATCAGAATTAGTTAGCAAGTTTAGCAGAGTTGCATTTTATAAAATCAACACATAAAACTATTTTATTTCTCTATACAAGCAACAAAAACCAGAAATCAAAATTTTAAATCACTACTATTTATAGTAGCTTAAAAAATATTAAATACCCGAGGTTAGGAATGACAAAAGGTATACAAGACCTGTTCAGTATTAATTACTGAGAGAAATCAAAAAAGACCTAAATAAATGGTGAGATACATCATGTTCATGAGCCAGAAGACTCAATACTGTTAAAATGTCATTTCTCCCAAAATTGACCTAGAAAATCAACACAACTCCAAAAGCAAAGACCAGTCAAAATCCCCAAATTCCTTTTTTTGTGGAAATTGAAAAACTGATTCTAAAATTCATATGGAAATATGAAGGATCTAGAATAGCAAAAGCAACTTTGAAAATAAAGAACATAGTTGGAAGACTAACACAACCCACTTTCAAAATGTATTATAACACTATAGCAGGAGTTAGCAAATTAAGACCTGCAGACCAAATTCAGCCCATGACCTGTTTTTTACAGTCCCCAAGCTAAGAATGGTTTTTATATTTTTAAATGGTTGTTAAAAGAAACACACACTACAGAGGACGTATATGCCTCACAAAGCCTAAAATATTTACTATCTGACCCATTATGGAAAAAGTTTGCTCACCCTCAAGCTACAGTAACCAAGACAATGTAGTATTATCATATAGACACAAAAATAGATCAGTGGAGCAGAAGACAGAACCCAAAAATAGACCCACTCATATATGGACCACTGATTTTTTTACAAAGGTGCAAAGGCAATTCAGTGGACAAATTATAGTCTTACTATCAAATGGTGCTGAAAGAATTGGATATCCATGTGCATAAAAAGTAAACTTTGGTCTATGTTAAACTTTGAATAATATACAAAAATTAACTCAAAATGTATCATAATCTAAATGTAAAGCCTAAAATTATATAACTTCTAGAAGAAAACGTAAAAGAAAATCTTTGTGACCTTGGATTTGTCAAAGATAACCCTTAGCTATGACACTAAAGCAAGATCCATGAAGAAAAAAAATTGACAAATTGAACTTTAACTAAATTTAAAATGTCTGTTCTCAAAAATCACTGTTAAAAGATTAAAATACAAGACAAATACTAGAAGAAAAATTTGCAAATCATGTATCTGATAAAGAATTTGCATGTAGAATACACAAAGAACCCTCAAAACTCAATAATCAAAACCTAATATATTTTAAACAGGCAAAATATTTGAACAGACATTTCACTAAAGAAGATATAAACACAGCAAATAAGCACATGAAATGAGGGTCAACATCATTAGTCATCAAGAAAATGCAAATTAAAACTTCAGGTAAATACCACTACATATCTATCAGAATGACTAAAATTAAAATTACTGGCCATATCAAGTATTGGCAAAGATGTGAAAGAAGTGGAACTCTATACTGCTGGCAGGAATGTAAAAATGGCAGAACTACTTTTAAAAACAGTTTGGCAGTTTCTTAAACATATGAACATATACCTATTATGATCATGCCTAGGGGTAGTTCCAAGAGAAATGGAAACATGTGTCCATATAAAGACTTGTGCCCAAATGTTCATAGCAGCTTCATTTGGAGTAGCAATAAACTGGAAGCAAACCAAATAGCTATCATCAGATTAATGAATAAATAAACTGTGATACAACCATACAATGGAACAGTACTCGACAATGGAAAAGAATTAACTATTGAAAATGCAACAACATGGATAAATCTCAAAATACTTATGCTGTGTGAAAGACATCATACAAAAAAAAAGAAGAAAAAGTACATACTCTGATTCCATTTATATAAAATCCTAGAAAACAGAAACTAATCTATAGTGACAGAAAGCACATCAGCCTGAGGATAGGGAGAGGGCAGGCAAAAGAGATCAGGAAGAAGGGAAGAGATGCAAGAAAACTTTGGGAATGATGAAGATGTTCATTATCTTGATTGTGATAATGAGTACCCAATTACATACACACATCAAAACTTATCAAATTTTATGCTTTAAATATGTACATTTAAGTTATACCAACTACACCTCAATAAAGCTGTTTTTAAAAGTAAGGCAAGCTACAATTTTTACTTAGCTTCAAAAAAATTAAGCTAATTTTTTACCTAAAGCAAATAAACAAACAAAAAACACTGCCATTTAAGCACTGAGTGTTATAGAACACAAAATTTCACTGAGACACAGACATAAAGCAGAGAAAAATCCAACACTACCTATCATTTGTTAGCAAATATAAATCATTTGGGGAAACTCTGGATATTGTACACATCACATTTCACTCTCTACCTTCAGTTCCATCTTGGACATTCTCTGTGTACGTTAGTATGCAAAAGACTCCACAGGTCTTGAGGAAGGAAACTTACTTGACTGGCCCAGGCCCCTTTTCCCTAGATAACTATTAGTATTCCATAGAAGTAGCATCCATGGGTACAATTTAGAAAACAATTTTATAGACTGTAGGTGTTAGCAGACATCAAGTTAAGGGCAATAGGCATAGCAAGGAAAAGAGGGATTACTTCCAGCCCTAATATTGTATTAATCTGTGACACTCAAAATTTGGACTACTAAGCTAGACCCAAGTCAAGATCAAAATACATGCTAGAAACACTCTCAGATCATTTTAATTACATTTTAAATGTTACAAAAAGGGAAGAAAATAAAAAGAGATAATAAAGCCCAAGGTCAATAGACAGTTTGACTTTGCTTCTTACAGGTTTTATCATATTCTATCCTTGACAAATTTCTCTATTATCTTAGCTGTGAATTAACCGCTATGCTTTGCAGACTAAGTTAATCCTTCTGTAAATTTTACATCTTTATGGTTCCATGTCTAAGAGGATAACCATCACCAAGTTAAAAATGCAAGCAATAATTTCTTTTTTTTTTAGAATCTCTAAAAGTCATTTTAATTTGCATGATATATTTCTCTCCACTGTTTTAAAGAGACAGAGGCTAGCTTTTCATTTTCAAGGATTGATGAACAATCATCCATGAGTTCTTGAAGTTGAATAACAGAAAACTGTACTTGTTTTTCAAATCATTTGGCTACTGTAAGAAGCTTCTGGTCACAAAATGCACATTCAGTAAGCTACCGTCCTATTGGCAACCCTTGGTTTGAAAGTGCAACAGGAATACTCACTGTTGGCAATCCTGCCATGTTTACAGCCTGTGTGAAACTATCATCCTGGGCACTTCTTGCTGTGTTGTCTTCTTTGATGAATTCCAAGTATAGTATTGCCTCACTCAAGGTGGTGGGAGTTAGCAAGACATCAACTCCAGAGTTAAAAGCATTCACAAAATCATTATCAATGAGGTATCTCACCTTCTGTGCTTTGATGAAATAATTTTCATAGTTTTTTTTAACAAGAAAAAGTTTCCTGAGAGAATTCTTCCTCTCACCACATCATTGAATCCTTCTTGTCTGGTTGCAGCATACGTGGCTTCAGTGGACACATCAATGTCACATCTGTGACCATATCATAGCCCATCAAATCTTGCCATATTTGATGCCACTTCCAGTGTGCACAATACATGGTAGCAGACAACTGAATAACTGGTGTGAGGAAGGGATGCTTCAATTACTTTGGCCCTCACAGACTCAAAGAGGTCAGCAGCTTTGGACTAAAGAGATTGTACTTCACTGATAATTATGGTACAAGATTTTTTTTGGAATTCCTATACATAGTTTGTTTACATCTGTCAAACTGGGAAGTATGAATGGTTTAACAGGATCTTGTACTGTGGTAGAATCCTTGAGGTCATGTCCAGCCAGTACACCCAACACAACTGCTGCATCATCCACACATCTGGTTAAGATACCTGGCAGATCCATCAAATTCACCAGGGGAATGAGACCATGACGGGAAAGTAAGCCATAGCTTGGTTTGAAACCAACAGGTTTAATTTTCCTCAGATCTATATTCCTATACTCCTATTACAGTCCATGACACATTGCATTATAACTATTTGTTAATGTATCTGTCTTCTTTCCTCCTGAAGGCAGACACTGTCTTATTCAACACTCAATAAATGTCTTTTAAATTGAATTATCATCATAAATAATGTATTAATGGTTTTCCTCAAAGCACACACACACACTCTATCTCCCACACACACACAGAGAGAGGGAGCAGGAGTGGGGAGAGAGAAGGAGAGAGAGAGAGAGAGAGTGAGAGGGAGAGAGACAGAGAGAGAGAGAGAGAAACTTAGGAGGAGCTATAAGAGAAGGTTACAGTTTTAGCTCTTGCCTTTTCATGGATTACAACCTAAGACAGATAATAAAGAAAGACATGGGTGATCACAGTAAACTTCCATAGGATACACCTGAAAAGGAGGCAGTCAATCAGCCGATAAGATGGTAAATAAACCAGGACTTTTGCCTGCAGCAGTTGAAGCAAAAACCGTAGTACAAAAAAAATTACATTGGCTCATAGACCTAGAAAACCCAAGAAATGTATCTGACTAAAGGCACAGCTAAACCCAGGGTTTCAGATTATACTGCTTGGATATCTAATACCCATTTGAAGCCTAACATGTCAAAAACCTGAGCTTCTTCTAATCGTCCTCCCAAATCCACTCCCCATTGTGCCTTCTGCGTCTCAGGAAATGGCAGCTCCATTGCCTCAGTTATTCAGGCCAGGAACCCTAGAGTCAATCTTGTTCCCTCTCTTTCTCTTACTCTCCACATCTAATCCTTCATCATACTGCAGGCTCCACCTTCAAAATACATCCTGAATGCAGTCTTCTTACTACATCTCCTAAACCAAATCATCCCTCACCTAAATAATTATAACATCCTTTGCCTTCCTAGAGGCGCTTTTCAACATAGACCAGAAAGACAGTTTAAAGTAAGTCAGATCATGTCTCCTCTTTGCAAAATCCTCCATTGCCTTCTCATCTCTCTCCACATAAAAGCCAAAATCCTTACAATGGCCTCCAAGGCCCCACGCTATAGGCTTCCCTCCCCTCTCATCATCACTTCCTCATCTTCCCCTCACTCTGCCCCAGCCATACTGGTCTCCTTGCTCTTCTCTTACTCAAACACACTGAGCATGTTCTCATTCTGAGGCCTTTGCATCTGTTCTTCCCTTTGTCCAAATATGCACTTCCTGCAGATGTCTGCATAGCTCACACTCTCATATCCTTCAGATCTTTCCGTAACATCACTTTCTCAGAGAGGCCCTCCCAAGCTGTTCTTTCTAAACCACAACAATCCCCACCACCCAATTCTCTATAGTCCTTCCTCATGGTTTATCTCCACAGCACTTATCAAACATGCTACCTAATGTACTGAATTGTGTTTATTGTCTGTCTCTCCTTGCTAGAATGTAAATTCCTTTCTCCATTGGTAGATACCCATGTGTTCCAGGAAGAGATGATGGACAGTTGCTCCTTTTCCACTTGTCTGCATTGAACTATGTCACCTGGACCTGAAGTCTTATAGAGTTTCTTATCAAAATACGATTCTTTCTTTCAGCTTTTTCCAGTGTTCCCTTTTCCACTAGTCCTGGAGCCAGCATGTAGAACAAGACACCATCCTGTCCCCAGCTGGGACCATATAATATCCATCCTCCCTGCTTTGATAACAGAACTCCCGAGTTTCAGCTGGCAGCCTATGTGGCCATGCGCATAAACTCTGAACAACAGAATGTAAGAAGAAATGATGTGTGCCACCTATGAGTTGTACCCCTGAAAAGAAATGTGTAAGTACTTCCCTGACCCTTTCTCTTTTATTTCCCTGTTGCTGGTGAAATAATAAGAATTATCATCTGCCTTGGACTCTGAGGTGGAAGCTCTGCATGGAGGACTCCACTGACACCCTGGCAGCCCTGGACCACCTCCTCCTGTACAGTCATACAAGGAAGAGAGAAACTTCTATCTCAGTTAAGCCATTATATCTTGAAGTTTATTTGTTATAGCAGCCTGGCTAATACCCTAATACAAAAATTACACTGAGAATGTCTTTCTTGCCTTTGGGTATTTTGGGAGCAAAGGAAAATAACTTGGAGTTGAGGAAAGGGAGTAGAAGAGAAATTAAGAACTACTCAGTTCTGACCCAATTCTGCCACAGAAGGCTGGGGCTTCTCACATCATAAAACATTAGAGCTCCTACTTGTACTGATATGAAATAACCTCAAGAAAAATTGCTGATATGCTATTGTTAGCTAATTTTTAAAGGTTTATATATATGCAAGCGTTCTAAATGTAGACTATTTCTGGAAGAATACCAACAAATTTCTTAGGTGGCTGCCTCTGGAGATGGGGACTGAAGGACAGGAAGACAGCGTTGGAGGAAAAGAACTCGCTTTTGGATGCTTTCTGAATGTTATTTCATGTGTAACTATAAAAAAATAGTAACATTTAAACCTTAAGAAGTCAACAACCTAAAACTAATTTTTAGAGAGGATTAAAATCTCAGCTATTAACCCTTTATCTCATATGAATGATTTTCACCCTTTTTCGGTGACCATAGCTCACAGTGGCACAATGAGAAAAAAATGTCGCATTTTTGAAGGCCATTGTTATCAACGGATGTGAAAGCAAACTTCCTTTTGGACATAAGTATGCATAGCTTTCAAATGGCACAAGAAAAATCAGATCTTTCCTCAATGTATTTTTTCGTTTGTTTCCAGTGGAAGCAGAAATCAGCAGCAGCCTAGCATCCTTGAAACTTTCCCTCGTTTCCCCCAACACCATCATCATTTTATAAAGGTCATCCCACAATGAACGGGTTGCCAAGTCAGGGTGAAGGCAGCTCCGCGACGGCCCTCATTACGCTGATCTGTGCTGTCTTCCATCCCCTCATCAGCAGCAAAGTCAATATTTCATCTGGGAGCTAAAATTAAGTCATCACCCCTCCTGTGAGCAACACTACTCCTGAAATAAAAATTTTACAACATTAGGTTGGAGGAGGATCACTTAGCATTTGAAAACACTTCCCCTGTGACCTTGAGCTTTTATCGCTTGGGAGCCAAAATAAAATCTCTCAGGCAAGATTTATGAATAAATAATTAACCATGAAAATAAAAGCAGCACAGAAAAAGAAGTAGGTCCTTTCCATTTACAGCCAAAGTTGGTGTGTGTGTGTGTGTGTGTGTGTGTGTGTGTGTGTGTGTGTGTGTGACTTTCTCTTTTATGCACATGGTGTTTTCAAGAAAAAAAAAATCCAAGATATAAAAGCCTGACATCACCACAGGAGCCGTAAAACATTCGGACAGATTCTGCATGGCCTGCTTCCTCCATGGGCCTTCCTGGATCCTCAGAAAGTACCCAGGTCACCCAGACACTGAGCAGCAATGACAGCCCTCACTGCTCTCCATCCTCCTGGGGTTGGCTTCTCCCCACCCGACTCGACCCTTCCCAGCAAGAGCAAGGGGTGTTTTCCTAGTGGTCCACCTGCCAGCCAAGGTGGGTCTGAAGGGGAAGTAGCAGGAACTGAGTCCCACAGAGAAGACTCTGGGCTCACACATCCCCCATCTCAGAGCAGGGCTCTCTAAAAGCAGTTCACCCAGTGAAACAAAAATGACGACACTGGGGAACACTCAGCTCAGTTTCAAGGCAACCAGGAAAAATAATCACAAATTAAGAGAGCTCCCTCCCTCCTTTAAATGCAAACTCAGCACGTGGAGGAGGAACGCAGTCCAGTCTTCGGTGCGAACTGCCACAAGCTCTCTCTGAAGAACTGCAAGTGCCTTCCTCTTCCTGAAGTGCTCACCTCCTGGTGAGCTGCCCATCCCAGTTCAAGCAAAGAAAATACTCCCAGCATGAATGAGAGAAATTCAAAGAGAAGAGGCCTTGCTGCCTCCCGGTGAGAAAACCGACTGAGGGGCAAAGAGCCCAGGGATCTCCCTAGCCTGTCCCACGGCTCACAGTCCATGAGGAAGCATAAGAGTCTTGAACTTCATCCTAACGCTGGAAATCTAAACTTTTTCTTTTTCATCTTCAGAGCACCTATTGTTTTTCTTTAGACTGCTCTAACCTGCCTCCCTGCTGACTCATTTTTGTCATGTATTCTGTGAAGAAAGATAATAGACCAAATTATTCTGAAGCATAACTGCCTGTTAAAAGTCAGAAAAAGAACTTGCCCAGCCTCCTGCTCTGTAGCAAGCACGCCTCCGCAGGGTGGACGGGAGGCAGGCCAAGCCTACAGGCTGGTGGAGAGCCCTCTTCCTGCAGATAAAAGTGGCAGAAACACTCCTCCCATCAAAAGAAGTCAAATGAAGGTTAATCTTTTGCATCCCCAATCTTCTCTTCAGAAAGGAGGTTAATTTTAAGAATTCCTCCAGGAGTTGAGTAATCCCTAAGGGTTCTTCTGTCTTCAAGATTCCAGGATTCCCAAGCTTCCTACTTTGCTCAGGAGGTCTTCGGTGACTCTGCATTTCCATGACATTTCCTAACATTAAAGTTCCACCCTGAAGAACCTTAAGAGATAGTATAAACAAAAGCACGTTGTAAACCCTAATGCATGCTACTAATGGCAGTTTGCTTGTGCAAAAAACTGCTCACTCCTGTTTCCCTATATTCCAGAAAAACTTCAGCTGCTATTTACCTTATTCTTAAATCAAGTTGTTTATTTGATTCTTGCCTTCAATATTTTTAAGCAGCTCCATTGAGGTATAATTGGCAAAGAACAAACTGCAAATATTTTAATTATACAATTTGATAAGTTTTAATAAATATAAACACCATGAACAAGCTCTATAATCAAGATAATAAACATATTCATCATTCTTGTTTTCCCAGGCCCTTCTTACAACAATTTAAGAGCAAAATAACATTGTTTCTTACCCTAGACCTAACCATAATTAGCTGTGTGATCTTGAACCTGTTTGCAAGTTTTCATCTTTTCACCTGTTCAAGGAGAGAATTGTATCACATGATCTTCCTAGTCCTCCAAGACAAAGCCTTCTACGAATCTAGGCTTGAAACAAACCTTCAAGGACAGAGGTCACCCATGAATTTCCTTGTTGTTCTTTCTGGCCACAAAATTTATTCTCAAGCTATGGCACTCATGATGATACACATGGCATCATAATATTTATTTTTGTTTCTAAGTAGTTCTACACTGTTGCCTCTATAACAGGACCAGTTTCATGGACCAGTGACCTGTGCAGCCACACAGGGCCCCACCCTCAGAAGGGCCAGGCTGTTGAAGTTCAATGCTCTGCAGTTGCCATCTTGAAGTCCTTAATAATTTTGTCTTTGAATTTGTGGTTAGTAAATGAAGTCTGATGAGGCCATGGAGCTTCAGGCTTGGAGCTTTGACTCACATACGCTCCTATGTCCCACCACCTCCCTATCTGCTTGCCTTTTCGGACGGGATCTCAGCAGTCCACTCCCCAACCCCTGGTGTCCTGGCCCAGGCTGACCTCCTCATTCCTGACCCCATCCCACAACCACTACCACTGTCCACCTGGGGTGGAGACCAAGTTGCATTGACAGGAAGAGGACTGCATTCTACTGTCATTCTTTACCCCAAGGAGAGAGAGGATCAGGGTTAGACACTCACCCCATGGCATCTTGGGACAGGACAAGACAGCATCCATCCTGCACCAGGCTGACAGCACCACTACATGTTTGGTGGGTGACCAGTGGGGAGGGATGTATCATCCACCTCAGTCTAGGTACCAAGCGCATCCAGGCAGGGGTTAGAATGGACAGCCAGCATGTAGGAAGGGGAGATTGACTTTGCCATCCCATCCAGCCCCACATTTTTATTTTGCACTGGGATCCACACAGTATGTGCTTTTTTAAAGCACGTTATGAATATAAATTGCCTGTTGCAGACCAGGAATCAACAAGACAGCCTCCCATCTGTGCCCTTTCAAGAGGTCATGCAGGAAATAACATTGCATAGTGCTAAAAGCAATGAGTATTTGATGATCCTCTGGCCCTTGGTCATCCTGTCACTCAAGGACAGGCAAAGACAGGTGAAGAATCTCCAGCTGGTTTAAAGAAAAGTGTGAAATGGTGTTAGCCAAGCTGGAGCTGAGCTATAGCAAACTCCAGGCTGGATCCTGCCTCTAAATTGCATCTAAGTATATGCTAAGCCCACCTGGTCTGCTCTCAAATGGGGACTCTGCCCCTCCTCTCTGGATATCTCTCCCATCACCTCACTGCTGCCTGAGATGGCTTGGCTCTAACAGAAAATAGCACCTGTATTAGTTTACTAGGGCTGCCATAGTAAAGCACCACAAACTGGGAAGCTTAGAACAGCAGAGCTTAATTGTCTCACAGTTGTAGAGGCTAAAAGTCCAAGATCAAAGTGTCGGCAGGACTGGTTCTGTCTAAGGATTGTGAGGGAGAGTCTGTTCCATGCCTCTCTCCTAGCTTCTGGTGGTCTGCCTACAATCTTTGCCATTCCTTGGATTTTACATGCATCACACTGATCTCTACCTTGATACTGACATAGTGCTGTTCTTCTTCTTATAAAATTTTCCCCTTTTATAAAAGCTAAAGTCATGTTGGATTAGGCATCCACCCTACCCCAGTATGACCTTATTCTAACTGACTAATTATATCTGCAATGACCTTATTTCCAAATAAGGTCACATTCTGAGTTGTTACAGGTTAGGACTACAACATACATTTTGAGATGACACAATTCAACCCATAACAGGAGCCCTGAGTAGACCATCAGAGACAACGTTTCAACAACAATTACTCCTGGGAGTGGAAGCACATTGGCTGGCTCAAAATTCACACTAAGAGTGGGCAAGTTTTGGAGAGGAGAGAAAGCAAAACCTAAAGTCCTTTGGCTTTACAACACAGTTGGGGTATAGAAGAAAAGGTTGGAGGGAGAGAGAAGAAAGGGAAATAAAGTATCCTCACAGAATACAGGCATAAAGAATGTAAAAAAGAGTGACTAAGCCCAAGGACAGGCTTTGCTGGCTCTGGAAAAGGCTCAGTCCTGAGGCTGGAGCATAGTTACCATTCTTAAAAGGTTGCCTATCCCCACTGTGTAACTTTACTGTCATTTTCCTAATGTGGAAACTTAAACCAACACACACACACACCCAATACATGCACGCACACATATATGTGCATGCATACCTACTGTCCTCTCTAACAATGTTCCCTTTGCTGCCACAAAGACCTGTTTCTCTTCCAAAGCGAGTTCTTCCAGAAACTGCTCCTTCATCTCCAACTATGCCCAGAAGAATCAATACCTCTTAAATGTATTAAGCAAAATCCTGCAGCATCTGCAGACCTGGATATCAGAATCCTGCTAAGAAGGAAGAAAATAAGTTGCAATTGCTGCATCTTTCAGAAAAACAGTTATCAATTTAAAGCTTCTTTGAATATACTCCAGCATATTATAATGCACATACAAAATAACAGGTGGGTATTTTAAGTCCTATTAGGAGCCCCTAAATAAGTTATCACCAGTCAATCCCAGCACCTATAATCTCTTCTACAATCTTGCTTTTGTAAACAACATGCTATGGTGTCAGCTGTCTGTAATTGGAAGACAAGGTAATCATATGTTCTCAAGAAAATCCATGCACTTGTTAATGGCCCTAAATGTTGAACAAATTAGCAGACTTTAAAAATTCATTAACACTTCTGTTCTTAATCTATGGATTTGTTCATTTAATAACTGTGAGCTCACAATAAGGATCTATTAGCATATCACATGATATGGGTTGGTTGTGTCCCCACACACATCTCATCTTGAATTCCCATGTGTTGTGGGAGGGACTCAGTGGGAGATAATTGAATCATCGGAGCAGGTCTTTTCTGTGCTGTTCTTGTGATGGTGAATAAGTCTTATGAGATCTGATGGTTTTATAAAGAGGAGTTCCCCTGCACAAGCTCTCTCTCTTTGCCTGTCACCATCCACGTAAGATGTGACTTGCTTCTCCTTACCTTCTGCCATGATTGTGAGGCCTCCCCAGCCATATGGAGCGTAAGTCCATTAATCCTCTTTTTTTGTAAATTGTGTAGTCTTGGGTATGCCTTTATCAGCAGTGTGAAAGCGGACTAATACTCCACAATTACTATTTGGATGATCTGGCCAGGTGATGTATAAGATGGGGTTTTACTTTTCTAAACCTGTGTATGTTGAAATCCTCTGCCAGGGAAATTAACCAAGTCTTGTCCAGAGGTGGAGCAACATGGTTTTGAATGGTCCAGCACTACAGAATAATAATTGGCATAAATAAATACCAAACTCTTTGCATCTTCCCAAATGCTCTAGGAGGTAGGTCCTATCATTTTTCTCATTGTATGGTCTTAAGTCTTGGTCACATCAAGTCAGGGGCCCACCCTCCCCCAGTATGACCTCATCCTAACTTAACTAATTACATCTGAAATGACCCTATTTCTGAATAAGGTCACATTCTGAGTTACTGAAGGTTAGAGCTACAACATATAAATTCTGGGGGTATCCACCTCAACCCATAACAAGGCCCATGAATAGACCATCAGAGACCATGCAGAGCCATGAAGAAACTACAGCTGCAAAGAAGCAGCCAGACTGCTGGACTCCAGAGCAAGGAGCTATATAGAGGAAAAAAAGAAAAAAGAGAACTTGAGAAAAGGGAGAAAACTTGAGAAAGGGAGCTCATATACACTTTTCTTTCATGGTGACAGTGATAGAGAAGGAGAAAGAGGGGAGAAACAGAGTTCCACTCCTTTCCATGGTCAGTATCTTTTAGTTGTTCCTTTTCTCATAGCTTCTAGCCCATTCCTCTGTTTCTGAAATTACAGTTCCATAAGATATTTTGCTTTTATTCCATAATTCCAAACTACCTGACAAGGAGATTCTCAGCCCATAGTAATTGAGGGAATTAGATGCTCTTAAACAGTGGCTGATGTAATAAATATGACAGGCCCAATGTGATGGTCAATGCATGTCTAATGCACTCATTTGCTGAGAATTGCTTGAAATTAGTGGACTTCACAGCAATTAGCATTGTCTATATACACATACACACAAACACCATGGCCAAACATCACAGTAAAGAGATGGCCTCCTAGAGGAAAAAAACAGCAGACCTGTATTATAGTCAAAGCAGACTTCCATTACAAAATACCATACATTGGGTGGCTTAAACAACAGAAATCTATTTCACACAGGCTGGAAGTCTAGAACCAGGATGCCAGCATGGTTGGGTTCTGATGAAGGCACTCTATTTTTTTTTTTCTTTTTTGAGATGGAGTCTCCCTCTGTCGCCCAGGCTGGAGTGCAGTGGCGCAATCTCTGCTCACTGCAACCTCCGCCTCCCGGGTTCAAGCAATTCTCCCATCACAGCCTCTCGAGTAGATGGGACTACAGGCACGCATCACAAGGCACTCTTACTGGTTTGCAGATGGCCTCCATCTCACTGTCCTCACATGGCAGAGAGACAGCAATCTCTCTCTTCTTCTTCTTATAAATCCACCAACCCCATCATGAGGCCCCCACCTTATGACCTCATCTAAACTTAATGTCATCCCAAA
Source organism: Homo sapiens (assembly GCF_000001405.40). Classification (NCBI taxonomy): domain Eukaryota; kingdom Metazoa; phylum Chordata; class Mammalia; order Primates; family Hominidae; genus Homo; species Homo sapiens. Next base: position 222,272,344 of record NC_000001.11, read on the forward strand.
GGCCCCATTGCTAAACACCATCACGTGGGGGTTAGTGCTTCAACATATGAATTTTGGGGAGGACACAATTCACTCATTCACTCTGGCCCCCTTAAATTTATGTCCTTCTCACATGTAAAATACATTCCTTCCATCCCAACAGCCCCCAAAATCTTAAGTCATTCTAGCATGAACTCTAAAGATTAAAGTCCAAATACTCATATCAGCAAAATCAAATATGGGTGAGACACATATGTTGCTATGATTCATTCTGAGACAAAATTCCTCCCCTTGTGCAAACCTTTGAAAGCAGACAAGTTACATGCTTCCAAACTATGATGATGGGACAGGCATAGGATGAACATTCCCAATCCAAAAGGGAGAAATAAGAAAGAAGAAAGGAGTAATGGGTCCTAAGAAAGTCTGAAACTTAGCAAGGCAAATTCCAGTAGATCTTAAGGCTCCAGATTAATCCTCTTTGGTTTCAGGCTCTGCCTCATGGACCACTGGGGTGACAATCCCACTTCTGAAGTTCTGTTAGGTGCAGGGTTGCACCCTCAAAGTTCCATGTGGCCCCACTCACAGGATTTTGCAGAGTGGTCCCATTCCCACAGCATTGGTCAGAGGCCATCTAGCCTGTTCAAACCAAGTGGCACCACTGATAATCTCTGAATTGCCTTCTTGAAGAACAGTGCATGTTTTCTTGAAGAGTAGTGCATGTTCACAGCTAAATGGCTCTATGGTCTGGTCTTGTTAAATCAAAGAAGTACAACTGCCTTCCCTAATTTAGTCTCATTTTTTTCTGTTCTCTTTAGTTCATACTGGCAGGGTCTTTGTTGGTATAATCTCATCTCTATTCCTGGATTCTGTTAAAATGGCTAAGTCAATAAGTCATACCCATGATGTCTTTATCAAATGATTGTTCAGCCACATCTTTAATGTTCTCTTCAAAACAAGCTTTTCCATTTTTTGTAATGTGGATAAGCTGAGAATGTTCCAAATCTTTAAATTCTGCTTCCTTTTTGATTAAGAATTTCTTCTTCATTTCATCTCTCTCCTTTAGTATTTTTCTATATGCATTTAGAAGGAACCAAACCACTTCTTCAACACTTTGCTTAGAAATCTGTTTAGCCCACATTTTGCTCACAAATTCTACCTTCCACCAAACACTAGAACGCAGTTCAGCCAAATTATTTGCCACTTTATAAAAAGGATCACCTTTCCTCCAGTTTTCAATATCATGTTCCTAATTTCCATGTACGCCCTAGTCAGAATCACTTTTAACATCTATTTTTCTAGCATACAACTCAAAACTCTTCCAGCCTCTACCTATTAACCAGTTCCAAAGCCGCTTCCACATGTTTAGGTATTTGTTATACCAGCACCCCACTTCTTTGTATCAAAATCTGTATTAGCCTGGATTCTCCAGAAAAACAGAACCAATAGGGTGTAGATGTATAGATAGATCTAGATACAGATATATCTTTCAGTTCTGTTTCTCTAAAAAATCCAGACCAATACAGACATGTCTATAGACATAGACATACACATCATATATAATCCAAATATGTCTATAGATATAGATAGGTATCTAAATCTATCTATATATAACCATATATATAGAACGATTATAACAAACTGACTCACATGATTATGCAGGCTGAGAAGTCCCAAGATCTGCAGCTGACAAGCTGAAGACCCAAGAGAGTCAATGGTATTTCTAGCCCAAGTTAGAAGGCCTGACAACTAGGAAAACCAGTAATGTAAGTCTTCATCTGAGTCTGAATCCGAAAGCAGGAAAAGAGCAATGTTCCAGCTTGAAGAGAGTCAGGCATAGAGAAAGAATTCTGTCTTACTCAGCCTTTTTGTTCTATCCAGGTCTTCCATGGATTGGATGAGGCCCATCCACATTGGGAAGGCAATCTGCTTTGCTGAACCTACTGATTCAAATGCTAATCTCATCCAGAAACAGCCTCACAACACACTCAGAATAATTTTTGACCAAATATCTGAGCACTCCATGGCCCTGCCAAGTCAACACATAAACTTAACCGTTACAGAACCCAAGGAGAATAACACAGCTCTCCAACAGAATGGTTTCTGCCTCTCCACCCTATTCCCTACTGATTCTCTTCCTCAGGACCCTTGCTAAGTGTTCTCTTGACCAGATGAAATGGTAAAGGGTAGGAAGAGCAGGGAAGAATACAGACAGGATGGATGGAACAAGAAGAATTTCTGAATGAGTTTGGGGCCAACCCCCTTTTGAGGTAAAACTTGATTTTGGTAATCTGCCAAATTATAAAGGGGAATTTTAAGTAATCTCCTGTGTTTGGCCTAGACTTGTAGTATATTAAGGCATTAAATTGGATTAAAATTATATATTTAGAATTTTCAAGGAGGTAAGCAGTATCAAGAAGAGACTTTTTTAAAAGAAAGGCTTAATAAGCTCCCGCAACGTTCCTGGCCCTCATCTGATGCCCCAACAGCCCTTTGAGATAGACACTACTATCCCCACATTACAGAAGTAGAAACTAAGGTAAAGGCATGTTCCTGCCACAATGGTGAAACAAGGACTGACCCAGGTAGTTGTCATTCCTGGCCTGCCGTTCTTCACCACCTCACAGAACCTGCCGTCAACTGGCAATGACTCCCCACTCCTTTCTCCACATGTGCACAGCTCTAGAGAACATGTTTCTCTCATCAGGATAAAAAATGAATGAGGGTTTTTAGCACCCGAGCTCTTGAATCAATTAAGGATTTTAATCAGAGATGAGAATTATAAGAAGCTGCCAGTAGACTCATTCCTGGGCAAATCCCCCTGCCCATGCCTCATCACTTCTAATAAGACCATCATAGCACTTTTAACCCTGCACTCCACAGTTAGTGAGGCATTCCTGATTACTCACATCTGTGAGAGAAATCGCCTTATTAGGCCCCGAGCTGATGCTCTTCTATAACTCCTTATATGATTTTACAAATTCTCCAGGACAGGGTATGTCAAGATGAGAGAAAACAGGGAAGCATATTCCATCCTGTGCAGAAGCCATGTAGAAGGCATCATGTTAATACAACTGTAATGAAGCCAGGGGCTATCAGTCATAATTAATAGAGCTGAATGAAAGAGAGGTGGAATATTTTTCAATTTATCTACCGACAAGGAAGGAATCACAGCACATTCCCCCTCCCTGGGGAAATAACTGCAGAAAATAGGGTTGTTTTATGTGGTCAGACTTTACATACATTTTCCCTGTTACAGTCAATTCCCATTTCAAGAATAAGTAGACAGATGTGTAGAGCTTGTTTCATAGAAATAGACCCCAGTATTTTGTTAAGTAACACTGACTAACTGATGAATTATTCCAAATAGTAACCATCTACACTTGACAGGACTGTCTCTCTAGGACACCAAGGGACGCATACTGACACCTGCATTCTTCATCAATATATTTAATTGCTCAATTCTGCTTTGCATAAAGGGGATTCTTCTCTTCTGCACCAGTGTGTGGTTGAGAAAGCTGTCTGGGAGAAAAAAAAAAAAAAAAGAGGCACTCAGGTTTGAATATGTAACTGAGCTCTCCACAACAAACAGCACAATATAATGAGACCCAAGAGAGCCTCCTAGTGCTGTTCCATCCAGGCCCCAATTCCTCAATAATAAATTTCCTTCCCCAAAAAATAGTATTGAACTCTGCAAAACTGTTAATTGCAGCTTGGAATAGGTAAATCTAAGCTTCCACTTTCCAGAGAGCCTTAATATTGGATATTAAACCATAAGAATATGAACATAGCCTGAACACTGCTGGCTACGCACACAGAACACTGTACATAGTAACCTGATGGAGCTTTATGCGGAAATTGTAACTAATTTACACCGCACTGGGTACACATCTTGTTCTCGTTTCATTCCATGCCATCTGCTCCTTTGTCACCACCACCCGTGGCAGGACATCTCCTCAGCTGCTGCCACTGAGCTGGAATTGTGCCCTCCCCCTGTGATCTGCTATCAACAAGCATTTGGCACTCATCCCTGAATCAGATGGGACTCATTTAATCCAAAGGGGCTTGCTGTGTAGTAACACCTTGGCAGGCTCTGCACTGCTGGGGAGAAGCAGACTTGGGAGATTCTTTCACAGCCTCATCAGATCAAAAACATCGTGAAAACCTAGGAAACGGTTGCCCCTCAAAATGTATAAGCCAGCAGTAAAATGAAAACACATCATAGCACTCCCTGACTTCCACCTCCTGTGAGTGCTTTCTTTTGTTGATCTGCACCACACAATGTATTCATTCATTCATTCAATAAACATGTTCGGACACCTCTTCTGGGTTCAAACTCTTAATCTTCACCTTTGACAAGGAGCAGAGAACGAGAAGAGCTCTTTGGACTAGTTCTCACACTCACAAAAGGATTAAAATTTAGACTGGTGAAGTTAACTCCAAATGAAGTTATACATCAGTCCCAGAGGTACACTGAATGATTAAAAGAAGAAACTTATCACCCAGACTTACACTTATATGCAATCACCAGAACGCACCACCTCTAACATGCTATGAATTATAATTAAGCTCTGAACAGAAAAACTATCTTGTGTCTTCATGCTTTACAGCATTAATTTTTTCAATGTACACCTCTAAAATGTACTACAAAAAGTTCAGACATTTGTGTTTTAATACACTGAAAGCCTTTAAAAATGTAAGTGGCCAGGCAGGGTGCCTCGCACCTGTCCCAGCTACTGGGAGGTGGGGATGCTGAGGCAGGAGGGTAACTAGAGGCCAGGACTCCAGACCAGCCTGGGCAACATAGCAAGACCTCATCTCTTAAAAAAATAATAAATTAAATAAAAATAAATAAAATGGAAGTGAATTGGACCCTCTCAATCCCTACAGAAAAGGAAAGAAGAGAAGGGGCTAGACAAGTGAATAGCAATCCATAATACAATCTGTCCACTCAATGCTCTGTATCTTTCTAGAGGCTTTTCTGTTGAGCTAGGGCACCCACTAATGCACTTTCTCCCTTACCTTAATATTCTCCCTTTCCCTGTGTCAAAATATCTTCTGGGGGCTTCTAATGAGAGAGCACACTGAACTAATTTTTTAAAAAAGAATCCTCTCTCAAAATCATGTTAAATGCTCAATAAAATATAACAAATACTTAAATTCAAGGTTAACTTTGAAAGAAAGTAATTCTGGGAATAAAGAGGGAATCAAAGTCAGATAGTCAACGGGAGCTGTACTTTCAGGCCTTTTGTCTGTGCTAAACACTTGGATGAGCATCTCTATGTATAAAACCTTTTTTCAATTTTGTCTGCCTCATCTCCACCCTCAGCTTCCAGGATATATTCGTAGAAGTAATGTTCTTTGTATACATGCTTTGTATCTGTGCATCTTCATAGGCTCTGCTTATGGGCACTTATTTTCTCTACTGTTAGTAAATTTCAATATGTGGATTGCCAAAACAAACCACGCTGTACCACAGCAAAACTGCTTTTTGTAGGTAAATGACCAAGCACTAATATGGCCTTTCCACCAGCTACTGATATCAACAGCAAAGAGCTCACAGCTCTGGGATCCTCTGGCCCGGCAGATATCTCAGTCCAGGCAGACTGCATTGACCAGGTCTCAGTGACAAAGGCAGATGATGATGGGGAGCCCATCCACTCACTTGTATTCTTGATATTCTTGGCTGAACTCATTGTTGGTCCAGTAAGAGTCTTCTTAAACTGAATCTAACTCATTCTTATTTCCAGTCTTACCATCCTTTGTGATCTGACCATGCTCATCAATCACCACCACTTCCCACCAACAGTTATTCTTCAACTCATACCCTAAGTGGCAAAGTTCTCCATCGACCCATTATCCATTTCCCCATCTTCCTCACTAACAGAACCTCAGTCTTGGAACAGCAGTGGACACATCCTTGGATTGCAGTTGGTTTAAGCCAAACACAGCCACCCCATTCCTCAGTTTCTGAGCCTTCTAATGGGTGACCACAGGCTCCAGTTCTAGCCACTTTGATGCAAACAGGATGCAGTTTTGGAAAAACTTTGGGTGTTCTTGATGGAATAGATAGATACAGCTGACAGTTTCTTCTCTTTTCTCCCCTCATGAACATGGATGTGATGCCTGAAGCTATAACAGACAGCTTCAACCAACAGAAGAAAAACCAAAGTTAAGGCAGAAAGGACACATACAAAGAGACTGGATCTTTAACAATGTGGCTGAACTGCTGTTTCCACCCTAAATTGCCAAACTCTAGACTTATTATTTAAGATTATTAAATGTCCTTATTTTTAAGCCACTGTTTTTTGAGTATTCTGGTCAAAACAGCTGAAAGCATTTCCAACTGATAACACCCTTTTAGTTCCTGTATTGCACTGAGAACCACCATGTATGATTCATGGCACCTCCAATATGATGAGTGCCCTGATAGCAACTATCCCAATATGCAACCTCCTGTTTGTTTCATTATATATTATCCATTTCCTTTCTAGAGTGTAAGCTCTATGGGATCTGACTTATTTATTATTGTATTCCCAACATCTAGAAAATTGTCTAATACACAGTAGGCATTCAATAAATAACTATTACTGAATGAGATCAACTGGAAGGAGCACATTGGTACTTGAGCTTAGGGAGGCAGAGGGGAATTAGTGGTGGGTTTGATTGTAATTGAAAGGCCAGCTCTGTGAACACAACATAAGAGAAGTCAATTATGAGAAGTCAGGATTGGCAGGAAACAGTTGAGTTGGGTAATACCAATCTGGCTGTCCAGAGAGCAGAAGGAATCCCCTTTCCCAGACAACAGGGACTCTGAGGAAATCTGGATATCCAACTGACACACTGATCCTTTCTCAAGGTTGGAAGCAGACCAGGATGTCAAACACTCACTGTTGTCATTGTAACCTTGTAGTTCTGATCTTCCCTTGCCAGTGATACCTGCTGTGTTGGGCTCTTTTGTGGCTCTGTGAACTCATTCTGTGCCTGGAGCTCTGAAGTATGTTTAACAGTGTGCTCCCAAAATTCATGTTCACCCAGAACCTCAGAATGTAACCTTATGTGGAAATAGGGTCTTTACAGATATAATTAAGATAAGGACCAAAATGAGATTATATTCGATTAGGGTGGGCCCTAAATCCAATGACAAATGTCATTATTATAAGACACAAAAAATTATAATACTTAGACACGGAGGAGAAGATAGCACAAAGGTGGACACAGACTGGAGTGATGCAGCAATAAGCCAAGAAATACCGGAGATTGTAGGAAGCCACTCGAGCTAGGAAAAGGGAAGGGGGGAATCTTCCTTTGAGACTGTGGAGGGAACATGGCCCTGCTGATACCATGATCTCGAACTTCTGGCTTCCAGAACTGTGAGAGAATAAATTGCTGCTGTGTTAAGCTAGCAAGTTTGTGGTAATTTGTTAAGGCAGCACTTAGGAAATTAATACAGGCTCCCAGGGATTCCATTCTGTTCATCTGTTTGTGTGCTGTTTTTAGAAGTACAGCTGGTTTCTCCCTCTCTGGCAGGGTTAAGTACTCCTCCAGCAGCACTGCTAAGGATGAAAGTAGCATGGGTCTCTTCTCTCCTGAGAAGGGCTTATTCCTTTTCGGACTTTAGTTCAATTAGATTTCTTTGCATCTTCAACTCTCTGATGCATTTTTTTTTCAAGGATTATTTTGAAATGAATCCAGCATTTTTGTTGTTGTTAGGATGAGAGCAACATTCTTTTGTAAATTTCTAAAGCCTAACCACAAACTTGTAAGAAACTTTTTAATTTGTCCTGTCAACTTCAACAAATTTACAAGAAAAAAACAAACAACCCTATTAGAAAGTGGGCAAAGGACATGAACAGACACTTTTCTTTTTTCTTTTTTTTTTTTGAATTTATTATTATTATACTTTAAGTTTTAGGGTACATGTGTACAATGTGCAGGTTAGTTACATATGTATACATGTGCCATGCTGGTGCACTGCACCCACCAACTCGTCATCTAGCATTAGGTATATCTCCCAGTGCTATCCCTCCCCACTCCCCCCACCCCACAACAGTCCCTAGAGTGTGATGTTCCCCTTCCTGTGTCCATGTGTTCTCATTGTTCAATTCCCACCTATGAGTGAGAATATGTGGTGTTTGGTTTTTTGTTCTTGCGATAGTTTACTGAGAATGATGATTTCCAGTTTCATCCATGTCCCTACAAAGGACGTGAACTCATCATTTTTTATGGCTGCATAGTATTCCATGGTGTATATGTGACACATTTTCTTAATCCAGTCTATCATTGTTGGACGCTTGGGTGGATTCCAAGTCTTTGCTATTGTGAATAATGCCGCAATAAACATACATGTGCATGTGTCTTTATAGCAGCATGATTTATAGTCCTTTGGGTATATACCCAGTAATGGGATGGCTGGGTCAAATGGTATTTCTAGTTCTAGATCCCTGAGGAATTGCCACACTGACTTCCACAATGGTTGAACTAGTTTACAGTCCCAGCAACAGTGTAAAAGTGTTCCTATTTCTCCACATCCTCTCCAGCACCTGTTGTTTCCTGACTTTTTAATGATTGCCATTCTAACTGGTGTCAGATGGTATCTCATTGTGGTTTTGATTTGCATTTCTCTGATGGCCAGTGATGCTGAGCATTTCTTCATGTGTTTTTTGGCTGCATAAATGTCTTCTTTTGAGAGGTGTCGAACAGACACTTTTCTAAAGAAGACATACATGCAGCCAACAAGCATACGAAAAGAAGCTCAACATCAATGATCATTAGAGAAACGCAAATCAAAACCCACAATGAAATGCCATCTCACACCAGTCAGAATGGCTAATATTAAAAAATAAAAAAATAACAGATGCTGGTGAAGTTGTGGAGAAAAGGGAACACCTATACACTGTTAGTGGGAGTGTAAATTAGTTCAACCATTGTAGAAGACAGTGTGGCCATTCCTCAAAGATCTACAGACAGAAATAACATTCAACCCAGAAATCCCATTACTAGGTACATACCCAGAGGAATATAAATTGTTATATTATAAAGGCACATGTATGCAATGAACTTCCAGCACTATTCAAAATAGCAAACACATGGAATCAACCTAAATGCCCATCAATGACAGATTGGATAAAGAAAATGTGGTACATATACACCATGGAATACTGTGCAGCCATAAAAAGGAATAAGATAATGTCTTTTGTGGGAACATAGATGGAGCTAGAAGCCATTATCCTTATAAACTAAAGCAGGAACAGAAAATCAAATACCTCGTGTTCTCACTTATAAGTGAGAGCTAAATGAAGAGAACTCAAGGACACAAAGAAAGCAACTGGAGCCTACTTGAAGACAGAGGGTGGGAGAAGTGGGAGGAGGAGAAACAATAATTACTGGATACTAAGCTTAGTACGTGGGTGACAAAATAATCTGTACAACAAACCCCCATAACATGAGGTTACCTATATAACAAACCTGCACATGTATCCTCAAACCTAAAATAAAAAATAAAAATAAAAATAACCTGTCCACATTTTAATAAAAGCTATTACATAATGAGTTTATACCTACTTTTTTGTTCTTTCCCTTTTTTGTAATACTTTAATAAAAATAATCTGAATCAGCACTGGTCTTTTAGAGAAATTTTTCTTTCAGAGGCAGTGGTTTAGCTCATTCAATTAATTATGAATTTACCTAGTTTTATGCACTCGAGCCCACAATTCCCATCTCTACATTCCTAGAGGATGCAATGGAAGATCTCATCACATTTATTGCTAAAATTCTGATTGATTATATCTATAGAATTCCTTTCTTAAAAAATATTTTATTTCCATAGGTTTTTGGGGAGCAGGTGGTATTTGGTTATAAGAGTAAGTTCTTTAGTGGTGATTTGTGAACAAATACATACTATTAGATGGAGATACATGTGGCATAGACATAGCCATAGGTATAGATACAGGTATAGGTATATGTACAGGCTCAAGTATAGGTGCATAGATAACGGATAACACTAGTCAGCCTTGACTTGCTCATAAGTGAATCCATGCTGGCTTCTGATGATCATCCCTTTCCTTTCTTGGTATTAGTGGCAAGAAACCCACACAAGTCAATGTCAACTTATGGATTTCTAGTTTGTGAATCTTCCATCTTTAAATTCCATTTTCCTCTATTGAATCTGGCACTGTATTGTCCTACATCTATTCTCCTAGCACCTCTCTTGTCAAAGTGTGAATTATATGTCCCACAAGCCCTCTCTCATCCCAGAAAAACAATTATAAAGTTAATGCTGGGCAACAAAATGCTATTTTTTATTTTAGATGATTCTCAAGAATAAATGAGATTATTAGAAAAAGATTATCCTAGTACACTAGCCACAGAACCCATCTCCACTCAGCAGCAAATAAAATCACAGCATAGTTCTAAGATATTTAATTACCCTATAGATAATGCTATGATAGTCTGACAAATAACATTTAATGCTATGTAAAGTGTTTGAAAACTTCCAAAGAGAAAGTTCTTCCTCCTCCCCAGTTCCAGGCCTATACAAATAATTTAGGAAAGACTTCTTCCTATGAAAAACAGATTTTCTAAAGTCTAAGTGTCTAAACTTTCTAAAAATAAATATGTAAATAAATGTGTGTCCCCTAATTCCTATGATGTGAATGCTTTCTGTACTGGACCAGATCTCATTCCCCATCATAGTGGAGATTTCTGGAGAAATATGTCTCCAATCCCTTTAGGACTTAAGAAACTGATTTTGAGTGTTAAAATTGTTACTGTTAGAAATGGAAAAAATTATAAGTGGTCCTTTTCATGGAGTAAGGAAAATGTAAGATATCTTCTCATTAGGAATTAAGCTTCTTTTTCCAATTGCCCTCTAGGAAGTTCTGTCAACAAACTTGAAATACACACTGCTTTGCAGATGGCGTCACACTTGAGGTTTGTTCCTCATGCTCATTATTAAATGTAGTGAAACATTCCTTTGACTCTACATCAGACACTAACTGAGGATACAAGGCCTGGGAGAATATAAATATTTGCACATAAAAAAGAATTATGACTTGATTTGCTGCTCTTTCACCCAGATGTTTGCATTGCTGGTATTTTTTATCACTCTACTGCAGAATGATCTTCAAAATGATAAAAGCTCCCAAAATGCCTTATCTTCTTTTTCCCATAATGATTTTTAAAAAAACACTCGGGGCTGATGAAATATCAAGACATATGTCTTTTTAACTAGCTAAACCCAAGGAGATTTTGATATCCCGTATCCAACAGTATAATCTCCCCTCCCAAGAAGGTAGAGCCAGGCCAGGCGGGCCCATGGCCAAGCAGGTCAAGGTTGGGCTTTGGTCTGAGTAGACAGATTAATGTCCTAAAAAGAAGGAAGTGGAAAAAAACAGTGAGGTAGTGCAAATGACATCCAAATAAAATGCTAGTGGTCAGCACTAGTGAAGCAAAATCCATGGTCAAGACTAAAGACAAACTCAGGAAGTCATAAGCCAGGGACACAGGAGGATGGAGCTGGAGAGGGGGAACACAGGCAGGAAGGGAGCAATCTATCCCAGAACATCTACTGTGAGTGATGTTCTCAGGAGCTGGTCTCACATTATGAGGTGGGTTATATAGACGGGTTTGCAGATGTAAACTTAGGACACACCCTGAGGTTTGCTAGAATAGGAAAGGCCCCAATATTTGCACACTAGAATCAGAAGACTAGGCAAGAGAAGTTCTCATATTTTTTTCCAACTGAAGATTCTAAAAGATGTTTCATTGACAACACAGGATTCACTGGAATTGAGGGAAATCTCTACCTTTCTCTTTCAAATGGCAAGGATTTATGTTTAAAAACAAAACAAAAACATTGTTTTCTGGGTTTGTGACCCACCTCCACCCCCAACCTCCATTAGGCACCTTCCTTCTGACAACAGCCTCCTCAATTCTAGTTCTAAATCCTGAGATGCCCCACTCAATGTGCCCCATAACTGGCCTTTTATCTTGAAGTTTCTAGAACCAGAGCTCAGATTTACCCTTGGAAGTTTTCTTTCCTGGGGACAAAATCCCTAACCCTGAGCCCCATAGGGTGTCTGGAGCTTCAGACCTGTAAATTGATCTCCCAGGCACCAAACTCACCTGGCTCAGATTTTGTGAGATAATCACCACAAAGACCCATTAAATTCTCTGATCACTTAAGTGGACAAGCACCTGCCTTGGGTCCTTGGTCTATCATGGCTACAGCCCTTAGACACCAGTAGCTGGAGCCATTGCTTTGCTCTCAGCCAGACACTCCAACCTGCAACCTATCCCTACCACTTGGACTCAATGGCACAACTACAAGACCAGTCAGTGATTCATCCTTCCCTCAAGAGAAAAGCAGCAAGCCAAATAAACCATATTGCATTTGTTCCCAAATGTAGACATCAGCAGTTGCCTTTATCCAAACTTTGCATGTGAGATTCTATGAGGCAATTATGCAGGAACAAAGATCAAGGCTTGAAGAATAATAGAGATGGGATCAATGATAGCATTGGTATATTCCTCCAACTATTTGACACTATTGATTATAAGAATGTCCCTATATTTCAGAGATGTTAAAATATGGAGATTTGTCATGTTTTGCAGGCTAGTACACAACTTCTATTGTGACCTTCTAGAATTCATTCCACTTCTTTTTCTAAGTCCAGGCACTGCTACTTACCAAGCCAGTTCCTGTTCCCTTTACCTGACCCTCTGGATCTTTATAAAGGCCTTAGGACTCTGATCTCATTTGCCTCTCAGTCTCAAATCCCCACATAAAGGGGACCTATCTTGCAAATGGAGAACACTGTTGTTCATCTCTTCCTCTCCTAGCCCTAGATCAACTGCTTTCTTTTCCTTTAAGGTAGTCATCCCACCACCTTGGGACATCCCACCACAAACTTTTGACAGTTTCCTCAAGATCCCATCCAGAGCCCTGGGAATTTGGTTACCCACATCTGGACAGTTGTTAAGCCTCAACATTACGGATTCCTTTCAAGATTTAACGCATACAACCATGCTTCTCCTTGAACTGCCCTTCTCTTTATTCTGAAGAGACATGTAATCATACCAGGCATTGCCTAATGTGCAGCAAGTCAATACACCAAGATATTGGTTTGCAGCAGAGAAAGTTTTAATCATAAGGCTGCCAAATGAAGAGATGGGAGGAAACCTCAAATCCATCTCCGTGGAGAGCTTGGGTCTAGGTGTTTTAAGGAATTTGGACAGGTAGTAGGCCAAGGTGTTGACTGGTTGAAGAATGAAGGGTGAAGTCACGGGACAGAGAGGTAAAGAAATAGCATTCTCATGCTGACTTGGTTTCTTGATGGGAACCAAGGACTAGTTGGCATCAGCTGTTCTGAAAAACATCTCAAATGGGAAGTCTTGTGCCCCTGATGTTAAAGATGCTATTTATAGGAAAAATGAGGAAGTTAGAGTTTATGTCCTGGCCTACATGGTCCCTAAGCAGCTACAGGGAAGTTAGTCAAAGGATAATCTGATTAACATTTATCTGTACTTTTGTCTAATGCCTGCATATAATTCTTATTAATGCTATGGGAACAGTTTCATGTATATTTCCTAAGATAGAAATGTTGCTCTCAGGATCTGGCATTCTTATCCTACTTACAAGCTAACAAGTTAACCTGTTACTATTTCCCGGATGCTGACAGAAGATATGAGATTTCTAGATCTGTCATAAATGACATTATTACTCACAGCTTGTCCAGCAGCATGAGTTTATGTTTATGTCAGGTCCCTTTGTCTCCTCCTCATCTAATTCCTGCAGGGGCAACTTGAAGCAGCCCTAGCGAATGCTGCACACGTAATGGGTTTGCATCACAGTGGAGGAGCTCTGAGTTTGGGGACTCCACCTCCACTATAGCAAGCCTGCTCTTTGTTCCAAAGAGTCATTACCTCATTCCTCAAGGTTGCTCGCTGCAAACATGACCCTGAGCAATGACCCAGGCAAAGAGTGATCAAGGCCTGCATTCTTGAAAAATGCAGCAAGGATGTGCAGGGACACTCAGAGCTCATAAAGGATTGCCTCTCCCAACAGTTGCTACAAGGTTTTGGCAAAAGGCCTAGGTCATATGGTCTAAACTATAAGGTAATATTGGGTTCAGATGCAGGGAAGAAATCAGGGCTTTTAAAAAAAATCTTTATCCATACAAACCATGCAACTCCTAATGAAAAGGGCTAAAATAATTTTTGATAATATATGGGGAAAATGTTTTATAATAAAATAAATTTAATATAATTTTGTACTTTTAAAAAATAATTATTCAAGGTTTTGATACTTAATTTCCTTCCTCATTTCAAGGACCTCTCAGATGCTTCTTTCACCAACTTGCTTCAATATAATCAATATCCTGGATTTATGTACAGCTTCCTCATTTCACCTGGGATCAAAGTTCCTTTATCCTTATCTCTTCTTATGAGAAAAAATACTTGCCCTTATAGACACACTCTTCATCAGAGGAAAATCTCCAGTTTGTCCTTTCATGCTGCAGCTATCCACTCTGGCTCTATTTCCCATATTTGGCAGAAAGAAAAGATCGTAGCCACACAGACCATCTCTGTACTGAGGATTATTAGCAAGCTCATTTCTCATCTTCATTTGCTTCTTCTTTTTTTCAGTCATAATAAAAAACTACCATTCACTGAGTGTCATTTCTGGGTCAAGCAGAGTGTTCTGAGTTATTTACATGTATTGTCTCATTTATTCCTCACAACAACATATTATATTTATAGAGGTGCTTTATCATACCCATTTTATAGATGGAGAAACTGAGTTACAGAGGAGTTCGATACCTTGTCCAAGTCAGGCAGTAAGTAAGTGTTGTAAGTAGATTTCAAACCCAGATAAGTGAATGAAACCATGATGAATGAATTAGGAGAGAATCTCAGGGCCAGAAGAGTGGGCCTTGTTGCTGCTCTACTCATGAGTCCTCAGACACATTTGGCATTTTCACGGATCCGAGCTCCTGCTATTTCCCCACTCCCAACAGCCAGCATTTAAATCTCCTTTTCAAAGAACTTGCCCTCAGGCTGCTGTTACCTCTTTTGCCTAGGTGCAGAGAGCCAGAAGTGCCTAGAAATTTACGTTCCCACAGGGACAGCCCTAAGCCAACATCTGTGGTGCAGCAATATAAATGTTTTTGCTCCCTTACACTAATGAGGATCACTCTGAAATACGACCGCCACTGTTTTTGGAACTCCCCTGCAGTAGTGAGACAAAATTATCTTTTGTGCAACTTTGATACCATGTTTTGGGAGCCCCCAGCGAAAGTGGGGTTCCGGTACCAGAGTAGCTGGCAATCCTGCCCCAGTGAGACATGAAGGGGAGTTAGGCATGGGTATTTACAGTGTCCCTTTCATGGGATACTTCTTTTACCTGGTGGAGGACCTAATACCCAGTTGTCTGACCCATGACCAAGGGTCCCTCACATAGGAGACTTGTTTATACTGGAAAACACCCTTGTGGTCAGGTCTGACCCATGTCCAACTTATGCCTGCTTGAGTATCGTTCTGGTGCAAGGAGTCCAACTTTGTGTTCTCCTGGGGCATCCTGGGGCAAACCTAGCCTAGAGTAGCTCCTGGTTCTTCAGAAGGAAGACTCAAATTCAATACACTACCACAATAGGAAATAAGTTCAAAGACTTATTACTTACAAATCCTAGGCAGGGAGGGCACAATGAGTTGGGAGGCAGTCCCCCTGCCCCCGGTCACACAAGGCAGGAATAAAGAATCAGGCAGAGAGACTGAGAGTGTGGAAACTAGCAGTATATGTAAGGGAACAGGGTGCAGGTCACTTTAAGTTCAAGGGTAAATGCCTGAATGGTCTATTTAAAGGAAGCAGCAAGAAAAGCAGAGAATCCAGTCTGCTAGGCAAAACAGATGCCTCTAAGTTCCCATCTTCGGCCACCGGTGTGAGTCATTGGGGTGTGGTGTTCTACTTCTAATGCCTAGGGGGAAACCTTACTGCGTTGTTCCTGTTGCACTATATCCTCATTCGGTATCTTTCTTCCAAGTTCCACTTCTCCACTCCCTACCAGACTTTCTTTGAAGCATTTCCTAATAAATCATTTTCAATAAATTCTCAGTTTAGCCTCTGCTTTTGGAAACCCAACCTAAGATAGCTGGTTCCATGCTTGGTCCTAAAAAGCAGACTCTCAGGATAGGATTTTAGAACTGGATCACTCACTAGACAAATGCTAACAAGAGACCCACTGTTATGGGGAAATAGAGTGTAGACATCCACTAGCATGCTGCCCCAATTGCTAAGACTTTTATTTGTAGTGAATTTGGATAGGATACAGATGGAAGGGGATGCACTGGCATGCGTGATACCTATATTAGTTGAAATGTATGGGAGATTTGGTAAAAGACCGTGGAGTTGGGTTACTGCCACTTACAATCGATGAACTGAAAAAAATATATGCAATTAGTAATTCGGGGGAAAATGCAAGAGCTAGAATATCTTTATGGCAGTGTTTAAAGATATCTTTATCCACTGCAGCCAGACAGTAGACTATGCTTAAAATCAGGCACAGGCCTTGTTAGAAGAGTAGCAGAGCCACAACAATGGGTGAATTTGAAGCCTGAAAGTACCTTACAGAAGGCCAGATATGTTGACAGCCACATAATCTGGATGCAGAATCTGAACTGACACTAAAAACAGGCCCTGTTAGAGAGGAGACATATAGACATCAAGAGATAAATGCAGTCCTGGACCAAGTCTAGCTTACAATGTGTTAATGGGTCCACAAGGTGTTCATTTCCATTGTCCCAGAGTATATAACTGACATTGACATATTTTACATCTGGCAGAACTCTTATACTGGTTACTTGACCTGCAGAGTAAATGCAATCATGGTAGGAAAGGTCAAGAGGAAGCCTTTAAAAATGCCTCCTTTCCTGGCCAAAATAGTAATGCAGAAAAAATACTGTATCCCAGGTAGAATAACAGTGATTAATACTACACTCAACACCTAAAGGATTGGTTACTCTAGCAAACAACATTTAATTCACCAGTCGAGCCCTTGCAAAAAAAAAAAAAAATGTGGATTCTGGTAGATGATGGTAGACTATCTCACACTTAGTTAATCTATGTCCCTAATCACAGTTGTATGTGAAGTATGTTATCTTTACTATAAGGGATCAGTACAGCCTCGTTACTTGATATGTGCCTATTTATCTGGTGAACAAATTCTTTTCAATATCAATCAGAAAGATAGATCAGAAGTACTTGATTTCACATAAGACAGATAACATTACATTCATAGTCTTGCTCTGGGACTATGTTAACCCCCCTGCCCTCTGTTTCAATATAGTATGAAGAGGTGTGGATCATTTGGATAGTCCACAAAACATCAGGTTAGTCTGTTAAAATAATGACGTAAGTTAATTAGACCTGATAATCAAAAAGTGACAAGAACCATAGATGCCCTGGCAAGAAATATGCCAGGGAGAAATATAACCCTAAAAATAGTCAAGAACTTGCTGCATTCGTGAAGTTTTGAGGAAGACAGTAGTCTGGACATAATGGAACATCCATCCCCTCCATGGTAAAGAACAAGCTATTGTGCCTTACACCTCCTTCCACCCAGAAACTGGGAAGCCTATTCTGATTTTAGAAGCAACATATTCTGCACTTGGAAAAACTACTGCTGTGATCAATTTATTGGGGCCATAACACACTGCCAGTTTCAAGTAGAATGTCCAAAGAAAAAGAGAATTCTACAAGTTTAGACTGTGAGGCAAGGGGACCTGCCTGCACATGAACCAGCAGACATAACAGTGATAGAATACACAGTGGAGAAAACCATCATGCAGAGTTTTTGACCAGTCAAAGGAAACAAATTTCCATTTGCATGCTTTCTGCAACAGGGAATTATACACCATTTGAAAAACAACTACTAGCATACTATGGCAGAGATGAAGTGTCTAACTATGAAGTATCAAATGAACATATCACTAGAGCTGTCCCTCATGAGTTCGGCGCTACAAGACATACAAAATCATAGAATCAGGTAGGCACAGGAGGAGACCATCAGGCTTGAGAAGGTCCCTAAACAGATGCCCAAGAATCCCATTTGACTCATCTCTGCTGCACTGACACTGTCCATGGTCTCATGGAGTAGAATGGAAAGGAGTGAGTTCCATACAACCAGCTAATAGAGGAGAAAAAAAATGCCTAGTTCTTGAATAAATTAACTCAATATTGGTGTGAGCCAAAAATAGACTGCTGCCCCACTATAACCCCAGGAGTGACCTTATTCTTCACAATGGGCAGAGCTTTCAGTAATGTGCCTTATTATCCACTTTATATGGAGAGAAAAGTGGCTCATAGTAAGGGTATATATAGACATCTGTTTTGTGGAAAATGGCCTGGCTCGTTGGTCAGGGACATATAAGGAGTAAAGATAAAAATTCAGGGACAAGAAGGTATGAAGAAAAAGCACACAGAAGGGCCTATAAGAATGGACAGTGGTATGGTTTGGCTGTGTCCCCACCCAAAATTTCATCTTGAATTGTAATCTACTAGACAGACTCTAAAACTGTCTTAAAATTCTCAAAGAACCAAAGAAAGATGTTGAAAAAAAAAATCTCATCTTCAATTGCAAACCCACATGTCAAGGGCAGGACCAAGTGGAGGTAATTGGATCATGGGGGTAGTTTCCCCCATGCTGTTCTCATGATAGTGAGTCAGTCTCTTGAGATCTGATGATTTTATAAGCATCCGGCATTTCCCTGCTTGCACTCACTCTGTCCTGCCACCCTATGAAGAAGGTGCCTGCTTCTCCTTTGCCTTCCACCATGATTGTAAATTTCCTGAGGCCTCTCCAGCAATGTGGAACTGTGAGTCAGTTAAAACTCTTTCCTTTATAAATTACACAATCTCAGGTATTTCTTCAAAGCAGTGTGAGAACGAACGAATACAGATACCAAATGTCAGGATCTGCATGCTACACATTAACGCCCATCAGAAAGAATCTGATGTAAAGGAATTAAACAACCAAACAGGCAAAACATCTCATCTAGCAATTATCATCAAGACTCTGTCCTCAGCCATCACATGCTTGCATGGTAAGAACATAAATGTAATAGCCGTGGTGGCAGAGATGGGTTTAATAGTAAGAGATTTCTCTTACAAAGACTAATTTCAATATTGCCACTTATGAATGTCTGACCTATCAACCACAGACACTGATGCTGGGATCTAGATATGGTGCCATCTCTCAAGGATGCCAACCAGCCACTTTTTTTGCAGGTAGATCACACTGAGCTCCTTTCACCTTAGAAAAGGCAGAGATGCATCCTCAAGAGGATTGATATGTATTCCAGGTATAGGTTGGTCTTTCCTGCCTATAGTACCTCAGTTAGTATCACTATCCAAGTGCTTATACTGATTAGCCAATATAGGATTACATATAATAATGTCTTAGACCAAGAAACCCATTTCCAGCCAGTGAGGTTCAACGCTGGGCACATGATCACAGGATTCCTATGTTATACCACATCCAGGAGTTACCAGCTATATACAACATAGACTATCCATTGAAAATGTAGGCCGGGCACAGTGGCTCGTGCCTGTAATCCCAGCACTTTGAGAGGCTGAGGCGGGTGGATCACCTGATCCAGGAGTTCAAGACCAGCCTGGGCAACATGGTTAAACCCCGTCTCTACTAAAAATACAAAAAAATTAGCTTGGCGTGGTGGCACGTGCCTGTAATCCCATCTACTCAGGAGGCTGACACAGGAGAATCGTTTGAGCCCGGAAGGCGGAGGCTGCAGTAAGCCGAGATTGCACCATTGCAATCCAGCCTGAGTGACAGAGCAAGACTCTGTCTCAAAAAAAAAAAAAAAGAAAGAAAATGTAGCTAAGCTGCCAGATAAAAAGATAAAAGATGAAATTCCACAAAAATGAGGTGCTATCAAGATGTGGTATATACCTTGAACCAATAATAATATGTTGCTATGTCTTAATAGTTAGAATATCTGGGTCCAGGAATCAAAAGATGAAAGCAGATGTGGCCTCTTTTATCTTCATACCCAGTGATCCATTAGGAACTTTGTGTTTCCTAGTCCTACAATGTTATATTTGGCAGATCTAGGGGTACTGGTTCCCAGGGGTGGGAGTGGGAAGGAAATGCTTTCACTAAGGGACACAGTAAGGATCCACTGAACCTAAAGCTAATCATTTTGGGCTCCTCAATACAGTAGATCAGCAGACACAGAAAGGAGTTTCATTCTGGCAGGAAGTATTGACCTAGACCATCATGAGAAGGTAGAGTTGCTGCTAGCTAAGAGGGGCAATGAAAAGTAAGTCAGAAAGTCTGAGAATTCACTAAAGAGAAGCAGTGCTTTCTTCCCTGAAGCACCTTCTCTTGGTGATGCCATGCCCAGTTTTAACTATGAGTGAGAAAGAACAAGATTCATGGGAGGAACATTCATGGGAGGGACATGATTACCTAACCCTCAGAACGCTCTGGAAAGAATATCTGTGTCGTTTCAACTGGAAAGCAATCTAGATTAGTAGAAATCCTGCCCATGCAGGAAAGGAGTTTAGGATGACTGGTGGAGAAAGGAGTTGATAGGTATGGTCTCAGTTAAACAGTGGGAGCTGTAGCTTATTCCATTAACCATCCTCTTGTAAGTCCTTTTATTTACTTAGAATTTGTAACTAGCCACAAAACCACAGGATCAATCAAATAAACTTACATGAGATGGAAGTGGCCCTGAATGGTATAAGGGGTGGAGTGTAGTTAGTCTTCCATCTGTGTTCCCTTAGATCCCTTAGCCACTTTTGTGCACATCGGCTCTCAGTTTGCTTTCATTCCCAGCAGTAAGCACCTATGTATCTTCATTGGAAGACTTCACTTAGGTTTCTAGAAGTCATGTTGCCTGCACACACATAGCACAGCCAGAAGTACCTGAGAACTGACATGGCCCCAGGGGCAGCACTTAACCAATGACTGATAGATGTGAGGTATAAATACTCCACCTCCTTTACTTCATTATTAGAAAAAATCTGAGGTGTGACCTACATTGTCCCCAGAGTTCGCTGCAGAAGTGATATAAAATTCCCTTTAAGGGACTTCGTTTAATTCCATACCCCCACTCAATCTCCTTCCTTTCCAGTGCCACATTTCCACTTCTCTACTGGTTTTTCCTGGGATTATGTTCTAATGAATTATTTTAGAAAAATATAGTAAATATACTATTAAATATACTACTAATCAAAGCTAATAAAACCAGATATATAAGATATATTTTGGCCAGACATTTTCAAATTTATGTAGACTGACAAAGAGCACAAAATATAGCAAAATGTAAAAAGGTGTAGAAAGCACTCTGAGAAATTTTGAAAGAATTTTCCATTTGCACCCTTGGCTCCAAAGAAGAGAGAATCTCACTCTGTTGCCCAGGCTGGAGTGCAGTGGCATGATCATGGCCCACTGCAGCCTCAACCCCCGGACTCAAACTATCCTCCCATCTCAGCCCCTCAAGTAGCTGGGACTAAAGGCGTGCACCACAACATCTGGCTAATTTATCTATTTTTTGTAGAGACAGGGTTTCGCCATGTTGCCCAGGCTGGTCTTGAACTCCTGAGTTCAAGTGATCTGCCCACCTCAGCCTCCCAAAGTGCTGGGATTACAGGTATGAGCCACTGTGGCCAGCCTAAATACTTTCCTTCTATTCATAGCTGTAAACCACCATCTATTCTTAGGAAACCTAAAAAAAAGTGGGGGAAAAAAACCCTATAGTGTGTTTATCTGCTTCAGTTAATGGTTAGCAAGATCTGGACAACCAGATCTCAGCAGGGCCTTTATCTCTTAAAAAGATATTTCAAGAGGATTCTAGGAAGATAGTGGAGTAGAAAGCACCAGGAATCTATCATCTCCACCTAGACAATAATTGCACTAACAGAATCTGTCTGATAACTATATGGAACTCTGGAGTCTACTGAAGGCTTTTAACTTCCAGCAGAAGGTTTAGATAGTAAATTACAGTTAATTTTAGACAATTTCCACTCTTTGCACAGCAGCAGCTACCTATCCTCCACTCCCAGCCCAATGGCAGACAGCTGTGCACACCTTCCAGGAGGAGCTTGCACACAGCTTACGGGAGCCAGGTGGGCAAAAAGCACTTTCCCTACAAATATCACTGATTGCTGCTTCTGATAACATAGGTGCAGACAAAGGGGTAAGTAACCATTGTTATCACATCTCTCCCCATTGTTTGCAACCTCCTACACCATTGGCTGAAGTAACCTATAGGGGATTTAGGAACAGTGCCCTTTCCCTGATGGCAGATCTGCTAGACAGACTCTAAAACTATCCTAAAATTCTCAAAGAACCAAAGAAAGATGTAAAAAAAAAAAAAAGGCAAGAAAATGATGTCTGAACAAAGTGAAAATATCCATAAAGAAATGGAAAACCTAACAAGGAAACCAAAAGGAAATTCTGGAGCTGAACAATAGAATAACTAAAATTAAAAATTTACCGGAAGTATTCAAAAGCAGAGATGAGCTGGAGAAAAGAAAGAATCTGTGAACTGAAGATAGAATACTGAAAATAAATGTTTCTAAAGAACAGAGACAATGAAGATTGAACAATAAACAGAGAGCCTAAGAGACCTGTGGGACACCATCAAGCAGACCAACATATGCAGTATGGGAATTCCAGTAGCATAATAGAGACAGAATATGGCAGACAGAATATTTGAAGAGATAATGACTGAAAACTTCCAAGATTTGATGGAAGGCAATGAATATAAACATTCAAGAAGCTCAATAAACTCCAACTAAGATGAACTCAAAGAAACTCACACTGAGACACATTATAATTAAACTTCAGAAAGATAAAGAAGGAATCTTAAAAGCCACAAGAGAGAAGCAACTAATCATATATAAGTGATCTTCAATAAGATTATCAGATTTCTCATCAAAAAATTTGCTCACCAGAAGGCATTGGACCAATATATTCAAAGTGCTATAAGAAAAAACTATCAACCAAGAATTCTGTATCCAATAATCTGTCCTTCAAAAGTCAGGGAGCAATAAAAATATTCACAGACAAACTTGAGCTAAGGGAGTTCATTATTATTAGACCTATCCTGCAAGAAATGCTCAAGGGAACTCTTCAGGAGGAAATGAAAGAGCACTAGACAATAACTGAAAGCCATGTAAGATACCTTTAATCAATAACAATAAATATATGGGCAATTGTAAAAGCTAGTATCATTTTAACAATAGTTTGTAACCCCACTTTTTGTTCTCTATATGACTTAAGAGACCAACACATTTTTCAAACAATTGTAAGTCTAAAAGCTAGTATTACTGTAACATTGGTTTGTAAGTCTATATTTTGTTTTTTACATAATGTTAGAGATGAATATACTTCAAAAAATTATTAGCTTATATTTTCTATTTTTATGCTATAATGTATGAAATGTAATTTTATGACATCAACAATCAAAACGCTTGAAGATAAAGCTGTAAAGTAGCAGAGCTTTTGCTTATTAATGAAATTAAGCTGTATAAATTCAAATTAAAATGTTATAACTTTAGGATGTGAAATGTAATACCCATAATAACCACAAATAAAACAACTATATAATATACCCCCAAAAAAAAGAAAATAAGAAATTAATTTAAATGTCTCACTAGGACAGGTGCAGTGGCACATGCCAATAACATACCATTAGTTTGGAGGGCCAAGGTGGAAGGATCATTTGAGTCCAAGAGTTCAAGACAAGCCTGGGCAATACAGCAAGGCCCTGTCACTACATATATATGTATTTAATTAGCCAGGTGTGGTGGCATGCACCTGTAGTCCTAGCTACTTGGGAGGCTGAGGTGGAAGGATCAGTTGAGCTTAGGAGTTCAAGGCTGCAGTGAGCTATCATCACACCACCACACCCCAGCCTAGGTAACAAAGCATGACTCTGTCTCGAAAAATAAAAAATAAACTCACTATTAAAAATCAACTACACACAAAAGAAAACAGAAATGTGAAAAATGAGGGGCGAAAAAAGCTATAAGGCATATGGGAAGCAAATAGCAAGATAGCATAAGTTCCTCCTTATTATGAACTACTTTAAATTTAAATGAATTAAAGTCTCCATGAAAGGACAGAGAATGGCAGAATGAAAAAATAACCATTATCCACCTATATACTGTCTACAAGACTTAACTGAGATCCAAAGACACAAATAAATTAAAAGTGAAAGGATGGATTACAATATTCCTTGCAAATAGTAACTGCTATGTTTGAATGTCCTCTCCAAAAACTCATGTTTAAATTTAATTGGCATTGTGATGGTATTAAGATGTGGGGCCTTCAATTGCTACAAAAAGAATAAAATACCTAGGACTAGACCCAGCAAGGGAAGTGAAGGACCTCTTCAAGAATTATGAACCACTATTCAAGGAAATCAGAGAGAACACAAACAAACAGAAAAACACTCCATGCTCATGGATAGGAAGAATCAATATCATGAAAATGGCCACACTGCTTAAAGTAATTTATACATTCAATGCTATCCCCATTAAACTGCCATTGACATTCTTCACAGAATTACAAAAAAACTATTTTAAAATTAATATGGAACCAAAAAAGAGCCTGAATAGCCAAGACAATGCTAAGCAAAAAGACCAAAGCTAGAGGCATCACACTACCTGACTTCAAACTATACTACAAGTCTACAGTAACCCAAACAGCATGGTACTGGTATAAAAACCGACATATAGACCAATGGCACAGAATAGAGAACTCATAAATAAGACTGCACATCTACAACCATCTCATCTTTGACAAACCTGACAAAAGCAAGCAATGGGGAAAGGACTCCCTATTTAATAAATGGGGCTGGGAGAACTGGTTAGCCATATGCAGAAAGTTGAAAGTGGACCCCTTCCTTGGACCTTATGCAAAAATTAACTCAAGATGGATTAGAGACTTACATGTAAAAACCCAAAACTATAAAAACCCTAGAAGAAAACCTAAGCAATACCATTGAGGACACAAGCATGGAGAAAAGACTTTATGATAAAAAATGCTGAAAGCAATTGCCACAAAAGCAAAAATTGACAAATGTGATCTAATTAAACTAAAGAACTTCTGCACCGCAAAAGAAACTATCATCAGAGTGAATAGACAACCAACCTACAGGATGGGAGAAAAATTTTGCAATCTATCCATCTGACAAAGGTGTAATATCCAGAGTCTGCGAGGAACTTAAAAAATTTACAAGAAAAAAAACAAGCAACTCCATTAAAAAGTGGGCAAAAGACATGAACAGACACTTCTCAAAAGAAGACACCCATGCAGCCAACAAACATACGAAAATAAGCTCAACATCACTGATCATTAGAGAAATGCAAATCAAAACCACAATGAGATGCCATCTCATGCCAGTCAGAATGGTGATTATTAAAAAGTCAAGAAATAACAGATGCTGGTGAGGTTGAGGAGAAAAAGGAATGCTTTTACACTGTTGATGGGAATGTAAATTAGTTCAACCATTGTGGAAGACAGTCTGGCAATTCCTCAAAAATATAGAGGCAGAAATACCATTTGACCCAGCAATCCCATTACTGGTTATATACCCAAAGGAATAGAAATCATTCTATTATAAAGATACATGTGGCCAGGGATGGTGGCTCATGCCTGTAATCCCAGCACTTTGGGAGGCCAAGGCAGGTGGATCACCTGAGATCAGGAGTTCGAGACCATCCTGGCCAACATGGCGAAACCCTATCTGTACTAAAAGTACAAAAATTAGCCAGGCGTGGTAGCTGGGCACCTGTAATCCCAGCTACTCAGGAGGCTGAGGCAGGAGAATAGTTTGAACCCAGGAGGCGGAGGTTGCAGTGAGCCAAGATCACACCATTGTACTCCAGCCTGGGTGACAAGGGTGAGACTCCACCTCAAAAGAAAACAAAAAAAGATACATGCACATGTATGCGCATTGCAGCACTATTCACAACAGCAAAGACATGGCATCAACCCAAATGCCCATCAATGATAGACTGTATAAATTAAATGTGGTACATATATGCCATTGAGTACTATGCAGCCATAAAAAGGAATGAGATCATGTCCTTTGCAGGGACATGGAT
Organism: Homo sapiens; assembly: GCF_000001405.40. Classification (NCBI taxonomy): domain Eukaryota; kingdom Metazoa; phylum Chordata; class Mammalia; order Primates; family Hominidae; genus Homo; species Homo sapiens. Next base: position 222,298,460 of record NC_000001.11, read on the forward strand.
GGAGCTGGAAGCTGTTATCCTCAGCAAGCAAATGCAGGAACAGAAAATCAAACACCGCATGTTCTCTCATATAAAGGACAGCTGAACGATGAGAACACATGGACATATTGAGGGGAACAACATACACTCGGACCTGTCAGGGAGGGTCAGGGAGGGAAAGCACCAGGAAGCATAGCTAATGAATGCTGAGCTTAATACCTAGCTAATGGGTTCATCTGTGCAGAAAACCACCACTGCACACACTTACCTATGCAACAAACCTGCACATCCTGCACATGTACCCTGAAACTTAAAATAAAAGTTGAAGGAAAAAAAAAAGAAGTGGGACCTTTAAGAAGTGATTAGGTCATAAGGGCTCATGAATAGAGTAATTAGAAAAGAAGATTTTGAACATTCTCACAGCAAAACAAAGTTTAAGATGATAGGTATGTTAATTATCATGATTTGATCATTATATCATATATACATGTATCAAAACATCACATTGTACCCCATAAATATGAACAATTGTATGCCAGTGAAAATATTTTTTAAAAGTTGATACAGCTTCATCTAGTTTTCTCAATCAGAACATATGTCTTTGGAGCATATGTATAGTTGCTCTGAAACCAACATGCTGCAGAGACCACATGAAGGTAAATAGAGAGTCAGAGGAGCCCTAGCTGTTTCAACCCCCAGCACTTTGAAGTTTCCTGGTCCCAGTGCCAAACATGTGAATGAAGAAGCCCTCAAGATGATTCCAGCATTATCCCTGTCTCATGGCAGCCCGGTGAGATCCTCTGAGTGGGAACCACCTAGCTGAACCCAATCACCAAAATCATAAGAGATAACAATAATAAATGATTATTGTTTCACACTCAAAAATAAGAAAATTACAAAATTCTGTGTATCAAAAGATACTATCAGCAGTGAAAAGGCAACCCACAGAATGGGAGAAAATATTTGCAAACCATGTATCTGGATATAAGTGTCCAGGATATGTAGAGAATGCCTAAATACACAAAAAAATAAAAATGGACAAAGTACTTAAATAGACATTTCTTCAAAGAAGATATATAAATGGCCAATAAGCAAAGAAAAGATGCTCAATGATATGGTTTGGTTCTGTGTCCCCACCCAAATCTCATGTTGAATTGTAACCTCCAATATTGGGGGAGGAACCTGGTGGGGGGTGGTTGGATCATGGGGGTGGACTTCACCCTTGCTGTACTCATGACAGTGAACGAGTTCTCACAAGATCTGGTTGTTAGAAAGTGTGTAGCACTTCCTCTTTCACTCTCTCTCTCTCTCTCTCCTGCTGCCACATGAAGATGTGTGTGCTTTCCCTTTACCATTTTGCCATGATTGTAAATTTCCTGAGTCTTTCTCAGCCATGCCTTCTGTACAGCCTGTGGAACTGTGAGTCAATTAAACCTCTTTTGTTTATAAATTACTACAGTCTCAGGTAGTCCTTTATAGCAGTGTGAGAATGAACTAGTACACTCAACATCACTAATCATTAGGGAAATTCAAATCAAAACTACAATGAGACACCACATCACACCAATTAGGATAGCTACTATCAAAAGAATATAGAAAATTACATGTGAGGATGTGGAGTAATTGGAACCCCTGTGCACTGGTGGTGGAAATGTAAAATGGTACATCCATGTATTAGTCTGCTCCCACACTGCTATAAAGATACTACCTGAGACTGGGTACTTTATAAAGGAAAAAGGTTTAATTGATTCACAGTTCCATCTGGTGGGAGGAGATCTCAGGAAACTTACAATCATGGTAGAAGGCTAAAGGGAAGCAGGCACCTTCTTTAAAAGGCAGCAGGAGAGACAGAGAGTGAAGGGGGAACTGCCAAACACTTTTAAAACTATCGGCTCTCATAAGAATTCCCTCACTATCAAGAGAACAGCATGGGGGAAACTGCCCCCATGATCCAGTTACCTCCCACCAGGTCCCTCCCTCAACATATGGAAATTACAATTCAAGATGAGATTTGGGTGGGGACACAGACCCAAACCACATCAAACCACTATAGAAAACAGTATGGTGGTTCTTCAAAAAACTTAAAATAGAATTCATTGCTGAATCATATGATTCAGCAATTCCACTTCTGGGTATATACCCAAAAGAATCGAAAGCTGGGTCTTAAAAAGATATTTGTACATCTGTATTTGTAACAGTATTATTCACAATCGCCAAAAGATAAAAGGCCACTCAAGTGACCATTGATGATGAGCAGATTAAGCAAACTATGGCGTACATATACATGCAATGGAATATTATTCATCCTGAAAAAGGAAGAAAATTCTGACATATTCTACAATACAGATAAACTTTGAGGATATCATGCTAAGTGAAATAAGCCAGTCACAAAAAGACAAATACTGTATGATTCCACTTATTATTATTTTTTTTTTGAGACAGAGTCTCACCCTGTCGCCCAGGCTGGAGTGCAATGGCATGATCTCAGCTCACTGCAACTTCTGACTCCAGGGTTCAAACAATTCTCTTGCCTCAGCCTCCCAAGTAGCTGGGATTACAGGTGACTGCCACCACGCCCAGCTAATTTTTGTATTTCTAGTAGAGATGGGGTTTCACCATGTTGGCCAGGCTGGTCTTGAACTCCCGACCTCATGATCCGCCCACCTCAGCCTCCCAAAGTGCTGGGATTACAGGTGTGAGCCACTACACCCAGCCCTCCACTTATATAAGGTACTTAGAGTTATCAAAATCATAGAGACAGAAAGTAGAATGGTGATTGCATGGGCAGAAGGAAGAGTAAATGGGAAGTTGTTTAATGAGTACAGAATTTCAGTTTTGCAAGATGAAAAAGTTCTGGAGTTGGATGGTAGTGATAGTTGTGCAACATTATGAAAGTATTTGATACATCTGAACGAAACACTTAAAAATGGTTAAGATGGTAAATTTCATGTTGTGTGTATTTTACCACAATAAAAAAAATGGGGAAAAAAGATATTAGAGTGAGTAAAAGTCCAGCTTCTACTGAAGTTATTTCCATTCTGTATGTCATTGAAATAGGCATCAAAGTCACTCCAAGATGAAATGAATACAGCCACTATACAAGGTCAATCTCTTCCTTTTTAGCTTTGACTCAGAGAGACCCCTTGCTATTACTGCTGTCAGCTTCATATTCTCATTGTCACCCTCTTGACAGCATTGTCATTCAGATGTCCCAGGTCATATCAGGTAAGGCTAAAGCAATCAGAGCAGACAGATTTCTATTCAGGGCTATTTGGAACTGTCTTGTTACCTGAAAGATTCTCCTAATTCATGTGACAACTGGTGACCCACCTTACTCATCGTCAGAGAAATATATAACTTTTTTCTCTCTCCCTCTCCAATCCTCTCCCCACCCCACTTAGTGTTAGGGATGGATTTGCACTGAGTCATACATACTCTCTTCTTTAGGAGTACAAATATGGGCAGCGTTGGTCCTTGAGTATACAGTCTAGGGAAAAGACATATATTAAACAACTAATTATGTAGATAACCATATAATTATTATTCTGATAAAAGATACAAGAGAGGATTACCAGAGTCCTATGAGATCATATAACTACAGGACTTTCTATCCTTGCTGTCTTCCAGAGATTGAGAGGTTGCTTAACTGAGGAAGGGGCATTTAAATTACAACCTAGAAGATGAAAACCAGGGAGAATGCAGTGTCATGAGCAAAGGGGGTGATGATGGGCAATGAGGCCAGGGAGAGACAAGTCCAGATGATCCTGCTGTTTGTTGTTACCTCACGAGTTAGATTCTCCTGCATACTGAACATCAGGAGTTTAGATCTGTTATAGTACAAATGATTTTCATTTGCAAATTCTATAATGAAACGCATAGGACAGAGAGCAATGTGAAAAATTCCCAGGATGTTTCAAACTTCTTCAAAAGTGCTTTTATCTTCTATCCTATACAGGTGGAGGCATTTTATCCAATACAGGTGAGGACATTTTTCCTTTCAACCAAGGCAATGTCTAACATTGCTCCAAAGAGTCAAAGCCCCATATGCCAAAGCCAGAATAGGTAATATGCACGTTCAGGCAACAATAAAATAGAAAACTAACTCCCCAATTGGAGTGTTCACTTATTGCTTGCATACTTGTTCAAAATGTAGCCAATTTATCTCTACAGACTTTTTTGTTAAATAATAGGAGGCTTCAGGTTAGATTCATTCATTATAGTCCTCAAAGTTAATCTCGGAGTGGAAAACTTAAAAGAGAAAGCTTCTGCTATAAGAAATCCAAATGAAATACCTAAAAGGAAAACTTTCTGAAAATTACTATGTTGAGTAGAAACTGTTAAATATACAATATGTTAGAAAAGAATAAAAACTGATCAGTCCAGTGGGCACAACAATAACTTTGGAACCAAAGAGAAGCTGGCGACCATGTGAAATCATCAAGTATACAATGCTCACCTGCAGGTACCCTCAGAATTGCTCCTATGAGACCAGAGCCACTGGCTGACCCGCACTTCACCCCTATGGTTCCTGTGACACAACCCCTCCACTTGTCTTATTGAAATCAGAACATTCTTATCCAGAGGAGGAAAGGGTGTGGCAGCAAAATTGTGTGGTCCAGATCTGGCTGTGGTGGCTCATGTCTGTAATCCTGGTAACTCAGGAGGCTGAGGAAGGAGAATTGCTGTGGCCAGGAGTTCAAGACCAGCCTGGGCAACACAGTAAGACCTCCAACACTACAAAAAAATATATATATTTTTAAATTAGCTAGGCATGGTGGCATATGCCTGTAGTCCTTGATATTTGGGAAGCTGAGGTGGGAGTATCTCATGAGCCCAGCAGTTTGAGGTTACAGTGAGCTATGACTGTGCCACTGCACTGCAGCCTGGGAAACAGTAAAATCCTGTCTCTAAAAATATAATAAAATTTCACAGTGGCTCCCTCCTGTAATCTCAGCACTTTGGGAGGCCAAGGAGGGCAGATCACGAGGTCAAGAGATTGAGAACATCGTGGCCAACATGGTGAAATCCCGACTCTATTAAAAATATAAAAATTAGCTGGGCATGGTGGCACATGCCTGTAATCCCAGCTACTCAGGAGGCTGAGGCAGGAGAATCACTTGAACCTGGGAGGCAGAGGTTGCAGTGAACCGAGATTGTGCCACTGCACTCCAGCAGAGGCGGAACCAGTTTCCCCCTCTCTAAGTAGAAACCATTGACAGTGACAAACCCACAACTCTTTGACTTTGGCTTTTGCTAAATTTGCAAGTGGTGATCACCTGTAACAGGGTCCTGTTGAAATAGGAAGGTCATCGGTGATGAAGGGCAGAGACGCCCCAAATGGAAAAATCTCTTTAAGCTCTGTGTAGCTTGGTAAATATAGTATTAGGATAATCGGTTTGCAGGAGACATCCTAAAATTAGAAGTCTGAGATATCTGGATAAACATCCTAAACAGCAGGCAATGTCCCCATAATATCAGAACTCATTTCCTTGGTTTAAGTGGCTTTTTAAATCCAGAATTTAGGAAGTGAAGGAGCAGGAGCTATCTCAAGGTAAGCCATAGCTTCCTTGGAGAAGTATGGAGAAAAGGTGGCAACTGCAATATCACAATGAGCTCCAATAGGCTCAGAGACCAAAAATAAATGCAAATAAGGATCATCCCCGTGACTTTTAACTTAGAGAGAAATCTATTATTTCAACTAGGATTGAACAAGAAATGTGACACAGTTTTTGTTTGATTTTCTAAAATACAAATAGCTCTTTTTCTTATTTTAAAAATGAGGCACAGTCACTATGGAGCCACTTAAATGTAAAGCCTAAAGAAGAAAATTAAATAGTGATAACCACACTCAGTTTTGGAGGAACATCCTTCCAGACATTTTGCCATGTAAAGTTACCCACCCATATATGCACACACACACATATGCAGACCACAAGAACATGCATAATACATACTTACACAGGCACACATATGCATGTACTTTAAATAAGTGGGCTCATAATAGGGTATTTTATTTTGTCAGTATTATAAGATATAGAAATAGACACAGATAAAGATATACAGACATTTACCATCAAGTTCTTTAAATCATAAATAGAAAAACATGTAATACAATATGTATATTTTATTCCATTATCTGTATTTACTACAATTTAGCCAATCCCCAAACAGTGGTAGAACCAGTTTTGTTCTTTTTACATTTTAAACACTCTCCTTAGACATGATCTTTGCATACTTACCTAAATATGCTCTCAGGAAAGCTCCTAAAAGCGGAATTGCTGGGTTAAAGGGTAGCCCAATATTTTTAAATCTTGGTACATATTGCTAAACTGGAGATGATCTGGCACCAAGGGAGCCTGTTGTCCTTGCACTTTCCCTCTCAACCTGAAGCCCTGCATCTTGGCTTAGCTGTGGTCTGTCCTTACACAGACAGCACAGGCATGTCTGAGTTTCCAGCTGTTTCCCTGCTTTGAGGGGAGCAGGTCTCTCTGGAGAGAAGGCAGAAAGCCCCATGCCCCCTTCAGCCCCTGCTGCTCCACGATGGAGAAGGGGCCTAAGCAGGAACACCTGTCTCTCCTGCAATGACTGATGACACCACTTTCCACACTGGAGACCTGCAATGGGCCTGTCACAAGTGTCACCACTGAACCCTGCACAGGTCTTATGTCCATGTTAGTGGAGTGGGCTAGGCGCAGTGGCTCACACCTGTAATCCCAGCACTTTGGGAGGCCAAGGTAGGAGGATCACTTGAGCCCAGGAGTTCAAGACAAGCCTGGGAAACATAGCAATACCCCATCTCTACAAAAAACAATTTTTTTAATTAGCTGGGCATGATGGCGTATGCTTCTGGTCCCGGCTACTTGGGAAGCTGAAGTGGGAGAATCTCTTGAGCCCAGGAAGTCAAGGCTGCAGTGAGCCATGATCATGCACTGTACTCCGGCCTGGGCAATACAGCAAGACTTTGTCTCAAAAAAAATAAAATAAAATGACACCAGAAGTTAGTGGAGCTGGATGAAGACTCCAGGTGAAAACCTACAGTATTAGGTCCGGGGTTACCCTCTGGATTTGGTGCAGATCATTGGTCCTCAACTGGAAGAGGAGGAGATTTTGCTCCCCTGCCCCTACCCCCGGGAACATCTGGCAATGTCTAGAGATGTTTCAGGTTGTCACAATTGTTGGGGAGACGCTACTGGTATCTGGTGAGTTGAGGCCAGAGATGCTGCTAAACATCCTACATTGCACACAACAGTTCCCACAACCAAGAATTATCTGACCCAAAATGTCTACAGTACTGAAGTTGAGAAACACTGTTGTAGATAATGTATTCTCTATTTTTGGTTGTATTTGTTTATTTCACTGAATTTCAGGGAAAGAAGATCTGAAAATTGGCAAATACTTGAAACTCTCATATATGGGTATTTTTTTTAAATAAAAACCATATTTTATCATTTAATCTTTGAATGCTTCTCCCACTCTCTGTCTCTCCTCCTTACCCAGAATCCAAGAACAACAAGCCCTCTGTTTTCCCAGAATTCAAACCTGCTCTACCTGCTTTGAAACCCAAATGGCACTGACACAGATAAGCCTAATTAGAACTTTCCCTCTGTCCTTTGTTTTAAATTAACATATAGAACTAGCAGAACATGAAGTCTTGTTCCTTCCTTTCCTGCTGTAGGGTGATTTTTATCTCATTCATATCATTTTAATAGTCATCTATCCCAACAGACATCACTTGATGTGATAACAATCTCCTTTAGCTTGAAGGGGGAAAGGGAAAAGGGGGGTTTTCTTTCCAAGGGGAGTAGCTTTACTTTAAGTGAGAGTTCCAATATTCTACATGCTAACCCCCTCTCTTCACCACCCTTTACATATATCAAGAGCAGGATCTAAGTCATTTGGAAGCATTTGAGCCAGTTCATTGGAAATGCCCCCATTGGTAAGATGACTATCTAGGAATAATCCATAATTTATTCAGACTTGGACCCATTCCAGTCCTTCCATGGGGTCTGTCACCTCAATAAGCACTCAATCAGTGTTACTGGCTGACCAAAAACAGAGTCTCCCAGAAGAGAAAAGCAACAAGGCATGAGTGAGAATTCTGAAGTAAACAAGGACGGCTTCTATAATAACAGAGTCTCTGTAATGTTTCCCTGCTGCATTGGAGTGGCATTCAGGAAGCATTAAAATGTTCTATAGTTCATAGAAGGGAACTTTATTGCAACACTAAATTGAGTTCACAGCCCACAGGTAAGCACACATATACACATACCCAAACCTGGCCCCTTGTGGAAAAGCAGCCTTGCTTAACTTACTTCCCTGTCACCAAAATGATTCATCCATACCAGAGAGAGGTAATAGCCAAATTCTATCCAGGCTCAGGACAAGAAATGCCTTTTTTTTACCTTGTGCATCAAGGTAAAAACTATTGCATGTGGAGCAAAGCTGAGGATGGCAGCACAAAGGCAACAGAAGTTGACTCACATTGGTGATGTGGGAAATAGACTGAGTCAAAAAAGAAGCATCTCTTGAGGAATATAACAGCCAGAAAGCCTCTATCTTTCCACACAGTGGCATGGGGTCTTTAGGATAAAAAGCATGCATCAGTCTCTCTTACAATGCCAAACCCAGTTTTGCAACAGGTTAAAAGTATTATTGAAAGAATTGTTCATATAATAAAGGCCCATGTAACTTGCTATCACCTAGATCCTTGCTACTCATAATATGGTCTGCAGACCACTAGCAGCAGCATTCCAGAGCTTATTAGAAATGCAGACTTGGGCCCCTCCCCATATCTAAACACAGAATCTAAATTCTAATAAGGTCTCAGGTGATTTATGCACTTATTAAAATTTAATAAGCACTGTTGTAAACAAACTCCTCAACAAAATACAGAAACCCTGTCCCAAGATAGCTAAGGATCTATCCAATCAATCAATCAACAAAATATTGCCTGATAGCCTGCTCTGTGCATGATGTCAACAGAGTGGCCAAAGTGTCATCCAAACACAAAACCATGAGTGCAAAATAACATCAATAGAATGATGGTTTGGCAATACTTCCTCTAGAAGGCTCTGGGAGCAATACAGAGGGACAAATGAGAGAGGAAACTTTGGCCGTGATAGGATTTTTCTTGAAAGAAGTCCTGGGAGTCCGAAAGTGTATTGGTACAATGATTATTCCTCCAGCTTCTGTAGACTTTGCCAAGGTGCTTCTCCTGATAAGTGAGCAGGGAGATCTGAATGAAGATGTTAAATTAGAAATAACAGGAAATAAGCAAGCTGTGCACTAGAGTGGAGCAAAAACAGGTGAAAACAAGAGGCACAGGCCTGTCCCTAGCAATAACTTTAATAACTAATCTCTGTGCTGCTAGAGGCAATCTTCGTCAGCAGTCATGAGTGAGTGGATGGATGGCTTGTGGCCACTGTGACTCTGTGCGCCAGCTTGGGAGCTGCAACTATAATTGCCTGTTGGGGCTTAGTCTCAAAGTAAAAGAAAGGAGCATCCTGAAGGGAACACAAACTTGTCCTCTAGCTTCTGTTTGGGTTCAGCAATGCCAAGCAGACAGTTGGGAGGACAGACTAAGAGAGACACAGGGTTATTTCCTTCCTCCTCCTCCTCACCATCCCCACCCATTGCTCTAGGTCTGAAATCAGTTTCATCTCTTTATGACAATGGTTCTCAACCAGGCGTGAATTGGCCCTGTTACCTGGGGACAGTTGGCAACGTGTGAAGATATTTTGGGCTATCATGGCTAGATGGCTGTGTGCTACTGGCATGTTGTAGGGAGAAGCCAGGAATGCTGCTAAAGATCCTACAATGCACAGATAGGATAGTCCCCACAGCAAAGAATTACCTGACCCAAAATGTCACCAAGGTTGAGAAATTCCACTCTCTGACCACAGCCTCACGGGAAGCCCTTGCCTGAAGGCTCTCTTCCAGGTAACAGATTCCTGCTGTTATTCCTCCCCGTGTGCCTCAACTCCCCTTGCTGGTTCCTTTAACTCGTACCTCCTCTGAAACAAGCACCAATATTAAATTCTCTTCAGAAATCCCAGCCAAATAAGCCATTTGATTGCTTCCTAGACTGTAATGGGTACAAAGACCAGGATGAGAGAAAATATGACTAGATTTGCCCTGGAGTAGTCAGTCTTAATTGATGACCTGGCCAAACCTAAGGGGGAGAAGCAGGAGGGTCTGGAAGCAGGAGAACTGCAGCTACAGGGCTCATGAGAGGCCTGCAAGGAGAGAGGCTCTCAGAGTGATGGGGAAGGGGTAGCCTTGGAGCATGAGAGGCAGGGCAGGCTGAGGAGGGTTGAAGTCTTTCCTAACCCCCAGTGGATTCAGTGGCACCTTTACCATGATGCTAATGAAGCCAAAGGGTGTCACCCCTTACTTGCATGAGCGCTTTCTCTTTCTTTTTTTTTTTTTTTTTGAGATGGAGTCTTGCTCTGTTGCCCAGGCTGGAGTGCAGTGGCGCGATCTTGCCTCACTGCAGCCTCCGCCTCCTGGGTTCAAGCAATTCTCCTGCCTCGGCCTCGCAAGTAGCTGGGATTACAGGCGCCCACCACCACACCCAGCTAAGTTTTGTATTTTTAGTAGAGACGGGGTTTCACCATGTTGGCCAGGCTGGTCTCAAACTCCTGACCTCAAGTGATCCGCTTGCCTCAGCCTCCCAAAGGGCTGGGATTACAGGCATGAGCCAGCACTCCCGGTCACAAGAGCACTTTCTAAGGATGTAGGAAGAGCCCTAACACTGGGCTTTCATGACTATATGTAAAAATTTTCAGAAATAAGATATTTTAATTGCAATTGATTTAAAATGCTGTCTCTTTCCAAGCCAACTTTTCCTCCATCACATTTCCATTCTTATTAGGGGGTAATCGAAGGGGTCCAGCTAAAACAAAGTTGAGTTGGGAATATATATAATCTGGGTTTAGGAGGATATATTTATGCAGTTCACAGACATTTGGGGGTAAAATTAAGTTGTTAGGCATCCAAGTGTAAGAATGACTTTCAAGAGTACTTCTATCATCCATGGCAAGATTCATTTGGCATTGTGTCATGAAGGGGCACGTCAAGAGGTCATATGGTGACATGAACACATCCAACAAGGGTGTGTGGACAGTGGAGAAGAAACAAGGCTTGCAATGCACAGAAACAGAACCCGTCTGTGAAACCTTCTTCCAGTCATTGAATGTGTAAAATGTTAAACAGGAATCTGTACTCTGCAACCTTTGATCAGAATGGAAGTTCTTTCCTTCAAGAATATACTCAGTAATGCAGAGTATACAATTATAAATGTACTAAAGATTTTTTTTTCTTTTTTAGGGTAGATTTTACTAGTCCCCTCAACCAGACACATTGGTGAGAGCACAAACTGCACAAATGTAGATGCAGTAGCTTTGATGACAAGGGGGTTACAAATACGTACCCACAGCCTGGCACTGCATGGAATGTGAAGGGTGCTAAATAGACTTAATGAATGGATGAATGAACAAACTGGCATGGCCTGGAGGGGAGAGACTTCATAGAAGAGGTAAAAGGTCAAAAAGGAACAAAACAAGCTCTGGAAAGGAGCCTAGAATCCATGAGGTCGAGCAAGGAGGCAAGCCCCCTGAAGAGGACCAGCCCTCCAGAGAGCAACTGAGATTATGCTGGGCAGGAAAGCAAAGCTAGACACTGTAAGTCCTGGAAATCCAGAGTAGTTTAATGTTTAGATACTAAATAACAGAAAGCCACTACAAGATCCAGAGCAGAGGTTGGGTGCGGTGGCTCACGCCTGTAATCCCAGCACTTTGGGAGTCCGAGGTGGGCGGATCATGAGGTCAAGAGATCAAGACCATCCTGGCCAACAAGGTGAAACCCTGTCTCTACTAAAAATACAAAAATTAGCTGGGCATGGTGGCACACACCTATAGTCCCAGCTACTTGCGAGGCTGGGGCAGGAGAATCACCTGAACCCAGGAGATGGAGGTTGCAGCCAAGGTCGCGCCACTGCACTCTAGCCTGGGTAACAAGAGTGAAACTCCAGCTCAAAAAGAAAAAAAAAAAAAAGGTCCAGAGCAGAGTAGTGATGTGATGTGATAAAAGGTGGAGTTTTCTAAAAATTAACTTGACAGGGGACTCAAGATGGACTATAGCAGGGAGCAGACACAGGGAAGCACTGTCGTAACTCAAGTATAAAATGATATGGGCCTGAGTTAGGCTGTTGGGAATGATAAGAAAAAGATGAGTCTTAAGACTTATGGCAGGAATAATCTAATATTACTGAGAATAACTGATATTCAAATAATCAATTTGAATAACTGATATTCAAAATCTCTGTGATGTCATAGGCTCTTTCTTGGACTTTGCCATGGACATAAGATAACTAGCCTCATGGGTCTGAAGTCTCAGATGAGCAGTTTGGCTATGATAGACTCTAAGGTTACATAATTGGTCCAAGAGAAGGCTCTCCAGATATCTTGGTAATGAAAATCTCTGTGTAGCCAGTATCTTAGCCCTTGTCTGCATTCACAGTCAGCTGCTGCCACTGTCATCCTCTGCAGCTGTTCTACAGCATGTGACATCCTGACTGAGCCTCCGCCGGAAATCCAGTGAGTGCTGATGCCCATTTTAGGGCCTGCTACATGGCAGCGGAAATGCACATCCTCCCAGAGGACAGCGAGTGAGTTCCGGAGCCCACATTCAGATGAGCCTGCACAGACCTCTCCCAAGGAACTTCAGGATGATTGATTAAATCTCTGCCTTTCAGTCCCCCTGATTAGGTATTGAACTATCCCTAGTGGGTTTCCTTCCTCTAGCAAAACATCCCACTCAATAGGAAACTATGGTTTTCCCTTTTTCCTGGTCTTCAGGCAGGAGAAACCAGTCCAGCAAGTGAGCAAATGGATTATTCATAACTTTTGACAATACAGTCAGTAAACTGCTGTTGCTAAATGAATCTGCATTATTTATCCCTCTTCCGTAGTCTGCAATTCCATGCTGCCGGATATACTTGTTACCCAGAAATTTAAAGAGATGGTAATATCCCCAGAAATGTAAAGAGATGGCAATACCCATGGTCTCTTTATGTTGTGGCTCACCAGGGCCCTGTTCTTTATGGCGCATGCAATCAGTAAGACCAAGGCTTCAGCTTGGGGAATTAAGGGGCACAGCATGACAGCTTTCCTCTTGCAGGCTGAACTTTTATTTCACTGGCCCAGAGTGGTTGACAACTGTTCTCTAGAATGCCTTATGCTTCCTTTTCTGTAAGAAGGAGCCCTGACTTTTGCTCTTACCTACCCCCCATTTTAACCAGATTAATCTCCTAGATCTCAATAAATGACTATAGAATTGTGGCTAAAAGCCATGCAAGAAATTTTTTTTTAAAGAATGCAGAAATCCAATCAAACTGGAAAATATACAACTTGAATGGTGAAGTACAAGGTTCAACAACTCCTCTAATCATCCAGCAAAAAGATTAGAGACCACTCAATTAGGAGTGGGAAGAGTTCAAGAATTTTTTCCTATCCAAAACAGGCAACAAAATGCTGAAAGAGAGGATAAAAATTGGATAAAGGTAAAACTTGAAAGACATCTATCTTAGTCCATTTGGGCTGCTATAACAAAATGCCATAGACTGAGTGACTTATAAACAATAGAAACGTATTGCTCACAGTTCTGAAGTCTGGGAAGTCCAAGATCAAGGTGTTAACAGAGTTGGCGTCTGGTGAGGGTCCCCTTTCTGTTTCATAGATGGTTTCTTCTCACTGTATCATTAAATGGCGAAAAGGGTGAGGGAGCTCTCTGGGGCCTCCTTTCTATGGGCACTACTCTCCTTCATGGAGGCTCCACCCCGAGTCCTAATCATCTCCTGAAGGCCCCACCTCCAAGTACTAGCCCATTGAGGGTTAGGATTTCTACATCTAAATTGGAGGTGACATAAACATTCAGTTCATAGCAACACCCACAGCACAAACTTGAGTATTCTTCATTCACTTCACAAAAAGTCTCCAATCAAAAGAGAGGATTCCATGGGTTCTTCTGTGACTGAGTTGAATTATACAGAAAATAAGTATCCCACTGACATCTCTGCTGGCTAGTATCCAACTCATGGTCCTAGCTTTTACCTTCATTGCCTTAGCCCACATGATACATTTAATCTGCTCTTTTTAGTCTGAAATATGATTTTAAACCCATAGGAATGTATAAAAATTAACCAATGATAAAATATATAAAAGCTTTGTTATTAATATTTTTGTCAAATTTTAAAATGTTTTGTAATTATAGGTATTATTTTTTTCTTATTGAAACAATGTATACTTTTAAATTGAAGTTACCTGTACTTTTCATGTAAAATGTATAAGAAAGTTCATTTGTAAACAGTGCGAACATTTACTTAAACTTGATTTAAGACATTTATAAACATGTTATTTAATTTACAAAAGCTTCTCCAAAGCTAGAAGAAGTTGTTTGCTGGGTATGGGAGTTTTCCCTCTGAAGCATTTGATGCGCTTAAGAGAACCAGAAAAATTGCATTTAATTTACACAAAGATGTTTAAGAGCTACAAATTAATTAGGTTTATAAATGAGGTTAATTGTTTAGGGGAAGTCAACCTGTTAAAATTATTAATTTATTGACTATTATTAATTTACACAGAAATATATCTATTCTTACATAAAGATATATATTCTTATGTAAGTATTTACCAAAATTATAGATAGAATAATAAGTTTTATAAGTTAAATGTAAGGCCTTAAGAAAAATAGGTTTGCCAATTTGTGACTTTAATAGACTATTGGTTTAATTTAATTTTATTTTAGGAAGCCATATGTTCACTATTTATTGAGTATCTCATATGTAGGCATTATGGTTATTATGGGAGATGCTTCAGTGAACAAAATATAGTTCGATATTTCACTCTTGGGGCTTATAATCTAGTAGCAGAAACAGACAGTATACAACTGATTATGCAACTAATGATTTAATTACAAGTCTAGTGCATTCTGCAAAAAAATGTAGATTGATATTTTTTAACACAGACAGTTGCAGTCTACTTTGGATGTTTTTATAAATGAGAAAGGCATTTTGAAGATATTACCTATATAAGAGACATGACAGAAGAGAAAGATGGTTCCCCCAAATTGTCAATCAAGGCCTAAATTTAAAAGTGCAACTAAAAATATTTCTCCTTTTTGTGCAATAGATCTCTTAATTTTTCTGTCTATCTGAAATTTCCTGTCTGTTGAGCAACTACATATTAATTTTAAAATCACCTAACTATAAATCGTCTGTTTGATACACACACACACACAAATCCTTGGGCAAATTTAAAACGACTGTTAAAAACACAAGTCAATGCTTTAACGAAGCCCACCAACTGTCAATTGGTCAAGGCTCCTCCCAGCCCTGGCCTGGTTCTGCCCCAGCAGGGAGGTTTTCAGACTTCCAGGTTGGGTAAGAAGTTTATTTCCTTAGGGGCAATGTTGGTGGTGTCTGTTCTACTTGACCATAAACACCATAATGTAAGAGGCCATGTCTGTTTTGTGAATTATGATATATCCCTCATCTTTTCTATCTAACATTTAAAAGTCCTAACATTAAAAGACCTAACATTAAAAAGTCACTTAACAACTATCAAGTGAGTGAATGAGTGAATGGTGAGTGAATAGCTTGTGGGGCTCCTGGCCTTTCCCTAGACTGTCCAGCCAGGGACTGCAATGCCTTGCCCGTCCTTTGACTCTTTTGAGTTCCTTGTTCCTATTTGTCCATTCTTTGACTTGCCCTCTTGCCTCATTCTCTAAACTCTGAACTCCTGTGACTTTAGACTACTTATCTAATGCAACCCACTTTCTTAATGCATTCTCCAACCCGCAACCCCAATGTGTCTTTTGGGTCCCTAATGCAAGATTCTTTGGCTATTACCTAAAATCAGAATCATACACTTGGGACAGTTTTCCGGAGACAGACCCTGAGGCAGATGGACAACTTGCTGATAAGACACCACCTTTTATAAGACTTTGTTAACCAGCAGGAGGACTTTGGACACCAACTCCTCAGCAGAGATCAACACATCCTGCAGCAGCAGACATTGCTGGCATTTCTTCATATGAATGTTCATTAAGTCCTTTTAGGTCTGAAGTACTCATAGGAAACCTAAAAGGACTTAATGAACATTCATATGAAGAAATGCCAGCAAAGAGATCCTCCTTATAGCATCATGAAATCATTACAGAAGAATCATTGACGATGAAATATACTTGATAACAAAAGCTTAGTTCTTTAAGCTCTTTTCTTTTCCCTTATTAGTATACTAGTGGACCAATAATCCTGTTTGACCGTCAGTGATAGAAAAATCTCATCCTAACCTCAGTGTGTCATCAATGTACCTTTTTGTACCAGCCTTCTAATGCCTGAGGACCTTAAGTCCTGCCTAAAACAACCTTGATTTCTTTCTTAAAGCAGGTGAACTTCTTACCTGTCTGTCTCCATAGTGATGGCTCAAACTCTGCCTTGGATATGCTCTCTGACCTGAATTTCATGCCTGGTTTTGACCTATGACATTGTTCATCTCAGCTCCAGTTTTACCTGGCTTGAGATCTCTGTCCCTCCCTGAGTGATAACATTGAGTTCCTCCTACAGTTACGCCCATTTCCATGACTAGCTCTCCACATGTGGTTCTGGGCCCTCATCTCACCTCATTACTAAAGAAGTTGACATTTCTAATCTAGCATCTTCCCTTTTGCTTTCTGTTTCCTTTTTCTCTTCCATTGCTCAACATTTTAGGGCCAACGAATGAAGGAGGAGGAATATCAGAAGGAGAGAATAAGATGAAGAGGATTGAATCTCATTCCTCTCTTTTCATATAGCCAAGAGAAAAGAGCTACAGATATTCTTCAGCCTTAAGGAAAAAAATGCCTAAATAAAAGAAAAAAAAAAAAAAACTCTTTAAACCCCTGGTTCCCCTCCATGATGCCATTTTCTTTTGTTAAAGTTAAGAAAATAGATGCATAAGCCATCATTATACTAAAAAGTTATCTCATATCTAGTGGTACTGTAGAATGTCAGCCTCACTCAAAGGAACATGTACTTCTAACTCTGAAGTTTCTCTGAAATCTATTAAAATTTACAGGATATATGCTGGTTTGAAAACTTTTTTGGTTACCATGGGTTTTAAATGGTAATCGGAATTCAAAGTCAAACTTACATATTTTTAAAGTGATTGTCAAATCGGTCAAAATAAATGGAAAACTTTTGTGAAGTATATAAAGAAATGTAAATGCTTTATGGGAATTGAAACAGATGGACAGTTTCCCTGGTAAGGCACCAACTTTGATGTCTTTTGTCACCAAAAGAACCAAATTCCTCAAGGGCTCTTTGCTTGAGGCTTTGATATAAATCCTAATATAAACTGTCCCTAAAATCCAGAAAAGTCACTTGACAACCCTACCTCATCCTTTTCATTTGAAGTCTTAGTTGGGCTTTTTCAAATTTTTAAGAAATGTTAGGGTCATCTCAAGCAACACAATGTTTGGCTAAAGACACGAAGAATAAACCACACATAAAAGATAAAGGCGACTGGGCATACTGGCTCATGCCTGTAATCCCATCACTTTGTGAGGCTGAGGTGTACGGATCACTTGAGCCCAGGAGTTCAAGACCAGCCTGAGCAACATAGTGAGACCTGTCTCTACAAAAAATACAAAAATTAGCCAGGTGTGGTGATGTGCGCCTGTAATCCTAGCTACTCAGGAGGCTGAGGCAAGGAGGATTGCCTGAGCTCAGGAGGTCAAGGCTGCAGTGAACCATGATTGAGCCACTGTCCTCCAGCCTGGGCAACAGAGCAAGACGCTGTCTCAAAAAAAAAAAAAAAAAAAAAAAAAGACACAGACCTCAGGAAACTGGAAAGTTGTTCAGGACACAAGGGCAATTTTCATGTCCCAACAGCAACTCTAATATCTACCTTACCTCTCCTCTAGGCTCCTTTTCTCTGTGCTTCTCTCAACACCTCTCTTGAGTTGTCATTGTGCTGACTCAATGCTCCTTCTTCTTCTGGACTTAGGTTCACCACCTTCTGTCTGTGATCTCTTCACATGTGCTGCCACTGCCTGTGGATCATCTGCTTTCATATTAACATTCCTCATAACAAGCCAGGCATGGTGATACACACCTGTAGTCCTGGCTACTCAGGAGGCTGAGCAGGGAGGATCACTTGAAGCCAGGAGTTCAAGTCCCACCTAGGCCACATAGCAAGACCCTTGTCTTCAAAAAAATAAATAAGTACCATAAAAATTTCCTATAAGAGAGTCAGATACTATTCAGAAATAGTAGTAGTATACTTATAGGAAGTAGTATTATTTTCATTGCCAACAATTTTCTAAAAGAAGCCATCTCACTGATAACTACCAACAGCCAGTTTTCTTAATCTGGTGCAAAGTATGGTTTCAGTGTCTATCCTGAGTTATAGTTTTGAATTTGCTGCCTTTAAAATGTCTTCTTTTCAGCATTCAGAGCATACTGCTCATTGATGTTTGCTTCTATTTAATTATAAGGTGAATATTCTAAGAATAAGCCTCGTTTTGAGTTTCCTAGTCATTGTCTACTATTAGTGCCGTCACTGGGCAGATTTCTCCCAAGAGTCACCCAGTTGCCCCTTGAGTAAGGCACCAATCTGTGGAGTCCAGGTAGAAGGGACACACGGCGCAAATTGTTTGCAATGACATTTCTCTGAGAAGGGTAGGGAACATGGCAACTACCCAGAACATCTGAGCCACTACATTTGGGTTTTATAGATATATGGTTCCAACTTATTTTTATAGCAACAAAATTAAATCTAAAGAGGGATCACATATTATTAAATTATAAGCCTCTTCCCACATGTAACCTTTTGCTGCAGATTTATGAAAAATATAACATGCTAGCTTCTTTATCTTTATTGACATCACTGATAGAATATCATGGAGAGCAGGACAGGACACAAAGACAGAATCCCGAGGCATGTTATAGACTAGCCTGGCCACCAATCAACATTCTTACAGTATAACACAGTGTTTCAACTGCTTATGACTTTATTCAACTTCATTATCTTCTCTCTGCAACTTAGAAATGAAAAGAACTTTGTCAAAAGCCTAGCTAACATTAAACTATCTTATGGGTTTGGAAAGTTTGGCTTTTCTGGGGTTTGTTGTTTTTTTTGTTGTTGTTGTTATCCCTAAAGCTTGTCATTATTGCCTAGACATTAGACTCTAAAAGTGAGCTTTAATAGCACTATTGTTATTACCCAATCTTTTAGGTTACTCCCACTGAGCAACTCCGTGCCAGGTTCAGTTCAGAGTAAAACCGATGCCCAAGATACTTTTTCCCTTTACATTCACAAGCTGTTCAGCAGAAAATTAAATTAAAGTAAGCACTGATGATTATTGCCTGTATCAGTCTGGCGACCCCATCCCAAAAGGATGTGAGGTTAGTGTGACATGTTCTCAATGAATTTGTGTCAGCTGTTTCAGTCACTACTGGTTTTTCAAAGATTCAAACCATCAGTTTGAGGGCCTCAGCCTTAGCAGTTTGCTCTCTCCAAATTCCAACTTGTCAAACACTCAAGAAAGGTCTTTCATTAACTGAGCTGAATTTCATTTATAAACTTTAGTTCCCACTAAAGCTCATGCACAAAATCTCTATTCCCAATACAAAATGATAGCCACAAAAACTCAGAAAGAGTGGAGATTGGAAAACTGCCCTTCAGAAAGCTTCCAACGCAGTCGGAAGTTTCGCTCATTGAGTGATTCCCCCCGCCCGCCCTCCTTCTCCACATGCATAATGCAAACGACTCCAACCTGAGAAAAAAACCTACTGATGTGCTGTGAAGGACAACGGAAAAGATCCTTCAGGGAACATGCCTGCGACTCTCAGACAGGAATCCAATTCTCCAGACATTCAACTTCCTGCTCTGTCCTTGAGAATTTCTTCCTGCAAAGAATTCTGTACCACACCAATGGGTGAACTATCTCTGATCTCTCATGCAATCAGCCAATATTTACGGAGCATATCCTGTGTGCCAGGATCTGACCTGGATGCTGGGGATAAGGCAATGAACAAAACCAAGGCCTTGCTCACTTGGAGCTTATCTTCTAGTGTTTTCGTTTTGTGGAGCTTATATTGCACCCTGTGGATCTGCATCGCGAGACCTTTGCTCATGCTCTTCCAGCTGCCTGGAACTCCCTCCTTCATCATTTCCACTTAACTAATTTCTAACATCTTCAAAGCTCAGCTCAAACCATACCTCCTCTATGACTCTTTCCCAGATCTCCCTGGTTTAAGATTTCTTTAACTGCCAACCAAACACACTCTTGTACCAAATATTTAGTCCTTAATGCCTTATGTATCATTTATATTTATTTATGCACAAATCCTATCTCTCCAACTATATTGAAGCCCTTTGAAGACAGATAATGAATCTTTTGTTATTTTTTAAGCCCCAGCACCAAAGTACCCTGTATGAAGAGAGTACATCGTAAATAGTGGTAGCTAATGACAATGATAGTGAACTGAATAATATTTTTCCTTTAGTCTGGAATAGAGCGAGCAAATAAATCAAGGATATCAAAGAAAGTAGTATTTTCATTGGTGACAATTTTACAAAAGAAGCAGTCTCATTGATAACTACCAACAGCCAGTTTTCTTAATTTGGTCCTAAGTATCCTAAGCTCAGTTTAAATGCCTATCATGAGCTATAGTTTTGAATCTGCTGTCTTCTTTTCAGCACATTGCTCATTGATGCTTGCTTCAGTTTAATTTTAAAGTGAATATTCTATGAATAAAAAAGGAAAGTATTTTGGCTTTCATTCCATTTAAACTGAATTGAGTAAGGAATCACTCAGCAGGTATAATGTAGCAAATTGTATAATAACAATAGCAGGGTTAAAATTTACTTTTGGAGAATAAAATGTAAGCAATAACAAGATACGCTTTATAGACAAGAAAATAAAAGGCCAGGCTTTTCTCAAAACTCATGACAGTAACGTGATCAAGCAAGCTTTGCCTGTCAGAGGAAATCCCTGTGTGTAAGCATTATTGCCATTTTGGCTGCCATTTTTCATAGACAGTCTAGGAAACCTGGGACTTTTGGGAGGCAGAGATCAATAGTAAATTTTTATATTTCAGTGTCACTCTAAAATTTATAGTGCTTTCACACATGTTATCTCATTTGATCCTTTCACAAACTCAGCAGAAAGTAGAGCAGGTAAATAATTTTTAAACTTTAAGACAGGGAAACTGAGGTTCAAGTGTTAAGAACATTACAAGAATTGGCCATATTAGATGACATTCCCATCAATGAATGCTTCCACTTCCATACATGCCCACAAATAAGCTCCCTGTTTTTCTGCCTTTGATCCTTCTCCTTGTGCTTGAAATAAAATAGGAAGAGTTCTGTTTCTGTCAAGGGGTTTTGACTTGTTTAGGCCAACTCTCTCATTGACAACCAGAAGACATGGACAAATTCAAAGGCACCTTATAGCTACAAAGGCAATGAGAACTTGTGTTAGTATCTTGGAGTGGGGAGAACCTCAGAGAAATGAATCTAATATTTGGTGCTTTATTCCTTCCCAAGGCATTTGTCAACTGAAAAGCAACAGCTGAGAGTTTGAGAAACTGAACAAGGTTTTCGTAAGTCTATAGGGAAAGACAGGGAGATAAAAATAGAAGTTTAGGGTCTCAAAGAAGAAGGATCCCAAAAGAAAATATTCCAGCCTTTTTGTCATGACACAGAAGGAATTCAACCAAGAAGGAAGGACGAAGTAGAAATAAACTCGCCAAAAGTCTATTTCAAAATGACTTCACAGGTTCAAAATAGCTGATTTCCTGGTTGGAATCAGGTAACACTCCCACACCCAGCATCCTGCCAAAAGCAAAGGTGAATCTTTTCTGGGGAAAAATGTCATCCATGACCTTAAACTATTTCCATAATTTTTCAACATAAAGTCCAGCACTCACATAAAAAGTAAAATAGACCTTAAACATATAAGAATTAGTTGTAAAACAAAAGAAAAATGACAATGGAATAGAACAAACAAAAATACAATGGAATAAAATAGTAACAGGCACACATGTCATCCATATATTGTAACTATGATGAGTATGTTCAAGAAAATAAATGAGAAGATGACAAATTTTAGGAGTGACAAGGAAACTACAAAAAGAAAATAAATGAAAATTCTTAACATAAGTTAAGAGCTCAAAGTATGGAAAAGATTAAATGCAGCTGAAGAGAGAGTCAGAAGAAAAGATTCAGACTGAAGCATGAAGAAATAAAAATTAGATTAAGAGGCATAAAGTCTAACATGCACTTAAATGGTGTAAAGAAGGAAGAGACAGAGGGGGCAAAAGCAATATTTGGTGTAAAGAAGGAAGAGACGGAGTGGGGCAGAAGCAATATTTGAGAAAATGTTGGTTGAGAATATTTAAAACTAATGAGAGACTTCAAACCACAGGTTCAAGGAGTACCACAAACCCCAAGTGGGATAAAAGGAAAGCCATGTTTATGCACATAATAATAAATTATAAAAAACTAAGGACAAGGAAAAAGCAGTCAGAGAAAAGGGACATAATACTTCCAAGAGAACAGTAAAACCGATAGACGACTTCTCAACATGAACAAATTGAATCCAAAAAAAATTTGGTATTAAATCTTCAGAGAGCTAAAAACAAAAATCTGACAATTTAGAAATGTATACACTGTGAAATTATCCTTCTATAATGAGAGATGAATAAAGCCATTTTCAGGCAAACAATAATTGAATTTGTCAGTAAAGTAATCCTACTAAACGAAATACTAAAAGGAGTTCTTCAAGCAAAAGAAAAATAATCCCAGAAGGAAAATGAAGACCCAAAAAGAAAAGAGCAATAAAAAATTAAATAAATGGGTACATGTAAATAATCACTGACAGTAAAAAACAACAATGTTTGATGGGATTTGTGATACATGGATGGTGGGTAGATAGACTGATTGATTGATTGAATGATTGATTGACTTAAAATAAATGTCAAACATAGCACAAAAGTTGGGAAGGGATAAAGACAGTAAAAGAGTTCCACAGTCCTTGCATTATCCATGAAGTGGTAAAAGTACTAACTTATACTAGAATGTAACACATGTAAGGATATATGTTATAATACCTAGGGTAACTACTAAAATATATAGCTAACAAGCTGAGAGGAAAAAATAATTTATAATAAACAATCAAAATATATGCATGTATCTGAACAAAAAGCTCCTACAATACTGTAAGAACAAAGCAGGCAATCCAGCAGGAAACAAGAGGCTCAAAGAACTGAACAGGCACTACACAAAAGAAGATGCCCACTTGGTTAATAAACTTACAAATACGTGCTCAACTTCATTAGATACTAGTAAAATGCTAATTAAAATCATAATTATGAGATACCATTATTTATGCAAACAACAGAAAAAAGTAAAGAGACTGACAAAATCAAGTGTTGATGAAGATTTGAAGAAAATGGAAAGTAGAACCTGCATACACTGTGGAAGCATAAACTGGTAAAACTAATTTTCAAAACTATTTGGCAGTATTTTACTAAAGTTGAACATGCCTTATAGCCTAGCAATTTCACTCTTAGGTATATATGCAACGGAAGGTATATATTTGAACCTGAAAGCATGTATCAGAAAAGTCATAGCAACATTGTCTATAATAGCTAAAAATGGCACCAATCCTTGGCACTACACTGAATAAATTGTGCTATACTCATACCACAGAATACTATACAGTAATAAAAATGAATGAAGTATTGCTATACACAACCCCACACATGAACCTTCCAAACATAATCATAATCATAAGTGAATAAAGCCATGCACACTGGAATATGTGTGGTATGATTCCATTATGTAATGTTTTTTAAAAAGACAGGTGGACAGAGGCGAAGTGTGACACGTATACACCATGGAATACTATGCAGCCATAAAAAAGATGAGTTCATGTCCTTTGTAGGGACATGGATGAAGCTGGAAACTATCATTCTGAGCAAACTATCGCAAGGACAGAAAACCAAACACTGCATGTTCTTACTCATAGGTGGGAATTGAACAATGAGAACACTTGGACACAGGGTGGGGAACATCACACACCAGGGCCTGTCATGGGGTAGCGGGAGAGGGGAGATACAGCATTAGGAGATATACCTAATGTAAATGATGAGTTAATAGGTGCAGCACACCAACATAGCACATGTATACATATGTAACAAACCTGCATGTTGTGCACATGTACCCTAGAACTTAAAGTATAATAATAATAATAAAAAAAGACAGGCAAAACTATTGTGTTAGAGGCTGTAATAGGAGTTACATTTGAGGAAGAGGAGGGGGTCTGTGTTTAGGAGAGGGTATGATGACAACTTCTGGGATACTGGTAGCTGGAAGGTAGTGGTGGCCATACTGACTATGTTCAGTTTATGATACTGTGTACATGATTTGTGCATTTTATGTATATTACTTTAAACAGCAAAAATAAATGAAAATTAAAATTTTGTAAACATATTTACCAAGATCTTTGAAAAGATTCATTTCCTTTTACCCAGTAATTTCACTTTTAGTAATTTATCCTGAGGAAATAATGGTAATGAAATATATTCCATGTTATGAATATAGGTCTTCCTCTATTTTGTACACTAATTTTGTTTCCAATGATGTTTCTATTATAATGCTATGGTAAAGATCTTAGATTAACTAGTAATTTTTTTCTTAACTTAAAATGATCTTCATAAAACAAATTACCATTGAAATGTTTATAAAGAGTTTATAATATAATAGTCATTACATAAAATAGATAAAAGCAGAGAATTAAATTACAGAGTGAATATGATCACAGCTATGTATTTCTTAAAAAGTTGAAGAAAAAGGATTGCAAGGAAATATGCCAAAGTGCCATCAGTGATTATGATTGTCTTTGTTTAATGAAATTATAGGTATTTTTTTCTCTGTTTTTTATTTTATTACCTGTTTTAT
Source organism: Homo sapiens (assembly GCF_000001405.40). Classification (NCBI taxonomy): domain Eukaryota; kingdom Metazoa; phylum Chordata; class Mammalia; order Primates; family Hominidae; genus Homo; species Homo sapiens. Next base: position 222,323,446 of record NC_000001.11, read on the forward strand.
AATAAATACATATATATTATTTTATAATGGTAAAAATGTAAAATCCCATATCATTAAAATGGAAAACTGTTATTTGTAAAGGAACCCATTCAAATTCCTACCCAGGCAATGCCTCTTCTTCTTCCCCAGGGGCACTGACTTTGAGCTAGACTTACAGCACTCACTACTGTGCCTCATACATCAAAGCACACACATGTTGCTTTGATTTTCATGTTTTAGAACTCAGCTAAAATACAGTGGCAGGGCCCATTGTAACCTCTAGTCCGTCCTCTCTCCAATTCTCCCCACTAGGGAAATCTTTCCAAGCCAATTTCAGGGCCTGTGTTTCATGGCAAGTAATTTTAAAGCAGGGCAGTGTTTGAACATTTACACACAAACAACTCATTAGGTGGCAGAATTTGTTGGAAAGAAAACAGTATGTCATCCAAACCATAAAGTGACTACTGAGCCCAGTTCTCTCCCATGCCTCTATTAGTTCCTGGCATAAGCCAAGATGCTTCAGACACGAATTCATTTTCCTCACCCTCTAAGTACTGGCTAGCACACTACTTTTGCAGAACCTAGCTTTGGGGGGACTTTTAAACTTTTATGCATTTCAAAACTTTTATCTTAATTAAAGCTTGGAGGTAGAGAGTACCATGTACATAACCACAGAAAATATTCATTTCTTATTGGCAGGAAACCTGAGAAACACCATTTCAGAACCTTTTTTTTTTTCAAAGAATTTCCACGGAAAACGCAGATTTATCTCTTCCAACCATATATGTGTTTGGTTCCTCATGAGTCATTTTATTCATTCATTCCACAAACAATTTTTCTGTACCAGTGTTGTGTAAAACACTGCCAGGTACTGGATATAAAGAAAAAAAGAAATTTCCCCTGTACTCAATGAGCTCAGAGTCTGGGGCAGAGAACAGGTAAGTCAGCATATTCTCAAGTCAGTGGGGACAGGGATATGATGGAGATCAACAGAGTTCAAGGAACTCCCAGGAGGGGTGCTGGATTAGTTTTCCATGGCTGTGTAACAAATTACCACCAACTTGCAGCTTAAGACAACATACTCTTACTAGCTCATTATTTCCATGGGTCAGCAGTCCAAGCACAGCTCCCATAGGGCCTCTGCTCCAAGTCAAACAAGGCTTCTTCTATGTATTAGCCAGGCTATATTCTTTTCTGGAGCTCGGGTCCTCTTCCAAGCTCATATGGATGTTAGCAGACTTCACTTCCTTGTGGTTGCCCTTTTCTTGCGGGCTGACAATCTAGAACCATTCTTAGCTCATAGAGGCCCTCATAGATCCCTGCCATGTAGCCCTACCCAGACCTTCTCAAAATATGGCAGCTCACTTCTTAAAGCTAGTAGGAGAATCTTTCTGAATTCTAGACCCTCTTTTAAGGGTTCACCTGATCAAGTGAGGCCCACCTAGGATAATCTCCCTTTTGATTAATTCAAAGTCAACTTAATTACATCTGTGAAATCTCTTCATCTTTTCCATGTAATGTAACCTAGCCATATGGGTAATATCCCATCACATTCACCCACACTTGAAGAGAGGGGATAATATGAAGTGTGAGGCATGTAAACCAGAGGGCAGAAATCTTGGGGGCTATATTAGAAATCTGCTTACTACAGGCCAGGCACGGTGGCTCACGCACTTTGGGAGGCCGAGGAGGGCAGATCACGAGGTCAGGAGATCGAGACCATCCTGGCCAACACGGTGAAACCCAGTCTCTACTAAAAATATAAAAAATTAGCCGGGCATGGCAGCAGGTACCTGTAGTCCCAGCTACTCAGGAGGCTGAGGCAGGAGAATGGCATGAGCCTGGGAGGCAGAGCTTGCAGTATGCCGAGATTGCACCACGGCACTCCAGCCTGGGCAAAAGAGTAAGACTCTGTCTCAAAAAAAAAAAAGAAAAAAAAAAAAGAAAAGAAAAGAAAAGAAATCTGCTTACTACAGGCATCTACCCCAAAATGGAACTTTCAGTGGCTTCAAAGATGACACCAGAACAAGTATTGAAGATAAGTAGAAAGGGCTGTGGAGGGGAAAACTGTTCTAACTAAAGTTATCAGTAAGTGCAAAGTCCCCAAATGAGAAATATGATAAGTTTAAGGAAATGGTCAGTTGTTTGCATTTCTGACTTTAGTGGTGATAGATGAAGTGTCACTCCACAGACAGAAGAGCAGTGTGACCAATGACAGGTAACCTCAGAGCTTCGATTTATTTACCTATAAAGACATTCAAGTTATATAGTCAGCACATGTTTATTGAATGGTAATATGTGCCAGGCATTGTGCTAGGCTTTTATGACTATGTGATTGTGCTCATTTCCCCTACTAGTTATGAACTCCATGAAGGTAAAGATCACATCTGGTTTGCTCACCATTTTATCCCTAAAGCCTAGCACAATGCCTGGCCCATATTACCATTCAATAAACGTGCTGACTACATAACTTGAATCCCTTTATAGGTAAAGAAATTGAAGCTCTGAGGTTACCTGTCAATTTATCTTTGGATAAATTGAGTTTGTCTGCAGAGGCCCCATGGAGAAATGGCCAGAGGGCTGTAGAAGGTATGAGTCTGTACCTCAGATAGAGAAAGATTGGGACAAAAAGTACAGATTTGGAGCTATCAGTACAGAATCAGTAATCATGTCCTTGTAATGGATGAGATTAGCCAGCAGATGTGTGTAGAGAGGAAGCCCAAAGACTAGGACCTCAGACTAGTACTATTCAACAGGTGCACAGAGGAAGATAAGGCTTTGAGGAAGCTTGGAAAGGAGCAGCTAGTGGTGTAGAAAGGAAGTATGCTACCCCAGAAGCCAAGAGGTGAATGGGGCCTCAAGGAGGTAGACCCTTTCAAAAGCTGCCCAAATGTTAAGATAAAGACCAAACGGCAGTCTATTTATCAACCATAAGATCCTTGGTTATTTTGGGGATGGCTGCTTACACTGAAAGGAAGGGGGAAAACAGATTTCAGTGGGCTGAAGAACAGCTAAGCCGTGGGAAATGGTGCAAGTATAGATGGTTCTTTCAAGCAGCCCCATAGGAAGGAAAGGAGTGAGGTAGGGCAATGCAGTGTAGGGTTTGGTTAAGATAACAGAAGTGAGCATAACTTCAGAGGATGCCATAATTCTGTCATGTGTGTGGAACTGCAGCAATATGTCATAGCTGGAACAGACTATACAAGTCATCTAGAGCATACTCATAGTACACGGTAGTTAAATTCTCTTTCTTTAGAAAAGACCCACCTCTCATGGGTCTCATAGGCCAGATCTGGATCCTTCTTTGACATACTTTAATAACATCTGCACTACCTTCCCTTCAGGGCACTCATGCTGGCATTTTCCACTTATCAGCATTTATTGTACTTTTATGACTATGTGATTGTGCTCATTTCCCCTACTAGTTATGAACTCCATGAAGGTAGAGATCACATCTGGTTTGCTCAACATTTTATCTCTAAAGCCTAGCACAATGCCTGGCACATATTACCATTCAATAAACATGTGCTGACTACATAACTTGAATCCCTTTATAGGTAAAGAAATTGAAGCTCTGAGGTTAAGTTACCTGTCATTGGTCACACTATCAGAGGCAGGTTGCAGTAAAGTGTACATGTTCACCTCCACTCTTTTTGAAAGAATGATCACCTCCTACTCACAGTACCATTAAATTTCCTCTGAATAAGCATCAAATACATATAAACACAATCTTCCAGAAGTAGTAGCTCAAGGCTGTTAACAACTAACCACCAGCATGCTCTGATTCCACAACCCCTCTTTTTAAAATTACCATCTATTGAGTACTCACTCTGTGTTAAGCACAAAAAAAGCTAAGGACTTCATGTCCATTTTCTCATTTGATTTTCATAACAATTGCCCACATTGGTTGATATTATTCCAATTCTACAAAGAGTATAACTAAGGCTAAGAAAAGTTAAGTAACTTGCCAAAGCATTAAATGTCAGGGCCAAGATATAAATGCAGGTCTGTCAGATCCCAGAACCCATGACCTTATCCCCTACGCTCTGCTACTCCACCGACTATGCTCTTCCCAAAATTGTCAACAACTCCATAATTCTATTCCTATCCAAACACACACTTCCATTGGGAAAATACATTCAGTGTTCAGGGAAACTGATGAGCCCTTTCAAGGCACTATTAGTTGCTATGAAATAAAAGTATAAAAAGAAAAAGCTATCAGTAAAGCAAATCATAGAATTTAAATGAGTTTAGTGTTAACTCATTTCAGTAGTATAGGCCCCAGGGTCAAGAATATTTTATAAATATATTTTTAGATATGAAAAGATGTATATACATATATGTACATATGTATTATAAACAGATTGTCAGTAGTACTCTTGGTAATAACAAAGGAATATAAGTAGAAGATTTGGCTTCTCTAGATTAATAATTTTAAGTCTTACCTGTTATATATTTCCTTCTCTTTCCAAAAGAGAAACTACATTTATTCTACTGGTTCTTCATCTTTTCTAAGCAAACTTGTAGCAATTTTGAATATCTTGTATGGTGAGAAACAGAAGAAAACTGTCTAGACAAAAATCTTTATCTTTGACATTGATGTGAAAGTCAAACATCTTGACTTCATGGATTAAACTGTCTGTCACTAAGAAAATGTAACTGAGACTTTGGCAGAAGCATTGTTCAAAGAGTTGGGAAATAAGGTTTCTGGTTCCTTCCCTACAACCACCAGTCAGCAGCTTGGTGAAGTTAGCAAGATCATTTAACCTCTACAAATCTAGTTCTATATCTGTCCAGTGAAGCTATGAACATGAGATCCCTCCTCCTTTGGCTTCTGTAACTATAATGCAAAAGTGGCTAAAACATACATTGCTGCCAGATAGGAGGGATCTTGTTAATTCCACCTGAAAGAAAATCCCCCTGATCTATCTCCAGCTCCAACATTGTATTTCTAGATGCCAACTAGACACCTCCACCTAGAATTGCTTCAGGTTCTGCAACTCAACATGTTTAAAACTGAACTCATCATCCTTCCATCAGAAAGAGAAAAAAATAAAACTATACTGCATCTTGTATTCCCTCTTTCTAGTAAAGACATTTTTGTCAATCCAGCCTATCAAGCTAGAAATCTAAGAATACTTTTGACAGCTACTGTTTCCTCAACCACTCTCACTTCATTGGTCGCCACATACTGTTGATCCCACACTCCAGTGGTGCCTCTAATTCAGCATGTCTTCTCCAATTCCACGTCCACTTCCTTAGTGCAGCCATCATCATCTGAAACCTAAACAATTACAATGACCTTCTTGCCTCTAACGTCCCCAACTGCGAATCATTCTCTATGATGGAGTTATCAAAAAAAAAAAAAAAACTTATTGGACCATTCCCAGCAGGTTATAAACTTTTGTTGACTCTAAATTACCTATCAGACCTTTTCATATATGTTGGCCATTTTTATGTCTTCTTTGGAGAAATACCTATTCAGGTCCTTTGCCCATTTTTTAATCATGTTATTTGTTTTTCTGCTATTGAGTTTTAAAAATCCTTTACAAATTTTGGATATTAACCGCTTATCAAATATGTGGTTTGTAATTTTTTTTCATAATCTAAGGTGGAGCATGGGAGAAATGGGGAGATGTAGGTCAAAGGATATAAAGTAGCAGATACATAAGATAATACACAAGATAAGTCAATATCTAATGTACAGCATGAGCACTAGAGTTAACAAATTGTATTGCATTAGGGAATTTTGTTAACTAAGTAGATTTTAGCTGTTCTTGTCACAAAAAAAGTAACTATGTGAGATGACAGATATACTAATCTGCTTCACTATAGTAAACATTTTACTATCTATATGTATTCCATCACACCATATTGTAAACCTCAAATATACAAAATAAGATGTATTTTAAAAATAACTTATTTACAGCATAAAGGCAAATTCCTTAGCTTGGAATTCAGACAACTAACAATGATGACCCAATAATCAGGAGCCCAGGTTCTTTCAGATTTCTACTTTACTATTCTTTGTGTATCCTCTCATGGCTTAATTTCTCTCATTCTCACAATATGGCACATGTACATCTAGCTATGCAAAACAACAACATCTAGCAGGTCAAGAGGGACTATTTTTAGATGGGCTTCTTAAATTGAAGAAACTCCCAGAAGTCAACCTTGTTTCATGTCTCATTGGCCATGCCTATGAATAAGTCAAGCTCTTATAAGGACCAATATCTAGATGGGCTTAAACCAATCAGGAACTTTCCTTGGGAGGGGTTTGGGACTTCTTCTTCAGTGACCCCTTGTGGTATAATAAAAAATATATATTCGGTCTTGTCTTTATTTCCTGGCACAGAACTCCTAAAACCCTTGAAATTCCCTGAGTGATAAGAGTGTCTTGTCACTTATAACGAGCCCCTTTTGACCACATGTGAGTTCATGCTAATGAGGTGACTCTTGGTGGCGACTCCTAGATAACAGGAGTCTGGTAACTGGTCACCAGAAAACCAATCATGTGATTAGAGGATTAGAACTATCAGCCCTACCCACCAACTTTTTGGAGAGAACAGGGGCTGGAAATTGAGTTCAATCACCAATGGCCAATGACTTAATCAATCATGCTGACATAATAAATCTTCAATAAAATATCTGAAATAATGAGACTAAGGGAGCTTTTGAGTCAGTGAACACATCAAGGTGCTGGGAGGATGGTGCACCTGGAAAGGGCATGGAAGCTCTATGCTCCTCCCTACATACCTTGCCCTATGCATCTCTTCCATTTGGCTGTAGCTGAGTTTCACCATTTATAATAAACCGATAATCATAAGTAAACCACTGTCCTGTGTTCTGTGAGTTGTTCTAGCCAATTATTAAACCCAAGAAGGAGATTGTGAGAACTCCCAAATTTGTAGTCAGATGAGAAGAAGGGCGGGTGGCCTTGGTACTCCATTTATGACTGGTGTCTAAAGCAGTGACAGTCTTACGGGACTGGATCCTTAACCTGTGGGATCTGCACTAACTCTAGGTAGTTAGTGTCAGAGCTGAGTTGAATTGTTAGACACCCAGTTGGTGTCTGGAGAATTGGTTGGGGTCAGAAAACACCACACATCCTTGAACGCAATTGAGGTTCTACTATGGGGGAAAGAAGGTGAATATTTTTGGAGCAGGCACACAACAGTATCTGCTATACTACCAAAAGTTTGATCCTCCAGGTCTCCACTGATCCGCAACTGAGAAAGTATAAACTGTCACCACATTTTTTAATGACAATACCAAGGAGAGGGTAAAAAATTTGCATATTATAATTTTTTCATCATCGAGGGACTAAAAATCTCTATTACTCCCTATCCATCCAAAGGCTAAACCTTGACCAAAAGAAAACAGTTTAACACTACACCTAAAACCACTGGTTATTGCCACCTGGGTGATTTCCTACTAAAAGTGATACTACATTTTGACCATCTGCAAGGGTTTTTCTTATATTGCATTATGAACGTATATTCATTAAAACATTGAGATGCCTTTATGAGTTTCTCAGAGCTTTGCTGTTTTAGTAATTAGATAAATTTAAGTGAATTATCCACTTTTAAAAAATCTAGTCATAGTTACTGGAAAAACCTGAGAGACGCCATTTTCATAACAAGAAAATCCCATCTCTTTACTTGGTCATTCAGCCACATCACCTTGCTCTGCTTGAGATTCACTTAACCAAATCTCCTTTATAAATTCCTTGTCCCCATGTCATTGGCTTGATGTCTATGATGCACTTGACCCTGTTCTTTTTAGTGCACTCAGTAGCTCAAATTCACTGAGCATTTGCCCTGAGCTATAAGTGCCTTATTGTGAACCTACCTCATTTAATCCTCACAACAACCCCATAAAATAGATGCTATTTTTGTTCCTCCTTTACAGATGAAAAAAACTGAAGTTTAAAGGGTAACTTGTCCAAGATCACAAGGTTGTGCTATTTTAAAAACAAAAATAAAAAAGGTGGAATTAGGATTTACAATTAGGGGCATGTGACATATGACTCTACTCAGTATGTTGCCTCATAATGGCATGCTGTCTGAATACCAATTCCTTTCTGTCTCACAGTGCTGATTCTGGGGATCAGCTTATCCACAATATAAGATAAGCAGACTATGCAAATATTTTTGAGTTTGTAGTTAGGTCTGAGAGGTATGATTCAGCTTACAAAGTATCTGAATCCACGTGATGTTGAATGTGATGGAATAAAGCTGTGCTGTACTTTAGAATGTATGGGAATTGTGTAAGTAAACTATTTAAAAAAACTTGGGGCCAAAAGGAAATGTAATGACAATCTATAGCTTCTGTCTCAAAAGTAGCAAACACATGAGTGATACATGTATACCCTTAAAGATGATTACTCAGTTTTTGTTTAAATTATAATCAGTGGTTGACAGCACCCTCCAGCTCTATGAACATTTGTTCTACCTACTAAACAAGGGCATGACAAGAACAGTGTCTATCTACTGTTAGACAGCACTAGTTGTTCCTTTATAATTTCTCCCCTTCAACCTGGAGTCTGTAGACCACAATTGAACCAGGGAAATCCCAGAGCAAGCTCTCCCTTCAAGATCTTCAGTTCCAATGATCTCATTCCCATTCCAAACAACCACAGGTGGAATCATGTCTTTAATTTATACCTTCATTGACTTCACAAATCTCAAGCACTTAGAAACAACAACTGCAATCATCCACTTGCTCTTAAAGTATCTTTGCACAGGGGGAATGACCCCCCAGCCCCCGGCCCCACTCCCATAATCATGTTTGATAATCAATCATTTCAACTTTAGTTAAGCTCCCTGGCCCCACTCCCATAATCATGTTTAATAATCAATCATTTCAACTTTAGTTAAGCTCTGTCCCATTCCCCACATGAACTATTCCTAAGCATCTTTTGTAGCCTTAGGCTTCCACATACCCTTTGCCTCCCTCACTCTCTGGAAAAGGAATATGCTGCCTCAGCTTCTCACTCTCTCTACCTTAAAATAACTCTATAACTTCACTTACCCTTCCCTCCCTCTTCAAAGGAAGAAGTGCCTTTCTCCATCCTATTTCAACCATTTATTTATATCTTTAGTCCCACTTCCTCCAATCGCCTTCAGAACCTCGTTTTTTCTTTTTCTTTTTCTTTTTTTTTTCTTGAGACAGAGTTTCACCCTTGTCACCAAGGCTAGAGTGCAGCGGCGCAGTCTCGGCTCACTGCAACCTCCACCTCCTGGATTCAAGTGACTATCCTGCTTCAGCCTCCCAAATAGCTGGGATTACAGGCGTGCACCACCATGCCCAGATAATTTTGTATTTTTAGTAAAGATGGGGTTTCTCACAAGGTCAGGAGATCGAGACCACCTTGGCTAACACGGTGAAAACCCATCTCTACTAAAAATACAAAAAAATTTGCTGGGTGTGGTGGCAGGTACCTGTAGTCCCAGCTACTTAGGAGGCTGAGGCAGGAGAATGGCGTGAACCTGGGAGGCAGAGCTTGCAGTGAGCCAAGATCGCACCACTGCACTCCAGCCTGGGCAACAGAGCAAGACCCCATCTCAAAAAAAAAAAAAAGAGAGAGAGAGATGGGGTTTCACTATGTCTGGTCTCCAACTCTCAACCTCAGGTGATCTGCCCACCTCAGCCTCCCAAGGTGCTGGAATTACAGGTGTAAGCCACCACTCCCAGCTCAGAACCTGGTTTCTTCAACCATCTCCTTTCTGAGATCTTCTCATTCTCTCCCCTATTTTCCTTTTGCTTAAAATACACATCTACCATCCTAAAACAAATCCTAAAACAAATCCAAACAGAAATCTCTTTATTCTGTAATCCCCTTGAGAACTTATCTAGCTAGACTCCTTCGCTCCAGAATCTGAAAAATAAGCATGCCTCAAGGTTCTGTGCTCTTCTCTCCACAATGTACACCCTGTGGAATGCACCAACTCATAGAACTCCAACTTTCATCTATGCAGGTAACTGCCCAGCCCATGGATCTTGCCCAGACTGTTCTTCCAAGAGCTGTTCCTAAATTCCCCCACCACTAGTCCTTCTCCACGTGGATACTTCATCAGCACACTGAACTCTGTAACTCCAAGGCCAAATTTATGACAGCCACCTAAGCTTTCTCATTTACCCAAATTTGGAACCTTGGAGTCATAGCATCAGAAACTTTGGAACTAACCCAAGCTGTTCATTTTTCAGGTTAAAAAATGTGAAGACCAGAAAGTTTGAATGTTTGAATTCTCCTCCTTTACTTCCTCTGCTGAGAAACTTTCCAGCAATTCTAGCTCTAAACTACTTCCTTTTAATTATTTTTGCTCTGGGCCTTAGCTCTGACCAACATCATATCTCTCTTTAGCTATAGCAATAGTTTCATAACATGTCTTTCACCTACAATATATGTCACTCATCCCTTCCTACCCTAAAACACCACTAACTTTATTCAATACCTTTGACATATGTGAGTGTGTATATATTTGGGACTGTGCCAAGGTCTCTGGGCTTAGACGTAAGGAGAGACTCTGCCTGCATGTGTGATCCTTTAAAAAGACACTTAAAGCAGACTATAATGGGCGGGGGAAGGCTGAAGAAGCCCCTTGCAAGAGGGACATAGTGACAGGTGAGCTAAATTTTCAAGGACAGATAGGAATTAGCCAGATGACAAAGAGGGGAATAGAAGTCAGGAAAGATCATATAGTCGACTCAAAGGCATAGAGCAAATGGTACATCTGTGTGTCATGAAACTCTGAGGGTTTCAGTTTGGCTGGACAAAGACCCACAACAGTGAGTGGCAGGACAGCAACAGAGACCTGGTGAAACTGGGTGGGTATACAATATCAAGAACACAAAGGAATAGTATAGACTGAAAGACTTTCAGAAGGATATAAGACAACATCAAATTAGCAAATTAGAAAGATCATTTAGTCATAAATGAGATCAGTTAGGAGGCGAGGTTGAAAACATGGAGCCCATTAGCCGACAGGCTTGAGTAAGAGACTGAAGATACAAAGGAGAGGAGAAAAGAAAGCATGCAATTTGTACCAATTTCGTGTTGAGGTTTTGCTAGGTCATTGAGAATAACAAAATGAGGTAAAGAAGTTAAGAATGTTGAGAAGAGAATGTGTCACTAAACCACAGTTCCAAGGCTGAGTCAGGCCCACCACCTGTGTTTTCATAGACAAAAATGGGAAATGGCTTTTGCATTTTTAAAAGGTACAAAAATTCAAATGAAGATTTCACGATGCACAAAAGTTATATGAAAATCAAATGTCAGCATCCATTAATAAAGTATTACTGGAGCACAGCCACACCCATTTCTTTACATACTCTCTATGGTTGTTTTAGCACTACAGTGGTACAGCTTAGCTGTGACAGAGATTGCATGGCCTGCTAAGCTTAAAATATTTGCTGTTTGGTCCTTTTTAGAAAATGTAAACAAAAAGGTAGCTGAGACAAGTCTCAACTAATTTAGAAAGTTAATTTTGTCAAGGTTAAGGATGCGCCCATGACACAGCCTTAGGAGGTCCTGACGAAGTGTGCCCAAGGTGCTCGGGGTATAGCTTGCTATTATACATTTTAGGGAGACATGAGATATCAATAAATATGTGTAAGATGTGCATTGGTTTGGTCCAGTAAGTTGGGACAACTTGAGGCAGGGCCTTCCAGGTCATAAGTAGGTAGAGAGACAAAAGGTTGCATTCTTTTGAGTTCTTGATCAGCCTCCACAGAATACACACTTTAGTCTGGCTCAGTGAATCTGCATTTTTTCCTAAACAATAGGGCAGAGGAAGCAATCAGATATGCATTTATCTCAGGTGAGCCTCAGGAATGACTTTGAGTTCTGTCTGTTCTTTGCCCACAAGGAATTTCCTTGGGGACAAATTGTCAGGGAGGTATGTAGCTTCTTATCTCTGTAGCTATCTTATTTGGAAATAAAATGGAAGGCAGATTTGCCTGCCATAGTTCCCAGTTTGACTTTTACCTTGGCATAGTGATTTTGGGGTTCCAAGATTTATTCTCCTTTCACAAAAAATTTGCCAACCATGGTTTAGATGATGAGCCATGAGACCTTCACTGCTTAATAATATGGAAGAAGAAAGGAAAAGATAGGGGACGGAGATCCCTATGAGGTCTGAGAATAAGTATGGTGAGAATAAGAAAGGCAAAAGAGCCAAAAAGATAGTAGGTATGGTCAGCCCTGGGAGAGAAAGACATGTGGCAGTTCTAAGAGATGGACTCCCCGAATTACATGAGAAGCCTAGCTACCTGCTTTTCTTCTCATTTTTAAGACCATGAATAGATAAACATGTGTCACCATCAACTATCAAATGCAACTTGCTGCCTAGCAATTTTTCTTGGCATTTGATCAGAAGATCAAATTACAATGCTTTCACTTACATGTCTATTTTCAAGTTAGTTCTTTTGTTGAAAATGACATTAACATCAATAGCCCTGAACCACTATAAATGTTTGGATTAAATTTAAAATCTTTCAATTCATCACTTTCCTATGCTGCCTCCCAAAATGAAGTAAAGGGATAAAATCTTTATTAAAACAACAGAATAAGGCCAGGCACAGAGACTCACACCTGTAATCCCAGCACTTTTGGAGGCCAAGGTGGGAGGATGGCTTGAACCCAGGAGTTCAAGCCCAGCCTCGGCAACACAGCAAGACCCCACCTCTACAAAACATAAACATAATAATAATAACAGAATAATTCTTCAGAACAAAAAGAAGTTTTTTTAAAAAAAACCCAACTCTTGAATTTGCTAAATGTTTTTCCTGTGGCTTCATATAGTCTCTGTTTACGCTATCTTCCTAACCCTTATTCCTACAAAGAAGAAATAGGTCTTCTTGGTAATCCCCTGCATTGAGAGCCCCTTATTGATAGAAAATATAGGTAGCCTCTTTCATGTGATTCCACAGCAACTAGTAGGAAGAACTGCCTGCAGTAGATACATTCTGTTCCGGGACTGATTACAGCCAGTGGAACACAGAGGAAAACACCCCTTCACCTCAGTGCTTTCTGGATTACAGCAGAAAAACAATGCACATTTTCCAAGATTGAAGTGATCATAACCACAAGGCAATGTGGCAGCTAAATGAGGTATTTCTCATCCCCCAGCTTTGCATAAAAATCAGCATGGCACTCAGGTACAAAGATCAAGGACACATTGCCTCCTCTTACTCTATGGGCTGAGAAGGGGAGGGGAAAGCCACTTGAAGTGTCATCAGTAGAAGACACAGCCAGGGAATTAGAGTAATCAGCAGAAAATTGAGCTACTGATCTTAACTACAAAGAACTTGAAAACTATCTATCTATCTATCTATCTATCTATCTATGGAGCTTTACCACTGGTGTTAAAAAGACTCATACTTACACATTTCCACTGAAATCAGAAAAGGAGCAGCAAGTACTGCCTGCTTAGGAATCCAAATAAGAAACTTTACAGGCTTGAACTAAGCCATTATTGCCTATACTGCATTTCCAAGACACAAATGTATAAAATCATGCTCCATTTTACAAAAATGGGGGAGGAAAAGGCATTTCCAAAAATAGGAGAGATTCGACCTAACTACCTGCAAAGAAGTCATAAGCAAAATAGGTCTCTTCACTCTGTCACATCCTGGACCTCCATGCACCTCTGACCACGACCCGCCATCTCTTTGCTCATTAAGTGCCTTGTTCATCATGGAGCAAGCCCTGCCCAAGTCAAAGGCGGGGTGTTCTTTTAGCTCTACAAGCACTGAATTGCACCATTAGTTTTCAGATGCTGATACCAGGTCAGAGGTTCCCCGAGCCTGTCTGAAACTGAAAAGACCTCACAGATCCTTTCATCAGAGATTCTGGTGGAATCACCAACAGATGAAAAATACCTTGACATCATGGAACTTAAAGGTAGATCTAAAATCAAGAGAATCACAGCTATGTGGAAACATTTAACATCTTTCTCGCACTGATCTTGGGACCTTGAGATATTTTTTATTTTAAATGTCTTTTTTTCATATCAAAAAAGACTGTAAATGCCAAGAAAAAGAATTTACAAGTTTTCAGTTGCCATAGCCTATATTTGAAAAAGTATAAGAGTTTGCATGAAAGCTGAAGCAACTTAGAAATGGCAATTAAGATAGTCTCATCTATGTGATTGTTTTAATACATGTTTCTAAAAGTCAACTTTTTAAAATCCCAATTTAAAAGAGGCCTGTGGAAACATATAGAAGATTTGTTTCCCATCTTGTCTTTTTGAACTTGACATTCTTTACCTGGTTCTACTGTTATCCAGGGTCTGCCATTTCAGTGTTTCCCTTCATAGTCTGCAATCCTGCCATGCATGAAAGGGCCACTCAGCCATGGTAATTCCATCCAGTCCAGCTGGCAGTAATGCCTTTCTCATGGGTATGGCAGAAAACAAAATCCCCCAGCCAAAGACTCTAAAGCAGCTGTCCCCAACCTTTTTGGCACCAAGGACCAGTTTCATGGAAGACAATTTTTCCACAGCCAGGTCATTGCAGGGGTTGGAGGATGGTTTTGGGATGAAACTGTTCCACCTCATCATCAGGCATTAGTTAGATTCTCATAAGGAGGGCGCAACCTGGATCCCTCACATGCACAGTTCACAATAGGGTTTGCACTTCTATGAGAACCTAATGCCACAGCTAATCTGATGGAAATGAGGTGGTAATGTGCGCTCGCCTGCCCACCGCTCACCTCCTGCTGTGCAGTCCGGTTCCTAACAGGGAACAGACTGGTAGAGTTGGGGACCCCTGCTCTAGAGGACCCCATACTATCTGCACTTGACTCAAGGAAACAGCATCAAGAAAAACAGCCGGGTTACACTGGCGAATAAAGAAGAATCTCCTGAGTCTGAAAGCCACACAACCAGTCTGGATCATGGAAAAGTACTAGACTTGGGAGTTGTCAGAAGACCTGGTTCAAATTGCTTTAATAAAACATAGCCTCTGTGAGAATCTATATTGCAGGACTCTTTATAAAAGCTGACCTGGTCATATTATTATTGTAACTGTAATGATGGGTAATTGTTTCCTTTACAATAGCCATCCAGTCCCTTTATATCCACCCACACCCTTCAGATTGTTAATTTGTGACTCCTTTTTTTTTTCTCAGAAGTTTCTAAGTGATAATGTTTAGCTAGATTTTACACAGATACATTTCCTTGGAGCAAATGGAAAGAGGAGAGGAAGGCACATTGAGTATGATTTGACCCACACCCCATACCCACCAGGGGTGGCTCAGCCTGGTACTCCAGGCTGGTGTGGGGTTTACCTCATCAAGTCACGGAGCGGCAATTCCCCTGGGCCTCCTCCCTCAAGTACGAGAGGATTTGGGAGTAATTTCTGCAACCCTGGGGTCTTTTCTGCAATGTGCATGATCAATCCTTTGTGATAATCTATGTAAGCACAGACCTCCAATAAATCATTGAGCCACAGGGATTAGAAAAGAAAGGACCTAAACTTGAGTAGAGATGAAGAAGCAGAATGAAAGGAAGAAGGGCTGAGAAAGAAGAGGAACCCCACATCGATCTCAAGGTGTATAAAAATAAAAGGTAGGTGTAATGCCTTATTTTATTTCACAAATATGAAATGAGGGCCATGATGTGCGCCAGGCCTCAGGATGAACAAAACAGACAAGGGGCCTGGCCTCATGAGCTGATATTTGATGGGGAGGACAAGTAATAAACAAGAAAACAAATAAATGCATGTTAATTGCAGGTTGTGATATGTGCCTGTAAGTAACTAAAGAAGGTTGTATAACTAAGTGGTGGCATGCTGGTGACGCTGTAAAGAAATGGTGGAGATAAAATACTGACCAGAGAGCAGAGGAAAAATGGGTGCAAGAAAGTAGAGAGGGCACCTATCGACAACTCTGCAGGGTCTGCCATTGTAAAAGAACAGATGGAAGTGTTTTCACAATGTGAATGTATTTAATGTTACTGAAGTACACATTAAAAATGGTTAAGACGGTAAATTGTATATCTCTTTTCCAGTCCTAATTTTAAAAAGACAACCATAGAGGTAGATAATGTATGAGAAAGCCCTGAGGTTCACTTATGTCCAGAACCAGCTTTTTTCACTGTTAGGTCAGCTCAGATTCAAGTGACTAAGTACTCCGAAAATGTCATGGTTTTGTCCTTTCTCAGCTTAAAGGGGGGAAAAAGCCTTCATCATGAGTGGCAGAGGAAGGGGTCTAATCTGATCAAACGATTCATTCGTGGATTCAAAATAGCTTTGGTCTGGTAGACCAACAGGCCTACCAGTAAAGGGCAAAGGCATTATTTATCTTTCAGGGGACAGTAGCTTTCAGTGGCCATGAATGAGTGAGAAACATTGCCGGATTATTCATTCTGAGGTGCAATTCTCATTTTTCAAGTTGGCTGTACCAGTCATCGTGTTTTGACTAACCAAAAGGAGATGCCTTTATCATCCTAAAAACTGTCTCTTTGGTATTTCTTGTGTTTTCTAGGAAAAGAACTTATGAAGTTACTCTTTTCTGCGGGGGTCTTCAAAAGGGTCTAATAGCTAGTTCTAAATCGAAGCCAAGAAAAGAGTATGGGTGTGATCATGTATTTCTGTTTCTATATGAAGCACGTGTTCTTCTCATTCACTGATGGTCCAGCCAGTTTGAGGAGCAAGAATGCAGTTTAGAGCCATAAGCTACCCAGAATCATATCGCATGTGACAACTGAACCTAAGATCTGCCACTTACTGTGTTACTTGACCTTTCTAGCCTGTTTGCTCCTGTGTAAAATAGAGATGGTAACAATACATCCTTCAATGTAGTGATGAAGAAATAAGATATAGAACATGCAAAATGCCTAAACAGTGATCAAAATAGTAAGCCACTGAGTGAATCGTTGCTGCTATTCCTAATACTGATAAATTACTAACACTATTAGCAAAATATAAACTGAATATACCCTTTCATAGGTCAATTATATTTATAGGAATTTATTCTACCTCTAAGTATACTCACATGTGTGCAAGACATATGCACACAGATGTGGATTATTACATTGTCTACGACAGAAAAAGACTGGACAAAAACTGAACTTCAAGGACTCAATAAAGGGGCTGGTTAAACCAATTCAAGAGCTTCCATGATATGGAATATTATAGAGTCACTAAAAAGGACATGACTGCATTATACAAACCAATATAGAACACTAAGATATGTATTTGTAACTATTTTTAGGCAAGATGTAAAAATAATATCATGCTACTACTTCTATAAGAAAAAAAATAGGCTTATATACCCAAATCTCTGGAAGGAGATATAAATATCTGATAATGGTAATTGCCTCCAGAAAAGAGAACTCAGACACTGAAAGAAAGCGAGACAAAGGAGATTTATTTTTTATTACCACCATATGCCATTGTATATATTACCTATCCAAAACATAAGACAGAAAAGAAATGATGAAATGTTAAGCAAATTTTTAAAATAAAACAATACTTTACACAGCAAGCTTTAAGCTATATTGTAAATGTGAGAAACTGATTATTTTTAGAATACAGGCACAAAGATGATGACCTAGGAAGGTTCTGAGATCCAAAAATGGGTAGCTGCATGGGCCCCAGTTGAATGGTACAGGAGGAAGGTTCTGAGATTTGGCCCCAAGGATGGAGGGCTAAGAGAAGGGGCAGGAGCCCTGCTATGCTACATTTTGCTTTCTCAGATGTCAGATTCTTGGAGGTTAGGAAGATCCAAAGGCCTGAGTTTTCCACTTCCATTCTCCTGCCCACCCCTGCCCCTCCCTGACACTTCAAAATTCTCTTTTCTTTGCTACTCCTCTCCTCTCTTGCCACATAAATTTACCCATGTTGACAAATTTTATACTTTTTGACAATTCTCCTTGCCAAAATCTAAGTCTAAAGCCTGGAAACCCTGATCGTTCTTCCAATCAGTAAGTTATTTATTTTACAAATATCTATTGAACACCTACTATGTGCTAGGCATTATTCTTAGTGTCAGGAAAATAGAACTGAGAAAGGCACTAAAAAACAACAATTTCTTGAGCACTTCTCATGTGCCAGCTCTCTTGTAAGCGGTTTACAGCCCAGTTGGGGTTGGAAAGGCAAATTACTCAAATTACTAATAGTGTCTCATAGTACAGGCTCAAAGAGGCCTATTGCCAAAGAATTAAAGGAGAGATCAATGAGGGGACAGAGATTTCCTTCAGGTCTTATGAGATAAGAGTTAAAAGGAATCCTGAAAAAGAGAGCAATAGCCTTGTTTTATATCCCATAACGGTCTAAGGGAAAGTGCTATGAGTCCTGCTTAACCTTGTTAGATAGAAGTATCTTCTCCAAATTTCCCTTAGTTCTTGGCCACTTTGCTGTGGTGATTAGCAGTGGGACCTGCAAAAGAAAATTGGCCCATGGGCTGTGTTCAGAGATGCCAAAGAATTGTGGGACACAGGTCCTACCTAGAGAAAGAATTCCATCAGACATATCCACTTAGTATATGGTGGCAGCTACACAAAGAGAAGAGAGCAGGACCTTCACCCAGAGAAGAAGGGGTGAAGGAGGAATAAGCAGGGATGACAAAGTGGGCTTTGCAGCAGTGATAGGCCTGTGTGGCTCAGGCTCCACTGTAACTGCCTATGGGGCTGGAGAGGAGCCACATCAGGAGAAGGGGCACTAAGAGAGGTCTTAGATAGGGAACATAAGTGGAGAAGGACCTCGCTCAAATGTAGCACCTACCAAGTACTGGGTACTGTTATAGGTAGATGCTTTCCTGCATTTTCTCACTTATCTCAGACTTAGAAGGACAGAGGGAACAAGTTCTACCTGTAAGATGATCAATCCAGCCCTACTTGAGAACCAGGAAACAGCATTCATGACAGATAAGGTATCTTGCAAACTCTGGAGAGGCTAGATATTTGAAGGAAACAAAGCAGACAGAAGCTAAAAGAACACAGAGCTCAGGAGAAGGGCACCATTTTGTGTCCGCTGGCACTTTCAGAGCCCATTATTTGCTGGCACTTGGTTTTAGAGCCCATTTTTGATGGAATAAGTCTATGGCTCTGTGGCAGCTGTGACTTCTTTGGATACGAAGCTATGCAACCTGAGAATTGAAAAAAGCAGTTAAAAGTATATTTGTACAATTACTCAAAGCTACATAAAAATAGAAGTGAAAACTCTCATTTTATCTATGAGCACCGAAGGGCCAGACCTTAGTCAAGGCTACCAACTTGGAATTTCTAATCACAAATTATATTTCATGACTTCTTCAATATAGGACTAGGAGATCTAAATGCTGAATGAACCTGGAGAGTCTTCTAGATCAACACTAATTAATCTAGAGATTGACAGTATTCTACAGAATCAGTGGTTGCCCAGCCTATGTTTAAATGCTTTCACCAACCAGGAACTTGTTAGCTCCTAAAGCAGCCCATTCTGTTTTCATTCACTCAAATTTTGTCTTCCATTGAAAGAAAATTTGTCACACCATAGCCTCTAACCATTAGTCCTAGTTTTAATCCTTGAAGCCTTACAAAACAAGTCTGATATCTCTCCTAAGCTTATTGGCTCATACACTCAACAAATATCCACTGATACTGAGCACCTACTATGCAGTAGGCATTATTCCAGGTGTCAATAAAACAAAAATGAATAATACACAAAAACACCCAGTCTAATGGAATACACAGATATCTAAACAGATAATACAATAAGTGCAATGCTAATGACACAAGGTATAGAAGCTCTGTGAAGCACAGGAATCCCTTTTATGGGTGGAGTTTGAGAAAGTCTTGCTGCAGTAGGTGATGTCAGAGCTGCGATGGGCAGGAGGGTGGAGCTGGGGAAAGGGAGTCAGGAAGGAGAAGGTGTCCAGGGAAGACCTTCTTCCCTTGTGTTGCTGTCCCCAAGAGAGATAGTCCTGCCTGTGTTACTGAAGCATGGAAGGAGGTAGGGAAATAAAGGATTTACCTCAAGAAAATCACCAAAACTGCTCATATTAACTGTACTTTTCTCTGCATGGAGGACATACATACTTGCATGGAGGTAAGTTATATTTTATTTTTATGTTTCTGCATTTTCCAATTTTTCTAAAATCCCCATATAATGCCTTTATCAACAGAAAAGGCAAAGCATGATGAATCTGAAAATAATTTATCCTTTTTGCCTTTCATGACCCTCCCCTCATCATGCGGGTGCCTAACTCTGAGCAAAGGGTCTGGTAGGGGCAGCTGTGAGGTAACATGTCTCAGCTTATCCATTCTAGGACTGTCTTTCCAAATTGCTCCCTCTTCACTGTAACACTTGTCACTGTGCCTAGACAGCACTTCCCAATTTATTTTATTTAGCTTGGCAATGTTTAAAATATCAATGTGGCACTCAAACCTCACTTGAATTTTTCAAGTCTTGTTTGTATTCCTTCTTTTTATTATTATTTTATTATTTGTGTCTGTCATCAGGATGGGTTTGCATTTACAAAAGATGCCATGAGATGTTCAGCCTCCCTCATGGGCAGAGAAATGGCATCAGTGGACGATGAGCTCTGTCTTCTTTCCAGATTCTGCTGGAAAGGATGCAAGCCCAACAGGGACAAGGACCACAAATGGAGCAAGGCCTCTGAAGAGCAAACTGGAGGAGGGGTGGTGGTGCCTGAATTAAACTGGGAGTAGTTACGGTGGACATTGACCGAGCACTTACCAAGTGTCAGGCACTGTGCTTGGTTTTAATTTATCCTCACAAAAATCCTATGAAGTAGGCATTATTAATGTTATTATTTCTCTTTTTATCTCTCTATTTATTGTGTGTATGTGTACGTGTGTGTGATGGGGAGGCGGAGTAAGTGAGAGTGATAGGAGATGGGTTGATCAGCAAGGCGGGAACTAGACCAGGAAGGGCCTTGTCTGCTTTAAGAATCTGACTGGGGGAGTGGCTGAGAGGTTTTCAAGCAGAGAAAGGACAGGATCAGGTCTACATTTTAGAAAGATACCCACAGTGCAATGTGGGTATCTGTGCTACAGAGAGGTTAAGTAACTTACCAAAGATCTCAGAGGTTGTAAGTGGAAGAGATGGATCTAAATCCAAGGGTCTTCACTACGACCCTATGCTGCAATCTAATAGCAAAGGGAGGTTAGTCAAGGGTGCAGACCATCCAAACCCACAGGGAGCTCTCACCAGCCCAGGGCACTCAGCAGAACCAGCATGAGGACTCAGTGAGTGGGAACCATCACACAGACCACCTGAAGAATAGGGTTTGGGAGGTTTCATTTCATTTCCCTAATCTCATTTACTGAGTAGCCATGGTATGCAAGAATGGTGGTTCTTCCCTCTTCTTATTATTTCTCCATTTTACCCCTCCTCTCCATTCTTACCAGCCCAGTCTTAGTTCCCATAATCTCATGAGAGCCGATTCTCATCATCTGTCAACTGGATTATTACAGTAGTCTTCAAACTTGGGTTCAAGTCTCTCAGCTGGCCCTCCATATTGCATTGTAGGTTTCTTTCTAAAATGCAGACCTGATCCTATCCTTTCTCTGTTTAAAACCTCTCAGCCACTCCCCCTGGTCAGATTCTTAAAGCAGACAAGGGCCTTCCTGGTCTAGTTCCTACCTTACTGTTCAACCCATCTCCTATCACTCTCATTTACTCCACCTCCCCATCACACACACATATACACATACACACAGTCACACACATACACACACCCACACACCTGACCCTCTGTGGCCATCCTGAACTATTAACGGTTCCCCAGGTGACCACTTATGGCTCCCACTTCATGGCTTTGCATCTGCTTCTCCTACACCCAGAATGTTCTTTTCCCACTCCTTTGTCTGGTCAAATCCTACTATACTTTTGAAGTTCAGCTCAAGCAGCATCTCCTTTAAGATTTAGATGTGAAAGACCCTTCTCTTGCTTCGTCTTTCACAGCACTCATCACATAATCCTACAATAAATGATTTACTGACTGTCTCCCCCAATAGGCTGAGATATTAAAGAGGGGTGTAACAATGTCTTATTCAATTTTGTATTTCCAGCCTCTATAATCACATCCCGGCTCAGTAAACATTTGTACACTATATAATAATTTGTGTTGGGAAAACCTCGGGTTCTCTGACCTCAAGTTCCCACACAGAGGGAGCTCCACTAGAGTAATGCACCTGGCTTCTCTAGAAGAATAAACTGAGCATGCCCTGGGCTTTGTTCTCTGAGCAAGTCTGCCTTTAGCAAGCTTGCCTTACAGCCCATTCTACGCAGCAGTAAGGAACCTGCCCTACTGGGGAGGCCTATGAAGGTCCTGTTGTGTCCACAACTGGGTAGGTAAGTCTTTCTTCTTTCTTTTTCTTTAAATAACTTTATTGGGGTATAATTGATATATTAAAAACTGTACATATTTAATGTATACAGTTTAATGAGTTTGGACATATGCATGCTCCCATGAAACCAACAATACAGTCAAGGTAATAAACAGATCCATCACCTCCAAAAGTTTCCTTGGTTTTTTGGTTTTTTGTGTTAAAGGCACTAACATGAGATCTACCCTCTTAACAGATTTTTAAGTGCAAAGTAGAGTACTGTTAAATAGAGGCACTATATTGCACAGCAAATCTCTAGAACTTACTCATCTTGCATAACTGACACTTTATACCCCTTGAACAATAGTTCTTTATTCCCTCGTCCTCCAACCCCCAGTAACCACCATTCTACTCCCTGCTTCTATGAGTTAGATTATTCTAGATACCTTACATAAGTAATATCATGCAGATTTGTCCTTGTGTGACCTGCTTATTTCACTTAATACAAGAGTAAAGACAGTTTTCCATAGACCCAAAGCTATGTTTTCCCATCAGGTTTTCCAGTAATAAGAGGGATACTTTTATCTCCGTCTCTCTGACTCCCAAGTCTACCTTTCAATGGGCCTTAAAGACATAAGAGGAAGACAGATGAGATTTATTGGCTCTCTAAAACCTGAACGATATGTTTAATGAATGAATACATTAATTACTAAGGTTGGGTTCCAGGCTTCAGGAAATTTCCAATCAAATAAGGGCAATGAAAGAGAGAAGGGAGATGGTTTAACTAGAGGTAGGAAGGAGCACTGGGGGGGGGTGACAAGAACAAATCAAAGAGGACAGGCTGTGTTTAGAAGACAGTGAATAAAGGAGCTGGAAGTCAGTGGAGAGTGAATGTGGAAATACAAGAAGAGGAGAGTGAATTACTTGGAGCTGAAGCTGTTTTCTTGCTTGAAACAGAGAAAAGTATGTTTCAAAAAACAGCAACAAACAGATAAGTGAGGATTTTTGTTTGTTTGTTTGTTTGTTTGTTTGTTTTTTATGGAGTCTCTCTCTGTCACCCAGGCTGGAGTGCAGTGGCGCGATCTCAGCTCACTGCAACCTCCGCCTCCCGGGTTCAAGTGATTCTCCCGTCTCAGCCTCCTGAGTAGCTGGGATTACAGATGCATGCCACCACGCCCGGCCAATTTTTGTATTTTTAGTTGCGGGAGGGGTGGTTTCACCATGTTGGCTGGGCTGGTCTTAAACTCCTAACCTCATGATCCACCTGCCTCAGCCTCCCAAAGTGCTGAGATTACAGGCATGAGCCACCGCGTCTGGCCAAAAGAGAATTTTAATAAAAATGAAAATGAGGACAGACTCTCCAGGCACTGAGATTTTGCCAGGGCAGCTTCTTTGGCACCAGAAGGTTGCCCCATCCAGCTCCGAGGTATTGCCAAGGAGAGGCGGCAATGGGACCACAAGGTTGGGGAAGTCTCTGCTAGGCTGGCTCAGACCCAGCCACACAGAGTTGGAAAGCAGGAGCAAGAAGCAGCACAAGAGATGGGGTGAGGGTGCTGGAAAGTGCCCTGGGCCTGGGACCCAAAACCCAAGTTTGCAGCCAACTGTCTACTTCCAGGTTCAAAGGCTTGGTTTCCTTCTGGAATGATCAAACATGCCTCTCAGGACTGTTGTGAAAATTACATGATTTTGTGCATACTAAGGCTGCATAAACTGTAAGGTGCATTACAGGTTGAATATGCAGAACTGCTTCCCTCATGGCTGTGAGTGTATTTCTACAGAATTGCTCCTTTGTTTTCCTCTACTCATCTTTGGCTTTGCTTGCAAGAGTGGCACAAATTTGAATTTGAGAATAAATTTGTTCTAGGACTCTGACTTTCAGGTAAGGGTCAACACTTCTCCCATGAACTGCCACATAGAAACAAACTCCTTTCCTGGAGTAAGGAAGGAACAGAGCTGGGTAGGACAGGAAATTAGAAGTAAGAGAGACAAATTAGAACCATCATAAACCTTCTGGCATAGGCCATTTGGAAGGAGCCAGAAGAAGTGAGATGAGTAAATGAGAGCACATGGGATGCTGGCAGGTGGATAAACAGATGGGCCATCTGCCAGAGTGTTCTGGACAAGTACAGGTTGTTGTTCCATCAGACACTGAACAAGTGCCAGAGATTATAGCCCAAGATGGACCTGTTTTACACATCATGGAGCTCAGGGTCCCTCGCTTGTGTGAACAATCTAAATGATAAAGAGCCAGGTTACTTCTTTCTCCTCATCGGTACATTTCAAGGGAAATCCACGCCATCTGTTTCTGCCTTGTTGACTCTACAGCCATAGCACTGCTTTAGGGAAATGTGGATGCCATACAAATAACTGCATAAGCATTTTAGTGCGTAAATTAAATATGTTTTAGGTCTTTAGGGAGGGGGGTGTTTGGATTTAAAAAAAAAAAAACAAAACAAAAGAATATCTGGTTTCTCTTGGAGAAAGCAATCCAAGTGATAAAAGACAACAGGCCAAATAGGTTCCAAGCATGGTAGGAGGGCTTCTCTAATCTTCTGAACTTCTCACATGAAGGACATGAAGGAAACTGGGTGAAAGAGTGCTGGTATTATCATTTCAGGACAGTATCTGAGCCACATGACACCATCTGTCCCACTGAGCAGTGTAGATGGAGTATGAATGATCAGTTCCACATTTGTCTTACTGATCATTTAATCTCTCCAAAGGCAGCAGCAATGATGGGGGCTACGACTCTGGTTTCATTTTGATCAAAAGAAAAAACAGGTAAAGAATGCAGAAGTGGCAAGCAAATTAAGAAAAGTAAGCCTTACCGCCTGAGAGTTTATAGTAGCAAAAGAAAACAAAAGCAGGCAAATATTTCCCCCATTAGATTACAAGACAACAAGTAGTTGATCTTGTTCATTGCTTTTTCTCCAATTCCTCACACACCTGATATAGAAAAGGCACTCAATTTATTTACTGATGGGCCTACAAGTTTCCTAAGCTCTAGAAGAGAAATTTAAGAGAAATAATGGATAAGGTTTTATACTGAAAATGTATTTTTAAAAGTTAGTTTTCAAAAATGGGAAACAGAAATTCTGATTATACAATCTATAATAATAAAAAAAGAAAAGTGGAAGAGGGAAACATATCCATTTAGATGCATTTCGCTGTAAATCACATAAAGACTAGCTAACAATGACTTAAACCAAAGGAGATTTATAATTTGCATAAGACGTCTGCAGGTGACTGATGCCAGGGTTGGCTCACAAGCTCCACACAAGGACACTGGGTTGGTGTATGTGTGATTCTTTTGAGCCTGACTTAATATCATAAGATGGTTTTCATAGCTCCAAATATCACATCCTCACACAATCAAAGGCAGGAAGCAGGGAACTGGCCAGATCAGCACAAGGGAGAAACCTTCTGTGATCCTCCTTCACTGTGCTGAAGATAAAATACCTTTCCCAGAAGTCAACCAGCAGAAGTCCCCTTAAGCTTTGTTGACTAGAGAAAGGTCACATAGCTATCCCTAGCTTCAAGAGAGTCTGAATTTTCCTGCCTGTATAATGAGAGCAAACAAGATTGGTGGAGGTTGGGAATGGATCGTGCATAACTAACCAGTACTCCTTGTCTCACACATACACAAACCAATACAGCTTCACCAGGCTCTCTGAAGAGATCAAACTTTAAAAGAACCATGCAGATAATAAACACCACTATGAGAAGTGGAGAAGTTTCCATATGAACAGCAGTTGAGCATGGGTCAGTTGGTCCCGATGGACAGGCAGGTCCCATTCTGAAGGGATAAGGGATGGGCTCTGTTGCCCTCAGTCAGGACAATAACAAGCAATAAGAAATCACTGGAGGTACAAAACTCATTAGTTATAGTAAGTACACAGACAAATAAGATACTCTTAACACTGTAATTGTGGTATGTAAACCACTCATATCTTGAGGAGGAAGACTAAAACACAAACCTGTCAAAAATAATAACTACAACAACTTTTTAAAAGTTAGAAGTATAAAAAATATAAACAGAAGCAACAAAAAATTTAAAAGTGGAGTGGTGGAGTTAAAGCGTACAGTTTTTATTAGTTTTCTCTTAGCTTATTTGTTTGCTTGTTGTTGTTTGCAATCAGAATTATGTTGTCATCAGTTTAAAATAACAGATTATATGATGTTATTTGCAAGTCTCATGAGAACCTCAAATCCAAAAATCAAAACAGATACACAAAAAATAAAAAGTACGAAATTAAAACATACCACCAGACAAAATCATTTTACTCAAAGGAAGACAGAAAGGAAAGAAGGAAGAAAAGACCACAAAACAATAAGAAAACAAATAACAAAATGGTAGCAGAAAGTCCTTATTTATCAATAATAAAATTGAATGTAAATAGACTAGACTCTCCAATAAAAAGACACAGAGTGGCTGAATGGATTTTAAAAAAAACAAGACCCAGCCTCATGCTGCCTACAAGAAGACATTTCACCTACAAAGACACACACAGGGGGAAAATAAAAGGATGGAAAAAGATATTCCACGCAAATGGAAACCAAAAAAGCGCAGGAGTAGCTACACTTATATCAGACAAAATAGATTTTAAGACAGAAACTATAAAAAGAGACAAAGAAGGTCATTATATAATGATAAAGGGATGAATTCAGCAAGAGGATAAAGTAATAATTATTAATGTATATGCACTCAACCCTGGAGCACCCAGATATATAAAGCAAATATTATTAGAGCTAAAGAGAGAAATTAACCCTAAAGAGATAAATCCTAAATAGCTAAAGAGAGTGCTAATATTAATAATAGCTGGGGAAACTGGGGACCTCAACTCCCTACTTTTAGCATTGGAAAGATCATCCAAATGGAAAATCATCAAAGAAGCATGAGACTTAATTTGCACTATAGACCAAATGAACCTAATATATATTTACAAAACATTTCATCCAATACCGGCAGAATATATGTTTTTCTCCTCAGCACGTGGATCATTCTCAAGGACAGACCATATATTAGGCTGCAAAACAAGTCTTAAAAATGTCAAAAAAAATTGAAATCACATCAAATATCTTCTCTGATAACAGTGGAATAAAACTACAAATCAATAACAAGAGGAACTTTGGAAATGATACAAACACATAGAAATTAAACAACATGCTCCTTAATGACCAGTGGGTCAATGAAGAAATTAAGAAGAAAATTCAAAAATTTTTTAAACAAATGCAAATGAAAACACACACAAAAAAAAACCTGTGGGATACAGCAAAGGCAATACTAAGAGGAAAGATTATAGCAATAAGCGCCTACATCAAAAAAGTAGAAAAACTTCAAATAAACAACCTAATGATGCATCTGAAAGACCTAGAAAAGCAAGAATTAATCAAACCCACAATCAGTAGAAAACAGAAATAATAAAGATCCGAGCAGAAATAAATGAAATTAAAGCAAAGAAAAAGACAATATGAAAGATCAACAAAACAAAAAGTTGGTTTTATGAAAAGGTAAACAAAATTGACAAACCTTTAGCTGGACTAAGAAAAAAGAGGGAATGCCAAAGTAAAATCAGAGAAGAAAAATGAGACATTACAACAACACCACAGAAATTCAAGGGATCATTAGAGACTATGAGCAACAATATGCCAAGAAATTGGAAAACCTAGAAGAAATGGATAAATGCCTAGACACATACAACCTACCAAAATTGAACCATGAAGAAATACAAAACCCAAATAGACCAACAACAAGAAATGAGATCAAAGATGTAATAAAAGTTTCCCATCAAAGAAAAGCCTAGGACCTCATGGCTTCACTGCTGAATTTTACCAAACATTTCAAGAAAAGCAAACACCAATTCTGTGAAGAAAGTCATTGGTAGCTTGATGGGGATGGCATTGAATCTGTAAATTACCTTGGGCAGTATGGCCATTTTCACGATATTGATTCTTCCTACCCATGAGCATGGAATGTTCTTCCATTTGTTTGTATCCTCTTTTATTTCATTGAGCAGTGGTTTCTAGTTCTCTTTGAAGAGGTCCTTCATGTCCCTTGTAAGTTGGATTCCTAGGTATTTTATTCTCTTTGAAGCAATTGTAAATGGGAGTTCACTCATGATTTGGCTCTCTGTTTGTCTGTTATTGGTGTATAAGAATGCTTGTGATTTTTGTACATTGATTTTGTATCCTGAGACTTTGCTGAAGTTGCTTATCAGCTTAAGGAGATTTTGGGCTGAGACAATGGGGTTTTCTAGATATACAATCATGTCGTCTGCAAACAGGGACAATTTGACTTCCTCTTTTCCTAATCGAATACCCTTTATTTCCTTCTCCTGCCTAATTGCTCTGGCCAGAACTTCCAACACTATGTTGAATAGGAGTGGTGAGAGAGGGCATCCCTGTCTTGTGCCAGTTTTCAAAGGGAATGCTTCCAGTTTTTGCCTATTCAGTATGATATTGGCTGTGGGCCTGTCATAGATAGCTCTTATTATTTTGAGATACATCCCATCAATAACTAATTTATTGAGAGTTTTTAGCATGAAGGTTGAATTTTCTCAAAGGCCTTTTCTGCATCTATTGAGATAATCATGTGGTTTTTGTCTTTGGTTCTGTTTATATGCTGGATTACATTTATTGATTTGTGTATATTGAACCAGCCTGGCATCCCAGGGATGAAGCCCACTTGATCATGGTGGATAAGCTTTTTGATGTGCTGCTGGATTCGGTTTGCCAGTATTTTATTGAGGATTTTTGCATCAATGTTCGTCAAGGATATTGGTCTAAAATTCTCTTTTTTGGTTGTGTCTCTGCCCGGCTTTGGTATCAGGATGATGCTGTCCTCATAAAATGAGTTAGGGAGGATTCCCTCTTTTTCTATTGATTGGAATAGTTTCAGAAGGAATGGTACCAGTTCCTCCTTGTACCTCTGGTAGAATTCGGCTGTGAATCCATCTGGTCCTGGACTCTTTTTGGTCAGTAAGCTATTGATTATTGCCACAATTTCAGAACCTGTTATTGGTCTATTCAGAGATTCAACTTCTTCCTGGTTTAGTCTTGGGAGGGTGTATGTGTCGAGGAATTTATCCATTTCTTCTAGATTTTCTAGTTTATTTGCATAGAGGTGTTTGTAGTATTCTCTGATGATAGTTTGTATTTCTGTGGGATCGGTAGTGATATCCCCTTTATCATTTTTTATTGTGTCTATTTGATTCTTCTCTCTTTTCTTCTTTATTAGTCTTGCTAGCAGTCTATCAATTTTGTTGATCCTTTCAAAAAACCAGCTCCTGGATTCATTAATTTTTTGAAGGGTTTTTTGTGTCTCTATTTCCTTCAGTTCTGCTCTGATTTTAGTTATTTCTTGCCTTCTGCTAGCTTTTGAATGTGTTTGCTCTTGCTTTTCTAGTTCTTTTAATTGTGATGTTAGGGTGTCAATTTTGGATCTTTCCTGCTTTCTCTTGTGGGCTTTTAGTGCTATAAATTTCCCTCTACACACTGCTTTGAATGTGTCCCAGAGATTCTAGTATGTTGTGTCTTTTTTCTCGTTGGTTTCAAAGAACATCTTTATTTCTGCCTTCATTTCGTTATGTACCCAGTAGTCATTCAGGAGCAGGTTGTTCAGTTTCCAAGTAGTTGAGCGGTTTTGAGTGAGTTTATTAATCCTGAGTTCTGGTTTGATTGCACTGTGGTCTGAGAGACAGTTTATTATCATTTCTGTTCTTTTACATTTGCTGAGGAGAGCTTTACTTCCAACGATGTGGTCAATTTTGGAATAGGTGTGGTGTGGTGCTGAAAAAAATGTATATTCTGTTGATTTGGGGTGGAGAGTTCTGTAGATGTCTATTAGGTCCGCTTGGTGCAGAGCTGAGTTCAATTCCTGGGTATCCTTGTTAATTTTCTGTCTCGTTGATCTGTCTAATATTGACAGTGGGGTGTTAAAGTCTCCCATTATTATTGTGTGGGAGTCTAAGTCTCTTTGTAGGTCACTCGGGACTTGCTTTATGAATCTGGGTGCTCCCGTATTGGGTGCATATATATTTAGGATAGTTAGCTCTTCTTGTTGAATTGATCCCTTTACCATTATGTAATGGCCTTCTTTGTCTCTTTTGATCTTTGTTGGTTTAAAGTCTGTTTTATCAGAGACTAGGATTGCAACCCCTGCCTTTTTTTGTTTTCTATTTGCTTGGTAGATCTTCCTCCATCCTTTTATTTTGAGCCTATGTGTGTCTCTGCACGTGAGATGGGTTTCCTGAATACAGCACACTGATGGGTCTTGACTCATTATCCAATTTGCCAGTCTGTGTCTTTTAATTGGAGCATTTAGTCCATTTACATTTAAAGTTAATATTGTTATGTGTGAATTTGATCCTGTCATTATGATGTTAGCTGGTTATTTGGCTCGTTAGTTGATGCAGTTTCTTCCTAGCCTCGATGGTCTTTACAATTTGGCATGATTTTGCAGTGGCTGGTACCGGTTGTTCCTTTCCACATTTAGTGCTTCCTTCAGAAGCTCTTTTAGGGCAGGCCTGGTGGTGACAAAATCTCTCAGCATTTGCTTATCTGTAAAGTATTTTATTTCTCCTTCACTTATGAAGCTTAGTTTGGCTGGATACGAAATTCTGAGTTGAAAATTCTTTGCTTTAAGAATGTTGAATATTGGCCCCCACTCTCTTCTGGCCTGTAGAGTTTCTGCCGAGAGATTCATATGGAACCAAAAAAGAGCCCACATCACCAAGTCAATCCTAAGCCAAAAGAACAAAGCTGGAGGCATCACACTACCTGACTTCAAACTATACTACAAGGCTACAGTAACCAAAACAGCACAGTACTGGTACCAAAACAGAGATATAGATCAATGGAACAGAACAGAGCCCTCAGAAATAATACCGCATATCTACAACTATCTGATCTTTGACAAACCTGAGAAAAACAAGCAATGGGGAAAGGATTCCCTATTTAATAAATGGTGCTGGGAAAACTGGCTAGCCATATGTA
The DNA here is from genome assembly GCF_000001405.40 of Homo sapiens. Lineage (NCBI taxonomy): Eukaryota > Metazoa > Chordata > Mammalia > Primates > Hominidae > Homo > Homo sapiens. The sequence continues at coordinate 222,354,699 of NC_000001.11, forward strand.
GAAAGCTGAAACTGGATCCCTTCCTTACACCTTATACAAAAATTGATTCAAGATGGATTAAAGACTTAAACGTTAGACCTGAAACCATAAAAACCCTAGAAGAAAACCTAGGCATTACCATTCAGGACATAGGCATGGGCAAGGACTTCATGTCTAAAACACCAAAAGCAATGGCAGCAAAAGCCAAAATCGACAAATGGGATCTAATTAAACTAAAGAGCTTCTGCACAGCAAAAGAAACTACCATCAGAGTGAACAGGCAACCTACAAAATAGGAGAAAATTTTCACAACCTACTTATCTGACAAAGGGCTAATATCCAGAATCTACAATGAACTCAAACAAATTTACAAGAGGAAAACAAACAACCCCATCAAAAAGTGGGTGAAGGACATGAACACACACTTCTCAAAAGAAGACATTTATGCAGCCAAAAAACACATGAAAAAATACTCATCATCACTGGCCATCAGAGAAATGCAAATCAAAACCACAATGAGATACCATCTCACACCAGTTAGAATGGCAATCATTAAAAAGTCAGGAAACAACAGGTGCTGGAGAGGATGTGGAGAAATAGGAACACTTTTACACTGTTGCTGGGACTGTAAACTAGTTCAACCATTGTGGAAGTCAGTGTGGCGATTCCTCAGGGATCTAGAACTAGAAATACCATTTGACCCAGCCATCCCATTACTGGGTATACACCCAAAGGATTATAAATCATGCTGCTATAAAGACACATGCATACGTATGTTTATTGCGGCACTATTCACAATAGCAAAGACTTGGAACCAACCCAAATGTCCAACAATGATAGACTGGATTAAGAAAATGTAGCACATACACACCATGGAATACTATGCAGCCATAAAAAATGATGAGTTCATGTCCTTTGTAGGGACATGGATGAAATTGGAAATCATCATTCTCAGTAAACTATCGCAAGGACAAAAAACCAAACACCGCATGTTCTCACTCATAGATGGGAATTGAACAATGAGAACACATGGACACAGGAAGGGAAACATCACACTCTGGGGACTGTTGTTGGGTTGGGGGAGGGGGGAGGGATAGCATTAGGAGATATACCTAATGCTAAATGATGAGTTAATGGGTGCAGCACACCAGCATGGCACATGTATACATATGTAACTAACCTGCACATTGTGCACATGTACCCTAAAACTTAAAGTATAATAATAATAAAATTTAAAAAAAAAGAAAAGCAAACACCAATCCTATTCAAAGTATTCCAAAAACTAGAAGAGGAAGGAATACTTCCAAACACATTCTACAAGGCCAATATTATCCTGATACTAAAACAAGACAAAAACACAAACACACACACACACACAAAACTACAGGCCAATATCTCTAATGAACATCTATGCAAAAATCCTCAACAAAGCACTACTAAACTGAATTTAACAACACATGAAAAAATCATTCATCATAACCATGTGGAGTTTATCCCAGGGATGCAAGAATGGTTCAACATACACAAATCAATCAACACCCGATATCAACAGATCATATCAATCAATCATATCAACAGAATGAAGGAAAAAAACCATATGATTTTTTCTATTGCTGCTGAAAAGGCATCCAATAAAATTTAACCTCCCTTTATGATAAAAACCTAAAAAAGCTGGGAATAGAAGGAAAATATTTCAACACAATAAAAGCCATATTCAACAGATCCACAGCTAGTATCATACCGACTGGGCAAAAACTAAAAGCTTTTCCTCTATGCTCCGGAACAAGACAAGGATGCTCACTTTTACCACTGGTGAAAGTACTGGAAGTCCTAGCTAGAGCAATCAGACAACAGAAAAATATAAAGAGCATCCAAATTGGAATAGAGGAAGTCAAATTATCCTTTTTTGCATATGATATAATTTTTTATTTAGAAAAACCTAAAGACTCCACTAAAAAAACTACTAGAACTGATAAATTCAGTAAAGTTGCCATGACACAAAATCAACATACAAAATTCATTAGCATTTCTATATGCTAAGAGCAAACAATCTGAAAAGGAAATCCCATTTTCAATAGCTGCAAATAAAATACAATATGTAAGAACAAACTTAACCAAAGAAGTGAAAGATCACTACAATGAGAACTATTTTAAAATGATGAAAGAAATTGAAGAGGACACAAAAAAATGGAAAGATATTCCATGTTCATGAGTTGGAAGAATCATTATTGTTAAAATGTCCATACTTCCCAAAGCAGTCTACAGATTCAATGCAATTCCTATCAAAATGTCAATGACATTCCTCACAGAAATAGAAAAAAAAATCCCAAAATTTATATAGAACAGCAAAAGACCCAGACTACTCAAAGCCATCCTGAGCCAAAAAAACAAAACTGAAAAGAATCACATTACCTGAATTCAAATTATAGTACAGAACTATAACAACCAAAACAGCATAGTACTGGCATAAAAACAAACACATAGACCAATGGAACAGAATAGAGAACCCAGAAATAAATCTATGCATCTACAGTGAACTCACTTTCAACAAAGGTTCCAAGAACATACATAGGAGAAAGGACAGTCTGTTCAACACACCATGCTGGGAAAACTGGATATCCACATACCAAACAATCAAAGTAGACCCCTATCTCTCACTGAGACAGCCAGGTGGGAAGGGCTCCCTGACAGAACCTCCCATGACCTGAATGCTGGGAGGAAAGTTTACTGGGATGGCGCCTCCAGAAGTTCCTGCAGTTTGCAGTGGGGAGGAGCCTGGCCCCACCTCTTCCTGTGTGGAAAGTGAGATTCAAACTGCGAGGCGGGAAGCGTACCAGCAGGGACTCTGGCTTTGCAGAGGGTCTCTGTATCCCTTCTTTTCCCTTTTCACCCAATAAAACCTTGCCTTACTCACCCTTCAAATGTCTGTGAGCCTAAATTTTTGTGGCAGTGTGACAAGGGCCCCATTTTTAACTGAACTAAGGAAATGTCCTGCAACATCACCATATACAAAAATCAAATCAAAATGAATTAAAGACTTAAATCTAAGACTTCAAACTATGAAACTACTAAAACACTGAGGAAACTCTCCAGGACATTGGTCTGGGCAAAGATTTCTTAAGTAATACCTCAAAAGCACAGGCAACCAAAGTGAAAATGGACAAATGGGATCACATCAAATTAAAAAGCTTCTGCAAAATAAAAGATACAATCAACAAGGTGAAGAGACAACCCACAGAATGGGAGAAAATATTTGCAAACTATCTATCTTACAAGGGATTAATAACCAGACTATACAAGGAACTCAAACAACTCAACAGGAAAAAAATCTAATAATCTGATTTTAAAATGTGCAAAAGATCTAAATAGACATTTCTCAAAAGAAGACATACAAATGGCAAACAGGTAGGTGAAAACATACTCAATATCATTAATCATCAGAAAGAAGTGAATCAAAACTACAATGGGATATCATCTCAACCCAGTTAAAATAGCTTTTATCCAAAAGACAGGCAATAATGAATGTTGATGAAGATGTGGAGAAAGGGGAACCCTCATACACTGTTGGTGGGAATGTAAATTAGTACAACCACTACGAGAACAGTATGGAGGTTCTTCAGAAATCTAAAAATAGAACTACTATGCAATCCAGCAATCTCACTGCTGGGTATATACCCAGAAGAAGGGAAATCAGTATATTGAAGATTTATCTTTACTACCATGTTTCTTGCAGCACTATTCACAATAACCAAGATTTGGAATCAGTCAAAATGTCCTTCAACAGATGAATGAGTATAGAAAATATGGTACATATATACAAAAAAAATATTATTCACTCATGAAAGAGAATGAAATCCTGTGATGTTAAACAACATGGATGGAACTGGAGGACATTAGGTTAAGTGAAATAAGCCAAGCACAGAAAGACAAATTTTGCATGTTCTCACTCATATGTGGAAGCTAAAAATAAAACAATTGAACTCATGAAGATAGAAGGTAGAATGCTGGTTACCAGAGGCTGGGAGGGTATTGGGGAACAGGGCAAAAAGTGGGGATGATGAATGAATGCAAAAACATAGTTCAGTAGAATAATATCTAATATTTGATAGCACAACAGAGTGACTACAGTCAACAATAATTTATTGTATATTTTAAAGTAACTAAAAGGGTGGAATTGGAATGTTCCTGACACAAATAAATAATAAGTGCTTGACGTGGTGGATAACCCAATTAAACTAATGTAATTATTACACATTGTATGCCTGTATCAAAACATCACGTGTATCCCATAAACATATATGCCTACAATATAATCATAAAAATTAAAAATTAAATTAAAAAATAAATAAATACAACTGTGTATAGAATAAAGAGGATTAGATGTAGACTGAAAAATGGGGATTTACCTCCTAGTTCTCTATTTCACAGTTGAATGACTTCCTCATCTAGTCAACCTTAGTTCCCCATTTGTAAGATGAAGATAATTCCAAGAATACTGCAAAATTAGGTAATATTTGCTAAAGTTGATTTAAAAATATATAAAAAGGTACTACTAACCTATGAAAACTGGAACCCCAAATTAATCAACATCTGAAAAAACAGATATAGAGAGATTATATTATGGAATGTTAATAAATTTTACAAAGAAATTCATAATACTCTACCTATTTTGCTTTTAATCTGTCTGCTTAAATCTGAGATAAGAAAGGATAGAAGAATCAACTCAAGACTAAAGAAAACTTTTGTTTCTGACAATGTAACCAAATAAATACTATTAAAAACCTCTTGGTCCGGGCACAGCGGCTCATACCTGTAATCCCAGCTTCCCAGGAGGCTGAGGCAGGAGAATTGCTTGAACCCAGGAGGTAGAGGTTGCAGTGAGCCGAGATCACGCCACTGCATTCCAGCCTGGGCGATGGATAGAGACTCCATCTCAAAAATAATAATAAAAATTTTAAAAAAAACCTCTTGATGTAGACATTTTTAATAATAAAGACCAAAAATATCTTTAAATATGTAGTTAAACTTGAAACAAATTAAGAAAACATTACAGGGGTTAGTTGGTTGGTTTAAGAAAAGGAGCTGACCGGCGCAGTGGCTCACACCTGTAATCCCAGCACTTTGGGAGGCCAAGGCAGGCAGATCACGAGGTCAGGAGTTCGAGACCAGCCTGGCCAATATGGTGAAACCCTGTCTCTACTAAAGATACAAAAAATTACCTGAGCATGTTGGCGCATGCCTGTAATCCCAGCTACTCTGGAGGCTGAGACAGGAGAATCGCTTGAACCCAGGAGGTGAAGGCTGCAGTGAGCCAAGATTGCACCATTGCACTCCAGCCTGGGTGACAGGGCAAGACTCCGTCTCAAAAAAAAAAAAAAAAATGAAAAGGAGCTAGAAAACAGAATGGTAATCTGATGTTGAAGCTATGGCTGCCTAAGAAACAGCTACAGTTTCAGAATCAAATAAGCTTGGATACTGAGAATCTCCCAAAGTCAGGATATGTTACCTTAGACTATCTGAGGGTGATGAGTTAGGACATACAGACTTTTCCCCAATAAAACCAATACCCTATAAGAGCTACATCTCATTGACAGGGGAAACAGAAAAATTCCTTCACCAACAAAGGAAGACAATCAGAGAACTCCTTAGTCTCAATCTAAGATCCACTTGGGGAAAAAAATAGAGACTTTTTCCTAAGAATTCACAACCACAGTCTAACCTCCCATGGATCTGAGTGTCATATTTAGGTTACTTATGTGATCCAGGAAACCCCAAAGAAAAAATTTAATTTAAAGTAATTCAAAGTAGGTGCTGTCTTGGGGTACTCAGAAAAAGTAAATATAAATGCTCAAGGATATACCCTTCATATAAAGCATTACAAATGATATACCCTTCATATAGACACTACAAAGATCTGACAGAGACGCACCAAAATGAACTCATAACCTAAAACTAAAAAACTCTTATGTAAACATGCTATTGTAAATGAGAAGTAGCAGAATTAGATCTTCAAGGACTTTGGGACTTTGAAATGATCAAATATACAATATAGTCAAGATGGAGATTAGAGTGAGGCAAGTGATGCATTTTCCTCAGGTAAAAAAAAAAAAAAAGAGATGTCAAAAAGCTCAGCAATCAAGGTAAATAATATTTTAATGAAATATTTTTTAATCAAAATTGATGCAAAAAATGCATGATAAACAAAATATCAAAAATTTAAATGAAGACAGAGTCTTATAATTTCATGTCAAACCATATTATAGCCTGGGCCAAAAGAAAGAATGTGTGCACCTATGTACATGAATTTTTTCAAGAATATTAAAGTGGTTGAAAAGTATGAGAAAGTAGATATATTAAAACTCACATTGTTTTAAGTTCAAAATTTTTATTTATGCCAAAAAATAATTTATTGTAATTTTACTTTCTTGACTTGTTCAATGGGAGAAAATGCATGAAGATTTTTATTAAAATTATTAATCATTAAAAACAATATATAAAAGCATTACTATATAGGCACAAAATGAGAAAAGAACAATACAATAATAAATAGGCAAATTTGCAAAATAATTAAGTAAAAATTTTAGAAATTAAAAATATAATTATTCAAATTAAAAACAGCAGTGGACTTAACAGCAGGTTAGATATAGCTAAAAAGAGAAACAGCAAACTAGAAGATAAATGTAAAGAAATTATCCAGCATGTAGGACAGAAAGATGGAGAAAAATAAAACATGAAAGCAGGGTTAAGAAGCAAAGAGGTTAGAATTTAAAAGTCTAACATCTATCAAATAGAACTCCAGAAAGCACACACACACACACACACGGAAGAGTTAATGGCTAAGAAAATTTAGAACTAATGAAAGACAATAATCTTCAGATTCACAAATCAGTGAATCCCAAGTAGGATAATTTTCTTTAAATCCACACCTAGAAACATTATAGTAAAACTGAGAACATTAGGGTAGGGAAAGGAGAGAGAGATTTTAAAAGCTGTCAAGAAAAAAAAAATTTTTTGAAAAAGTATTATTGCCTGGCATTATACTAGATATTGGAACTACAGTGATGAACAGAAAAAGTATATCTCTGCCATGTAAACCTTATAATCTTGATAACACTGAACAATAGTAAGTTTAGTTTCAAATCTTATGCATGCAATCAAGAGAGGAGAAACCTAACAGCAGCTTATGTAAATACCAAACTCTGAAGGTTTGCTGCAAGCTCAAAATGAACCAACTCTTTGATTTTACTCTTAAAATAGCTTATTTACTCTTTGGATGTATTAATGGAAGCTCAGTGTCCTGATTATGGAAGGCAATAATCATGTACTACTCTGCACAAGTCAGTGAATATCTGGGATATTATTTAAATATTTTACCCCGTTCTGAGTAATAAACACTGGAAGGCTAGATGACAAATGAGTTTAGAAGAGAGTTGCCAGGATAATGAGAGTCCCAAGCACCATATTACATGAGAAATTATTGAGAGAAATAAAAACACTAATGTATATACTATTCTTCCAGCAATTACGTATTCTATGTGCTTATGTACTAGGTGCTGTTTTAGGTAGGTGCTTGAGGTATATCAGTAAAACAAACAAAAATCTGGCCTTCAGTGAACTAATTGTCAAAAGGGGGAGACCAATAATTAATAGAATAAACAATGTGTTAGAAAATCTTAATGTCTAAGAGAATAATCGAGCAGGAAAAGGAGGGATAGAAGTGTCAGGAAAGGGCAATAGATGGAAATCTTGAATAGCATGGTGAAGGTAGGCCTCATTGAGGAGATGGCATTTGCACAAAGGCGTAAAGAAGACGAAGGATGAGCCATGAGGTTCTCTGGAGGAAGAGAACTCCAGGCAGAAGGAATAACTAGTACAAAGGCCCTAAGTTGGGAGCAGATCTGGCATATTTGAGGAACAGCAAAGAGATAAGTGAGAAGGGAATAGAATAAGCAAAAGGGAAGTAGGATTAAGTCAAAGAGGTATCAGAAAGGGATAGGAGCTAGCCTGTATAGGGCCATGTAGTCCATTAACTCTGAGAGAAATGAGGAGCCATCGCAGAGTTTTGAGCAAAGGAGAGACATCATCTGATTTATTAATACATTTTGAAGGATCATTTTGACTGCCAAGTTGAGAAAGGACTTTAGAAGGGCTAGGATACAAGTGCAGAGACCTGTTAGGAGGCTCTTGCAGTAATCCAAGCAAGAGATGATAGTGGCTTGGGCCACGATACAGCAGCAGTGGAGGAGATGAAAAATAATCAAATTCTGGAAATATTTTGTGGGTGGAGTGCCTTAGCCAGCTTGGGTTGCCATAACAAAATATCATAGACTTGGTGGCTTAAACAAAAAATTTATGTTCTTACAGTTCTGGAGGCTGGAAGTTTGAGATCAGGGTGCAAGCATGGTCAGGTTCTGGTGAGGACTCTCTTCCTGGCTTGCAGACAGTTCTCTTCTTATATCTTCATATGGCAGAGAAAGAGTGAAAGTAGCTCTCTGGTGTTTCTTCTAATAAGAGCACTAATGCCATAATGAGGGCCCTACCCTCATAACTTCACATAAACATAATTACCTCCCAAAGGTCTTATCTCCAAATACCATCACTTGGGGGTTAGGGCTTCAACATATATAAATTTGGGGCAAAGGGGACACAGTTCAGTCCATAGCATAGAGATAGCAGGATTTCCTGACAGATTGGCAGTATTGGAGGATCCAGCTACAACAGCACAGAGAAGAGGTAACCAGTGAGATTGGAAATCACAGAAGTCAGGTGAGGAAATATATCAAAGAGGAAATGATCAATGGTGTCAAATGTTGTTGCCTGGTCAAGTAATATGAAGACTGAGAATTGACCATTGGAATTAGCAACATGGAGGGGAGGGATATTGGCAAAAGCCTAATTAGGGTGGGTTTAAGGAAACATGAGAAGAGGAATTGGAGAAGGCAAATTTAGACTCTCCCAATTTGAATTTGAATTCTTTAAAGAAATTTGTTGCAGAGAGGAACAAAAATTAGGGATATAGCTGGTGGGAGAGTGGGAACAAGAGGAGGTTTTTTTCTAAATGGAAGAAATGACAGCATGTTTATGTCCAGCGGAGAACAAGTTGCTGAAGTTGAAGAGGAAGAGAAGAATTGCTGAAGCACATCCTTGGGTAGTGAGGGGGGTAGGATTTAGTGAGCTTCAGATAGGACCACCCAAAGCAACCAGGTGGTTGGGAAGACAGAGACATGGGAGCAGATGCTGGAAGGTGGGTAGAATATGGAGGTAAAATAGTCTACCAACATTCTTTTCTAACTGCTTCAATTTATTAGTAAAGCAGGAATCAAGGTCAGCAGGTGAAAGTAAGGATGGGGAAGAAGTTGTAAGAGGTTTGAAATGGTGGAATGGTCATCTAGGAAAGTGTGAGAGTAAATGGACCAGGGAAATATACTGTGATAATGACCCTAGGCAACATTAAGTTCTCATTTGAAGTTCATCATCATGAATATAAAGCCAAATCAGGCATCAAGAGTATAATTTTCTTCAGCCCCAGTCAATTGTACAGGCATAGGCACAGAGTAGATGGAGAGAGATTTAACCAGGGTTGTACTTTTACTAAAACCATAAAGAGGGAGAAGGCCAGGGAACAACAGGTACCTACAAAGGAGTGATTATAAGGAATGATGATAGAATTTAACTGGGCAAGGAGTGGATAGAGGATATCAAAAGGATGAAGAGCAATGAAAAGGAAGTAGGATTAATTTGTTGGAGGTTCTCATGGGATTGAGGAATTGCTGGAGGTCAGGGATCTAAGAGAGAAAATGTGAAAAGATAAGATGGTGTTAATAAAAAATGAGATATGTAAAACTGAGGTTGTAGAGCATAGCAAACAGGTGATTAAGGAGACGCATCCTGAAGTATTTGAAGAGCCGAGCTGTAGTATAGAAATAGACCTTTTTTTGTATTACTCTAGGACCACGGTTTGGAAATTACAGAGAAAAAAAATGTGAGGACTGGAGAAGTATCCTATTAAAGGTGAGATGGAACAAGATGCCTACTAAAGTGGTGAGATCTCTAGAGTTGTTCAAGGCTGGATAACCACTCAGTCTTTCATAAGAGACATAAGAGAGAAGGTTTCTGCAATAAATAGATCATATTAGAAAACCATGCAGGGTTTTCTTCCTGAAGTTTCTTCCTTTTTCCTAAAAATATTTTGCCTTATTGTAAGGGAAGTATACAATAGTGGGGCCATATGTGCTAGTGGGGGCTGCCCTCCCTATTCCAGTTACCCTCTATTGTTGTGGTGATAGAGCCCCAGATGTTCTGCAAACATCCACATACGCAGCAATTTTTACAAGTGACCTTTTCCCAGGAGCTCCATCAAACAATGGAGGATAAACATCAAGTATCAAACCCAAAGGCATTAGACTGATCTCCAGTCCTTTTTTTGCTCTGAGTTCCCCCTATGATGCTCTCCTTTTGTTTCCACACACCATTTTCTTTATGTTATTTGGCCTCATCCACCACCTGGAAAGCCTGCTCCCTTCTTCTGCCCCCCATCTTCAAGTCAACTCAAAACCAACTGTGCATGAGACCACCCCAGACTGCCCCCACCCCTGTTCCAGTCTAGAGTTGCCGCTTTTCTCCTCCAAGCTATTATTATGACATGTTTCACCCCTCTCGGAGAAGAAGTATTTTTCCCCAGCTTCTCACATTTCTAAGGGACTTCCACTCAAGAGCCCTTTCCTCATGGGAAGAATTACTAGAATAAATAATTCTAAACTCCATCTCTAATGGTTCATCTCCAAGAGAAAAAGAATTATAATCCTACTGATTGAAGGCTGACATTCAGTGGCTATTGTCTTACTAGGGAGAATGTTAACTGTGCCTCAAAAGCAGGAACCAGGCCAACTGTTGTTGAGTCGTTGTTGTTTTTCATTTTCTTTGGTCACTGACAGTTTCTCCTCCTGCCCTCAGGCAGTATGCACACATGGAAATAGTCCACTCTTCTCTGAAGTCCTTATCCATTTGGCGTCTTGGTAGGTGCATTTAGAATAACCTAGATGAGTACAGTCATATTGGGGTAGAAGTAATGAGTCCCCACTATGACCTCAGACCTAATTCACATTTTCCAATACAACTTACCAGAAGCAATATTTGTTGGGATTACAGGCTGCTGGCCCAGAGTAATAAATCAGCTCTTTTCCCATTTAATGTTGGTTTAATTCTTTCTCTAATCCCTATAATTCTAGTATAGGCGAGGTGAATGGCAATTCAATTCTCTCCTCACACTTAGCATTTGTTTTATGTACTGATCTCTTTCAGTGCACAGATGCTTTTCTTCCAAACAAGATTTTACAATTTTTGAAGGCACAAACGTCTTACACCTGTTTATCATCCCTCTAGCACACGCCACAATGTCATCTGGGTAACTGATATTCTACAGTTAACAATATTATCCACAAGCAGTAATAATCCCATGAATCACTAGCCTTGCCCTTGTGCCACCAGCACCCCAAACCAAGCCTTACTATCAAATGAGAGCATCTCATTAATTGGGTAAAAAATTAGACTTGAGAAGACATTTGCATTCCCGATGTGTTTCATTTGTTCTTCCCACTGGCACTGGCAAAGAAATTTCTCATCCCCTGTCTGTGGGTCTGAACACTTCAGAAACAATATAGATCTTATCTCTGGTCCATTTAGTTGAACATGAAAAGCAAGGTCACTATAGACATTTGGTTCCTGTGCCTTTAGAACCACCACGTCAACTCAGAGAGAATATTTAGCTCTTCTGTCACCTACTGCTTAGAAGCAAAACAAATGAAATTGACAGGTCTTTAATTTTCTCATTAAGGCAGGCATATGGGCTGGAGCTTGTGACAGTACTGCAATGAGTATGAGAAAAATACGTATTCGTGGTTCTTTCAAACAAGACTTAAGAAAGCAAGAATGCTGCAAATGCTATTCTTTCCTTCTCATTACATATACAACTATTTCCATTGAGAAAAGAAAGGAAAATGGGACATCTTGGTCATATTTTACTCGACTTCTTTTGCTTCGTGATAATCCCATCTTTGTTCTCAACCACTATCATTACACAGAGGAAGGGTATTTACACGGAAGGAAAAACCAGGATACTTTGAATTATGAAATAAATGGACTGAGGTCAAATCTATTGTCCCGGCCTTCCTAATGGCCTCTTCACTCAGTTACAGTTGTGGTGGTTCTTAACAGAGAAACCCAGACATCTAAAAAACATTGACAGCTCCCATGTAAATGTGAACAGCCCCAGAGACTAAAATGTAAAGCATCCGATAAAATGTTCTTCTCCTTAATGGAGAGTACACCCTAGCAGTATTGAACAATGTTATTTGCAAGTAATTTATTGAATATCAGTGCTCTGAGTTGTTTTTTCCCCTTAACATAGTATTCAAGAAGCACTAATAAAATGGAACTAGTCTCTTCCCTTGTATATTCTTGGATTCATTAAGACTCACCAAAGTCATTAAACCACTCTGCTTAAATTGTCACTTACTAGAACAGACAGAGGTGCAAAAAGCCAACACAATTAAATGTGTGAATCCTTTTCCCAGTGGTCCTGGATTTCCCTGGGCATGATCTCTGAGGCTTGGACCCCAAAACCACACTGATGACTATCATTCATTTGCAATTATTGAACATTCACTTTGTGCCAGATTTTATAATAGAGTTTGAAGACTTGGAATGGATGTCTTGAGCCTCATTGACGATACGATCTAGTGGGAAAGACAGAAGTAAGCATAAAATAAATGCTATGATCAGTATAAGGAGAGATAGGAAAGAGTTAATAAACAGTTTGATGATACATAGGTAAGAAAGCTTTGAGAGAAGTCCTGACAAAAATCCAAAGTTCACAAGACTCCCAGAGGTCTGGAGAATATCTTAAAAATCTAATAATGGGATTATTCATCTCCCTTTTGTTTCCTTCCTGGGGAAGATGGGAAAACAAAAGCAAGAAAATAAAGTGATTTTCCAAGGAACACAAAGGAATGCCAGTTAGCACGCCTGACCCATAACATCACATAGCCCTTCGGAAACTTAAAATTCCACCCGCCCTGCTCCTGCTCTCTGACCACCGAGGCCAGCTTCATCTTTCCAGAACCCATTTTTTATGCCATTAACTCAGATAAAATTCAAGCCCTTCTGATTTCACCAGGGCACACAGATCTTTAACCCCCTTCCCAGAATCCAGTGTATTGGGGTTCAAACTCACTGTACTCAAAATCAATATTTTGAACATCTATCATATGCAGCCTAATAAAAATATAACTATATATCAAGCATTGCTAGGCACTTAGGTCGCAGCCTCCTATTTAATCCTTACATCCACTTACCAGGCAGGTCCACTATTATCTCAATTTTACTGATGAGGAAATAGAAACTTGTAGAGCGTTCTGGTTATCTGTTGTTTCATCACAAACCACCCCTAAAACATAATGGCTTAAAACAACAACTTATTATTTCTCATGATTATGTGAGTTGACTGGGGCTCAGCTGGGCAGTTCTTGCTCGAGGTCTCTCACACAGTTGCAGCCAGATGTCAGCTGGGGCTACCATTCATCTGATGGCTGAACTGCGCCAGACATCCAAGATGGCTTCTTCACTCCCATGTCCAGGGGTCCAGGGTACCTCCACATGACCTCTATCTCTGGCAGAAGACTTGGACTTCTTCCATGGCAACTCAGGGCCACAAAAGACCAAGAAAGAAGCTGCTAATCTTCTTGAAAGCTAGATGAAGAACTGGCTTAGCATCACTTCAAATGTACTGTATTGGTCAAAACAGTCTCAGGCCAGCCCAGTTGCAAGAGGAGGGGAAGTAGTTCCCAACCCTTGATAGCAGTATGTAAAAAGATTATGTGACCATCTTTAATCTACCACAGGGAAGACTGGCAACTTACCCAAGGTCACATAACAAATAAGTGCCTGAGCTGGGACTCAAGCCACTTCAGTCTGACTCCAAAGCCCATTAACTAACCTCTCTATTGTTTTCCCAGTGAAGGCACTTCCATTACGCTGCCAGTGTGGGAACAAAAGTAAGTCTACTCAAGACTTCTCCCTGCAAAAGTGTGAGCATAACTGAGGACACAGGCTCCCTTAGGACCTTGGCCCTTCGCTGAATCCCACTGCAGCTGTTGGTCCCTGTCTGTGGGTTCAAGAACCTAAGGCCCCATGCCCTGGGACTCAGAGTTCCTCGATCCTGACACAGAGAGTTCTGGCCTTATAAAATATATCCACAAGTAACCCAGATTTCTTGTCTGAACTCTTAACTATGCCAGGGTTAAGATAGGCAGAAACTCAAAGGGTAACCACAGCATTTTATTATAATGCCAGGTTACACGTCAGGCCAAGCACAGAAATCACCTGAAGGCCTTACCTGAACAACATTGAACATAGAAGTGTGCATAGTTGGGATCTGGGGTCCCTCATAGGGCTCTCCAAGGAACACTATTACACAGAGACTGGTAAGTAGTGATGATCAAACTGGCAGTAGACATAAAGATTTGGTTAGTAGAGAATTGGGGAAATGAAGGGTGAGGTTGCAGGTGTAAGGTTTTTGTATCGGTTTGAACCCCGAGAGCACGCCAACAGACAACACGAGGTGGTGTGGAACAACATGCTGTTTTAATGAGCGCCTGGGTGCAGGCGGGCTGAGGCCTAAAATGACGTCAGCCCCAAGTGAGGACGGGGCAAAGGTTTTATAGTCTTCTGTAAACAGGAAGTGTCCTACTCCGACATAACTGCTATGTTGTACCCAGATGGCCTCTTTCTCCATCTTCAGGGGTCTTCCGGCCAGGATAGCTGTCTTCCGACTGGCTCTCTTCCTGCTTCTGCTATTTTGCTGGTGCACGCTGCTGACATAAGTGGCCTTGCGCCTTGGGACTGGGCCTGAGAAGGGAGGAGTTATTCATCTCCTTAAGCTTTCAGGCCCCGGGGAGAATCTAACAGCAGGGAAACAGAGCCAAGAGAGATTACCTCTGAAAGAAAGGGTGGGGAGTGGGGATGCACAGGGCAATGGAGTAAGTAAGGGTATTGGGGGAATATCATGCCCCATCCCAGAGGGAAGTTCAGGGTCTCCAGGAAGAGTCAGGCAAAGGAAGATTCTGAGTCAGGCTATCCATGAGTGGGGCACACCTTTTCAAGCACGTTGTCTTCCCTCCAGCCTATACCATCACTCCCCATTATCTCTCTGGGACCAGCATCTTGGAAGTACTCCTTTTTGTTAATCATTCATCAGCCAGTCCTGGTCTGTAGGGACGCCATTTCCATCTGTAAGAACGCTCTGGACCATGTTCATTACTAGAAGCGCACAAATTGCTGCATACATTTTCCTTTGCTCGAGGAGGTTGTTTTTATGAGCAGTAGTGAAAACAAAATTCCATTACGTCAAAGTTAATTCCTCTGCAGCACACAGTAGCCCAGCTGCATTCAGTAGCTTACAGGGCTGACGGAAGTGAAACGTCAGTGATGCGTTCACTGTTAGAATCATAGAATGGCCAGTCCTTCCATTTACCTGGGTCTGCCTCATCTGGATGAATCGTAAAATGCTAACTGCCTACGCACTGCTCATCCATCAACTGAAGCAGAGGACCCATTAGGCTATCTCAGCCAGCATATACAGGCCTCCACTTAAGACCAAAGAAATGTGGCCTGAGGACGGCTTGCATAGAGCTAATCAGCTCTGACTCACCTTCCTCTTGCCTGTCCGCCTGTTCTCCCAGGAATTCTATTTGGTCCAGGATCTCACAGCTGCTCCCCACAGGCAAAGGCAGCTGGCATGGTCCCACAGGGCACCGTTATGGCCACAAAGCCCCGCAGCGCAATGGGGGAAGGCAGGTGTGGATTTATTTTGCTGACATGGCTTCCTCTGAGGTAGCATTAGAGAGGAACACTGCCTTTTATTTTCCCCCTTACTCCATGGGAAAGGAGAGAAGGAGGTGTCCCTGGGAAGCTGATGAGAGAGGAAGAGAGTGACAACACAGAGGAGAGAAAGGGCTGCAGGAGAGGGAGCCACAGACACCTTGACTACTTCACAACAAGGGGAAGCTGCTCTTATTATAGAGAATAGGGAGTGACTCAGACAGAGGCTTTCTTTGGGGAGCTGAGAGACTTCAGAAATTAAAGATTGAGGAGGGAGTTCAAAGAGTCTTCCCCTCCCCCATCCCATCATTTTACTCTGTGAATTTATTTTGACAAAATAATTTCAACCCAACCATAGCCATGTCTGATTCTCTTACCACACTCAAGGAGATGCCAGTGTCCCCCATTTTATTATACCGCTGGAGTAAAGAATGCTAATGAGATTTGTTAAAGAAGAATGGCTTAGATCCATCAAACAAAAAACAACCGTAAGGAAAGGCATATTGCATACTTGTTCCAGACCATCCTGACTGGCTGCTGATGCTGGATGAGGTCACTAGATCATTTCTTGCCTCCGCTTTCTCTTTTCTTCATCAGCTTGGGCAAAGTTACCATTCAATAACTATCTGGGGCCTCTAAGCCTAGTGAGACAAAGAACTGGGGAAGGTAAGGATGATGACTGAGAGGTTCCTGCATAGCCTTGAGAAACTTAGGTAGGGAAAATTCAGTTGTCAAAAGTCAGATAAATAGTTTTGGGGGTACTAAGATCATTTGAAACCTACCACCCAGGCTGTCTACGGTCACTCGTTGCAATATTAAAAAGCAATTGAAAGTGAATCACTGAAAGTGATCCGAGCTCTGAAATCTAATAAGGAAAAAGGAATGTTTCCCAGAAGTTGTGGCATTTGGGGAGTTGTTTGGGTTCTTTGCAATGTTAGGGTTTGAGGTGGATTTTTCATGCCTGAATCACACTCCTCACCCTGACGCTCTGAAGTTCTCAGCAGGAGGAGAATACTCATAAGGAGCAACAGCTCAGTGGGGAACAAAATCAAGTTTTAGTCAGGACTGTGAAAGAGCCTAAAAGCCCCACAGGCAAAACTTCTTGGGCAAAAAACAACTGGAGCACATGGCTCAAGAAGACCTAAGTGGGGCCACCCACCTCTTCCCAATGTAGAGCTTGACTCCCTGTGTTTCAGCATGCACTCCAGGAGCCAGAAATGTGGCATAATTTCATAAAAGACTGGGATCTACTCAAAAAGGGCTAGCCAGTACGTCTCAAGAGACCCAACCAATACACTGCACATTAAGCCTTCCTTGGCGGGGGGTTGGGGCAGGTGCAGAGCTAAGAGAGGGATGAAGAGAGTGTTCAAGAGCTTGTCAGCACTTCCCCCAAGTAAGGACAGGGCTGGGTGTGTTGTCCTCTACTAAGACATGTTGAAACATGCGGAGAAAACAAAAAAGTCATATAAATAAGAAATTTCCAGAAAATCTTTATAGCCAATGATTGCTTTAGTCAGAAGTTTCTTTCTGAAAAGAGCTAGGCATAAGGGGGAGATTTAAGCTAAGCATGAGATTCCTTCCCAATTCCACAGAAAACCACTTAGGCTCAAGGTAGGGCAATAATCCACAAGTACAGGGAACAAAGCACAGCTAGCTGGGATCTCCTGCCATCTCAGGGCCTATGAAGACTTCCAGGAAATGCTATAATATAATTGTTCAGGAAAAGGCTGTGTCTAGATCATTTAGCAGTTGGACACTAATCGTCAGGGCTTAAATAGATTATCACAGCATCAGTGGTGACAAGCAGATGTTTAATGCACCCATAGTCCACATGTGGTTGGAGGAGAACCTTCAACCATGGTTCGGTGCTTCATGCCACTGACTCAGAAGAATTTGATGCCAAGAAAAGATACTGACTGCCCTGAAAATACTCAAGGGCTTGGCTCATTGACCAGCTGCCTGCGAAGGGGATGTCCTTGGACAGCATGCTATGCCCCTCTGTGTTATGGCTATAACAGAAATAAGGAACAGTTGAATGACACAAAGTCTGACATCTACCACTTTTCTCCTTGTGCATTTGTGAACCCGGAAAAGCCATGGAATGTATAACAAAAGCAGATTCCTCACAAGTGCTGGAGGGCAACATGGAGGAATGCTACAACGTCCTGGGAAATTTTTTTTGAGGAGGACAACTAAATGATAGACAGTTGACAAAACTCAGGAAGAGGCAAGGAGATAGAGAGAGAATGAAACCCCTTTGACCTGAAGGCTCCTTCCTCACTTCAAGCTTTCAAAGCATCTCAAGTCCATTTTGAGGGGCAAGAGGAGGCAAGGGGGAAGAGGAGGTGGAGCAGGCAAGATCTCACACCCTGCTTCAATCACAGCCATTCAATTTAAGTTTTGTATATGGGAATTTATGTCAGATTTAATTTGGCAAAAGGAAGAAGTGTTTTGAACACCATTGTTCTAGAAAAAAATAAATAATAGAAATTCCTAATATAACATGAAACAAAACTCTTGGCCTCCAATGTACCCAATTATATAAATTGACTCAAGCATAACTGGAATTAGAACTGCTAGCTTCTGTCTAATTTGCCCTCTCCTCTCCTTCCCACAGTTCAACAATCCCAAGATCCTGTGGTGAAAGGGAAAGAGCCCTGGCCTCAGACATGAGATGTGATGTAGAGATTGCTTCTTTTGTTTACTAGTGATGTAACCTGTGCTAATCACTCACCTTCCCTGAGCCTCCATTTTCTTGACTGTAAAAAGACATCCTTCTTCTTACCTCACAGGATTGTGGTAAAAGAACTCTTTCCTCTGAAGGAGCATTATGCAAATCTGTTTGCAACTTTTGAGTATCTTGTAATACCTATGCATTTCCACTTGTCAACAGATTCTAGTACATATCTCAGTCAATGAAACACTTATTCAAATTGACTGAAACTTCTGCCACCTGCAGATAGGCATGAGTGAGTGAATGATCTACACTTCCAAGTTTCAATAAGTATCAGGGAAGTCATAGGATAAAGAATATGGGAATTCCAGTGAGAACATAATGGGCCCTGTCAACTCCTCAGTGGCTTCCATTGGCCCTATGGGTGGTCCAAAGACTACATCAGTCAGAATTAAAAAGGGAGCCCCTACAGCAGCCCTCTGAGGGGGGCAGGCCAGGAGACCCACTCTTCCATGAATTCCAGGAGCAGCAGCCACACTGCTATGCTCCTGCCTCCTCCTGTCACTCTGCTCCAGTTACATGCCCCAGAGTCACTGTAGGGCCACAGAAGGTTGCTGCACCCTGTCCTTTCAGGCTCACTATCCCATGCCTTGACAGACAAGATGACGTGGATGGAAGGCAGGCCAGCCCGGTGACCATAAGGCTCAAGAAGGAAAACAGATGAATGATTTCAGTAGGATTCAAAAGGAGAAAAAAACCCTCTGTGTTGCTTCTGTTTTTTCACAGAAGAAAGAAGTCCATTCATAGTTCTTATATATGCAAACAAAGACTGCAAGTGATCTTCTGGATTCGCAGACTGCAGCAATGCCCCATTCAAGCCTCTCAGCCATTCCTCAAGCACCAGAAACCCCAGCACGAGGTTATCAAACCTTCTTATTCGTGAGCACTCCTGATTGCTCTACAGCAGCTACAGATGTAATCCCGAAAATGCCTCCAAATGCTGCAAACAAACAGTCTGTTTTTAACTGTAATGCAAGGTGTTACCTTAAAAGGGAGAAGTGCATGTGGCACTTTTAAATGCTATGCCTCAAGCAACTGTGTGACTTATAAATCACTGTCCTTATCTTAATTAATGACAATGAGAAGTAAACATGCTCACAGAAAGAACCAGTCTCTAGATGGTAAAACTGGAACCAGATCACTGAACAGCAAGTGGGATAACAGTAAAGTCAAAAAACAACAGGCTGCTCAGGAGAGTGCTCTGTTGTCCCTTGCATAAAAAGCAGGCTTGACTACAGAAATGATTACATGGAAATTTTAAAAGGAATCAGAATGTATTCATAATTATACTTGACCTTTAAATATTGCCTCGCCATTTTCAAAGCCCTTTCACATGCATCATGAAACCTGATGTTCACAAAACCCCTGGGAACAGGGAACACAGACATGGTTCCCATTTGACAGATGGGCAAACTAAAGCCTGAAGAGGTTATGTAACTTGCCTGGGGTCACACACCTGGTAAGTGACAGAGCTGGGCCTTAAACCTAGGTATCCAGGCTTCAATTTCAGTGCTTCCGTTACATAAAACCTGCTGCTCTGAAAGCTCAGTAAAACTAAATAAATATCTTAGAAGAATGATTAGGTTGTCAGACTTCTCAAAATTACATACCAAAAACAAACTGGCTCGAGTTGAAGGTCAAGAAGTGTAGAGCCATGATGACAGAAGGCATCCTTTTAACATCTCTATGTTGCAAATCTACAGACTCCCATTCTCACTCACCTGTTTTTCCAGTAAACACACTGAGGCATAGAGATGCTAAAGGATGGGCTTAATATCATTTATAAGGCCCAAGATAAGAAAATTTCAAGGTCTTGCCACTGCCAGTTTTGGTGCAAATTAACAGCATCACTGAGTAGCCAATAGATGCTGGGCCCTAGGGAATAAGGGGGGCGATGGCACACAAATTAAACAGAAAATGCACCCGTCCTGGGCAAGCCAGCTGAAACAGCTCTCCCAAAGCAAACAAGATATGCTAATAGAGTCAAGGTCATCTTCACTTTCCTCTAAGGAAAATGGGAACTTCTCTGGGAGCTCTATTCCTGGAAGGTCTACTTGTCATTGGCTGTTGCTCTATTTCTTATGAGTCATCAGTCTTTTTAGCCTGATTTTATTTAATTCACTTTGCAGTTTCTTCAATGGATGAAAGGATTCATTTTAAAAGTCTCTGCACCAATTTTAAGAGCTGCTAGCTTCCAAGTCTGTGCAAGCTACCCACCATGTTGGGCAGTTTTGTGTGTAGGTGTGTGTGTTTTGTGTCTTTGCGTGGAGGCACAGTACCATTAAAATATTCACCCTCATAGAAGGAGGCAGACCCCCTGAAACCCAAGTGAGAAACACGGCCTTTACAATTTGTTATTCAACTTATTATTTCAGCATAGAAGAAAACCAGGGCACAAGTTCTGCAAATGCCAGGCTCATTAATGAAATGGGTTTTACACCCAAGAGCTGAATGGGCTATCTAGGCCCTGAGATAGTACATTTTGTGGCAATAATACTTTAACAGATAATGAATCAGCAAATTGCACTGGTGGCTTATTTCATTTACTTTGGATAGGATTGGTCTTCCCGCCACATCATTTTTCTGGTTAAAACCTAGTGGAATGTTTTCCTTTCCAGTTCTCAAGAAATACTGCTTTTTGGTGGGGGTGAAACAAAGCCCTAAGCCTTGTGAAGGAAACAGAGACTAACAAAATAGAATGTAACACTGTAGAGGAAACTTCAGACCACCCAGCCAACTACTGAAAGCCAGAGACTTTCAGCCCAGGCTGGGAAGAGACCCAGGGTCTTGCGCTATGAAAACAATATTGCAATTCATCAGCATAACTCCAGCAGGTACCTCTCATTCCCGAGGTGCACCAAGGCTAATTAAGTTGCCAGATGCACTAACCATGTTAAGCATTTTAAAAGACAGGTTTTCACTCTGAAACAGCCTGCTCTCCCCCTTGTTCTGGATACAGGCATAACTGCTTCCAACCTTCCCCAGAATGTTTGGCAGCCCCTGGAAAGAGGAAGAAAGGGGTAGAATGCTTGTTAAGAGTAGGAGAGCGTCATGTTCTCTTAATGCGGGGTTTTTCAACAGTGGCACTATTGACATCTGGGACCAGATAATTTCCTGTTGTGGGGGTGTATTGGTTTGCGAGGGCTGCCATAACTATGCATCACAAACTGGGGGCTTTAAAAGAACAGAAGCTTATTCTGTCATGGTTCTGGAGGTTAGAACGTTGAAATCCAGACATCAGCAAGGTTTGTTCCTTCTGAGGGAGAATGTGTTCCAGGCCCTAGCTTCTGGTGATGGCCAGCAATCCCTGGTGTTCCTTTGCTCATTGACGCATCATTCCAGTCTAAGCTTCCATCTTCTCACAGCTCTCCCTGTGCCTCTGGGTCTTCACATTGCAGTCTTCTAATAAGGACACAAGTTATATTGAATTAGGGGCCCACTAACTCCAGAGTGACATTGTCTTAACTAATAACTACATCTTAAGCCACCGCATTTTCAAATAAGGTCACATTCTGAGGTACTGAGGGTTAGAACTTCAACATATCTTTTGGGGGGCACACAATTCAACTCATACAGGGGGTCTTTGGGACAATGTAGAATGTTTAGCAGCATCACACAGAGACTTTACCTCCCTTGCCATGACAAGACCATCTGAGATCCTATACTAGATGTTTATTACAGAACATACCACAGTGAATTGTGATTGGTGAGTCACTGGTCTAGTTCACTCACCAGAGTCAGGGGAGAATAGGAACAGCATCTTATTCATGGATCCACCCCATGTGCTCAAAAGTTTACCCGCTACATATGAGCACTCTCCCTGTCATGACAATAAAAATTGCCTGTAGACATTGTCAAAGGTTCCCTGCAGGCAAAATCACCCCTGGTAGAGAACCACTGTCTTTGGATCAGAAAAGTAAAGTTTAATTCTGATTCTGTTTTAATTAATTGTGCTATTGCCTTAAAAAATTTGGTCAAACTCTCTGGTCTTCACTTTTTCTCATACATCTCATAAGAGCAGTGGTGTTGCTGAGGCCTGATTGAGATAGTATATGGAAAGAGTTTGCTGCATAATGAGACGCAATAAATGACAACTATTATCTTTTGTAAACCAGGGAAGTTTCTTTTGCAGGATTCTCTGTGGGTCTCAGTATTTACTGCCCTGATACTGAACTCTAGTCCTTGTCCCCGAGAGCTCCAGAAGGCAAAGGAGCTTTCCAGGTGTGCTCTGCATCCACTGCTGGGGGCAGAAAGTCCCCTTAGAGCCCAGCCCAAGCCCTCCCAGCATCTGTGACTGCGGCACCAAAGCTGCAGACAGCCATATATCACAGCCAAGGAAAGGGAAGCTCTGAGTATGATCAGAATGTTAATGTGGCTGCATTGCACCATGGACAGTATCAGCCCAAGTGAACACTGTAGAAAATCCACTGGAGACGGGGATGTGGGTGAAGAGAACTGGTTCTTAGGTATTGACTACGGCATACACGCAGAGACTTTACCTCCCTTGCCATGACAAGACCATCTGAGATCCCATACTAGGTGTTTATTACAGAACATACCACAGTGAATTGTGATTGGTGAGTCACTGGTCTAGTTCACTCACCAGAGTCAGGGGAGAATAGGAACAGCATCTTATTCATGGATCCACCCCATGTGCTCAAAATGGGTGCCTGTCACATAGCAGACACTCAATAAAAGTGTGCGTGCTTAATAAATGGGCCACCTTTCATCTCCAAGGTCTCTAGCCTACAAAATGGCATGTTTCTTTAAAGCCCTAATACAATCTAAGGCCCTAATACATCCCATGAATCTGGGGAAATCCCATATTTTTCACATCTCTTCTCATCAGGTAATTTCTAGGTATTCCCAAGGAATGCTAACATGTTCCACAAATCTATTCTGGTTGACATGTAACCCTTTCATCAGTCATTCTCCTGGATGCTTCCTGTCATCTTTTAATTGGCTTTTGTTGCTTACTCCATATAATTTCCACTCATGTGGACTCCACCCCAATTGCCCAATGCACTTTAAGAACAGGCTTATAGCATTTAACAGATCCCTTACCAAAGACTGAGAGACCACGTGGCAACACAAGTCACTTTCAACTGCTATTCACATGGCTACTCTCAAAGTCCCCTAGACTATATTGGACTGCATATCCCTGCCTATTTCCCCTTTCATCAGGTAGGATAGAAAGGGAGAGAGCTCCACCTCCCCAAAGGAATTTCCAGGCCTTCCTCTATCCAAGGACCTAGACCCACCCCAGTTTCAGGACAGAGAAAGACCGGAAGTCTTCCCCACCCCATCTCATTTTCCATCCCAAGATGATCATAGAAACTCATCTCCTTCAGGAACAAAGGGAAGACTGGCCCCTATTGCCCCCCAAAACTATCACTATATTCATCAATAATAATAATACAATTCATCTAAAATGTGGGTTTATTCTGTCTTAAGTAAGACCAATGAGGGCCATCACTGCTGCAGCCCAGGTAACAGTATTCTCATCCCAGTCCTGCCACTTTCCAGTCATTCCTCTAGTGTAAGATAAAGGAAAGATGAAGTTTATTCATCCCTCCTGACATGGTCCAGTCCTCTCTGAACAAATGCAGATCACAAAAACACCCATATCTCCCAAGAAGAAAGAAAAGCTTTCCAACATAAGAATGGTCAACTTGCATTACCAAACAGAAGATTTAACATCTCCGTCTAAAGCATTTCTATTTCAATGACTTTACTAGTTCAAGTCTCCTTCAATACATTGATTAGATTTGTGCCTTAGGTTTAGCTAGTAAAAGAGATTTATCTAAGAGAGGACCCTTAAACTATGGGAGTGTATTGGGCATTTTTGTTTGATTGTTGACCAGAATCAAAAAGTTCCCAGTTTGGGGGAACTCCCTTTGTGCAGATCCACAGAAGCTAAGTATGGGTGATTCTCATTACTTCCATACCTTGTCAACCCAATACACACACACACAGGCCAGAGCTCCTGCTATGTTTGTTTTCACACTGCTCAACTCCAAAGTGTGCTATGAACACTATAGGCATCCTTGATTTGTATATTTATTATAACAATATTCTGACAGATGAGAGTAAAATGTCAGGAAGGAGGGATGTCTTTGTCTAATTTATATAAAGGCTCTGTTTGGGCTAGTGGTGGTCGTGGTCCAGGCTCCCCCCACCTCCCCACAATCCTTTAAATCATGAGCTATGATAGTGATACAAAGAGGACTGGTCAGGGAGATTAGCTCTGCAGTGGCTATGACAGTGGTATAGCCCAGAACCTGTGTGTAATGGTTGTAGTATCTGGTGGTGACAGTGTTGAGTGGTGGCAGCATTGTACATCAGCAGCTATAGCCATACCCTGGCCCAAATGTTCATTGAGCTAAGCCTCCATTGGTGGATGACTATTCTCCACACCTGGTTTTCCAGCGTCCCCACTGATGCTGTGGGTTAGTCATGATCCTTCCAACTCCATGCCTCCACTGAGCAGCTAGACATACTAGGAGAAAGACATGACCATGAGAAACTGCCCAGCAATCACACAATGCTCCCATGGTAAATTTGCTTCCCCACTTTTCATGATACCACTTCACATCTTTTTAGCTTTCCTTGAAAACTCTAATAACTCCTCCAATATCTCTTTCTCCAACCCCATCTTTAGCTGATAGCACCATGCTTCATTTCACTGAAAAAATAAGAACAAATGAGAAACATCTGTACCCGCTTCCTCTCCTTCCCCTCCTGTTGAAATGAATGAACCATCCCTGTTCCTGTTTTAGTCAACCCTTCACTGGTACAGTGGAGTTCATCCCTGTATTAGTCCATTTTCATGCTGCTGATAAAGACATACCCAAGACTGGGCAATTTACAAAAGAAAGACTTACAGTTCCATATGGCTGGGGAAGGCTCACAATCATGGTGGAAGGCAAGGAGGAGCAAGTCATGTCTTACATGGATGGCAGCAGGCAAAGAGAGAGAGTTTGTGCAGAAAAACTCCCCTTTATAAAACCATCAGATCTAGCGAGACTTAGTCACTATCACGAGAACAGCATGGGAAAGACATGCCCCCATGATTCAGTTAAATCCCACTGGGTCCCTCCTACAACACATGGGAATTCAGGATGAGATTTGGGTGGGGACACAGCCAAACTATATCAATCCCTATTCACCTACTCAAAGGACTCCAGCCCAGCAGGCATAATCTCTCTCTCCCATATTACCAATTCTCCCTGTTTGTGGAGTATTCCTGTTTCAACTACCATCATTATAACCGGCTATTGGATACAAACGTTCCCATTAGATGAAAAAAACAAAAAAGAGAACCTCCTTCAATTCATAAGCACGACTCTCCTCAGAATCCCTGACATGACCCTGTACTACAGGAGAGCAACCAGCCACCAGCTGATGTTGCTTATATTGGAGCCCTGCCATCATGGAGGGGCATCAATTTGTTCTCACCAGAATAGACACTTATTTTTCAATGTGGATTTGCTTTCTCTGCCTTATCCATCATGATTCTGACAATATATCCATCATGGTTCTGAAAATATATCCATTATTGGACTTTCTATATGCCTCATACATGCTTTATATGATTATATCACATAGAACATTGTCTCTGACCAAGGGATTCACTTCACAGGAAAATAAATGAGGAAATCTGGCTGATGCCCATGGAACTTAATAGTACTACAATGTACCCTATAGCTCAAAGTCAGCTTATGGAATGGTGCAATGATCCACTGAATATTTAGTATGACGCTAGCTTGGAAACAACACTGTGATATAGGAGTGCAGTCCTATAGGATGCTGTATATGCTCTGAACCAGCGATTAATATGTGATACTATATCTACCACAGTCAAATACACAAGGCAATGAATCAAAGGGTAAAAGAGTGGCTTATGTCCCAAATGTGGCTGTGTCCAACAGTAGCTGAGTCTGGCAATGACAGCAATATACTGTAGCAATGATGCCCATATCCTGAACTGCTTTTCTTGACTGCAGCCAACTTCAGTTTCTGCCCATTTTCCAAGTGGAATTCTTCAGGCTTCCCTATAGCTTTGTAAGATTATATCCTTCCATTATCCTTCCAAAAAATTCATTTTTCAGCCTAAGGTACTCAGCCTTGGGTTCTATTTCTTGACCCAGACTGTCATAGAAGGCTCTACACAAAGATAATTCAGAAACTAATTGCAATCCCCAAAATCATTTTTCAGCTTTCAAAAATGTAACATTCAGTCTTTGCTAGGCATCCCATTACAAATGTATGAACGTGAGAATAAATGAACTCCAGCTTTCAGCTCTCCAGAGTAGGTAACTACATGTTAAGAACCCCAAACAGTGAATCTGAGCTGCTTACTTCCTTATACTGCTTGACCTGTTAGTTTTGCCAGCCGTAAAAAATGATTCATGGGACCAATCAGCAGCAGAACAAAGTAGGGGATTTGGATTTACTGGGTGTTTTTCTTTGGGGGTGGGGAGTAGGTGAAAGATGACACTATTCTGATTCCTAAACCATTTACTGATCACAAGAAATTCTTAGATTAAAACCAATATTTTTTAAATTATGATACAAATTGATGTAATGTCCTTCTATCATACTTTTACCCTCGGCGGGGGGCTACTAGAATAAAAAATGGAACCATATAAAACTTGTGCATCACTATTGGCATATATTTTGACCTTTTTTCATCTCCTCACCACCACCACCAAAGCACTAAAAATAAAATACAACAAATCTATGCAAGAACACAGGATTCCAATCATCACGACCTTTTGTTGTGCAGTCTTCACAGGATAAATGGCTTTGATGCTCATTAAAATATTTAGAACAAAAGCAAAAGGGAATTTAGCAAAAGGCATTCTCTGTCCCCCCACCTCCTACAGGAATATTCATGAGAACAGCCCTCTGACACCTACAACACACTGCTTCTTGTGATATCTTCAATTCATGGCAATGTTTTAAAATGTAGGTTTTCTCATTATTCAGCCAACAGATTAGGGGACAACTGCCTTTGAAAATATAACGTATCACTCACAATTCCTGAGAAGAAGGCATGCCATCCCACAAAGGGCCATGTGGGGAAGCACCGGGTGAGTCAGGAGGCAGAAAGGGCA
The DNA here is from genome assembly GCF_000001405.40 of Homo sapiens. Lineage (NCBI taxonomy): Eukaryota > Metazoa > Chordata > Mammalia > Primates > Hominidae > Homo > Homo sapiens. The sequence continues at coordinate 222,382,407 of NC_000001.11, forward strand.
GAAAGGGCAAGGGGAAGATGTAGGCAGGAGATTTTATTGTGGGAAGTAGCTTAAAATTGATTAGTTTGAATAATTTCCATGGGCTCTGGAATATGGGAACGGTCTCTAGTTGTCTGGTACCTGGCCCTAGGATAATTAGAGTGGAGGAATATTGCCTCTTCAAGTGTAGGAGCCAGATAGAGAAGGTGGCTCAAAGTATGAGCTCCAGATTGGTTAGTTTAGCTTGCATATGAAAGGCACACTTCTGGGCGAGTCCTTTGCTATCTCTAGAATTAACTAGCCCTGGAAAGGGCAGTCTCTTCCCAGGCAATGAGGCCCCAGATGCCAGACCATCAAGAGTACAGAAGGTAAGAAAATATTGTGGGTTTTTTTTATTATACTTGTGCACAACGTGCAGGTTTGTTACATATGTATACATGTGCCATGTTGGTGTGCTGCACCCATTAACTCGTCATTTACATTAGGTATATCTCCTAATGCTATCCCTCCCCTCTCCCCCCACCCCACAACAGGCCCCGGTGTGTGATGTTCCCCACCTTGTGTCCAAGTGTTCTCATTGTTCAATTCCCACCTATGAGTGAGAACATGCGGTGTTTGGTTTTTTGTCCTTGCGATAGTTTGCTGAGAATGATGGTTTCCAGCTTCATCCATGTCCCTACAAAGGATATGAACTCATCATTTTTTATGGCTGCATAGTATTCCATGGTGTATATGTGCCACATTTTCTTAATCCAGTCTATCATTGTTGGACATTTGGGTTGGTTCCAAGTCTTTGCTATTATGAATAGTGCCACAATAAACACACGTGTGCATGTGTCTTTATAGCAGCATGATTTATAATCCTTTGGGTATATACCCAGTAATGGGATGGCTGGGTCAAATGTTATTTCTAGTTCTAGATCCCTGAGGAATCGCCACACTGACTTCCACAATGGTTGAACTAGTTTACAGTCCCAGCAACAGTGTAAAAGTGTTCCTATTTCTCCAAATCCTCTCCAGCACCTCTTGTTTCCTGACTTTTTAATGATCGCCATTCTAACTGATGTGAGATGGTATCTCATTGTGGTTTTGATTTGCATTTCTCTGATGGCCAGTGATGGTGAACATTTTTTCATGTGTTTTTTGGCTGCATAAATGTCTTCTTTTGAGAAGTGTCTGTTCATATCCTTTGCCCACTTGTTGATGTGGTTGTTTGTTTTTTTCTTGTAAATTTGTTTGAGTTCTTCGTAGATTCTCGATATTAGCCCTTTGTCAGATGGGTAGGTTGCAAAAATTTTCTCCCATTCTATAGGTTGCCTGTTCACTCTGATGGTAGTTTCTTTTGCTGTGCAGAAGCTCTTTAGTTTAATTAGATCCCATTTGTCAATTTTGGCTTTTGTTGCCATTGCTTGTGGTGTTTTAGACATGAAGTCCTTGCCCATGCCTATGGCCTGAATGGTAATGCCTAGGTTTTCTTCTAGGGTTTTTATGGTTTTAGGTCTAACATTTAAGTCTTTAATCCATCTTGAATTAATTTTTGTATAAGGTGTAAGGAAGGGATCCAGTTTCAGCTTTCTACATATGGTTAGCCAGTTTTCCCAGCAATATTCATTAAATAGGGAATCCTTTCCCCATTTCTTGTTTTTGTCAGGTGTGTCAAAGATCAGACAGTTGTAGATGTGTGGCATTATTTCTGAGGGCTCTATTCTGTTCCATTGATCTATATCTCTGTTTTGGTACCACTACCATGCTGTTTTGGTTACTGTAGCCTTGTAGTATAGTTTGAAGTCAGGTAGTGTGATGCCTCCAGCTTTGTTCTTTTGGTTTAGGATTGACTTGGCAATGCGGGCTCTTTTTTGGTTCCATATGAACTTTAAAGTAGTTTTTTCCAATTCTGTGAAGAAAGTCATTGGTAGCTTGATGGGGATGGCATTGAATCTATAAATTACCTTGGGCAGTATGGCCATTTTCACAATATTGATTCTTCCTATCCATGAACATGGAATGTTCTTCCATTTGTTTGTATCCTCTTTTATTTCGCTGAGCAGTGGTTTGTAGTTCTCCTTGAAGAGGTCCTTCACATCCCTTGTAAGTTGGACTCCTAGGTATTTTATTCTTTTTGAAGCAATTGTGAATGGGAGTTCACTCATGATTTGGCTCTCTGTTACTGGTGTATAAGAATGCTTGTGATTTTTGCACATTGATTTTGTATCCTGAGACTTTGCTGAAGTTGCTTATTAAGAAAATATTGTTAATACAAGCAATGACACTTCCAAGTTCCCAAAGGGCCTTCTGAATCATCTAAGTATAGGCTAAATCTTATTCATCATGATTTTGGCAATAAGATCTCTGACTTTGAGGATTCCTTGAGTTGCCAGTGACCAAAAACAAAACAAACCAACACACAAAAAACTGGCTAAAACAGGAAAAAGGGATGTGTTGGCTCATGGATCTCAAAATCCAAGAATATGGCTGGCTTCTGCCATGTTTGATCTAAGCATTGTGGGCCCAGTTTTTCTACATTTCTGGCTCTGTTTTTCCAGACCCTTCCTCACTGGGCTTGCCTCACTATGGCAGGACCACAGGGGCACCAAGCTTACATCTTCTACGACTCAATTCAGAGGAAGAGAGACAAGGTCATTTCCCCAGAATTTCCAGCAAATGTCACCCTGATTCCCATTGGCTCTAAATGGATTACATCACCATCCCTTAACCAGTCACTATGGCTGGGAGATGGCAAGCTGCCTGTTTACTTAAGCCAATCAGGTATAGCCCTGGAGCCAAGGATGGAGCCACCCAAATGAAACTGCATGGTTTGGAATGGATGAGGGGCATTTTCCTATAGGAAATGTGGAGAACTGCTACCAGAAGAGAAGAAATTAATGATGGATTTCAAACATATGATGTCTACCAAATATATGCAGCTTTGTATTACAGATGTTTCAATATTAATTATATACATGTGTAGTACTTTGTTTTTTTAATTTAAAAAGGTTCAGAATCCAGTGCCCCTGGCAAAACCCTGATAATTCTGTCCTCACCCCTCATGATTAATATGATGCAATCATTAACTGTTCAATTGTCAGAGGCTGTTTAATTTCAACAACAAATTTTCTGCATTTCAAAAATAATATATACTATTAGTGAAGATTCAAATTATACTAATTCATTTCTTGATACAAATCTATTTTTTTATTTTAAATTTAAAAAGAATGGAATTATCAGTAAGAAACTTTATGCCTTAAACATACCTACCTGCTCTTGGCACTCACTTTCTTAGAATTGACAACGCTGATAGGTTCTCTTGCTGTATTTTAAGGGAAGAGTTGAGGTATTCATGGAGAGAAAATGATGAAGAGGAAGTTAGACAAATCTCCTGCCCCACCACCCTCAGCCAAAAGAGATCCCTCAAAGCCAGGAGAAAGGGTAGGGAACACGTCTGTAGAGATACTATTTAACTGCAGAGTATAGTGCTTCCCCCATCTCCTCTGTCCAGGTTTTTTTGGGGGGGGTTTTGTTTTGTTTTTTACCATGTCAAGGAAGAAATCTGGCCTACCATCAAAGCTAGGGATTGGAGTAGTACACTAACATATGGGAAAAAATGTGATTTTTTTCTATATATTCAATTAATATGTTAAAAATAAAGTTTAACATATTACTTAACATTGAATGTTACTGGTATATAGCAGTGGTTCTCAAACTTTTGCATACATCAGTATCACCCAGAGAACTTGTTGAAACCAGATTGCTGAGTGCAACCCCCAGAGTCACTGATTCAGTAGGTTTGGGTGGGGCCTGAGAATTTGTTCTGCTAACAAGTTCTCAGATGCCTCTGATGCTGGTGCTCAGGGGACCACACGTTGAGAACCACTGGTGTATAGCATGTGTTTTATTTTACTAGTGGCTGATCTCTGTTAAAAACAAGGTTCTAAAATGCCATTCTAGCTTATAGAATTCTAAGTCTGACCTTTTGGACCGTTAAGAAAAAGCTTTAATATAAAGTGAAGCTCATGTTGCTTGTTTATGAAACAGCCAGTGAGAAGTAGGAAGTCTACACTTCCCCCTCAGTCCTAGATGCTGAAGCAGGTAAGATCTTTCACATCATGCTTTTAAGGATCGTAACAGCAAGAATAAGAGTATGGACATAGATATTGCCTCCCAAAAGCCCAGACAAGAAGTTAGGGGAAAAGGGAATCTCTCTGTTATTTAGGTTTCAATCAACAAAAGTTAAGACGGCTGGTTTTGAACCTGAGGCCTCGCAAGCTCAGATTTACAATGTTACCAATGGGAAAGAAAATGAACTTGGTAAAAACGTTAAGACATTCCTCTTTGTTTGGGCCATGAAACCTCTAGGGCTGTTTTATATTCTGAAACTGCCTGGCTCATTACAGTGACCAATAGGTCTCTAAATACCATCAGTTTAAAAGGGACTGTTGTAAAAATTCATGATTCATTCGTGCAATGAATCCCCCTTTTTGCTGGACTTAAACTGCATGAAAAGTAATCTTCTCCCTGCACTGAGCATCACACTGTTTCCAATTCGGAAAAGCTCCAAAAAAAGGGGGGTGGGAGGGCAACAAATTTTACCAGCCATGAGGTGGGGAAAAGCAACATGTCTTTGCACACACATATGGTTTCTATAATCATTTTTTTTAAAGAAACTGAGTTTGACCTAGCTCTCTGATAGAGACAGCCTGATTGAGGATGACAGGCCTGGAGAACCCACCTGGGCCCCCAGGCAGGGGAGAGCCTGGGCTTGATTTGTGGCCCTGGATAGGGACCTGTGCTGTGTGAGGTGATTTTTTACACCCTTTGGCTGCACTGAGTGACCTCTCCCAAGCTGCTTTTCCCACACGCCAACCAACTGCATATGCTTTCAAACTGGGTGGTGATCTGGAATCCATATAAATAATATGCATCAGAGGAAAACTTACCTCTTTAAAACGGAAGCCAGAAACTTGCACCCACAAAATGGAGCCAGAGTTCCAGAAGCCTGTGGTGTGTCCCTCTGAGACAACATGGCGGCCATTGGAACCTCCACAGCGCCAGGCCTCACATCGGAACCTGACATACACAGCTCACAAAATCCAATTCAGAAGGGTTGAGTACACTGTGAGGTGCCCTTCCGCCTCCCATTTCCCTAAGCCTACTGAGCCCTGGGTGGAGACTGGCTACATAAAGAAAGGCTTCACACGCTTGAGAGAAGTTGGTTCAGACCTGGGAAGGCTTGTGTCAGCTCCCCCTTCTGCTGCGCTGCTGCATTGCAATGGGAAAATACCATGTACACCTTTAGCCTCCAGGAGACACTTGAAGAAGACCAGAAATACCTTAAAATCATGATAGGAATGGTGGACAGAAGGTGACTTTTTTCCAAATTTTAACTTTTAATTCAGCACTAATAATTATGGGGAACCATATGATGTTATGATATATGTTTGTAATGTGGAATGAGTAAAGCAGGCTAATTAACAAATCCACCTCCTCGCATACCATTTTTTTGTGGCCAAGACATTTAAATTTTGAGATATAGAATGCATTATTATTTACGATAGTCACCACCTGTGTAATGAATCATCAAAGCTTATTCCTCCTAACTGAAAATGTGTATCCTTTGACCAACTCTCCCATCCCATCCCCCAAGCCTCTAGTAACCACCTTTCTACTCTTTACTTCTGTGAGTTCAACTTTTTTAGATTCCACATATAAGTTAGATCAGGTGGTATTTGTCTTCCTGTGCTTGGCTTATTTCACTTACCGTAGTGTCCTCCAGGTTCGTCCATGTTGTCACATATGACAGATGTCTTTTTGAACTCCAACACCCACTTGAATTTCCCACCCTGCTTTCTTGTCCACCACCCACCCCACCAACGTTTCTTTTCCCCCTGCCTAAAATGTTGTTTCCTCCAGATCTGCATACAATAGGCTTCTTCTCATCAAGCATGTCACACACCCCTCCAGAGAGGCCACCCTACACATGCCCGCTTGCCTCACCCTGTTTCATTTCCTTCACAGCACTATCCCCATCTGGAAATACTGAGTTCCAGGAAGACAGGGACCTAATGTGTCTTGTTGACCACTGTACCCCAAGGACTGGCATATGGTAAGCGTTTGGTAACTACTTGCTAAATGAGTGAATGAACCCTGAGGTGATTTTCAACTGGACACTATTCCAGTTTCTCTTGAATAATTGGTCCTGCCTTCTCATGGGGCCATAATTGCACGGAGCTAAGTAGTAACTTTCCTGTTTATGATGTCGTTAATAAAGTTTTGTTTAATTTAGGATTAACCCAGCCAACTTCGGCCATTTTGGGGCCTGCCTGGCATTGTTTGCTGTCTTTATATGTTTGTCTCACGCATCTCTACTCTGTCCACACTAGCCTAATGCAGTGCCTGGCACTTACACGGTGTTTCAATAAGTGAGCATACTGGGTGTTGACTATATTTATGTTCACTAGCACTTTTTCTATGTGAAAAGAAAAGAAGTAATGCGAGATGAGGCTCATACCACCAAATCTAGCAATGTCATGCCAGCTTTGAAAATGCTTTAGTTGAAATAAAAGATGAGGCTTACCTTGGACACCATTTTACCATCACCCAAAGATCAAAAGGGGATAGAGGTGCTAAGGAAGTTTGAGTGTTGATGCACTTTCATAGATAATGTGCTTGAAGTGAGATCTCTCATAGCTTTCTCTATGTGCATTCTCAGCATGACATGCTCAGAATCTAGGGCAAAAATTCTGTTCAAGTGAGACGAAGTCATAATACCTATGATATCACATGACTTAACCAACATAGTACAGGTTTAAAGCATTAAACAAACTCTTTCAGGAGTTTCCTGTGTCACCTCTTTTCCAGCCCACGAGTTCTCCTCCAAGTTGTAGTTTTGGGGAGTCACAGTCCACCTCATTCACCACTTCTCCCTGTGCCCGCTTCTTCTGTCCCTGGAGAAGTGAGGACTTTTGCTTCAGACCCTGAATTCTACTCACCTTTGCCTCCAAGTTAAAATCCTTGGCACAGGCAGTGGCCTACCTGGCTGACCTAGATGGGATTCTCTGTCACTGGACACACCCAGTTAGGGCCTGTCTGCCTCTTCCCAGCTCCGGCAGCATGCCCTGCTTCCCTTTTGTGCTTTCATTCTATCTCTGAACCATATTTTCTCCATCGTAATCAACCCCACAATGAATCCTTATTCTTCCCTCCTGTGAGCCCTCTGTCCTTCTTTCCACCCACCTCCCCCTAACCCTCAATCTAGCAGTAATATTCCACTCATCATTAAAAGAAGACAGACTCTTTTTCAGACTATGTACATTAATACTGCCTTGATATCTCCCCAGACCTGACTAAACACCCAGACCCATGATTTCTATGGAGATTATTTCACCATATTGATTTTTTATTTCTCCTTAAGTAATTTAGAGGGAAAATGGCTACAATAAAGATGAAGGACTTCGTGGATTTTAGCTATACACTCTGTTCCTCTATCCCCAATCATGAAAGATCAAGGGTGGTCCTCACGTATTAGCAATGCTGTGGTCCTATGAGAGACCCTCTGTCATAATTAGCTTCATCCTCCAACCAACCTCTGCCACTCCCCATCTCCCAATCCCATTCACACCTCCCAGAACTAGAGCCAATAAGCTAGATTTCAGCCCAGAGATTTTACCATCTCCACGAATCTGGTTTCTGTTTGGGGTTGGTTAGTGAATTCACTGTTTGTTGGTTGAAAGGGTTTTATTTTCATTCACAACTTTTCAGGAAACTCTTTGGAGAGTTAAACTCGATTGAGATTCTTCTCCAGGGCTCTCTTCTGGCCATTTCTTCTGGACAGGATAGAGGAAATATAATGTTGTGTTTAAGAAAACAAAACCCAGTTGCTGAATGGTGAGAGGAGGCCAGGAGTCTCTTCCACCACCCCAAAAAGCATCAGAGAGACCTTACCAAGGAAGCGGGGGGGCCTCCTTCTGACGGTCTGTGGCTACTGTGGAATTGTACTCTTATGCATCATCTCCTTCTCTCTGCTAGTCCTGGGCAGCAAACCAAACTGTGGGAACACTTTCTGCCCAGCATGCCTCTTCCTTCAGCTCTAGCCCATTTCTCCCAGCAGTTTGGTGCCCCACTTGCTTCCCTGAGCATGTTCTTCCCTCTTGTGATCTTGACTCTTTTGAAATTAAAAGGCCCTCTCCTGTAATGCTATCAGCATGGCTCTCTTCTCTCAGACACACAGATATACACACAGGGCACAGATTTCAGCTATATGCACACAGCCATGCTGCCACACACAGCCAAGATTTACTGCTCTGGAAATGTTGCCTCTTTGACAGATTTATTCTTTGAAAAGTGAGAGATTCCCCTCCTGGGATGGACCTGAATGGGGTTGATGGGGGAGACAGAAAGGCCTGCATTGCCAGGCAGCCCACCCAGGCTCCAGGCATCTGGCAAAAGGTGGCGTTTTTTGCCAGGAAGGGGGCTAATAAAAGGGGAGAAGCAAATATAAATCACAGAGATTGGAGGACTGGCAATGCCACTTGTCCTTGGAAAGAGCCGAGGCTTTAGAGCCATTGCAAAGATTCAGATGCTTCAGGGGATTTATAACAACATCTGGTCCATCTGCAGGTGGATTTTTAGTACCTAGGTAGGAAAGCTCCTATTTCAACAAACAGAAGCTGCAGAGCAGTGAATCTCAAGGTGGGGACAATAGCTTAGTAAGTTACCTGGGGAGCTTGTACAAACTATATATGCCCAGATTCTAAGAGGCCTATCAGAATCATCCAGGTCAGCTTGCATAGCTTTAAAAGCTCCCAGTGATTTCATTATCATCACTGTAGACTATTCCTGGTATATATTTTAGTTCTACAACCCAGGCTGACATACACAAGTCCATGAAGGAAGAGAGCTGGCTCTGACACGTGCGATATTCGGTTGATATGCAGCTCCAAGCTGCCTGAGCGAGGAAACCTTGAGGAAAGGGAGCCCAAAAATCTCTGTAGACATCTGGGAAAGAGTCAGGGCAATGTTCTAGCAGACCCTGAAGAGCTCTAAATCTTCTTGCTACTTATAACTGCAGCCTTTAAAGTTGTCAAAACGCAAATGCAATCTTGGATAGCATCGCTGAAGAGTTTAGTATATGACCCAGACAGCAGTGCAGTTTTGCTGCCCAGGTCCTGTCAGACCACCCAGGGATGGAAGCCTGTTGAGTTTTGAGTGCATCTTTGTAAGAGAGAGAGTGATGAACTGGAACTCACCCAGAGAACACCGAGCACACTGCAGGTACCGGAGGGCTGTGACTTGAGCAAAAGGAAAGGGGATCATCATCAAGGAAAGTAGAAGGCTGAGAGGAGCAGCACAACAGCCTTTAGAACGCTGAAGAGGCCAGGCATGGTGGCTCACGCCTGTAATCCTAGCACTTTGGGAGGCCAAAGCAAGCAGTTCACTTGAGGTCAGGAGTTTGAGACCAGCCTGGCCAACATGGCAAAATCCTGTCTCTACTAAAAATACAAAAATTAGGCAGGCATGGTGGTGCACACTTGTAGTCCCAGCTACTCAGGAGGCTGAGGCATGAGAATTGCTTGAACCTGGGAGGCAGAGATTGCAGTAAACTGAGATCCTGCCACTGCACTCCAGGCTGGGCAACAGAGCAAGTCTTTGTCAAAAAAAAAAAAAAAAAAAAAAAAAAAAAACCTCTGAAGGGCAGGGCTGTGCAGGAAAATTAGAGGTTGTTCTGTTTAGCTGCAAAAAGGAAAAAAGGGGAAAGAAAGGGAAAGCACTATGATAAGCATTTAACAAATGTCACCTGTCAGTCCTCACCACAACCCTATGAGGTAAATGTTATCAAATCCATTTCTCAGACAGGAAAACTGAGGCTTAAAAAGTTAAGCCAGGCTTGGTGGTACACACCTATAATCCCAGCTACTCCGGAGGCTGAGGTGGGAAGAATACTTGAGCCTAGGAGTTCAAGTTTAGCCTGGGCAACATAGTGAGATGCTATATTTAAAAGAATAACAATAATAATAATAAATTTTTTAAGTTAAAGAATGTATCCAAGGCAGCCAATTTTCAAAGAATAAGAATTTGATTCCAATCTGTAGGTGACTCCCAGGACTATTCTTCCCATTACTCCATTAAAAAATAATTAGCCCTGGGAATAAAAGTTAGTGAAAAGACTCCACATAGGAAAGAAATGTGGTAGATGCATTTTGGTGCCTCACCCCAGCCACTTTGCCTAAGTTTTTCCTAGTGATGCATCCATCTCCCCAGCAACTGAGCTAAGAGTATTGGCTGATAAACCCTCTCAGTCCCATTCTTGGGAGAATACTCATCAAAAGACTAGCCCCCTGCTCACCCCAAACATCCCCACACTGCAAACCTTAGCCAATGACTAACTAGCACAGAGGTACAAAAGGCTGGACTCCCTGCTTTGCAGAGAGATCGACTCTGTGAGCTCCCTGTGAGATAGACTGCAGCTAGTGGCCAGTGGCGATCTCATTATTACATAGTATTTTCCCCTGCCCTATTCATTTTCCTGAACACACGCCCCTACTTGCAGAAGAATCCCCATCTTGGGCTCTGCTTCTGTGGAAACTCTAAGGTGACTTACCCTCTTTGAACTGTAAAATCAAAAAGGGTAAGTCACCTTAGAGTTTCCATAGACTCTTTGATTTTACAATTCAAGGTCTCCAAAGGGTATAAGTTTACAATGAGAAATGAAAAGAAGGGATGGGAGATTGTATTAGTCCATTCTTGTGTCACCATGAAGAAATACCTGAGGCTGAGTAATTTATTAAAGAAAAGAGGTTTAATTGGCACACGGTTCTGCAGGGTGTACAGGAAGCGTGGTGCTGGCATCTATGTTTGTTGTGAGTGCCTCAGGAAACTAACAATCATGGCAGAAGACAAAGGGGGAGCAGGTGGGTCACACAGCCAGAGAGGGAGTAAGGCAGGAGGAGGTACCACACTATTTTAAACAACCACATCTCTTGAGAACTCACTGTGGTGAGGATAGCACCAAGCCATTCATGAAGGATCTACCCTCATGACCCCAAACACTTCCCATCAGGCCCCACCTCCCACACTGGGGATTACATTTCAACATGTGATTTGGAGGAGACAAATATCCAAACTATATCAGAGATGAATGATAAGGAAAGCAGGACGAGAAAGGGGGAACTCAGGCTCCTGCACTGTCCTTGACCTACAGAGATGCAACCCCAAAGACTCCTAAGAGAAGTGTGACTGAATGAGGCCCCACCCTAGGCCTCACACCCATGGCCTGAGGTGATTTATGGTTACAGCACAACTTTATTTCCAGATAGGATTTCTATTTAACATTCAGAGAAAATTTCAACCTGGGGTCGAAAAAGAGGAAAATTTTTAAAAAGGAATACAATCAAGGACAACTATTCCTTGTGAATATAAATACCAAAAAGAAACTGTCCCTCGTTCCCTTTCTTTCTCTCGCTCATGGAGCAACAGAATTGGCCACTAAGCCAAACTTTACATACATGGTTGTCTGCAGTCTGAATATGGAATGGGGCTTGTGGTACACATGAAGATGTGCCTCTCCAATCCCCCTTCAGTGAAGAACTTACTGCTGCAGCTGCTGGAAGTGCTATCAGCAGAAAGCCTTCGACTGTCAGTCTTCAAGGACTGCCTCAGTTGCAGACAGCTGCTTCACCCAAGGCCAAGCACCTATCCACGTAGCCCACATCCAGTGACTGATCCACACAAGGATATAAAGGCTATCTCAGCCCAACTTGGGATTCAGACCTGTTTGGAATCCCCTGTGGGCTGGAACTAGTGACTTGTTCCTAATAAATAGAATGTTGCTTACATGATAGAATGTCATTTCCATGACTAACTTACAAAAAAGGTGACTGCCATCTTGTTTGCTCTCACTCTCTCTCTCACTGATATACTCACTTGCCCTTCTAACAGTTCGTGAGATGCTCTATGATGAGGCCCAGATGGCAAGGAACAGAGGGGGGCCTCCAGCCAACAGCTTGTAAGGAACTAAGTCTTCCAGCCAATAGCCTGTGAGGAAATGAAACCTGCCAATGACCACATGGGTGAGCTTGGAACAAATCCTCCCCACTCTATGTGAGACCACAGCCCACAGCTGACACCTTGATTGCAGCCTTGTGAGAGTGCCTGAGACAGAGGGCCCAGCTAGGCTATGCTCAGATTCCTGACCCACAGAAATGGTGAAGTAAGTTTTGAGGTAAATGTTATGTAGCAATAGATGAGTGATACAACAGTGAAGAGCCATTTTACGTCTAGAGCTCCCCAAAGGGTCAGCTGTGGCTGCTGTTGGACCTATATGGGAGTATGACATCTTCTGACATCTTCTTCTAACCAAATATGCTCCCTCTCCCCTCCTTTGCATGGGTGTTGATGCCAAGAGCATTCCGTAACAAACATCCTGAAAGCCGAACTCCATCTCTGTCTCTATTTCCTGGAGACCCCGACCTGTGAGAGGGTTCATCCAATAAACATCTCATGGAATAACTGCAGCCTCCACACACAATTCCCATTTAATAATAGTATCCCTAAAAGAATGAAACTCAATTCAATTCAACAAACATTTATCAAGTACAGCAGTGAACAAGCAGACAGATGTTGTGGGAAGACTGTCATTAAACACATAATAAGATATGAGTAAAAACCTTTAGATTCATGAGGGAAGAAGACCAAGAGTTAGCATCTCCTCTTTCCATTCCCCTTACCTTTCCCCTCATACAGCACAGGACTTGCAAAGGGCACCTATCTTTCTCTTTCACCTCAGACACTCTTTCTACCATTGTGCAAACCTGGGAAGCTTACACTCTCCCAGGGTCACCTTCCCAGGATGAGGCTGTAACTTCTACCCTTGACGTGGAGTATACCAGTGAGACCCCTGGTTTGCAGTAAATCTGTGCGAACCTTCCAGAAAATTAAAGAATACCCTAGGGATAAAGAATCTGTCAATCCATATCTCAAAATAATAAGAGCTATCTACGACAAACCCACAGCCAATATCATACTGAATGGGCAAAAACTGGAAGCATTCCCTTTAAAAACTGGCACAAGACAGGGATGCCCTCTCTCACCACTCCTATTCAACATAGTGTTGGAAGTTCTGGCCAGGGCAATTAGGCAGGAGAAGGAAATAAAGGGTATTCAATTAGGAAAAGAGGAAGTCAAATTGTCCCTGTTTGCAGACGACATGATTGCATATCTAGAAAACCCCATTGTCTCAGCCCAAAATCTCCTTAAGCTGATAAGCAACTTCAGCAAAGTCTCAGGATACAAAATCAATGTACAAAAATCACAAGCATTCTTATACACCAGTAACAGACAAACAGAGAGCCAAATCATGAGTGAACTCCCATTCACAATTGCTTCAAAGAGAATAAAATACGTAGGAATCCACCTTACAAGGGACGTGAAGGACCTCTTCAAGGAGAACTAGAAACCACTGCTCAATGAAATAAAAGAGGATACAAACAAATGGAAGAACATTCCATGCTCATGGGTAGGAAGAATCAATATTGTGAAAATGGCCATACTGCCCAAGGTAATTTATAGATTCAATGCCATCCCCATCAAGCTACCAATCACTTTCTTCACAGAATTGGAAAAAACTACTTTAAAGTTCATATGGAACCAAAAAAAGAGCCCGCGTCACCAAGTCGATCCTAAGCCAAAAGAACAAAGCTGGAGGCATCACACTACCTGACTTCAAACTATACTACAAGGCTACAGTAACCAAAACAGCATGGTACTGGTACCAAAACAGAGATATAGATCAATGGAACAGAACAGAGCCCTCAGAAATAATGCCGCATATCTACAACTATCTGATCTTTGACAAACCTGAGAAAAACAAGCAACGGGGAAAGGATTCCCTACTTAATAATTGGTGCTGGGAAAACTGGCTAGCCACATGTAAAAAGCTGAAACTGGATCCCTTCCTTACACCTTATACAAAAATCAATTCAAGATGGATTAAAGACTTAAATGTTAGACCTAAAACCATAAAAACCCTAGAAGAAAACCTAGTCATTACCATTCAGGACATAGGCATGGGCAAGGACTTCATGTCTAAAACACCACAAGCAATGGCAACAAAAGCCAAAATTGACAAATGGGATCTAATTAAACTAAAGAGCTTCTGCACAGCAAAAGAAACTACCATCAGAGTAAACAGGCAACCCACAAAATGCGAGAAAATTTTCACAACCTACTCATCTGACAAAGGGCTAATATCCAGAATCTACAATGAACTCAAACAAATTTACAAGAAAAAAACAAACAACCCCATCAAAAAGTGGGTGAAGGACATGAACACACACTTCTCAAAAGAAGACATTTATGCAGCCAAAAAACACATGAAAAAATGCTCACCATCACTGGCCATCAGAGAAATGCAAATCAAAACCACAATGAGATATCATCTCACACCAGTTAGAATGGCAATCATTAAAAAGTCAGGAAACAACAGGTGCTGGAGAGGATGTGGAGAAATAGGAACACTTTTACACTGTTGCTGGGACTGTAAACTAGTTCAACCATTGTGGAAGTCAGTGTGGCAATTCCTCAGAGATCTAGAACCAGAAATACCATTTGACCCATCCATCCCATTACTGGGTATATACCCAAAGGATTATAAATCATGCTGCTATAAAGACACATGCACACATATGTTTATTGCGGCACTATTCACAATAGCAAAGACTTGGAACCAACCCAAATGTCCAACAATGATAGACTGGATTAAGAAAATGTGGCACATATACACCATGGAATACTATGCAGCCATAAAAAATGATGAGTTCATGTCCTTTGTAGGGACATGGATGAAATTGGAAATCATCATTCTCAGTAAACTATCGCAAGAACAAAAAACCAAACACCGAACATTCTCACTCATAGGTGGGAATTGAACAATGAGAAGACATGGACACAGGAAGGGGTACATCACACTCTGGGGACTGTTGTGGGGTGGGGGGAGGGGGGAGGGATAGCATTGGGAGATATACCTAATGCTAGATGATGAGTTAGTGGGTGCAGCGCACCAGCATGTCACATGTATACATATGTAACTAACCTGCACATTGTGCACATGTACCCTAAAACTTAAAGTATAATAATAAAAAAAATAAAAAATAAAGAATCTGTCAATCAACAAGCACCCAAATGGATACACTGGGCCCTGGTGGCAGGGCAAAGTTGAGCATGTCCATCCCCAGAAGGGACACAAAAGAGAGAAGAATGTTGAAGAATGTCCCAACCAAAATACCAGGACATGATCCCCTTCCATGAGCCAAATAAAAGTTATTACCATTTGAGAAACTGTGTTTTCTCACCATTTTCTTCATTGCACTTAACATTGCATGAATTATAGTATTCATTTTCTTTCGTTACTTGTATCCCCTTAGAATATAAGTTACTTGAGGGCAAGGATTTTGTTTGTCCACTGCAATGTATCCAGTGCCTGGGACAATCCTAGCCTAGTAGGAGTTCACTGAGTATTGGTTGAATGAAGGAATTAATGAATGAATTAGTTAATTTATTTAGTGTTAATCTTCAGATTTGCAGATTCTGCTACACTTTACTAGCACAGAAGCTCTAGAGGAGCAGGGAGAATAGTGCCCCAAGTAACAGGTGTTCAGTCTAGAGGAGGGCAGGGGATGTTTTCATACTCAGCATTTTTTTCATTTATTACTGAAAACAAACGTATGAGGTGGTATTATTGTGCTGTCCATTTTGCAGATGAGAAAACTGATGAATGGAAAAATCAAGAAGCTTCCCTAAAGTCACACAGCCGGAAAGTTGCTAAGTAGGGATTTGAACTCAGATCTCTCTGACACCAAAGTGTCAGCTCTTTTCACTTACCCTACAGATATTGCATTTACAGAGACACACCAGTAGTATAATCCCTTTGTTTCAACAAATATTTAGTGAGCAGCAAGGGTGCATCAGGACTACAGGCTCTTCAAGAGCAGGGGCCAAGTCTGCCTTTACTCACTGTTGATCCCCACACCTGGAACCATGCCTGGCATAAAATCAGTGATCAATAAATATTTCTTAAATGAAAAAAACAACTGTGCTAGGTGCTCAGACTATATAAAACAGCCATAGTCCCTGTCCACACTGTTTAGAGTATGGTGGGGTCAAAGCCACATGGAGCATACCAGAAAGGATGATCATCATTATAAGAAAAATTTATTGAGCATTTGCTACATGTAAAATGCTCTTCTAAGCATTTTCCATGGATTAATTTATTTAACACTCCCAACAACCCTTTGAAATAGGTACTATTTCCTCATTTGATAATAGTACTATTATCCTTATTTGAAAGATGAATAAACAGAGGCCCAGAAAGGCTAACTTGCCAAAGATCACAAAGCTAATGAGTGGTAGAACCCAAGCAGTTCAGAGACTGTGTGCCAATAAGTGGTCACTGTATTGCCTCTATCTGATAATTATAATCATAACAATAAACATGAGTACCTGAATGCTGAAAATCCCTAATGGCATTTGACCTCATAAACTGGGAAAGGAGTGGAATGACACTGTTTGAAATATAGCACCATCAAAGACACCCTAATGCCAGCCTTCACATTTCCCCAGTGAAAGTTTCCACAAGCCCTTGTCAACCCAGGCAAAGCCATGGATCAGGAGCCAAGGTCAGTTCTCTGTACTGATCTGATCCATCTGCCCCACTGCCCTTCTTCTGAGACCTTCCCACCCAAGGGGCTGGCAACTGGACCACATAGCTCCTTGATCCCACCCACAGCTTTTCAAACAGAGGCCATGTCTGCCTAGAGCCACTTTACTTATGAAGACCTTGAAGTATTGATATTCTGATGGTACCAGGCAGAGGATGTCTTAACCCCAAGAAGCAGAGGTAATCACTCAGGGCAGAAAGTTTCTGGAGACTTCCCTCCCTTCAGCAGCATCTGCCTAGAGTACCTTACATGAAGGACATATGCTCAGTTTGTAAGCACAGAGATTTGGTTTCAGATTGATGACCTCATTCTTAAAAGGCTGGAGAGATAACTCTTCAGCTGGTTTTCTGTAGAAGTCAGGATATGGTTATGAACTTCTTTGCACATCTCCAAGGTTTAGGTATGGAGGTAGCTGTTCAAGGAAATGAGCTTTGAGAAGTTGTCTCTCCTGTGCTCCTTCCCTCCAATGGTGTGGCTCCTACATAGCTCCACAGTCATACAAAACTGCTGGTGTTTGTAAAAACTTCTAGAAAATGTGAGGGAAGAAGAACACACAACTAGACTTGGGTTGCACAATTCTACCCCACAACCACCAGCCACATCCATCCAGAAGAGTAGCACATCCACCCATGAACTCACCTGAGGTGCCACCCAGAAGACAGGCATTTGACCATGAACTGATGGAAGGGGTAGAATATAAGGACCTTTTGTCCTTTTCCAGGTGGAAATGAGAATTATCTAGCTGTACTTTGTGAAATTTAGCTTGCTCATTCTCCCCATCCCCCTGTGAAATAACTTTAATTCTGACCAGGAGAATTGTGGATCAAAACTAACACCTCCAAAAAGCCAGCAAGGAGCCAGCCCTGCATACAGAGCACAGATGCAATGTGGCCAGCATATGATATAACTGCATTGGTGATTCACCCAGTATATAAGATAACAGCCATGCTTTGCACAGCTTCTTTTCTTCTATAATCTCCAAAATCAGACCCAATCCAAATGTGATGTGTTAAAAAGAGAGAGATCTTTAATGAGCATGGAGAACTAATAGAAAAATTCAGTTTCTTTTAACTGCATTAAACAGAAATGCATAATTAGAACAATGTATTACTGAAAGTTAATTCTAGGGAGGGTAGGCACCTTCAATAAGGTATGTAAGTTTGAGAGTCTATGTGACAGTGAAGATTCAATGAGAAAGGGGCTTCTGGCTAGAAAAATTCTTTCAAATAACCACAACAATGGTAAAAAGCACTAAAGCCTCTTTCCCTTCCAAGGCATGGCTTACAGATGGCTTTTCCCAGACGGTGTAAAAGCCAGAGCTCCACATTTGTCCGGTGAAATGAGTAACATCATCTTCCTTACCTTTTTTTTCTAAGGGGACTAGAATTCATACAGGTTCACCATTTGCCAATACCCACGTCTTCTGACTCCCAATCTTGTTCTTTGTTCTCAGCTCCACATGGTCACTCAGAAAAGTGGAGCGCAGACTTTATGAGTCCTTCCCCACCCTGCAGAGAATATACCCACTTGGCCAGCCAGAGAGAGGCAACCATGGAGAGGTGCCCCTTGCACATCCTCCTGCACTACTCACACAATACACACATGCACGAGCGCACGCGTGCACACACACACACACACACACACACAGTTGTAGTCAGAGACATGGAGATAAGGAGATAGTTCACTTAAGGGGGGCTCCCAGTCCTGATCCTAAGGTTTTCTGATCTTTCACCTTAAAAATCACAGACCTCTCAGATGGAACCACAGTTAACACACACACCAATAAACACTCCCTACCCATGCTGTCACTCATCAATCTGTCTAGCAAAGTCCCCTGCTGAGGTCAGAAGTGGCTCTCTCAATGGCCCAGCTTGACCAGGCTTCACACCTAGATCACACATGGATTGAGATGCAGGAAGTGCCACCCACTCCCACCCCATCAACACTTAGAACAATCCTTCGTGGTGAAGGGACAGCATGGGCCACAGTGGCTCAGAACAGAACTTAGGGTCAGATGGAGTTGAATTCATACCTCACTTCTTCCATTCTTCAGGCTTTTGCACAGCTCCAGCGAGCACCATTCACACTTTCCAGTGAGCACCATTCACACTTTTACCTAAAGGCATAAGATTCACGGAGAATACAATGTGAATGATCATCCCCCATCCCCCACCCCCCCAATGGAGTTGTGACATGCTATGGCCCTATCCACTAGCTATTAGCAATGAACTAATAGTATTATTTGAGAAAGAGCTTGGCCATCACTATATTTGTAAAGTGACCATTTTAATGTCTACATCTCCAACTTATTCTAAGGATCAAATTAGATAATATATGAAAAGTGCTCAGCACAGAGCCTGACACATTGAAAGCATCAGTAACTAGTAGCAATGATTATTTTTCAAGTCACCTAATCTAGGATCATGCCCACACAAGAACCATTGAGGTACTTGCTCTAAGAGCTTCATGAAAGAATTCTATGACTCAGAGAGTTCCTCAACCTTACCTATGAGCCTTACTTGATTTCCCAGCCAACCCCAAATCTGGGTAGCCTCTTACTCTGTAAGTGCTACATGGAAAGGAGTGAATTTGGGGAGAATGAAGCCACTATGAGACACTATTAGAAATTTCTATTAGAATGATAAGGAGCAAAGAGTTCCCCGCACTGTACCACCCATAACCTGCCCCCATGGATGCAGTGTTATACCACCTCATTTTTAGAATAAGGAACCATGAGGCCCTCACCCGTACTCTCCAGGCAGGGATTTGTGTATGTAATTAACAGAGATTAACAGCTGAATACAAAGGAAAATAATCCCTTACATTTTTATCATTGTACATGTTGTCCAGTGTGCTGCACAGTTGTTCAGTGGCCCTGCTCAACTGAGATTCCAGGAGAAAGTTAGCCCTAATGCCCTAAGGCAAACACCTTCATACATACATACATGCATATACATAATACATAATGAATTAACTCTCTTCTGTGCATGGTACTATCTATGTACCACCTTTAAAAGAATTGAGAAAATAATCACTTATATCATTTTCTGTGCTTCATGATTCAGAGGAGGAACCCATGAGGTAAAAGGCAGACATCATTACTCCCAATTTACAGAAGAGAAAACTGAGTTAAGAAAGGTGACTCACCCATGGTGACAAGACAAATAAGTGGCACAGGTAGGACTCAGTCTACAGACTCCAACTCAAGTACTCCCTTCTCGCCAAGAGGTGGGCCTAAGAAGCGTCTAAATTTAGCACCTGTATCTTTAATCACACAAGCAGGATCTCATCAACTCAGAGACTTTCAAAGAGGAAGGAATTTAAAGTTCATCTACTGCAATACTCTCATTTTACAGATGAGAAAACTCATTTTAATAGATACCATTATAATGTCCACTTCTCCCTAATGAGGTTATTTCCACATTCCATTTAATAGTCCATATTAATATAACATTGCTAATGTAGACACAATGGATTCTGCTAAATAAAAAAGGCGAAGTGGTAACAGATGGATTCACAAATCCTGTCTCTTCAGTGTCATATTTATGTTCAGTACCCTGGCTGGCCACAAACTAGCAGTGTGACCTGAAGAAAGTCACTTCAACCTTTCTGGGCTGAAGTTTTCTCATTTGTATAATGAGAAGATTGGATTAGAGAATTTGTCTTCCATTTAGGTCCCTTCCAACTCTGAAACTCTTATCTGTGAAAGTACTTTGCAAGGTCATCTACTCCAGCCACCACCTCCCCACTCAGAGATAGCATCTCTCTAAACTATTATTTGCTAAAACCAGTTTTAGTCCCAAATCATCCTGTGTGTCCATCATACTGCAGATGTCTTTGGTGAAAGCATTTATTTAAATTCTGATTAAAGCTCAAGCAAAGTTAGCTCCAGACAGACAAGCCCTTCAGACATGAAAGAGATGAGAGTTTCCCATTCTCCAGACCAAGCCCTGAAAAACCCCAGGAGATTTGACCCAGAAGGAGTGATGTCTACACTCACATATCTACACTTACATGAGCAGAACACTCTTTCTTAGACACCTAATATACGCTATTTGTTTTGTCCCACTGAACCCATGGCTAGAGTCCCAAAAGCAGCGGCAGTGGAATCTCCACAAAAGAAAGCCCCAAACTGTCCTGAGATGGAGTTCGTTTGGATTCCAAAGAAAGAAGCATTGAACACTAAGGTGATCAATCCAAAGCATTTATTAGGGGAACTTACAGAAGACTACAGCAGTCCTGGCAATGAACAGTAAGAGAAAAGTGGTGTTCTACTTAGACATGTCTGCAGCAGGAGTTCAGGGTGTGGAGTTTACATGAGTGTTTAAGGAATGTGGGTCAGGGTCTGGGTCAGGGTCAGGTTTTTTTCTAGTAAATCTAGATACCTTTATCAGTGCCTGGGAATATTCAAAACCCTGATTTGGGTTCAAGCCTGCTGGGAAAATCCTGCAGCTGGTTGAGTCACAGAGCAATCAAGACACTCCATGATTTTTGGTAAAGACACAAAAAGCAAGGGCAAATGGGGACTCTACACTGTTCTAACCTGAGGCAGCCACCTGCTTCTGAGCCTCTCCATCTTCCAGAAAGGAAGCTGGGTGCAACGCATTCCCAGCAACTCAGTCTTACAGGGCCAAGTCTTTCCAATGACTGAAATTCCTCTAAAAGAGAAAGAATGTCCCAAGTGGTCATCAAAAACAAGCTCACAAAGGCAAGGTATGGAGTCAAATAGATACAGGAAGCTCTAAGAAGATGACTACAGCAAGTAGCAAGTTGAACAAAACACAATGGATATTTAGGAATGCTTTGTCACAACTGAGGTTTTTTGTTATAATTTTTATTTAAGGAAATATAAAAAATACAAAAATTTTTAGAATTTTTTAACTATATAAACCATTTTGTTATATGTGACTCTAAATGGTAAAAAGAAATAAAACAGAATAAAAGATGAAGTGCCTTTATAGGCCATCTTCTGCCTCTCTCATTCCCTCGAGACACCCCTGTGTATTCCCACACATACACCCAAGCACACATGCACACACAGGCATCCATAGTCACAAGACCATTCTCATGAATTTAGGGTCTAATCTTTCCATTCATCTCACATTTCAGTTTTTCTAAACATGTTTATATATCTAGATCAAGTCTATTTAGGGTAGTTTGAAATGCAAGGATAATGTGTAATAACTAATCACAATCTCATAATTTTTAATGATTTGTGATGCCTCGTGAGAATTTTTGTACTTAGGTTGCCTTTTGCTTCTTCCAAGTATAGTAGTTTCCATTATATATATTTGAATATATATCTCTATATATCTGCATACATATGATATGATATGCCTGCTTGTTCTATTAATGATAAGGCACTTGCCATCAGATGTCCACCCACAAATGCCTAGGTGCCATGGAAATTTGCTCCTGAACTACTCCTTTTGGCACCTCTTAGGATCCCTGTATCTGCTACTCGAGTCCAAATGGGCAAAACTCCCCAGCGTCTACTTATACTCATGGCTTGTCCAGCAGGAAAAGGTTATATTAATATTATGTGGGGTTTGAATCTGGTTTTAATTGAATATTAAATGTATATACCCTTGTTTGCCTTTCAATGTTTCCTTAAGATAAAAGAAGTAGTCCCATTTTATAGATAGGGCCACTGAGACAGTGAAAGTTTAATGTCATTATTGTCACAAGTAGATAAGGGTTGAGAGTCACCAGGTCCAAAATGTTAAAAAATACAGTCTGTTCTTGGTCTTAGTCACCAGATAGCCTCCTTTCAAAAGCAAGCAATCACACAGACAGGTGAAACACAGTCCCCAGAAGACTCTTCATGAACTACTTCCGAGTCTCTGAGAACTACTTCTGGCTTTCTGAGAACTACTTTCACTTCGGGTTTTCAGCTGGGGCGAGGGGGAGTCCCACAGGGGACCAAGAATGTGCGTAATGTTGGAAAGGGGAGTGGGAAATAAAGTTCCAGAAATGGGATACTTGACTTTGCAGTCATATGAGGTGAGTACCATACAGCTGGTAGTCAGCAGCAGATTGCAGCCATAAATCTGAGAGGTGGGGCTTGATTTTCACAACCCTCCATGTAGACAAATCTTTCCAGCTCTCCCATCAGCAACCTGTGGGAATAAGAAGGAGCCGGGAGTGCTCCAGAGGACCACCTCATACTTAAATGGAAGCAGTTCCACTCTACCAGAGGTTTCAGAGAAGTTTCGTTTGAGAAACCTTTAAATTAAAGTATGTGCCAACTTGATCCACTGGTAGTGATTGACTGAAGCAGTGTGTTGAAATACTGAGGTCATTTCCAGGCTCTAGAAGAAAATTCTGTGATCAATTACCAATATCTGCCATTGGTACTGAAGGGGAAATAGCATGATGCCATTTATGTGCAAATCCTGTATTAGAAGTAAATATCAAAATAAAAATTTTATGTTCCTATTTGATGCCAGGTGGTTTCCTTATGACCAGGTGGTTTCTCTTCAAACTTTCATTCACATGCTCCCTAAAAGATTTTTGAAAATCTTTGTATCCTTCACTTTTTCAGTTGACATCTAAAATTCTCTACGATAAGTTCAGGGTCACAAAGGGTGTCAATTATGGAGTATTGTAAATATTAATATTCTACAATAGCCGTATTCCTTTTTAAGTATAGATAATAAATTTAAATATCATTTGATACCCACCATTATCCATTTTTAATATGAGCAATTTTTATTTTTTTCCAGCTATTTGGATATTTATTTAATCAACATTTACTGAGTAGGTTTATTTTCTTGGTGCTAGCAGCATAAGATATACAGGATGAGTCCTGTATATATATCAATTTTAAAAATATATGTCAATTTCAAAAACAGGCAAAACTATACTATTTTGCTTAGGGATAAATATGTAGGTGGTAAAATTATACATGAAAGCAAGAAAATGTCTATCATAAAAGTCAAGGTGATGATTACATCAAGGGAAGGTGAGGGAAATGTCACCTTCATCATCATGAAGAGAGGACACACACCTGGGGGAGTTGCAGGGTAGTACAGGCTTGGGCTAGGTATCTCATTCTTCTGCACATTCTTAGACTGCCTGAGCCTCTTTTTAACAGAAAAAAGTGATTGCATAGATACGAACTGAAAACACAGAGGGTGTGCCAGAATAGGGGAATTTTTGCACTTGAAGGATGCAAATGATGTGCATTCTTTTTTTTTTTTAATGATTTTACCTTTGTTTATTGACTAAAGATTTGGTTCCTTTATGTCTTCTTAGATTTTCCCTATGTCATCCAAAATGTTATTTTTTTAATTTTAAGTTCCAGGATACATGTGCAGAACGTGCAGCTTTGTTACATAGATATACATGTGCCATGGTGGTTTGCTGCATCAACTAACAGGCAAAATAACCAGCTAACAGCATAATGACAGGATCAAATTCACATATAACAATATTAACCTTAAATGTAAATGGACCAAATGCCCCAATTAAAAGACACAGACTGGCAAATGGATAAAGAGTCAAGACCCATCAGTGTGCTGTATTCAGGACACCCATCTCACATGCAGAGACACACATAGCCTCAAAATAAAGGGATAGAGGAAGATCTACCAAGCAAATGGAAAACAAATAAAAAGCAGGGGTTGCAATCCTAGCCTCTGATAAAACAGACTTTAAACCAACAAAGATCAAAAGAGACAAAGAAGGCCATTATATAATGGTAAAGAGATCAATTCAACAAGAGCTAACTGTCCTAAATATATATGCACCCAATACAGGAGCACCCAGGTTCATAAAGCAAGTCCTTAGAGACCTACAAAGAGACTTAGACTCCCACACAATAATAATGGGAGAATTTAACACCCCACTGTCAATATTAGACAGATCAACAAGACAAAAGGTTATCAAGGATATCCAGGACGAACTCAGCTCTGCACCAAGCAGAACTAATAGACTTCTACAGAACTCTCCACCTCAAATCAACAGAATATACATTCTTCTCAGCACCACATCGCACTTATTCTAAAATTGATCCCATAATTGGAAGTAAAACACTCCTCAGCAAACGTAAAAGAACAGAAAGCACAACACACTGTCTCTCAGACCACAATGCAATCAAATTAGAACTCAGGATTAAGAACTTCACTCGAAACCACACAACTACATGGAAACTGAACAACCTGCTCCTGAATGACTACTGGGTACATAACGAAATGAAGGCAGAAATAAAGATGTTCTTTGAAACCAATGTGAACAAAGACACAACATACCAGAATCTCTGGGACACATTTAAAGCAGTGTGTAGAGGGAAATTTATAGCACTAAGTGCCCACAAGAGAAAGCAGGAAAGATCTAAAATCGACACCCTAACATCACAATTAAAAGAACTAGAGAAGCAAGAGCAAACAAATTCAAAAGCTAGCAGAAGGCAAGAAATAACTAACATCAGAGCAGAACTGAAGAAGATAGAGACAAAAAAAACCTTCAAAAAATCAATGAATCCAGGAGCTGGTTTTTGGAAAAGATCAACAAAATTGATAGACCTAGCAGGGCTAATAAAGAAGAAAAGAGAGAAGAATCAAATAGACGCAATAAAAAATGATAAGGGGGATATCACCACCGATTCCCTGAAAATACAAACTACCATCAGATAATACTATAAACACCTCTAAGCAAATAAACTAGAAAATCTAGAAGAAATGAATAAATTCCTGGACACATACACCATCCCAAGTCTAAACCAGGAAGAAGTTGAATCGCTGAATAGACCGATAACAGGTTCTGAAATTGAGGCAATAAAAAAAAGTCCAGGAACAGATGGATACACAGCCAAATTCTACCAGAGGTACAAAGAGGAGCTGGTACCATTCCTTCTGAAACTATTCCAATCAATAGAAAATGAGGGAATCCTCCCTAACTCATTTTATGAGGCCAGCATCATCCTGATACCAAAGCCTGGCAGAAACATAACAAAAAAAGAGAATTTTAGACCAATATCCCAGATGAACATCGATGTGAAAATCCTCAATAATATACTGGCAAACCGAATCCAGCAGCACATCAAAAAGTTTATCCACCATGATCAAGTTGGCTTCATCCCTGGGATGCAAGGCTGGTTCAACATATGCAAATCAATAAACACAATCCATCACATAAACAGAATCAACGACAAAAACCACATGATTATCTCAATAGATTCAGAAAAGTCCTTTCATAAAATTCAGCAGCACTTCATGCTAAAAACTCTCAATAAACAAAGTATTGATGGAACATATCTCAAAATAATAGGAGCTATTTATGAAAAACCCACAACCAATATCATACTGAGTGGGCAAAAGCTGGAACCATTCCCTTTGAAAACCGATACAAGACCAGGATGCTCTCTCTCACCACTCCTACTCAACATAGTGTTGGAAGTTCTGGCCAGGGAAATCAGGCAAGAGAAAGAAATAAAGGGTATTCAGTTAGGAAGAGAGGAAGTCAAATTGTTTCTGTTTGCAAATGACATGATTGTATATTTAGAAAACCCCATAGTCTCAGCCCAAAATCTCCTTAAGCTGATAGGAAACTTCAGCAAAGTCTCTGGATACAAAATCAGTGTGCAAAAATCACAAGCATTCCTATACACCAGTAACAGACAGAGAGCCATATCATGAGTGAACTCCCATTCACAATTGCTCCAAAGAGAATAAAATACCTAGGAATCCAACTTACAAGGGTTGTGAAGGACCTCTTCAAGGAGAACTACAAACCACTGCTCAACAAAATAAAAGAGGACACAAACAAATGGAAGAACATTCCATGCTCATGGATAGGAAGAATCAATATCATGAAAATGGCCATACTTCCCAAGGTAATTTATAGATTCAATGCCATCCCCATCAAGCTACCAATGACTTTCTTAACAGGATTGGAAAAAACAACTTTAAAGTTCATATGGAACCAAAAAAGAGCCTGCATAGCCAAGACAATACTAAGCAAAAAGAACAAAGCTGAGGCATCACGCTACCTGACTTCAAACTATACTACAAGGCTACGGTAACCAAAACAGCATGGTACTGATACCAAAACAGAGAGATAGACCAATGGAACAGAATAGAGCCCTCAGAAATAATGCCACACATCTACAACCATCTGATCTTTGACAAACCTGACAAAAACAAGCAATGGGGAAAGGATTCCCTATTTAATATATGGTGCTAGGAAAACTAGCCAGCCATATGTAGAAAGCTGAAACTGGATCCCTTCCTTACACCTTACACAAAAATTAATTCAAGATGGATTAAAGACTTAAATGTAAGACCTAAAACCATAAAAACTCTGGAAGAAAACCTAGGCAATACCATTCAGGATATAGGCACGGGCAAAGACTTCATGACCAAAACACCAAAAGCAATGGCAACAAAAGACAAAATAGACAAATGAGGTCTAATTAAACTAAAGAGCTTCTGCACAGCAAAAGAAACTATCATCAGAGTGAACAGGCAACCTACAGAATGAGAGAAAAATTTTGCAATCTACCCATCTGACAAAGGGCTAATATCCGGAATCTACAAGGAGATGCAAAACTACTGGTTGTTGTAAATAGCATATAAAACACAGAGGAAGCAGAGTTAATGCTTTTATTCAGACTTCTAAGCAGCATAATGGTCCTTTGAAATGATAGCTTCACTCAGACAGCCCCTGAATCAGTAGAGCTTAGGAGGTGGTAAAAGAAAAATTGAGTCTTCCTCACCACAAAGGACAATATCAGGGCCAGACATGGTTGCTCATGCCTATAATCCCAACATTTTGTGAGGCCAGTGCTAGAGGATCACTTGAAGCCAGGAGTTCAAGACCAGCTTGGGCAACATAGCAAGACCGCATCTCTCAAAAAAAAAAAAGGACAATGTCAATGTCTCCTTTCTATCCCAGGCAGAGATGGAACTATATGGTCACTGTTTTCATGGTTTCAGAGGGAGAAATAAAAACCAACCTATTATTTTCATACTTCCTTTGCATAATGAACAAGCAGAAACACCTAGCCCAAAGGAGAATGGGCATTCTTCTCAAGGTTTGGACGACATAATCTCCTACATCCTCTTAGCCCCAGCAGAGGGGGCAGGCATGCTCCCACAGGTTCACTTGCAGGGGGTGCCAAGTCCTTGCCCTGCTTTTTCAGCCTCTTTTCTTTTCTCTTTTTTTTTTTTTTTTATTATACTTTAAGTTCTGGATTACATGTGCAGAACGTGCAGGTTTGTTACATAGGTATACACGAGCCATGGTGGTTTTTCAGCCTCTTTTCTTAAAGCCACTAAATCATGGGGCTTCTAAATAATACACTATGAAGAGATGGACTCATCACCCACCAAAAATTGCCAATTGGCCAGGTGTGGTGGCTCACACCTGTAATCCCAGCACTTTGGCAGGCCGAGGCGGGCAGATCATGAGATCAAGTGTTCGAGACCATCCTGGGCAACATGGTGAAACCCTGTCTCTACTAAAAATACAAAAATTAGCCAGGTGTGGTGGCGGTGCCCGCCTGTAGTCCCAGCTACTCGGGAGGCTGATGCAGGAGGATCGCTTGAACCCAGGAGGCAGAGGTTGCAGTGAGCCGAGATCGCGCCACTGAACTCCAGCATGGTGACAGAGTGAGACTCTATCTCAAAAAAAAAAAAAAAAAAAAAAGAAGTTGCCAATTACTGATGCAGGGGCTATCTCAGGTCAACTGGGTGGATGCCACATATAGGTAGAAGGCTCTCTTGCTGCCAAGGGTCTATTTCTAATGCACACAAGATGGTCAATAGCCAAGTTTATCAGATATGGACATGGTGCATATAGGATCAGTCCATTGGTACTTATTTATTATTTATCTACTGTGCATCAAGCACCATGCTGGACACTGTGAGAGAGACCCAAAGCAGCAAAAGATTTGGGCCCTGCCTTGAAACCATTCACAAACTGATTGGGCAAATGGGATTAACCAACAAGAGACAATTATTGAGCAATAGAGTTAAGATGTTCCAGTCACAGAAGGTTTTACAGGGGAAAGAAGATATTTAGCCAAACCAGAAGGGTAAACAGTATATGGATGGACCTGAGATAAAAAGGCATCCCTCACAAAGTCAGCCCTCTGGGCAGAGGCACTGAGGAAGAAGACACCATAATAGGGATCAAGGGCAGGGAGGGAGAGGAAGGGAATGGAACAGCCAAGACAGGGTGTGACTGGTAAGGACAGTTTATGTCAGGAGCATTGGACAATAAAGTCAGATTAAGGAAAGTCAGGCAGAGAAATGTGAAGCTTGACAAGGTAATGGAAAAGAGGTTATATCTTGTTTCTTATTACATATATTTAAGGTGTACAACATAATGTTTTGATATACATATACATAGTGAAGTGATTACTAAAGTCAAGTAAATTAGCATATCCATAATCTCACCTAGTTACCTTTCATGTGTGTGTGTAGTAAGAGAACCTAAAATCTACACTCTGAGCAAATTTCCAGTATATGATACAATATTATTAACTACAGTTCTCATGCTGTACATTTGATCTCTAGACTTCTTCATCTGATATAACTGCATCTTTGTGCCCTTCAACCTATGTCACACTATTTTCTCCTTCCCCAACCCCTGGTAACCACCTTTCTACTTCTCTGTTTCTGTATATTTGATTTTTTTCTTTTTAGATTCCACATATAAATAGAATATACTGTATTTTTCTTTCTCTGTCTGGTTCATTTCACTTAGCATAATGTCCTCTTGTGCATCTAGGTTGCCAAAAATGGCAGAATTTTCTTCTTATTTAAGGTTGAATAATATTCCATCGTATATATATGGAAAAAAATTCTTAAATGTGTATGGAACCACAAAAGACCCTGAGTAGGCAAAACAATCTTGGGAAAGAAAAACAAAGTTGGAGGCATCCCACTTCCTGATTTCAAGTTAATCATAAAGCAAGAGTAATAAAAACAGTATGGTACTGGGCATAAAAACAGAAAACAAACCAATGGAACAGAATGCAAATCCCAGAATGAACTCAAGCATATATGTTCAACTAATCTTTGACAAGGCCACTGAAAAGATATAATTGTTTCTTGAGTAAGAAAAGGACACGGAAAAGCAAAGTTCTGGAAAAATTATCTTGAAATAAGTGTTTTAATCTAGTTGAATATGAGTTTTATATATCTTAAAGCCTAATCTGGAGACAATTCTCAAAGAGGTAGGCCACAAACTCAATTTACAATGCTTACGACAGTGCTGAATGCAGGGTGGTTGGTATTAATTCATTCATGCGTTAAGCAAACATTGAGCACCTACTATGTTTTAGGCACTGTGCTTGGGACTAGAAGAACAAACATAATGAATGAAATATTGTTCTTGTCCTTGAGTCTATAAGTGTCTCATCCTGACTCTACTATATTGAATTACTGGTCACAATTCTTTACTTCCCTGAAGGAAAGTAAAGAATCCTTGCCATGATCTCATAGGACAGGATATATTCATGACTCCACCAACTTTAGCCTTAGCCATGTGACTTTCTCAGGACAATGCTATGTTACTAAACATAACACAAGTAGCAGCTTGAAGTGTGCTTATGTGGTTGGACAAACCCTCTTGAGTTTCTGCCATTGCCATGAGAAGAGCTTCCCCCAGAGACCTCCTGCCCCTTCAGCCTGGACCCCAGAATGAATGTGTATAGAGCTGAGCTGCCCAGCCAACCCACAGACCTGCAGCCTGAAGGAGAACCACTTCAACTGACCAGCAGATATGCAAGAAATATGGGCTTATTGTTATATGCCATTAAGATTTAAGATTTTGTGTTTCTTATGCAGCAATAACTGACTGATATACTTGCTGTCAAGGCCTTTCCTGCTCAAACCTGTCTACATTTCCAATATTCTCTTCCATTCTCCTCTAAACGTATCTTACAGTTGAAGCGAAGTGGACTGACTGCTCAGTGTGCCCTCAACCAAAACGTGCCTTTGCTTGATTCAAATATAAGTACCAACATCCTTTCTATCTCTGCCTATCAAAATCTTACCTGTCATTTTAAGTGCGATCTTATAAGTTATCTTCTCTCTAAAGCTTTTCCTAATCCTAACTGTATAGATACGGAGCACCGTGGATTCTCTCAGCCCTATCTCCTCACTCCCAGCCTTACCCACCCACCTTACTCTCAGGCCAGAATGACCTTAGTGGCAGCTCATGTTGTTTTAATAATCACAAATTGCAAGCCACCACTGCTGCCACCACAAACCAAGAAGCACCAACAGACACCAACTGACCATCCCTGTGCACTGGACTGACTGGACCTATTGAGGCTCTGGCCTCCCCAGAAACCTCCTAGACGGCTAAGTAACACAACCCAAAACTGTGAAGAAGTCAGTGTTCATGAAGCAGACTCAGACTAATGAGAGACAGGAGAGAGGCAAAAGCCAGCAAACAAATTGTTCCCTCTTCCTTGTCTATGACAGAGAGATAACTGTCCCATGCATTCTCTCTGGAGACGGCCCATGTGACTGAGCAAACATCTGGATTTGTAGGAAGCTGTAATCAGCTTGATGATGCACTGCCTTGCATTTTCTCTCCCTTCCTGCCTCACTTTTTTTTTTTTTTTTTTTTTGCCTCACTGTTGCTTCCTTGATGTTGCATTCCTAGTAAACTATTAGCATACAGAATTCTGCCTCAGGCTCTTTTCTCATGAGAATCCAGTTGAAACACTAGATAAATATGATCTCTTCTTCCTTTGACCCCAAATGGTACTTTTAACTCCTCTTATGGATGTTACTTATTTATACTGCTCTGTGTTAAAGCTATTCTGATGGGTTCACCCACACCAACTGCCATGTGCTTTATGCACAGTAGACACTCCATAAATGCTTTAATTAAATGAAATTGAGTCTGTCTCATTAGATTCAAGTCAATAAGTAAAAACAGTCATTCAAATGATCAAAATATATTTGGCCCGTTGGTCCCATGAAATATATTAGCACCAAAACTCTACTCCAATTTCTACTTTTCCCATAAACATCAACACAAACCAGCTTTTTGTTTCATCCTACCTCATTAAAAATAGAAATACAAATACTTGCAACAATTCTCTGGAGATGCAAAAAGGCAGAGAAAGCAGATGGCTAATTAAGGATCCGGGGTACAGTCTATATTTCTAAAGTCTTATTAGAATAGCAGAGTTACCATCCCCTCACCACCATCATGACAACCTCCTTCTCTCACCCCTGTGTGAAGAGTTTACTTCCAGGCCCTTCTAAACACATTATGTTCTCATAAATCCCAGTAGCATTACTGAATCTGCTTAGACTTACAATCTATCACTACAATGATAGCACTAGGGAAAATATTGCAAAATCCAATGCATTATTGATGTCCTCTGTAATGAATGGCCATTCAGTAATTACACTCTCTCCTGTTAAAAATGCAGGAACATATGTGTGGTAAGAATTAAAATGTTTCCTAAAAGCTATAGAAATTAATTGTAGTATTTTCTGATTTCAATGCATTGTGGCTGTAACATTGGGCATACTTACCCAAGGATTCTTGTAAGCACCATTGCCTTAGCGTAAGTAGTGATTCCCTAAATGTTTTTACCCTCTCTGTGTAACCTCCTTCCCATCCCTTCACCACCAAATCCCTGCTTGTGGCCCATCCTCAGCAGAGGATACAGCCGGAGGCTTAGGCCATGACAAAACGAGTAATGGCCAGGTCAGGATCCCAAATGGGATAAAAATAGGGAAGGCTTCCAAAGTGTTGCATGTACGTCTGCAGGAAGGATTGTGAACAGAGCAATAGAACAACTAATGGACAACAGCCCATGTAACTATTAAAGCTGTCTATCTAGCTAAGAGTGGGCCACTCCAGAAGCCCATGATACCCTTGGCTATATTTTGACTATTCTAGCAGAAGCTGGATGACTGTTTATTGGAGGTAATAGGGTTATAAACAGGATTCACGGGTAAGAAGATCTTTTCACCTATAAGATGTTCAAATTCTGTGTGGTCTTCGTAAGTATGGTTTGCCATTGTCTCTACCTCATTTCCTGAGGAGAGTCATACAGACCAATATAATTGGAATCCATGCATATTCTGAAAGCCTGTACCTATCTGGCCTTGAGGTGCTTGTGCATTAGATATATTTGCTAACATATTTGTATTTCTTATATTGTCTTGTTATGCTTATTATTGGAATGGGTCTGCATTTCCTAAATCCACACCAATTTAATTTGACAGGAGGAAATGCTGGAATATGCTGCTGGTAATGGGAAATGGTCTCTGGTTTGCAGATGGATAATCAAGTTGAAAGAAGGAAAGAAAACCTCTGCATCAGGACACAGAGCAAGATCTCTGATTCTCCCGGGGTGCTGTTTAATCCGTGGTCAGAATGCTTATATGTCTTCCTTTAACAATTACTTAAAACCAGTCAAGATCATTCTTGGCACTTTTTTGGTTGCTTTTTCCAGCTTTGAAATAAAGTGCAATTTGCATTCCTTAAAAATCTAAGCAGTGAGGAAGAGTTAAGTGTCTTAAAATTAATGAGTTGCATTTAAACTTTTGTGTGAGCTCCAAGTCTGACAGATTGGGCGGTCTTGGAAGTGAAATTGTTATTCAGAAAGGATGTGTCCTTGGTGGTCCCTAGTCGAGGAAAGTCAGTGGGAAGAAAGAAAATGAGGAAAACCAATTACCGCAATTTGTACACCAAGAAAGACTGCATGTGATGCGTGAGCAGAATTCCTGAGTACAAATGAAAAAATGATGGCATTTAAGTGGTTTTGCCATCATTTTTGCTCATAATTTTTCACAAGCATCAAAGGGCATAGGATGAGAACAAGTGAGGGCAATAGGGTGCATGGTAACAGCCAGATATTTCCAGCCTCTGGTTTGGGTTACTCTGTCCTAGATAACAATGGTAGTGAAATGAGGCTTTTCAGATGATGGAAGAGAGAATATGAGATTTTGCTAATGATTGGTTAAACCAGGTGACTGCGTACTCTCTTTCCACCCTAACTGGGTATACTACAATATAATTCAATTCTGAGACTAATCACTCAGAGTTAGCATCAGACTCCACAGGTGTAAAGCCTCAGTCCTCCACAAGATTGCCCTTACTTCATACGGCAGCCACAAATTCTGGGAATCCCCAGGCCACCCACACTTCTGATGAGCTGGCCACAAATTCAAGGCTTCCCATGATCTTTTCACATTTGATAATTTGCTAGAATGACTCACAGAACTCAGGAAAGTGCTATGCTTATCATTACAGTTTTATTACAAAGGATTCAGATAGGGTAAGGTCTGGGGAAGAGTGCAGGAATTCCATGTCCTCTTCCTGTGGAATCAGAGCACATCACCCTTGGCCCATCAATGCATTCATCAACCAGGAAGCTTCATAGCATTAGTGGCCATAGTTTTCACTGGGGTTTGATTACAAAGGTATGATTGACTAAATCATTGGCCACATGATTGAACTCAATCTTCAGCCCCTTCTCTTCCTCAGAGTCAAGCTGTTCCAAAGCTCCAACCCCCTAACCACATGCTGGGTTTTTCTGGTGACTAGTCTCCACCTTGAAGCTATCTAGCACAGAAAGGATATGCCTATCACTCAGGAAATTCTGAAGGTTTCTGAATCTCTGTGCCAAGAACTAGGGACAAGAGACAAGGCCAGATAAAATTTTTATTATGTCATACTTAGTTTGTCCTCAATCTGAAATAAACAGTTTGGAAATGCCATTTACCTGACCTTCACAACATCTTCTACCTTACTAAAAGACAAAGTGGTTGCCATCTGTAGTCATGAAGGGGAAAGAGACAGGCAGAATCATTGAGCCTGAGTCCTGTCATCACCTATCACTTTAGGCTCAAGTGAAGGCAGACCTGGAAATAAAGCCCTGAGTTTATTCTGTGTATAGACATGTGGTTCTGGCAGAGTTCAAATATAGTCATTCCTCTTTATTCATAACTCTAAAAATAATAGCTAACATGGATTGAGCATTTAACATGTGCTAGGCATTATTCTAAGACCTTATATGTATTTAGTCTTCAAGCCCTTCAACAATTCTATGAGATATTAACCCATCCCTCTTGATGGACATGTAGATTGTTTCCAATTTTATTCTTAATAAAACAATATTACAATGAAAGATGAGGGTAAACCCAAAGGTTTGGGTGCCATGAACCAACACTCTGTTTACTCCTCATCTCTCACCTAAGGCATGGTAGAATCGCAGTTACCTTTATGATATTGGTCATGAGATAGCATTAAAGACTGTACTCTGGCGTTGATAATGATGCTATGTGAGAAGCTTCTTGAGTCTTGTGTTACTGCCCAGTGCAGGGGCTCAGACCCCAACTGGGGAGCTGTTCCTCCCGCCCAAAAACAAAAGTGAAAGATAAACTTTCCCATACTGTAGTGAAACAGAGAACACAGAAATGAAACACCCACGCAGTTGGCCAAAACACAGAATACTTAAATTGGGATAAAGTCCAAGACTTAACCTGGGCCTTACATAAGAGGAGGAGCATCATGCAGGGATAAGGATAAGTGTTCCAGAGTCAGAAGCTATATGCAACTCTGTGTTTTACCAGTTATAGGACCTGAGCAAGAGCCTCCATTTCCTGATGTGTAAAAGGCAGGCACATATAATAGTTTGGGACACACAAAGGAAGAATCCATTTGAAAATACTTCATAAAATATTATAAAATATCAACTAATGATATCTCCCAAATATTCCCTCTCACATGCCCAAGCAGCCAGAGATGTTTGTTATCATCTTGTCTATCCAATAGTTCCTTCAAGTGCGTCACATCTGCAATATGGTTCATCCATCCTGTTATAGAGGATGAAGTCTAGGCAAAATTATCCTAATTTTACAGGTGGGGAAAGCAAGGTGAAGTAGAGAAATGTGCAAAGGATAGGTAAAGATAGTTATAGTTGAAGACACTTGGCAAGGAGAACCAGAATACTGCTGACTGCCAACTCAGGGCTCTTTCCAGCCATTTACATTATTGTTTTTAAGGTGGTGTGGGCAGCAGCGAGCAATATAATGCCATGTTCTATCATCTTTGGTCTGGAGTAAAAGATGTAGCAATATGTATCATCATCATTATTATCATGTAACTGTTATTTGTAAATCCATTTTCTCTTTTGCCCATAGTGGCTTAATTTCCCTGAAAATACTGTTTTCATTCTATAATTATTAGCTGCATACACAAAGTTCATGGAATATAGAGCCACGATAAAGATTCATAGTAAATGATGGTCCTGTTTTCTTGCCTCTCCTGGCTTGGGTAGCTAGTGACCTGTCAGGGACCATACCCCAAAGCAGCAGGCTTCACATCACAACAATGAACCCCTCTCACTGTAATGCGGGACACAACTGAGGGATGCTCAGTGTTAATAGGCTAGATTCCCCATCCAAAGACTGTGATCAACAAATGAAGAGATAATAATGTTGATGGGTTCTAAGGCATTTTGTAGGATGATTTATCAGCCTTACAAAGCCCCTCCAGGACCCTTGCATTGTTAAAATACACACTTTCAATGCAGAATGGCACCACAGTGAAAGGATAGACTGAGATTTCAAAGAGCTTGTTTCTTTGAAAGCCATGACACTTTCTAGCTGTGAGAACTCAAGCAAGTCTCAACCTCTTTGGGTCACAGTTTATTTATCTGCAAAATGAGGATAAATGATGCCTAACCTGCCTACCTCTGAGATTGTCAGAAGAATCAAACAAGATCACTCATGAAATATTGTTTTGTGAACTTTGAGATGAGACAAAGTGGTTTCAATGACATGATGATGATGATAATGATGATGGATTGATTGATGGATGATGTCCTTCACAGACCTGGCACAGTTCTCATTATCATATTCATTTTTAGTGAGCAGAATAATTACGATTAGAACTTTGTGGAACAAAATTACCTCTCCCAGGAATTTCTTTTCTGTAAATGAGATTGCAGTAGATGCCCATAGTCAACTCTCACGATGGGAAGAGACTGGATCTCAGAATCTCTCACTTCTTCAAGGCATAGTCAAGAGGCAAAAAGAAGTTAGATGCAATGTTCTGTTTGCTAAAGGATTATGTCTGTGATCAACTAGTGAAGTTCAGTTAAATTTTCAATTAAAAGGACTTATCATTAGAACTGTTAGCTTTGAAAGTAGGCTTGCTGAACTCAATTCCCTGCATTGATATGCAATATCTTGCAAATTTAAATGTAACTGGCAGAATGAGAAGTATAATTTTATTTTCCTAAATCTATAAAGAAGATGAATACCCTTGTTTTAGAAAACAGTAATAGGCATTATAAATTTTCTAATTGTTCTTCTCTTAACAGAGATATTAGCTCCAAGAGGTTAACACAACTCTGTCTCCTCTAACAGAGTAGAGTTATATGGGACAAGATGCCAGGTGGTCCCATTATTCAGTTCCTTGGGGCCCAGGATGGGGCTATAGAGGACAGGAGAAAGTGATAGTGGTGAGGTCAGCAAGGAGATTCATATTTCATGTCTTTGTGGGGTGAAGCGGGGGTGGTGCCAAGACCTAGCTAGAAATGGATGTCAAACCAGGCTGTCAGTCCTGAGCCTTCAGCCAGCAATGGAATAAAGGTTTCAGGCCAAAAAAGATGTTACTCAACCAGGATAAATCTTCCAGTGTCTATACCTGTGGTAGCATCTTGTCAATTACTAGTATGCATTTGCCAATATGAGCCAGGTTTACTTAAGTGGATTAGGACAATATAAATACTTTGCTAGTTGTATGGCTCCAGAAATCTGCTCATCTAAATATTTTTAAATACTTTGTTTAAAATGTGCCACTTTACTCTTTAATAGGGACTCAGTTGGGTACAGCGTGAGACTAGCAGTTACTTAATCAATCTCCCTGCCCATAGGTAGGCTTCCTTCTTTCATTCCAAGCAGATGAAGTTCTATCCTCAGGAAGTCCAAAGAAGATGTGCTCACAGCTTTCTCAGGGATTTTCCTAGAAATTGAACTGTGTTTACTGAAGAGAAAAAAAAAAAAAAAAAAGAAAGCCTGTCCTTCCAGAGATTGTGCTTCCCAGTTCCAAAATCACCAAACCAATATTCACCTTATCTCCTCCATTGTACCTTGATCCCTGCTATATTATCCTAGTGACACCTTTCCTTGAAGCTTTTCTAATACAGCAAATTTGCTTTTCTTATTTCCAGGGGCATCAGAACAGGAATTATACACTTAAAAATGTATGCACTAGATTCTATGCAAACAAGTCAAGTCTAAACATCACTTAATTTGTTTATCAAGCAAGAAGATGGAAGCTCCTTTGCATCTATTCAGGACAGGTGCACAATTAGAAGTGAAAGCCATACTGCATGCAGTACAGCTGGATATGTGCCATTGCTTAAACCAGGAAGGTGAACAGTAAAGCCCCCCCACAACTTGTAACACAGGGGCTCTTCCAAGAAGGCCTGGCACTTAATCTCCCTTCCAGCAGATCACAGCCCTTATGCCAACCACTCTGATGACTTCTTCTCCAAGCCCTTCTTCAAAGAAAGAGCTAGGGATACTGCCAAGAGAGCCACTATCTTCCCTCTGAAAAATGGATCCCAGTGGCATTTGTGCAATGCTACTAGGGTTGGATTATTTCTCTAAGTCAGTTTGAGAGAAGTCCTGCAGTGCTAGACTTCAAAAGTGTGTTCTTAGAGGAAGGAAGCCACTCCCAGCCTCTCAACCACCTTCCTGTCTCCCCAAGACCCCACCCACACAAACACACACATATACATAAGTTTACCAAAAAGTGTCTTTTAGACATAACCCTAGAGGAAGTCTGGCTCTGCGCACAGCACTGCAGAGGTACTATTTGCATTTTGAATTGTTTTTAAGGCAAGAATTTATTAAGAGTGCAGCATACACATATTAAACATCCCCTGCAGGCACTGCCTCTATTGTGCAGATTCATTTATTGAAGACAGTGCTAGTAGTAGTACCAGTAGTAGCTAATTGCTGCCATTTATTGGATGCCTCCTCTGTATCAGATATTGTTCTTAGTACTTTACATACATGATTTCCAATCTTCACATCCCCATTTTAACTTAAGTTTTTGCTTTTTCTTCTACTGATGCTGAAATGGAGGCTCAGAGAAGTTTGAACACGTGCTCAAGGTCACACTGCTCACCAACAGCACGACAGAGTCAGAATGTAGGCTCAATTCCATCTTGATTCAAAGCCTGAACTCTTCACACTGCACCACCTCCAGCCCCTTTTCACAGTGAGAAGAAGGTGGGAAAAGGTGCATAGGTTCCAAGTCCAATGTGTCAGTTAGAAAAATCTCCTTGGAAATAATTTATGACCTGGGATACTTAGTTGAAATAGAGTTGGCTTCTTTTGACTTTACTTTTCTTTGCAGACATTTTGGCTCTCTTCTGTGAGTGCTGCTCTCTTTTCTTAATTTGCATTTAGCATGTGACTATTTACACATGCAAATATGAATACTTTCAAAAAATTGTCAAATATGAATACTGAGAATGTCTTCCCCCCCACCATTTACATCTCATCAAAGCACAAGTCAAAATGCTCTTGGGTATATTATTCATCTTTCACTGTTTGTTCTCCTCTGCTTTACCAGTCCATGTCTTGTCTTTTGCAACTCAGCCATGTAGAATAAAAGTACACTTGTTCTATAATTGAAAATGAATCTGGAGAGAAAGGGCTAAGTCATGCAGTGTGTGAGGAAGACAGGTCGTGGGGAACATTTCCTCTCCTTCCATAAACCAAATGGTTTCATAATCTGTTGTGAATGTAAGGATGTGGAGTGCAGTCCCCAAAAGCCTGCATTAATTTTTTAAGTTTTAAAAATTAAAAATAACATCATAGGAGCGACTGTAAGTGAAGAGGATTACTAAGCTATAGACTATTTTATTTAATAATAGGTTCCATATCTCCAGATTAGCTTTTATTTTATGAACCTAGGCACTTTATAAAACATTCATCTATTGAACACTTTACTTCCTTCTATGTGGAATAATACTCCTCTCTCATCACTCTCTTCCCTGCTCTGCCTCTCCCTTCCCTGACTAACCTCATTCATCTTTGAGGGTTCATGTTAGCTATCAGTTCCCCCAGAAGTCTGACCTAACTCCCAAATCTGGGTTACGAGGTCCACTTATGGACCGTCAAAGCACTGTGTGCTCCCCACATCATAGTTCTTCGAGACCTCACTCACAGTTCTTTCCACCCTTACTCCTAACCAAATCCTAGCTGATAAGCATGTCCATGAAGATAAATCACTCATGTGATGACCCTTCCAACAATGAGTTCTTGAAATTCACGAGTCTTCCTAACTATTCACAGTTACTCTACTGCATGGGTCCTCAATCCCCAGGCCATGGACTGGTATCCATCCGTGGCCTGTTAGGAAATGGGCCACACAGCAGGAGGTAAGCAGCAGGCGTGAGCAAGCAAAGCTTCATCTTTGTTTACAGCCACTCGCCATCACTCGCATTACCACCTGAGCTCTGTCTGCTCTCAGATCAGTGGCAGCATTGGATTCTCATAGGAATGTGAACCTCATTGTGAACTGTGCATGTGAGTGATCTAGGTTGCATGCTCCTTATGAGAATCTAATGCCCGGTGATCTATCACTATCTCCCATCACCCCCAGATGGGACCATCTAGTTTCAGGAAAACAAACTCAGGGCTCCCACCAATTCTACATTATGGTGAGTTGTATAATTATTTCATTATATATTACAGTATAATAATAATAGAAGTAAAGTGCACAGTAAATGTAATGCGCTTGAATCACCCTGAAACCATCCCCAACCCGAGTCCATGGAAAAAATGTCTTCCATGAAACCAGTCCCTGGTGCCAAAAAGATTGGAAGTGCTGCCGTACTGCATTTGGACCATCCCTCCTCATGGCCACACTCTGGCTGGGTTTTGTCATCACCCAACAATCCCGAACCCTGATATTCTACTTCTTGGCCATATTTTCCAGTCTTCTGAGTTCTCTCATTTCCTTATTCCTACTATACTTGCTTCCTGGCCTCACAGGGTATTCTCGTTCCTTGACTCCTCCAATTTCTTTTTTTCTTTTTTTTTTTTTTTTTTCCAACCAGCAGCACTTTTTCTTTCCTGCCAATGCTACATCTCTGGATGGATTGTTTGAACTCTTCTCTGTCTTCGAACTTTGATTACTTTGGGTCCCTATTTTTCTACCATATTCCTCAGGAAAATCCCAATCCTGAATCAATGCTCCAATTCCTATCCCTATGTCTACCAGATACACTGCTGAGAAAGACCCAGTATTTCACAGGATTGGCTCCACTGCATATTCATGGATTCCAAGTTCATCTGAGCCTCTGGCATTAACCAACAAGCCTTTGATTTGTCATTGGTCAACACCCTCTTCTATTCCCCACAAAAATTATTTCAAATGTTTACCATCTATTTCCTACTCAGCCCTTAGATTCTTCTCTTTCCATAGATGATCTTGCCTCACGCTTTATCAACAAAACCGCTATTATAAAATGTGCTCTCCCTCACCTTCTCTTGCCTATCTATTAACTTATATATACAGAGTATTAGTCTGCTCAAGCTACCATAACAAAATACCACAGACTGTGTGGCTTAAACAACAGAATTGTTTTCTCATAGTTCTGGAGGTTGGAAAGTTCAAGATCAAGGTTCTAGCATGGTTGAACTCCTGATGAGAGTTTGTTTTTTGGCTTTCAGATAACCACCTTCTCACTATGCCCTCACATAGCCTTTCCTCAACACATGTGCACACAGAGAGTGCAATGCTTTGGTGTCACTTCTTATAAATAGGACATTAATCCTATCAGATAAGAGCCCCACCTTTATGACCCAAGTTAGCTTTAATTACTTCCTTACTCCAAATACAACCGCACTAGGGGTTAAGGTTTCAACATATGAATTTGGTCGGTGGTGGGGGACACATACATTCAGTCCATAATATACAGCCACAGCAATTTTGATTCCTTCCCTCCAAACTCAGAAAATCTGGTATCCTTCTCCCCAGTAATAGTCAACCTTCCACCTGGGACCTTGCTCCCATCTCCCTGGACACCATCTCCTCTACAAGCCTGCTCCAAAAGTTTTCTCCACCCTATGTCTACTCTATGGAGAAGATGAAAGAAGCACAAGGTGGCATCCCAGACCTCAAATAATTTTAGATTTGCTTAGAGAGACAAAATTAAGAGACAATGGGCCCAAAATTAAAGCAGACAGGCAGGACAGGTAAAATCCTCAGCCTAACTAATATAGCCTCATGGATCTACCACCTAATCACAAAAAGTCAGTACTGGAAGGGACTGCAAGGTCATCTGATACTCCTGTCCCAGGCAGGCATCCAACTAAATGGACCAAGAAAGACAGTTGTCTAGCCTTGCATTAAAAACCTCCAGAGAGAAATTCCAACAAGTTTCCATCCCAAATTGGCAGTTGCACTGCCCTTAGGAGCATTCAGCAGGGATATATTTTGATGGTGAGCCAATCCTTTCAATTTTCTCCTATTTCTTAAAATGCCTCATTCAAAAAGACCACAAGGCAATCAACTAAAATTACTTTCTGGGAATGAATAATGTGAAACTCTGGGAAAGTGCAGTCAGCCACAGGACCATCAGAGTTCTGATAGCTCAGTTTCTTCTTGGAGGACTTGATGGCCTCTGGGATATAACCATCTGGCATACATAGTCTTTTAGAGTAGTGTGGCCTTTGCTGGTAGCCAAAAGTAACCTGAGCATTTCTAGTGAGGGACACATACACACACACACGCACACACATATGCATTTATTGGCCCAACAAGAATCTCTGATGTACCTCCCTCTACTTTTTCTTTCTCCCTAAGAGGCACAGTTCTGGAGCTTTGAAATTTGCCTGGCCTGCTTGATGGGAGTCATCCAGTCCTGTCCAAGTGACTGACACAGTCTTTGCAACAAGGTCATTAACCCTGGACAGTCAGCCAAAGCCAATTCAGGAGTCACTAAGCTGATGTTCTCTGTTGACTATGAAGCAACCCTCCTTCTCTTCTAGCCTACAGCATCACAGAGAGACACTGAAGCCTAAAAGTGAGGACCCCTGCACAGGGCAGCCAGAATCCCCAAAGAAGACTGCTACTAATGGATGTGAGACCTTCTGTAATAGTCATTAGGGTAAATTTCCTGCTTATAAATATTTCCCTATGTTATAGCCAAACTTTATGTACAAGATTTATATTCTCCACATTTTCAACTTTAAAACAGTTTTCCTTCTTGGAAGGATTTAGTCACTAAAATGCATAAAGAAGGCTAGAAGCTACTGGAAAACAAGTGTAATGGTGTATTGTAAAGAACAGGAAACAAAATTAAAGACAAGACTAAGAACCTGGACCTATCTCCACTACTAATTATACAACAGTGAGCAAGGCTGAGCCGGTTGTATCCATGACCCCAAAATAGAGGAACCAGGAACACAATACAATTCAGTTGAAATAAAATGATACATATATTTATGACATTACTATGCATATTTTATTAAAATTGACTACACTTTTAATAATAGAATCTAAAATAATTTATTGTCTTAGTTGATTAATTTCAAATCATCAGTTTCTCTCATCAACTTTAAGAGGCATAATGGCATGGAAGAAAAGAATGTTATATGGGAAGTCATTTTATCTCATTTCACTAAATGAGAAATTCAAAGTCCAGAAAGATTAAATTACTTACCCAAGATCTCTCAGCTTTTAAATGGCTGAGGCCAAACTTCAGCCCAGGTCCTCTGATTCTAAAGTATGATTTGCTCAGCATAAACCTTACAAGACACAAGTGATCTGGGTCCTATCTTTAGCCTCCTTAAACAGAATAACTGTCAGCCCAGAATTTTCTATTCAGCAAAACTAAGTTTCATAAATGAAGGAGAAATAAAGTCTTTTTCAGACGAGCAAATGCTGAGGGAATTTGTCACTATCAGACCAGCCCTACAAGAAATGCTAAAAATGGGTTATAAATCTTAAAATAAAAGATTGATGTGTGCCACAGTAA
The DNA here is from genome assembly GCF_000001405.40 of Homo sapiens. Taxonomy (NCBI): domain Eukaryota; kingdom Metazoa; phylum Chordata; class Mammalia; order Primates; family Hominidae; genus Homo; species Homo sapiens. The sequence goes on from NC_000001.11 coordinate 222,426,090, forward strand.
AACCTCCTGAAGGCATAAAACTCACAGAGCCTAGAAAATAATAACACAATGAAGGAAAAAAGTAACTAGGTAACAACATGATGACTGGAACAGCACCTCACATCTCAATGTTAACATTGAATGTAAATGGCCTAAATGCTCCACTTAAAAGATACAACTAAGCAGAATAGATTTTTAAAAGTCACAAACCAAATATCTGCTGTCTTCAAGAGACTCACCTAACATGTGAGGATTCTTATAGATTCAAGGTAAAGGAGTGGAAAAAGATATTCCATGCAAATAAAAATCAAAAGCAAGCAGGAGTGGCTATTCTTAGAAAAAACAGACTTTAAATCAACAACAGTTTAAAAAAAAAAAAGTCAAAGCAGGTCATTATATAATGGTAAGAGAATCAATGGGTCAATGCAACAAGAAAATGTTACAATCCTAAATACATATGCATCTAACTCTGGAGCTCCCAGATTAAACAATTACTACTAGACTTAAGAAAAGAGAAAGCAACACAATAATAGTGGGGGACTTCAAAACTAGACGGATCATTGAGTCTAGTGATCCAATGACAACACCAGACTGATCATTGAGGCACAAAGTCAACAAAAAAACACTGGACTTAAACTGCACTTAGAACAAATGGACTTAACAGATATATACAGAACATTCTACCCAAGAACTGCAGAATATACATTCTTCTTATCAGCTCATGGAACACTCTCTAAAATAGACCATATGATAGGCCACAAAACAGGTCTCAATAAATTTTAAAAACAGAACTCATACCTAGTATCTTCTCAGACCACAGTGGAATAAAAATCAGAAATTAACTCCTAAAGGAACCCCAAAACTATACAAATATATAGAAATTAAATAATCTGCTCCTGAATGATTTTTGTGTCAACAATGAAATCCAGACAGAAATGTATAAGTTTTTTGAAATGAATGACAATAGTGACACAAGTTATCACAACCTCTCTGATACAGCAAAAGCATGCTAAGAGGAAAGGAACTGCCTACATCAAAAAGTCTGAAAGATCACAAATTGACAACCTAATGTCACACCTCAAGGAACTAGAGAAATAAGAACAAATCAAACCCAAAACTAGCAGAAGAAAAGAAATAACAAGGATCAGAGCAGAACTAAGTGAGATCGAAAGCAAAACAAACAGAAAAAAAAAACAAAAACAAAAACAGCCTGGGTGCAGTGGCTCATGCCTGTAATCCCATCACTTTGGGAGGCCAAGGTGGGTGGATCACCTGAGGTCAGGAGTTCAAGACCAGCCTGGCCAACATGGTGAAACCCCATCTCTACTAAAAAGACAGAAATTAGCCAGCCATGGTGGCTCATGCCTGTAATCCCAGCTACTTGGGAAGCTGAAGCAGGAGAATTGCTTGAACCCAGAAGGTAGAGATTGCAGTGAGCCAAGATTATGCGACTGCACTTCAGCCTGGGCAACAGAGCCAGACTCCATCTCAAACAAACAAAAGATCAATGAAACAAAAAGTTGGTTTTTTGAAAAGATAAACAAAATTGATAGACCATTAGCTAAATGAAACAAGAGGAGACAAAATTTAAATAAGTTCAATTAGAAATGAAAATAGAGACATTACAATCAACACCACAGAAATACAAAAGATTATTCAAGACTATTATGAACATCTCCATGCCCACAAACTAGAAAATCTAGAGATCAGGCACAGTGGCTCACATCTGTAATCCCAGCACTTTGGGAGGCTGAGACAGGCATATCAGTGAGGCCAGGAGTTAAAAGCCAGCCTGGCCAACATAACGAAACCCCATCTCTACTAAAAATACAAAAAAATCAGCTGGGCATAGTGGCACATGCCTGTAATCCCAGCTACTCAGGAGGCTGAGGCATGAGAATCACTCAAACTCAGGAGGTGGAGGTTGCAATGAGCCAAGATCATGCCACTGCACTCCAGCCTGGGTGACAGAGCAAGACTCTGTCTAAAAAAATAAAAAAGAAAGGAAGAAAAGAAAAGAAAATCTAGAGGAAATGAATAAATTCCTGAAACATACAACCCTCCTAGCTTGAATCATGAAGAAATAGAAATATTGAACAGATCAATAACAAGTAGTGAGAATGAATCAGTAATTTAAAAACTTGCCAACAACAACAACAAAAAACCCAGAGCCAGATGGATTCACAGCCAAATTCTAGAAATCATAGATGACACAAATGAATGGAAATACATCCCATGCTCATGGATTGAAAGAATCAACATTGTGAAAACAACCATACTGCCCAAAGCAATCCACAAATTCAATGCAATTTCTATCAAAATACCAACATCATTTGTCTCATAATTAGAAAAAACAATCCTAAAATTCATATGGAACCAAAAAGGAGCTCAAATAGCTAAAATAATAGTAAGCAAAAAGAACAAATCTGGAGGCATATTATCTGACTTTAAATTATTATACAAGGTTATATATAAACGGCATGGTGCTGGTATAAAATTAGATACATAGACCAATGGAACAGAATAGAGAATGCAGAAATAAAGCTGAAAAATTACAACCAACTGATCTTCAACACATCATACGAAAACATCAATTGGGGAAAGGATACCCTATTCAATTAATGATGCTGGGGAAACTGGATAGCCACATGTAGAAGAATAAAACTGGATCTCTATCTCTACCATATTAAAAAAATCACCTCAAGATGGATCAAAGTCTTAAATCTAAGACCTGAAACAGTAAAAATTTCTAGAAGAAAACCTAAGAAAAATTCTTCTGGACATTGGTCTAGGCAAAGAATTTATGACTAAGGCCCTAAAAGCAAGTGCAACAAAAATAAATAAATGAGACCCAATTAAACTAAAAAAAGCTACTGCACAGCAAAAGAAACAATCAGAGTAAGTGGACAACCCACAGAATGTGAGAAAATATTTGCAGGCTATGCATCCGACAAAGGACGAATATCCATAATCTACAAGGAACTCAAACAAATCAGCAAGAAAACACAAATAATCCCATCCAAAAAAAACGGACAAATGACATGAATAGACATTTCACAAAAGGAGATATACAAATGGCCAATAAACATATGAAAAAAAATGCTCAACATCACGAATCATCAGGGAAATGTAAATTACAACCACAATGAGATACCACCTTACCCCAGCCAGAATGGCCATTTTTAAAAGTCAAAATACAATAGATGTTGGCATAGATATGGTGAAAAGGGAACACTTACACACTGCTGGTGGGAACGTGAATTAGTACATCCTCTATGGTAAACAGTATGGAGATTCCTTAAACAACTAAGAGTAGGTCTACCATCTGATTCAGCAATCCCACTACTGGGTATCTACCCAAATGAAAGGAAGTCATTACATCAAAAAGACACCTACATGCATATGTTTATCACAGCACAATTCACAATTGCAAATGTAGGGAACCAACCTAAGTGCCCATCAAGCAATGTGAATAAAGAAAATGTGGTGTGTATATATATATATATATATATATATATATATACCATGGAACACTACTCAATCATAAAAGAGAACAAAATAATGTCTTTTGCAGCAACTTGGAGGGAGCTGGAGGCCATTATTCTAAGTAACTCAGGAATGGAAAACCAAATACCATATATGCTATCGTATATGGTATATGATATCACTTGAGCTCAGGAGTTCAAGACCAGCATGGGCAACATGGCAAGACTCCAACTCTACAAAATACACAAAAATTAGCTGGGCATGGTGGCGTGCACCTGTAATCCCAGCTAGTTGGGAGGCTGAGGCATGAGAATCTTTGAACCAGGGAGGCAGAGTGAATTAGTCCATTCTTGTGCTGCTAATAAAGACATACCCAAGACTGGGTAATGTATAAAGGAAAGAGATTTAATTGACTCACGGTTCCACATTGCTGGGAAGGCCTCAGGAAACTTAACCGTCATGGCAGAAGGCAAAGGAGAAGCAGGCACCTTCTTCACAGGGTGGCAGGACAGAGTGAGTGAAGCAGGGGAAATATCAGACTCATAAAACCATCAGATTTCACGAGACTCACTCATTATCACAAGAATAGCTTAGGGGAAACCACCCCCATGATTCAATTACCTCCACCTGGTCCCACCCTTGACACATGGGGATTATAGAGAATACAATTCAAAGTGAGATTTGAATGGGAACACAGAGCCAAACCACATCACAGAGGTTACAGTGAGCCAAGATCACCACTGCACTCCATCCAGAGCAAGACCTGTCTTAAAAAAAAAAAATGCAATTAGGAATGTGTCTTTTGCATTAGCTATGACAGCTTTGGTGTGGTCTTCAAAAACAAATTGCCACTTTTCTAGACCTTGATACTCAGATTAAGAATTCTCCATGGAAAGAGTTTCAAACAAAATACTTTTGCTATAGAAATACATCACCAATTTACTAATATTTACAAGAAGTTATGAGGAATATAATGCACCATTATAAAGAATGGGTTAGAGCAGTGTTGTCCAACACAAACATGATGCAAGTAACTTTAAATCTTCTAGTAGCCACATGTTTTAAAAATAAAAGGAAATACGTAAAATCTAGATTAACAATAATATTGCATTTAATTCAATATATTCAAAATATTCTTTCAACCTATAATCAACATAAAAATTATAAATGAGCTATTGTACATTCTTTTTTATTTTCACACTAAACCTAGAAATCAGGATTGGCTACATTTCAAATGCTCAGTAGCCATCTGCAGCTAGTGGCCACTGCATTGGACACAACAGGGTTAGAGACATCTACTCATCCAGAGGGAGAGGGATGCCCGTGGTACATTTTTAGGGGGAAAAATGGAAGGTGGAGGATATTATACAGTTAGGAGCTCATGTTTGAGGGGGAAATCTAGGCATGTATGTCATGTATGCTTGTATGGGCCTATACGAGCATGAAGAAGGATGGTGAAGTATATACACATCAGGCTTTAACACTGGTTATTCATGACAATAGGATTTGAGGGGACTGGGTACTAGATAGAATATTAACAGCTTTTTAAAACTTATATCCTTGCATTGTTTCACATATTACAATGGCCTGTATTAGTTTTGTAATTTTCAGCTGGGCACAGTGGCTCTTGCCTGTAATGCCAGCACTCTGGGAGGCTGAGATAAGAGGATAACCTGAGTCCAGGAGTTCGAGACCAGCCTGGGCAATGTAGCAAGACCCCATATCTAAAAATAATTTTTAAAATTAGTAGGGCATAATGGCATGCACCTGTGGGACCAGCTACTCTGCAGACTGAGGTGAGAGGCTTGCCTGAGCCCAGGAGGTCAAGGCTGCAGTGATCCGTGATCACATCACCGCACTCCAGCCTGGGTAAAAGAGTGAGACCCTGTCTCAAAAAAACAAGATTGTAGCTGGGAGCGGTGGCTCACGTCTGTAATCCCAGCACTTTGGGAGGCCAAGGTGGGCAGATCACGAGGTCAGGAGATCGAGACCATCCTGACTAACAAGGTGAAACCCCATCTCTACTAAAAATACAAAAAAAAATTAGCTAGGCATGGGGGCAGGTGCCTGTAGTCCCAGCTACTGGGGAGGCTGAGGCAGGAGAATGGCGTGAACCCGGGAGGCGGAGCTTGCAGTGAGCCGAGATCGCGCCACTGCACTCCAGCCTGGGCAACAGAGCGAGACTTTGTCTCAAAAAAAAAAAAAAAAAAAAAAAACAAGATAGTAATTTTCCTTTAGCCTACCGAATAAGTTGCCAAAAGTTTCTAAAATTTATTTAAGAAGAGAGATTCAGTTGCTCTAACAGTCAGGTAAGCACAAGCTTTCCGGAAGAAGGGAAATTAAGGACATTTTATCTTTTACTCAACTCACATAATGACAACAAATTTAGAAGTTATGTAGAAAAATAATAAGTTGTCATTTGAATCTTAGAATCAAATAGTAAGGAATTAGAAGTCACTTCCCACCCTGCCCCATCTGAAGACTCCTGCTTCACCTTGTCTGGTGTCTCACCTGCATGCCTTCCTTACTCAAGTTCTTCTCTCCATTTTAAATAAAAGCACCAGAACTTAGAGAGCCCATTAATAACAGGACAGAAGTAATAAGGCAGACTCCTAGGCAGACCAAGGCTACAGACTACTCTGAGGGATGGGTAGTAGACAGTAGGGTTTTGATGCAATTCTCCTGAAGGCAGATGAAGATGCTAGGCCAAACCCACCTAAGGCAGAGAGTAGCCAGGAGCAGGTGGGAGAAAAGAGTTCAAGAAGGTCTCAGGGGAGAGCCTCAAGATCACCTTCACCACCACTCCCTGATAATTCTGCCTGTTCCTGCAATTCACCAAATTATGACATAATATTTGCACAGGACAAAGGGACATAAAAAACTGTGCCAACAATCTTGAAACTTTTGACCAGAATATACCTTAAAACACAACAGTGATCACCTAGATGAGTCAGGGAAACTAACTGGAAAGAAGAGTTGGCTGAATAACTGGTTCTCTAGTCCCTGCAGGTTAGGAAAGCAGTTCCCCAAAAAACAAGATGACATAACACAGCCAATTCCCCACTCAGCCAGAGCCCTTTTCCATAGTTTTTTCCTGGAGAATTGTGGTCCATGTCCTGACACAATCAACATACAAGACTTCCATGGACAGATAGATTCATCTAAAGGCCATATCAAATGATGAGCTATTGTTTCACTGGCTGACTCCCATTCTAACATATGTGAAAGAAACTCCCACGATGATGAACTCAAGATTCGAGTTCAGAGCTCTGAAAGGAATAAACCAGCAGGCACTGATGATGTTTTTAAGGTAGTTGTATGGAATCAAGGTCTGAAAAAAAGAAGCAAAGAAAAAAAGACAGAGAATGTATGGGTAAATATGGCAGGAGAAATGGGCAGTGAGACAGGTAACAAACCTGCTTGCTGTGTGCAGTTAGTCACAGTTCTCTGCTGCTATATGCCTTTCTTCAGGAAGGAAAAAAGAAGAGTTCAAGAGAGTGTTTGTACAAACAAAAACACATGTCATTTAGGATACCCTCTAAGGGATATAAGGGAAAGAGCATTGTAATTTTGGGTCTCCTAATCCATCTCTGCCAGTGTCTCCCTCTGATAGTTTCATTGAGGCATTTTAAACCTTCCATGATGTCAAAACTTAATAATAATGTGATTTATTCTAAATAGCCCTAGATTTCCTTAATAGCCTATTATGAATCCATCAGACATTTATTTGTCCGAGGTCTTGAACTTTTCTATAATTTCAGTGTGTGATACATTTTAGAGAATAAAAGTTCCAAAAAATAAACTCTGTGAAGGCTTTCCTTGTATTTGTTCTTAAAATGTCTCTCAGGCTTTAAGGGTTGCCTTTAAATTCTGTTATTGTTTGGTTTGACATCAGGTCAATGCTGGTGCCATTCAAGTCCTCCATAATTTTTGTAATTTATAATGTACCACCCTTAACCTGTATGTACAGAATGGCTAGAAAGCTAGATTTCTCTTACTGTTTCTACTTGGGATTTTGTCTTAGTCCATGTGGGTGGCCATTTAATAATAGCATAAATTAGGTGGCTTATAAACAACAGAAATTTATTTCTCACAGCTCTAGGGACTGGGAAGTCCAAGATCAAGGTGCTAGCAAATGTGGTGTCTACAGAGGGCCTCCTGCTTCCTGGTTCAAATACCTGTGTTCTTGCTGTGTCCTCAGATGGTGGTAGAGGCAAACCAGCTTCCTCAGGACTCTTTTATAAGAGCACTAATCCTATTCATGAGGGCTTTGCCCTCATGACATAATCACTTCCCAAAGGTCCCACCTCCTAATATCATTCCTAATATCATTACCTTGGGGGTCAGGAATCAACATATTAATTGGAGTGTTGGGGGGTGCATAGCAAAGGTCTTCACAGTGAATGATTTTTCCACTAGAAATGACATTAAAGGCCTTAGCCTCACATAAAGCCCCAACTTCATTTCAAGGTACAAGGTCCATATGAAACTTCCAACAAGAGAAATATCTAAATAAAAGAGTGATAACAAGCCCCTGGGAACAAGCCCCTGACCCCTCAGGTTCAGGTTGTATGCTCTCATGGCCCCCATAGTTTCCTCTAACTTGCCTTTTCATCACACCACATTATATTATAATCGTCTGTTATTTATCTGTATCCTGTTTCTCAAGCCAAACCATAACTCTCATGGCAGTTTTATTCTCAGACACATACCCAGTAACTAGCAGAGCCAAGGACAGTGCGATAAATCTATGAGGAATCCATGAATGAGCTACTTTATCATAAATAAGCATTTTTAACTAATGTACCAAAACTATGTAATGTGCATCCTCAATAGCTTTCTAGGCCATAGGTGACTGGGTCCCATAGGAAGCCTCTATCATACCATACACTCACCTTGCAGTGGGGCTCTACACTTTAATACACCCAGAAATTGATCAAACTTCACAATTTACTAATAAAAAAACTTCAGTGAAGATTATATAGGAAGATGGGAAAGAAGGTTTACATTCTCATACTGTAGCAAACTTTCTTTAAAATCCCTTGCATACTTTTCTATTCTTTCCCATGAAATTCTCCTTGTACAGCCACCCCCTTTTCCCCCATGGGCTCCTTCTCCCCAGCCCTTCCTCTGCTTCTCTTCACCTGTATGTATTAGAAAAGATTCACTCTAACTTGCATCTGCCCCCTCATCACCCAGCCCTATAAATACAGTAAATGCTTCAACTTGGGATCCATCCTCATTAGAAAGCAGAACCATAAGTAGAAAGCAGAACAACATAAGTAAGTTGTCCCTGAAACCTATTTTTAGATAGGAGTTTACAGAGGGTATGGGGTCCTGTCCACTTAACCAGTCAGACCAATTCCACATGCAGTCTACCTTCTGGCCTCAAATCCTGAAGGACTGACTAAAAGAGATTGCATTTTAGTCTGAGAGTCCTGTGAGAATCATCTCTTTCCTCGAAGTGGGAGGGAACAGAGGTTTGAGCAGAAACTGTTTTTAAACATGTTTCAAGGACCTTGAAATACCTCCTACCAAGAAGACATAAAATACTACGGATTCTAATTGTCTCGGTCAAGATTCAACTAGAGAAGCAGAACCAGTAGGAGATACATATATTAGGAGATTTATTACAAGAAATTGCTTACATAGTTGTGGAGGCCGGCTAAGCAAGTCTGATATTCCCAGGGCAGGTAGTCAGGAAGGAAGATCTCAGGTCAAGGTCATGTGCACAGGCCAAAGTTGTCCTCCATAAGCAGAATTCCTTCTTTTACTTGGGGAAGACTCAGCCCTGTTTTTAAGACCTTCCACGCAATTCAGTCAGGCCCACCCAGGTTATCCTGAGTAATCTCCCCTACTTAAAATCACCTGGTTAAGAGCACTAGTTACATCTGCAAAATACCTTCAGAGTAAGACCTAGATTACTGTTTGATTGAATAAATGAGAACTGTAGCCTAGCCGAATTGACACATCAAAGAAGCCATCACTCTAAGTAAAGACAATAAAAACCAGCAGCACTTACGGAGGTCCCATTCTAAACACCTCACATATGTTATGTCCTTTACTTTGTGCAATCACCCTATATGATATTATTATCTCTATTATACAAAAACTCTTCAGGCTGATTATTGGCTAAAATGCCATTGGAAGGCAGCAGCTTCTATCTCAATCCAGTTTATTTTATTTTGTTTTTTTGGAAACGGTATCACTTGGTTGCCCAGGCTGGAGTGCAGTGGTACAATCATGGCTCACTGACGCCTCTATCTCCCAGGCTCAAGTGACCCTCCCACCTCAGCCTCCCAAGTAGCTAGGACTACAGCTGTGCACCACCACACATGGCTAATTTTTTTTCTTTTCTTTTTTTTTTTTTAGTAAAACCAAGGTCTCCTTATGTTGCCCAGGCTGATTTCACACTCCTGACCTCAAGTGATCCTCCTGCCTCAGCCTCCCAAAGTGCTGGGATTACAGGTGTGAGCCACCCCACCCAGCCTCGATCCGTTTTAATTGTCAACCAACTGCTCTGTATTAGCAGCAAGAGGAACGTGAACTGAGGGGAGAAAATCCCTTCTTCAACACCCAGCAGATGGACCTGAGAAAAGGCTCTTGATCCACCCACTATCCAGCCCAGGGGGTGCACCTCTTACTTCCTACTAAGAGTGCTCCCTCATTAAAGGATGTGCAGGCCAAAATTAGTGTAGAGATTGAGTGCACACCAGAGTTTCTTAGCGGCAATACTATTGACATTTCGGACTGAGTAATTCCTGGCAGTCCAGCTGGGGGGCACGCGGCTGTCCTGTGCACTGTTAGGTTTAGCAGCAGCTCTGACCAATACCCACTAGACTCCAAGAGCCCCCCAACCCCTCCACTAGCAACAACCAAAAATGTCTCCAGATATTGCCCAATTTCTCCAGAGGTAAAGGATGGAAAAGGGGGAAAAAGCAGCAAAATCTCCCCAGTTGAAAACCACCGGGGTAGACAGAGTTCCTCTAAAGGAAAGGCTCGGGCTATAACAGGGTCATTTAGAAACAGAGGTCAGTGGTCTTTCTCCAGGGGAGCCACCACCCTTTAGGAATATAATACTCACTTTCTCACCTTCAGGCAGATGACACTCCCTCAGCCACCCCTCCCATTTGCCTGGATGATACCTACTTATCCTTCAGACTCCCTGAGCCCCTCAAGTCCAGGAAAGGTGCTCCTCCTCTGTGGCCTCTACTGAGGCACTCATTGCATAGTTTTCTTGCCTGTCGCTCACACTAGACCTAAGTTCTACCCTAGCACTAGCTGAGTCCTACTCAGCACTCCTGCACCTGTCATAGTGCCGAGACTCTTGCTTAATTCATGCTCTTGTTAAAATAATAAAATCTAGGTAGGGACTGGTGGCTCACACCTGTAATCCCAGCACTTTGGGAGTCTGAAGCGGGTGGATCACCTGAGGTCAGGAGTTCGAGACCAGCCTGGCCAACATGGTGAAACCCCATCTCTACTAAAAATAGAAAAAATCAGCCTGGTGTGGTGGCTCATGTCTGTAATCCCAGCTACTCGGGAGGCTGAGGCAAGAGAATCACTTGAGCCCGAGAGGCAGAGGTTGCAGTGAGCCAAGATCCTGCCACTGCACTCAAGCCTGGGCAACAGAGTGAGTGAGACTCCATCTCAAAACAAAAAATAATAATAATAATAATAAAATCTGAATGTTATTGATTGTATACTATATGCCAGGCACTGTGTAAAGAAAGAATGAGTTAACTATAAATAATAAATGAATTAATGTTGAAAGAATACATAAAAGAAGCTATATATTATTCATTGTGGCCAAAATTGTACTATTATCTCAACATTTAGAGTATTCCTAAATATACAACACAAAGAGTAACAATTTTCAAAGAATTGGTACCGTATGAAATGTGTTTTACATTAAAACTTTAATGAACATGATTTGTCTATCTGTGATGATACAGAGGCCCATTTAAGACATTTCTGTCCTGAGGAGTCATTATTAGGAATAGCAATTATCACATTTCTGCTGGGCACAGTGGCTCATGCCCATAATCTCAGCACATTGGGAGGCCAAGGTGGGAGGATTGCTTGAGTCCAGGAGTTCAAGACCAGCCTTGAAAACACAGCAAGAGCCTATCTCTACTATATATATATATATATATATATATATATATATATATATATATATACACACACAGTAGATATATATAGTAGATATATATAGTGTATATATATATATACACACACACATAACTGTCAGATTTTATAGATAGGAGAAACAGTCACACAATGTTCAGTTATTGTTGATAGAATACCAGGCACACAGCCTTTTCTATGGCACAGACATGAGTTTAACATAAACTTATTCACTTTGAACCCCTGAACCATAGTGAAAGGGTCACCAGATTTTCCCTCCCTCAAGAGGCAATGACGATGGGTCCAATAAGACATTTCTATTTGGTACTTAGCCTGGATTTTACACAAGGGACTAAAATGTTATATTATTTGAGCCAGATCCATAAAACTAATGAGCCCTCTGCACTTTATGGTTCTTTCTCTCCATCATAGACTATTATCAGTGACCCTATGAGCCCTTCCCTCCTGAGAGCTGCCCAATGGCTCAGCTGCAAAACTCGGGCATCACCGCCTCCCAGTCCTTCTGCAAGCAGCCCTGCATTTCTGTGCAGATGGCCACCTAGGAATCAATTCATCACATGGTTCCAAAGAGCTCAATACAATTAAAAATATGCAATTTGGAAAAGCCCCAAGCCCAGACCATTGGCCCAGCCCTCTCTATTCATGCTCAGCCCTGATCCTCTAGTGGTCAACGAGTGACCTAGAAGGAGAGAGACAAGCTTGCTCATGTTCAGTACTCATTGGCCATTTTGAAATTGCAAGAGAGCAGATGGAGAAGTAACCTCAAATGAATATTCATAAAAATCAATTATCCACCTTCTGTGCCACCTGCCCTCTCAACCCAACTTAGCCCACAGCTGTGAGCGGCAGGGGGGCATATACCCAAATCACGGCCTCACCTCGAAGGCATCCGCAGAGGCCAAGAGTCCAATGCCAAGCCTGGAACTTTGGCACACCTGACCTGAAAAGATGGAATGTTTTGTGTTTGTGACCTTTAAAACAAGAACCAAAGCCATAGGAAGATGGCATGGGGTGGTGGAAAGAACAAAACCTTCCAAGTAAGGCTGGTCTGGGCTCAGATCCCAGCACTGAACCTTCTTAACTCCTGTCCCTTAACCCTGATTAAACTGGACAGGTCGCCCACATGCTGAGCCTCATTTTCCTCACCTGCACAGTACAGATAAAACCAACCTGCATGGGGGTAGGGCACAGATTGGGTAGACTAAGTAAGATAAGAAATATGAAGATACGAAGCACCCAGCCATGGTAGAAATAAACAAATATTAGTTCCTCCTGCCCCAACAATACCATGTCACAGGGGAGAGATCAGATTTGCATGCATCAAAACCATTTTAACAGACTGCTGTTATAATGGATGGATATATGTGATTCCTAGAAGTTTTATGACTCTAACATAGGAGTTTTCAGGGAGCTAAGATATATTTAAGGGATTTACTATTAATATAAAATGTTTCTGAAATATTTTTCCGTTGTTATGTTAAATAATATAGCTCCCTTGCATAAATCCTGTATTCCTGCATCCAAAGCTGTAACAAGGACAAGGCCACCAGGACTTGCCCAGCACTAAAAAATTTAGAACATCCCAATTATCAATTGCACTTTTAAAGGGCAGAATGGTAGAAATGAATGGAACGGAAAGGCCAAGTTCAAGGGCAAGGACACCCATTTGCCCAAGGGCCTCATTTTGAGCTGAGGGACTGCAGCCTCTCCTCTCTCCAGCCACACACTTAGTTGTTAACTGTGTTTTCCTCCCCTCCCTCGTCCCCCCATTCCCAGTGGGAAGCAAAGGAACCAGTTCTGTCTCTGCTGCCCCCAAGTTAATATTCCCCTAGCCTAGGCCAGATCACCTTTTCCCAACCTTCTCACAGAACCATCTCAAAAGTGGGACTCCAGCTTCCTACAGTGAAAATTCCAGCTTTCAACATAATTACCTTAATGTGGAAAGAGAGTGGGGGTGGAGGGGCATTGTCAGTCAATACAGAGGGGTCCTGTGGAAGAAAACCATTTTTATTCTGAGTGCTTATGATTTGCATCCAGGCTGTTTCCTTTTTTGTCTTTTGTTGGTTTTCCAAGTTTGTTAATCTGAGTGTGTGTTTGAAAAAGCAGAAAGTGAAAGGAAGTGGAGAATTTGGGTGATCGATCACCCCTCTGGATAAGCAACCTGGGCTCTTGATTTAATCATGCAGAGAGAGCAGTGAATTATTCTAATCAGGGGCTGCAGAACAGCTTTCCTTGGCCAAACCATAATCGGAAGCAAGTTGCTGGAGGCACCTGGGCCCCTGCCTGCCTTTCACACAGCCAGGTGGCCACCGCCATGATGATCCCAAGCAAGGACAGATTACAGACAACCCAGAGCCTTGAGTAACCCGGGATTCTACTTTCACATCACAATTTCTCATCCATCTCACCAGGGAATGGGACGAAACCCTGACTCAATGTTGCATGTGACACACCTGCCCTCTCTCCCAACAGTCGATGACATTCACACCACCCCCTTCCAACAATGGCTGTGGCTGCTCCGCAGCTCCTGAACTCCCCCAGCCCTTCATAACTAGATATTGACAGCTTGGAAGAGACTGGACAGAAAAGAGAGCTTCTAACCCATTCTCACCACCTCTCCTACCCAGAGCGGAGAAGTACGCGCTCACCAGCCCATCATCAGAAACCTTAAGTTGCTCACATCAGAAGCTCAGCTTTGAAATAATGAAACCTCATGTTTAGGGGTGGGAACAAGTGCAGATTTTTCTCTCAAACCTGGAGTTATGCAGGAGTGCAAGAAAGAGTGGGGGCAGAGTGGAAGAGGAGGGAGAGGGAAGGAGGAGAAAAAGGAAAACTTCGTTCATAGAACACTGCTGATTTGGGACAAGCCCCCAGGCAGATCTTTCTAAAGGTTCATGGCCATCCTCCTACACTGTAGCCTGACTTCTTCTAGAGGCTTTGAAAAAGAGCCCTAAAGGAAAACATACCTCCTTCCCTACACCTGCTCTCTAGAGGAAGCACCTGGGGTGAGACGAAGATTCTGGACTTCACCTGTAATGTATATTTCCCCCTTTTCCAGCCTCCTTTCTGCATGGCCTTGTTGTACCCAGGACCTTACCCTTCTCTCCCACCCTTTACTCACAGGCCCATATGCTCATTTTCTCTACTCACCTAGTCATTCTCAATCTATCTCAGCCCCCAGTTCCACCTGCTCACCCCAACTGGTTCAAAAGTCCCCCTCCCTTCTCAGAGGACTTGACGAGTGTCCTCTATTCAAAGCACAAGGAGGAATCCATTAGGCCACAGAGCTGATATTTGTCATCACCATCCCCTGGTTCTCTTCTATAACATTTTTCTACGTTATTATTCCACAGAAACCCTGATGAAAATCACTGGGAGTGATTAAGACAAATAGAAAAAAGCAAACAGAATTCTCAAGCATTCTGCTCCGGAGATGCAGAGGCCTTGTACGGCAGGCAGAGCTTCTCATGTGACCCACAGGCTCAGGCCCAGTATTTATCAGCAAAGCTTCACCAGCTGGAATGTCAATGAGAGACTGGAGGATTATATAAGGGGAAGACAGATGTGCCCCCAGTGAGTAGTACGGAGGTCAGCAAGTCACTTTGTCCAGCTTTAAATCTATGAGGTGTGACATCTTGGCAGACCTGGAGATCTCCCTTGTTTTCTTTTTGATAGCAACTCGACATATTGCAGTGTGGGTCACTGTATATATTCAGGCCCTGACAGCTCCACAGAATTCCTTTCCCGCACACAATGGGGACATTCTCCACCTCAGTCTGCAACCTGAAGCTGGGATAGAGCTGGTATTCAGACCCCGCAGGAAGGCCACTCAACCACAGCTGAGAAAAGGCCTGACTTGTCTGCCCCAAAGGTTCAGGAAGAAGTAAAGATCCTGCCACCCCATCCAAGCTGCCTGGTTGGGATGGTGAGCAGTCAAGTTAATGTTCAACTGTATGCGCCAGTGCCTGGCTTTGTGAAAGGCTGAGCAGAGACCCCATCAACCCCTCCCAACTGTCATTCCAGGAAAGGAGATTGAGGATGAAATTTTAAATCTCCTACCCTATGCACAAGAACTAGCCCAGGATACTCTCCCGAAGATAACCTGGTTCTCTGTAGAGTGACTCCGGGTGACATCTACTACAGTAAAGGTATTTGGATGTGCTGAGATACTCTCCCCTACCCCTTGGATCCATGGCCTGTGGTCTTCCTTTCTCCTTTCCAGTCCCCACTGCCAGCCTGCATCCAGTAGCTAGTGTTTTCCACCTAGGGAAGCTCCTCTCCAATTCTCACTAGCCATGGAAATCTCGTAATTGCTTTTGCACGCACCATTACCTCTGCCTGGGATGCCCTTCTCTCCCTCCCTGCCCTTTTGTCCAACAAGAAGTTCCCACTTCCAAGATCAGCTGTGACACCTTCTCAGACCCTCACTCTCTGGTCTCACTGACCACCCTCTGCCTCCCCACTTTGAAAGTCCCTCTCACAAAGCATTTGCTACACTGTTTGGCAATTACATGCTCACATGTGTCCTCCCAGAAGGCTAATCTCCTTGAGAACAGAAGTATTTTATTTTGTTCATCTTTATTTTATTGGTCTCTGAGTCCCAGCCAGCACAACAAGTATCTTAGGTGAATTGCATGCATTGACCAAGGCCACGGTCTTGCTACTGAATTCTTCAAATCTCTCCCAAGACCAGCATTATTCAGCCAGAGGTGTGTGGTCCTGCCCTCCTTTTCAGAGCACAGAGGGAAGCCACGAAGGATGCTTATCACGCCCTGACTCTTCTCTGTGAAACCTCTCGTTTAAGATAGGCTTCTATGGCAGGCCCCATGAAGTAAACCTTTTAAACTGTGAGGTGAAGTCAGGTTTGGTGGCAAAGTCCCTTCATAACACCAGGAAGGTCAACAACAGGCTGGGAGAGAGTCAGAAGGATGGAGAGCTCCCTGCACTATAGCAGGGCCTCTGATCCTGACTTCTTGTGAGTGGCGGTGTCCTCATCTCTCAGGCCACAAGCCTGAGGACCCCAGCCCTGTAGCCAGCTCCATGAGCCCTAGACCAGCCACCAACCCCTGAGGGCTCTTAGGCAGAGGCAGCTGTCATGTGGGGTGCCTGAGGGTGGGTGACCACAAACTAGGGGCAGCCACAGGACATCAGATGCTTCACCAGACATTTTTATCCTGCTGGTTTCTGTGGAAAACTCTTCTTTCATATGGGTAGTATGATGCCTTCAGCTTTGTTGTTTTGGCTTAGGGTTGCTTTAGCTATTCAGGGTCTTCTGTGGGATACATTTCATAACCCACCAGAGCTTCAACAGATGAGAAGGGGGACAACTTGATGAAAGAATTACTCAAAGTGGAAGGATCATAATAAAAGCCATGGGCCTCTGTTATTCCATCTAAACATCACCGTGCTCCAGGCCCAAGGACAGCTGGCTCTTCATCACAATCATTCTCGAATTTATGGGGCCTGACTACCTTTCAAGCATGTCTCTTGGCAGAGAGAGATTCCTACAAGCTGGATGATCTTGACTGCATCCACAGAGAAGAAAAAAATGTGTCAAATTTGCACCTGACTGGCCCCCAAATTAAGTCTCTTAGTGTTTCCCACCCACCGCTTCCCGCCTCCTTGGTTAGAAATGGGAGAGGCATTAGGAAGGGTGGCATGCTGAAAAGGGAATATGATTTGAAGTCACACCTTTACCAAGGTTCAAATCTCAGCTCCACCACTTGCTAGCTGGGTAACCTTGAACAAGCTCCATGACCTTGCTAAACCTTGGTGTCTTTATCTTTAAAATGGGAATGAAAATCCATAGCTCAGAAAGCCAATATAAGAAAGAAGATAACGTCTATGAAGCATCTGGCAGAGTTCCTGAAATGGAAGAAGCTCAGTCAATGCTACTCCCCTTCACTTTAACTCAGGTTCTAAAGTGTAGATGTAACATGCGTTAAAAGAATTTCACAGTCAAATAAGTTTGGGAAGTACTTGGTTAAACAAATGTAAACCCATTTCTTCTCTGCAGGACTTCTCAGAGTTTTTAATCTGCTAATGTGAGCTGTAAATCTCTAAGACGTACTACACTTTTCAGGCTTCCCAGGCCACCATGACCACAAAACTCTTATCATGGAACATCACTCAGTAATGTTCTGTGGTTTGCCATTTAGAAAATGATGCTTTAAAATAAAGAGAAAATAGCAGTTAGATGCCACAGCTACTCAAATGATCTCTTCTTCTGGAGTCTGTAATTGGCCATTATTTCCCTTTAGGAAAACCATCACGAAAAAAAGAGAATCCAGAATCAATTTTCTTCCCCAAAACTACTCTATAAAAGGACTGCTTATCCCAACCCTTGCATTTTCCTAGATATGGACCCTCAAGCACTACATACTGCCTGAGCCTTTGCCACTCACATCCCTGCCGATATTCCTCGGCACTTGCTTCTCTGGAAGGCACTGAAGCCAAAAATAAAAGTAGAGGGGTAAATGGCCAAACACTTTTTAGGTTTCTGTCTGATTTTATGCTCCACATATGAATTTACACCAAATAGAGATTCCTGGGCCAATTTGTAGCTGCAGAGAAATTTTCAGCCATCTTATTAACTTTGCATGCCCTTGTTAAAAAAAAAAAAAAAAAAAAGCAGGCTACAGATTTCCATCACCAATTGGCAAAGAAAGGAACAAAGGACCAGAGCCCAGAGCAGTTGAGCCAGAGAGCAAACTACCACCAGAGGAGGGTGCAGCCTCCCCAAGCATGTAGTTTAGCCCAAAATTGAATTCTATGATCATCACTTCTATTCATCAGTGTAGATCCTGGCCTGTTGTGAAACAAGCCAATACTGCTGGCAAGTAGGTTTCATTTTGTAGAGGAAGAGAATTAATATGCACACTCAGTCTTTCCAAAACTATCTATCAGGTATGAAGAGCCACCACAGACACTTTTGTCCAATAAAGTCCTGCCTAGAGTCCCGCCTAATAGCTTTACACTTTCGTTTGTGGATTAGATTCAAGCACAGTTTATCCCTTCATGCAGATGAGAATGTCAGACAGCTCACCTACACCTCTGTGCCCTGAATCCAGGGGCACACTTAATCCTGCTGCTAGGTCAGATGCACAGCACACATGTGTCGACCTGGAGAGGTGGATGAGTGGGAAAGAAAAGGGGCTTTGAAAATAAGGGTTAATGTTACCAAGGCTCGGCATCAAAATCCCCCTCTGCACATCTTTGTTTCCCCTTCCCAGCTCTCTCCAGCTGCATTCCTCTACTCTTAGTAATATCCCAGGGCCTAGAGCAGTGCCAATCCTATTAGAGTTGAGAGACTAGGATGGAGGTAGCTAGGTACTCTCTAGGGGACTCCCTCACCAATTTCCTCATAGCCATTCCAGGGAGGTAGAAACCAAGCTCTAGACAAGACTCTGGAGACAAGGGCCCCGCCTTCCTTGGGTCACTCATGCCTGAGTCCAGCCCTCTGCACCACAGAAGTGGGAATCAAACCACTAGGATCACCTGACTCTTGGTCCTTGGAGGTTGGGGTGAGGGAGAGTGGCAAGAGTCATGAGGAAACTGTGGCACTCAGACTACAAAAATTGTGATAAATCTGCGTATGAATATCTGTCTTTCACCCAGTCACTTCATGTAGAACATCATACTATCCCAAGCAGACCCTTCAAACTAAATAGTAAATCCACTAACACAAAATCAATCACATTTACCCGTCTGTGTTAGTCCATTTTGCATTTCAAAGGAATATCTGAGGCTGAGCAGTTTATAAAGAAAAGATGTTTATTTGGACTCATGTTTCTGCAGACAGTACAAGAAGCACAATGCCAACAACTGCTTCTGGTGAGGGCCTCAGGATGCTTACAGTCATGGCAGAAGGTGAAGGGGAAGCAGGTGTGTCACAAGGCAAGAGAGAGAATAAGACAGAGAGGAGGAGGTGCCAGACTCCTTTTAACAAATAGCTCTTGCATGAACTAATAGAGCAAAACCTCACTTATCACCATGGAGATGGCACTAAGCCATTCTTGAGAAAGCCACCTCCATGACCCAACACCTCCCGCTATGCCCCATCTCCAACACACTGGAGATCATATTTCAACATGAGATTTGGAGGGGACAAATATCCAAACCATATCACCATCCTTCAATGGTCAGCTCCTCTCTGTAGCCATCTCAGCCCTCCCTCCCTCCTCATGTCCCCTCATCTGTGTTCCTGAGCACCCTATACCCACCTCTGGGACAGTCCATGCACATGGCAGCATGAGTCGTGCATTTATGTAACTATCTTTTCTGCGAAGCTGGGTTCCCCCGAGGCAGGGTCCAAGCCTCAGGCATTGGTAGCTCTCCAATATCATGCCCTGTTCCTGGCATATGGTGGGTCCTCATGTTGGTGGTCACTGTTAAAGCCCAATCATAAAGCCAGATGGAGTGATGTTACCAGGTCTTAGATGTCAGAAGGTCCTTGTGCCTTGACATAGGTCCAGCATAAGCTGTTATAATATACACCAAATACATGGGACCCTCTTAGGTTCCCTTTCCTTTTCCAGACACAAGTCCTTTGACACACGTCAGTGTTGTTCCTGTCGATTCAGTACCCCATCCCCAAGTTCTGACCTGCAGAGGCATGATGAAGCATTTTCATCGCTGTGGTGAATCTTATTAATATCGGCACACAGATTGGCCTATTCATCAGTGCATATAAAAAACTAGCCACAGAAAAGGAAAAACTTGACCATAGGCCAAGGAGTTTGCGGGGCTTATATTTATCCAAATTATTTTGGCATTAATACCATGCTGCAAAGTCTACAAAATCAAAAACGCGGAACTCTGGAAATGAGCAAGGTTAAACTAAGACCCGTTGCTGTAGTTATTTGCAATTACCACTCACTGCCTGAGTCTGCAGTGAGCTGCCCAGCAATAGCCTGTGCTCCCCTGGGATTCTGCCCATGAGGTCCCTGGTGCCACCTGCAGCCTCCCAATGCCATCTCCAGCCTGGGAAAGAGAGTGAGCATAGGCATGGGAGGCATTAACCAGAGAGAGGATGCATACAGTAATGAGATCAAAGTGGAGGTGAGGGCTTGTGCATTCAGGTCTGTGGATCAGGCTGATGATAGCAGACAAAAGTACAGGAAGGATGCTTACTTCTTGACATCAGTCTTCCAATAACGTGGCCAAGAGTCGAAGCTCTGCTCACCACTCACAAACTGTGAACGTTTGGGCAAGTTACTTATCCTCTCTGGGCCAGTCTCCTCATCCGTAAACTTGGAAATCATGGCCCCTGTGTCACAGGGCTGTCATGAGGATCAAGTTAACAATATATAAAAGTGTGTTTGAACAGTGTCTGGGGCATGATATGTGTTACAAGCTTGTTGTTATCTTTATCTGGACTCGGTCCTCCTTTCTGATCACCTTACTAGGTGACATCACATTCAGCTTTTATTCATTCATTCAATAAACACCTACTGAGTGCAGCTAGAGCACACTTTCCTCTGCAGGGCCAAACCCAAACTCTTTCAAGGCCCAACTCTCCATGAAGCTTTTCCAGTTATCCCCCATGGACGTGACCATCCCCTCCTCCTCACTTCATTTTTTCCTCTCTTTTAGCACTTAATCCTTTTAAGTTCAAATCATAGCTTAAAGCTTCCTGAGGACAGAACCAGTGTCTGATTCATTTTTATGTTTCCCACAGCATCATCTCTCACACTGAGTGTGAAGTCATTAAATAGTGTGGAATGAATAAAGGAAAACTTAGGATGAAAAGCAGGAAAAAGCAGCTCTCTGGGCTTCTCATCACCAGAGCCTGTTTTTAAAAGGTAGCTAGGAGACCATAAATTGAACCGTCTACAAAAATTATTTTGTACTTAGTTTATGCACTGCACAAACCAACACATAATTTTTTTAAATGAGAAAACCCAATGTCTTCACCATAGGATCTAATAATCAAGAAAAAGGGAAGAACCCAGTGCCCGTTTGCAGTCCTGAATGCTGCTCCCCCATCCCTGCTCCAGGGTCACCGAGCTTCTAGTGAATCCAAGCACCTAACTGCCACCAGACTCCCTGTGGTTCTGCTGAGGCCTTCCCACTGCCCACAGTGCTGGGGTGAAACCTGCCTTGCCCTCCCTAAAACTCTCACTCTCTCATAAAGCTTACCATCTCATCTCACATTTCACCATGATTTGGGGGCCACAGAATGAATGTCCCCATTTCCTCCACTTTATCCCCATCCTTTTTCCTTCCACCACATCTGAGAAGACCAACCACTCTCCCTTCCAAAGGCCCTCTTTCCTGGGCTCAGGTTATCCTCCCCTGGTTCTGACTTCCCCAATCTTGCTTTCCTCCCTCCAGCCTTTTCCCCTCTTCCACTTATTAGGACAATCTCTACTCCTGCACAAACTTAAGCAGTTTACTTAACCTCAACTATAAAAGCTAAGGTAATTTTTGGTTTAGGTTTTTCTTGATTTTTCAGAAAGACAGGCAGGATCTTGCTCTGTTGCCCAGGCTGGAGTACAGTGGTGCAATCATGGCTCACTGAAGCTTTGAACTCCTGGGCTCAAGCAATCCTCCTGCCTCAGCCTCCCAAAACAATGGGATTACAAGCATAAGCTGCTGTGCCCAGACAAAAACTAAGATAATAATAAAACTCATCTCTCAGATCACACGTGAGAAAGGATTTGCAAAGCAAAGAGCTTACAAAAATGTTAGGCATTTTCATGTCTTCCTGTGGACAGAGATCACCATTTTTAATTCCTCTTTGGATCATCCACAATGTCTTTTAAAGGGTATGGCATATAGTAGGAATTCAATAGATGAGGCACATATTGGCTTAATGAGTAAGCCCTGGTATGAATGAATCAAAACCCGCACATCCATTTCACTGATCAATTTATCTCTAAGTGAGAGTGTTTGGCCTTAACACCTTACTCTCAATCAAGTGAGAAAATTCCTGCTGGGTGGACCCCCTCTCTCAGAAAAGAGTCTTTTGGGTCAAATTGGTAATGAAGTTGTAATCTGAAACAGTTTCACACCTGAGCTCCTAACAACTCTAGGAGAAAATTCAGCTGTTGGGTGTGGCTAAGATTCATAAATATCATCAATTTGTTAAGAACTTAGATTATAATCAACCATAGAGCTAATCTGTTAGTTACAGAACACTGTTTTGGGGGGTATTTTGGTTATTTTGTTTTGTTTTGTTGAGACAGCATCTTGCTTTGTCACCCAGGCTGGAGTGCAGTGGCATGATCATGGTTCACTGCAGCCTTCCTGTGCTCAAGAGATCCTCCTGTCTCAGCCTCCTGAGTAGCTGGGACCACAGGTGTGTGCCACCATGCCCAGCTAACATTTTTATTTTATTTTATTTTTTGCAGAGATGGGGGTCTTACTATGTTGCCCAAGCTGGTCTCAAACTCCTGAGCTCAAGTGATATTCCTTCCTCTCCTCCCAAAGGATTGCAATCACAGGTGTGACCCACTGCACCCAGCAGAACATTGTTTTAATGCTGTGGTATATAAATTTGTTGATTTCTTTAGGCCAGTGCATATATATTACTTGTTGATGTAAATAATCTGTTATATGAATTTGTTGGTTTTGCTCATCTGTGTACCCTAGGTCTTCAGAAGCTCTGATGAGCAGGGTGTCACATATACCCAGGCCTCCCCAACGTTAAGGGACAAAACACCTTTCCTATCACACACACTGCTGCCCCCTTAGACTGCCATCCTATACCTTGCTTTCCTTCTCTTATCAAACCCCCGTCACAATAGCCTGCAATACTCCAATATTTGAAGCTCCTGAAATATCATCAGTTCTGCTCCACTCAGCTGCATTCTCCAATGACCTAATTACCAAATTCAGCGCATTTTATTTGATTTTCTACAATGTTTCAAACTGCTAGCCAGCCCATCTGTTTTGAACCTCTTGCCTTCTTTCCCAGACAAGATAACATCTCTGTGCTCCCATTGTTCCTCAGCCCCAACCTGCACCTCATTTCCCAAACTTCAGGCCCCAGCTGCTGATCCCCTAGGTCCTAGGGGCTCACACACCCTTTGGCTTCAGCAGCAACTTTTTTTTTTTTTTTTTTTTGAGATGGAGCCTCACTCTGTAGCCCAGGCTGGAGTACAGTGGCACAATCTCAGCTCACTGCAACTTCCGCCTCCCAGGTTGAAGCGATTCTCCTGCCTCAGCCTCCTGAGTAGCTGGGATTACAGGCATGTGCCACCACACCCGGGTAATTTTTATATTTTCAGTAGAGATGGGGTTTCACCATGTTGGCCAGGCTGGTCTCCAACTCCTGATCTCAAATGATCCACCCACCTTGGCCTCCCAAAGTGCTGGGATTATAGGCGTGAGCCACCATGCCCAGCCCAGCAGCACCTTAACGAGGACACACATCTCCAACTCAGGCCTCCCCCAGGCTGCAGCCTGGAATGTCCAGCGGCATGTGGAACTCCACCTGGGTGGCCTGCAGCTCAGCAGGCCCAACACAGGATCAGTCTCCAGTTTCCCAAACCAGCTTGTCCCTTGACTCACATTCCTCATCAGGAGCCAGGCTCTGTTCTGTCACATATCCCACAAGAACAGACTGGGTGCCCACCCTGTGTGGGCATTGCCCAGGGGCGGGGGCTGCAGCATTGAACAGGACAGGGCCGCTGTCCTCATGGATGGGGGAACCCACACGGTAAGCCAAAAATAAACATAAAATATTACATCAGGTGGTGATGAACGCTATGAACAAAAATACAACAGGCTTAGGAGATCATGGCGGGGAGGCCTCCATTTTCTTTTCTTTTTCTTACCATTTTAGGAGTTTATAGTGTTTCACACAGATATTGAACACTCTGGGTCAAGATGAGCTCATTCAGTAAGGGAACCTGGAGAAAGAAAAGAAGCAGGGGACCTGTCCCGGGATGTGTCGACATTCAGAGATTTGGAGGAGAATGAAAAGGCACCACACCTGGGCCAGGTGTGGTGGCTCACGCCTGTAATCCCAACACTTTGGGAGGCTGAGGGAGGTGGATCACCTGAGGTCAGGAGTTCGAGACCAGCCTGGCCAACATGGTGAAACCCCGTCTCTACTAAAAATACAAAAATTAGCCAGGAGTAGTGGCACACACCTATAATCCCAGCTACTTGGGAGGCTGAGACAGGAGAATCACTTGAACCCGGAGGCGGAGGTTGCAGTGAGCCAAGATCACACCATTGCACTCCAGCCTGGGCAACAGAGTGAGACACCATCTCAAAAACAAACAAACAAACCAAAAACAGAAAAAAAAAACAAAAAGGCAGCCTGGAGACAGAAGGAGCTGTTGCTGCCTGAAAGTTAGAAGAAAATCAGGAGTGCACTTTCCCAGAAGCAAAGCAAAGAAACATCCCTAGAAGAGTCGGCGGAGCCCAGGGCCCCAGTAGGGTGAAGACAGCATCGGCCATTGGCTTTGGCAACCTGGAGCTCGAAAGAGGAGACAAGGGTAGTTTCAGTGGTGCATGGGAGGGAACCCGTGAGAGAATGGGAAGTGAGGGATGAAGCAGACACAGCAAGAGCACACAGCCCTTCTCAGGAGCTTTAAGAGAAACAGGAGCAGAGAAATGGAGCAGGAGTTAAAACTAAGTCTAACATGAGGCGTTTTATGTTAGGAGATTCCAGCATATTTATATGCTGATGAGTATGAGCCAGGGGAGAAGGAAAATGTGAAGATGTCAGGGAAAAAGAAGTAATTGTAGAAGCAAACACTTGATTGGAGGGAGGGTTTAGGAACCATAGCACACATAGGGAGTTTGGCTTGGGACGAGCAGAGAGTTTTCTTGAACTCCTCCCTTAGATCCCTAATCACTTATCTCTAAGCTATACTCGTGACATCTTAAATCTTGAATCAATCACCAAATGTAGTAATTTATTCACCCCATAGTATTGATCATCTTTTGTCCCTTGATTTTCATTCTCACTGCCGTCATTTGGTAACTAAATTATCACATCTTGGAGAATCACTTGAACCTGGGAGGCAGTGAGCCGAGATCGTGCCACTGCACTCTAGTCAGGGTGACAGAGCAAGACTTCATCTCAAAAAAAAAAAAAAGGTAAAAGATGTTTGTTTTAATTTTCAAACCATAACCACACTGAGCCCCTACCTGCCCAGAGCAGCAGGATGACCAGTCTCTTTCCATAATTCCCTTCTCCAAATACCCTGAGTACAGATAAGGTGGCACCTGCAGTCCATGGATCAGCCTGTGAGAGACTCCAATGCTCCCCTTGAAGCTACAATCACTGATGTCCAGACACTGGTCTCTGCTGCCTCCTGTCCCTTCCCTGCTAAGGCAAGGGCCTGGGGTCCCTGTTGGAATCCAGAGGATGAAGCAGGGCAAAGACAAGCCCCCAGTAGCTAGCCACAATGGTCACCTTGCTCATCAACATTCAGCAGACAGGGGAAGAGGAGGAGAGATTGCCCAGGGAGATTGTATAAGCCAGGCCTGGAAGGGATACCCATGGCCACACCTAAAGAGCCTGGAATATTTGGTCTAGCTGTATTCCCAGGAAGAAGAGAAAACAGGTTTGTTGGGTGGTAGTGACACATGATCATCTTACGAACCTGGGATAATAATAGATGTTGCATAAGGACCGGCTGAGGATACGAGATTATAGGTGACACAAAGTTTCTTAGCATATTACTTGGCACTTACATGATGGGCAAATGATCAGCTTCCTAAGTCTTCTCCCTTTTTCCCTCCTCCCTAGTCTCTCTTTTCACCAATCCTTTCTACCATTTGTTTCCTCATTAGTATTTCTAAAAGTTCTACTTTTCTCAAGTCATTACCTACTCCCCACCCCAATCAGAAAATGCTGGTAGTTCCCCCATTGCCTTCAGGACGAAGTCCAAATTCCAGAACCTGGCATTAAGTCTCCCACCCCAAAGGGATCGCTCTTCCACCCCTATTCCCATCATGAAGCTGCTCTATTCTCAGAACACACCAGGTGGGTTCACTGCAAGTGTAATGTGTCCCATCTCTGCCCCCACCCAAATCTTATTCATGTTTCAAAAACGAATTCATATCCTACCTTTTCCATGAGCCTCCTCTGACCACGCAGGCATCCCTTCCTCAGTTGAAGTCCTGTAGCACACATCATTTCTTCTCACTGGACATGTGTGACATTTCTTCACATTATTCATTAACTTCCGTCTGTGTGAATCTTCCTCCCACAATGGTACTGGAGTTCCCTAAGGACAAGAACCATGCCTCACTCTAGATTGCCTAGCACAGTCCTTTTTGCAAAAAAGATGATTAAATAAATGTATTAAAGCACACATTTCAAGAGTAAGATGTACTAGGAAGAGCTCAGATCTGAGCTTTAAATCCCAGGTACAACATTTGCAAGTTGCATGGTTAGAAACTTCTAAGTCAGAGCTAATTACAGCTACCTGACAGGGGGGTTTTGAGTATTAAGTGAGATAATGTATATAAGGCACCTAATATGTACCTGAAGCACGGTGGGCTCTCAACAAATTCCCTTCTCCTGCCACCCTACCTGAAACTGACATAGAATGACAAGGGACAAACCTGTTAGGAGACAGGCAAAGATGATAAAGGTACTTTCCATTCCACAGCTCAGAGATCCTGTTCCAGGAAGCATCTGTCTTGACAAGGTGTGAGGACTCTAAGGGAGGCTGAAACTCTAAGGGAGACAATGAGATGCTAACAAGCTGGAAATCAGATGCATTTCAAGAACCATTTACACCCCAACAGGCTGACCTCAGAAGGGCACTCGAGACTGCCCACTGCTTTGTACTGCAGGAAGGTGAGTGTTCAACCCTAAAGAGGCGCTGGTCCAGGAAGCCCTGGTTCAGTATCCCAGTGGCTGAGGTCTGACCTGTAGCCTGTTCTCAACCAAATGGAGGAAGATGGGGGGTCACTCAGGCCCAGACCAGAAAGCAGGCTCACCGCCCTCTTACTTGCTGTCAAATTTCCTAACCAGTCATTAGAAGAGTCACTCTGTGGGACACCCAGTTGAGTCCATGCTATTAATAACATAATAAATGTGTGCAACTCAGGATAAAAATAATTCTCTGTACCTACATAGAAGGATGTGTGCATGGGCCTGTATGTCCTTTGAAGCACCATTAATGATTGAACAAGAATTCATTGCACCTTTTTTTTCCAGAGCAGCCTCTGACACTTTATAATCTGAGAAAAAAATGGCAGAACTTCTGCATCTCATGTGGAGCAGTTGAGTTTCCTGCCCACTTGTTTTCTCAGATAAACCCGAGTCAGGCTCCCAACTCTCCAGCCCACCCACCCAGGACTTTGCGCAGAGATTTGCCTTCATTTCCTCATCTGTACCCGGTGTGACAACACTTACCTTGCAGGTAGTCATGAGCATTAAATAGAGGAAACTAATCTTCCTAAAGTGCTGGTATCGTGCTTGCTGTTCCAACCCTGATAGCCATCATTACATTATTACAAGTCAAGCTGAAGGGCAGGAGAATAAATTGTAAGAATTTATTAAGCGTGGGTAGGGACCGAGTCTGGGCAGCCACAAGCAAAAATGGGAAAGGGATTCGCATGGTGGGAATGGCATTTGCCCATCTCCATTTTCGAGGCCTCTCTCTGGGTTCAACAGTTCTTCTAAGATCACATATGGCTGTCTGGCCACTTTAGTTGTAAGCTTTCTCTGCTTCCAAGAGATGTGAACTCATTTCAAGCAGCTCATTGGCAGCCCTCCTGCCCATTCTATGCATATTTTACAGAGGAGAGCTTTGAAGCTTAAGCAAAATGGCATTTGCAAGGTCACAGAGCTCACTGGTGGCAGAGCTGGGATACAGGACTATTGGATTCAAAGCCCCCCACCCACTCTTTACCTCCCTCCCCTTTCTAAAGCATGACCCACTGGAGCTTTCACGGTGGGGGCTATAGATTGTGGAAAAAAGTGGCAACATGACTGTGAACTTGCATCTGATCCAGTGATTCCAAATTCCCTTACAATTGAGGCAGAGACTCCGCCAAAGGGACTGGTGAGCCCTGTGACTGGCCCCATCACCATGACAACACTCCTGTTCCAGCGCCTCAAGGGATCTCCACTCTCCTACCTTCTCACGTAGGTGGGAAAGGTGGCGTCCTCACCTACATGTACGGCCAGGACTCCCATAATTTAAGAAGAGCCAGCTAGATCACTAAAATGGTCTCCATGCTACACGTTACAACTGCACATCTCAGCACCCAAAGCCTTCACTGGAGAGAGAAAACCGTGCCTGGGTGACTCGTGACTCGACATTGGCTCCGGACGTGTCAGTACAGAGGAACGTCGGTACCGGATCCCAGACATAGGGCTGAGCCCAGCTGGTTCTCATTCTCTTCTGGGGCCAGGCCTGCTGCTGGTTTCATTTAATTGAATATTTTGATTGTTTGATTTCTGTAGCCAGAAGCCTGTAGGCAGTAAATGCCCTTTTCCATCAGTTCAAGAAAGAAAATGTACCTGCCGAGGTAGTATCTGCTTCGCTGAGCTGCTGACTTATTTTAAGAACTAAATCTTTCCTGTTACTATATTTTTCACTCTGGGGTGTGCGCGCTCCAAGACTGACAGTAACTCAGGTCTAGGACAGGAGCGTCCTCTCGGCGATGACTTAGCGCCACCTACTGACCACTTGCTCAACAGCGGCCACGTTCAGCAACCACGGTGATCTCGACAGACACGAAAATGTTCTGTGCTCTCAACGAGAAGTTCTGCATGTATTCTTCCCTTCTCACATAGCAGAGCTTGCCTAGCAGAATTGTGCTCCTTTTATTTTTTAATATAAGTAAGTTAAGACACAGGGCTCCAGCAAGAAAGCTGAGCAAGTTCTCCATTTGGCAACTGTTTCATACTTCCCGACTTTGGCGGCTGTCATTTATAAATGATGAGCTCATGAGTGAGGAGGCTGATGCAACCCCCAGGGGCCCAAAACACAAGCATGGAGAAAGACAGCCCTCCTGTGGGATCTGATGCAATCGTCTTGTCTTCTTTAGGCTTTGATACCAGTGTTTCTAAACTTTAGGTGCAAGATTATCCTCACAGCACCTCTAAGGAGTATAAACCCCAGGGTTATTACTTACCGGTTACCACAGCAACTCATATGTAAAGAGTTGGAAAGTCCTTCCTCTGTGGTGATTGAGAGTAGACATGGAGCTGTTTGCAACCCCCTAAACACATTGCCCCCTTGCCACACAATAGCAAAAATTGAGAATTATCATCCTGTCACCACCCAGTGGCTCTGGGCCCTCAAGCTCCCAATTACTTACAGATATCTACAGCAGAGTCTCTTGACCTTCGCACCATCGGGTCAGATAGGTCTTTGTTGTTGGGAGGCTGCCTGCGCATTATGAGCATTTAGTAGTATCCTTGGCCTCTACCCACTGGTGTCACTGGCACCCCACCACTGTCCCCAAACCTCCACCCCTGTTATAACAATCAAAATACCTATAGACATTGCCAAATGTTTCCTGGGGGTACAAAATCACCTCTGCTTAAGAACCACCTATCTGGAAGGCAAATACATGGAATATAAGAAGAACAACAACAGTAATAATTACTAGTACTGCTATCATTTAAAAGGTAAAATTGCACCACCAGCTAATGGATAAGTCATCGGCTTCCTAAAAGGCACTAATTACGTGCTGAGACTTTTATGGCCTTATCTTATTTAGTCTTCACAACCAAGAAACCAGTCTGTGTTGACAAAACATTCACATTACAAGGAAACTGAAGATCAGAGATGCCAAGTAACTTGGCCAAGGGTGCAGAGCTGTCAGTGGCTGAACTACCATTTGAAACCAGACTTTCCTGACTGTAAAATCTGAGCCTGTCACCACCTCCAGATCCTGAGGTCACATAGCACAGATAGTTCTGGAACAGTCCTCACTCTCAAAAGTTCTGCCAGAGTATGCTAGCACTATTCAAATAATATATCTAGATTTAGATTTAAAGACATAAAGACTGTAGCTATCCTCTGTAAGAAATTGACCCAAAGTGTGACTGCTGTGGAGGTTTTCCAATAGGGGAATAGAGCGGGCCAGAGTCTTGGCCAGTAATTGACTGTATGGCCTTTATTTGGGGTCAGTTACTTAAGCTCTTGAAGTCTCTTCTTGTTCATATATAAGATAAAAAATTTTGTCAGAGCAATGGTACTCAACTCTGGCTGCACATTAAAATCACTTGGGTAGCTTTTTGCCATGGTTTGGATCTGTGTCCCCACCCAAATCTCATGTAATCCCCAATGTTGGAGGTGGGGCCTGGTGTGAGGTGGGATTGGATCATGGGGGCAGATTTCCCCCTTGGTACTGTCCTCAAGATACTGAGTTCTCATGAGATCTGGTTGTTTAAAAGTATGTGGCACCTCCCTTCTCTTTCTCTTTTGCTCCTGCTCCTACCGTGAAGACATATCTGCTCCCCATTTGCCTTCTGCCATAATTGTAAGTTTCCTGAGGTCTTCCCAGAAGCCAAGCAGATGCCAGCATTGTGCTTCCTGTACAGTCTGTGGAACCATGAGCCAATTAAACCTCTTTTCTTTATAAATTACCCAATCTTGGGTGTTTGTTTGTGGCAATATGAGAATAGCCTAATACAGAAAATTGGTACCAGGAGTAGGATATTGCTATAAAGATACCCAAAAATGTGAAAGCAACTTTGAAACTGGGAAATAGGCAGAGGTTGGAAGAATGTGGAGGGCTAGAAGACAGGAAGTTGAGGGAAGGTTTGGAACATCCTAGAGAGTTGTTTAATGGTTGTGATTAAAATGCTGACAGTGACGTGGACAGTGAAGTCCAGCCTGAAGATGTCTCAGATGGAAATGAGGAACTTATTGGGAATGAGTAAAGGTAACCTTTGCTATGCCTTATCAGACAGCTTAGCTGCATTATGCCCCTGCTCTAGAGATCTGTGGGACTTTGAACTTGAGAGTGGTAATTTAGGATATCTGGCAGAAGAAATTTCTAAGCAGTAAAGTGTTCAAGATGTGACCTGGCTGCTTCTAACAGCCTATGCTCATATGTATGAGCAAAGAAATGACCTGAAGTTGGAACTGATATTTAAATGGGAAACAGAGCATAAAAGTTTGGAAAATTTGCAGCTTGGCTGTGTGGTAGAAAAGAAAAGCCCGTTTTCAGGGAGGAATTTAAGCAGGCTGCAGAAATTTGCATAAATATAAAGGATCCAAGTGCTAATAGCCAAGGCAATGGAGAAAAGGCCTCAAAGGCATTTCAGAGACCTTTGCAGCAGCCCCTCCCATCATAGGCCCAGGGACCTAGGAGGAAAGAATGCTTTTATGGGTTAGGCCCGGGGACTCTGCTGCCCTATGCAGCCTCAGGACACTGCTCTCCACATCCCAGCCACTCCAACTTCAGGCATGGCTCAAAGGGATATAGTACAGGCCACTGCTTCAGAGGGTGCAAGTCATAAGCCTTGGCAATTTCCATGTGATATTAAGCCTGCAGGTGCACAGAGTGCAAGGATTGAGGCTTGGGAGCCTCCACCTAGATTTCAGAGGATATATAGAAAAGCCTGGATGTCCAGGCAGAAGCCTGCAGCAGGGGCAGAAGCCTCATGGAGAACCTCTACTAGGGCAGTATGAAGGAGAAATGTTGAGTTGGAGCCTCCACAAAGAGTCCCCACTGGGGTACTGCTTAGTGGAGCTGCACAAAGAGAGCCACCGTCCTCCAGACCCCAGAATGTTAGAGCCACCAACAGCTTGCACTATGTGCCTGGAAAAGCCACAGTCAATGCCACCCTGTGAGAGCAACCATGGAGGCTGAACCCTGCAAAGTCATAGAGGCAGAGCTGCCCAAGGCCTGGGGAGAGCACTCCTCACACCAATGTGACCTGCATGTGAGACATGGAGTCAAAAGAGTTTATTTTGGAGCTTTAAGTTTTAATGACTGCCCTGCTGGGTTTTGGACTCGCATGGGGCCTGTAGTTCCTTTCTTTTGGCAGATTCGTCCCTTTTGAAATGGGAATGTTTACCCAATGCTAGTATCCTCATTGTATCTTGAAGCAAATAACTTCTTTTTTATTTTTTAGGCTCATAGGTGGAAGGAAC
Organism: Homo sapiens; assembly: GCF_000001405.40. NCBI lineage: Eukaryota > Metazoa > Chordata > Mammalia > Primates > Hominidae > Homo > Homo sapiens. Next base: position 222,458,747 of record NC_000001.11, read on the forward strand.
TTGCCTTGTCTCAGATGAGACTTTGAACTTTGGAATTTTGAGTTAATATTAGAATGAGTTAAGGCTTTGGGGGACTGTTGGGGAGGCATTATTGTATTTTGAAATGTGAGAAGGAAATAAGATTGGGAGAAGTGCCAGGGGTGGAATTATATGGTTTAGATCTGTGTCCCCACCCAAATCTCATGTTGAATTGTAATCCCCAGTGTTGGAGGTGGGGCCTGGTGGGAGGTGATTGGATCATGAGGTCAGATTTCCCCCTTGGTGCTGTCCTCAAGACAGTGAGTGAGATCTCATAAGATCTGGTTGTTTAAAAGTGTGTAGCACCGCCCCTTTCTCTGTTGCTCCTGCTCCTGCCATGTAAGACATATCTGCACCCACTTTGCCTTCCACCATAATTGTAAATTTCCTGAGGCCTCCCCAGAAGCTAAGCAGTTGCCAGCATCATGTTTCCTTTACAGCCTGCAGATCTGTGAGCCAACAAAACCTCTTTTCTTTATGGATAACCTAGTCTCAGGTGTTGTTTTATAGCAATGTGAGAACAGCCTGATAGTTTTCAAATGGAATGCTTAAGCCCAACCCCAAATCATTTAAACTAGAATCTCTGGGTCCCAGGCAATGATATTTTTAAAACCCGCAGGTGACTCTAATAGGACAGCCAGAATGGATACCCATGAGGCTGATGAACAGTAAGACCCTTCAGTTCTGTTTTTCTAACTTAGGTCCCAACTCTCCCAGGATCAGAAGCCATTCTTTTCTCCCTTACTGGGATCCATTCTGGGGGGTGGCTAGTTTCTCTGTCTCATAAGGCTGTCCCAAAAGCCTTGATTAATTTCCTGGAACTTTCTGACTGTCTCAACTGTCCTGCAGTCCCTGAACTGACCATTCCCAGCATCTCATTCTACCACCAAGAAGTATTGAAATCCCATCCCACTCTCCTGTGGTACATATGGGTTGGAAACTTCTACCAAAAGCTGCAAAGAGCAGGGAACATGACAGAAGACAGCTGTGTCTACTGAAAGACTATCTTCTCCTTAGCCTCGTTGAATGCTTGCCCTGTTTGACTTTAATAAGGTTAATTCTAATCTGTAGCTTTTCCGGAGGTGAGAGAATCTCCCCTTTCTGAACATGACTCACTGGCTTCTATTTCAGCTCCCAAAGAAGAGTGTTAATGTCTCACTCAGCAGGTGACTGAGAGAAGCTTTGGCCTTATGAGTCCCATATTCTTCACCCTTTTCTATGCCTCCTGTCACCCCTATTTCTACAACAGGAGAGCTTCGTGCAGCACTCTAAGATACAACTAACAATAAAAGTAATTTATATCACTTACTACTCTCCAGATGCGAGGCTCTGCATAAAGTGTTTACATGCTTCATTTCATTTATTCTTCACAAGTCCCCACATGAGATGGTATTATAGTTATTACCATCATCATTCCCATTTTATAAATGAGGAATCTGAGTAGACTGTACTGCCTGTTCCTCTTCCTTAGCACTGGTCCCCACAGTCCACCCATTTTCTGAATAATGTCTGTTTTCCTACTAGTCTGTATGCTTGGCTAGAGCAGAGACCGCATCAGGATTGGCTGATCACTTAATCCCCAAACTGGCGGAGCAGAGCCAGAACTGAGACATGAGCAGGCTGGCCCCCAGGGCCTTGTGTGCTCACCCTCTGCTCTCATGGAAGGTGAGTCTGCAAAGCTGAGAAGTGGGTTCCTGGGAGGTGGGCAGGCCCTTGGGGTATGTATGGGTCAGGAAGGCAGTGGAAGAGAGAGTTTTAGGAGGAAAAGCAGTCATCGGCACCACGTGCTGCCAAGACACCAAGGCTTCACCCACATAGAGCTTACCTAGTGCCAATGAGGGTCATTTTGGTGGAGCTGTAGGGCCAGAAGACAGATGGGGCAAGTGGAATGTGTGAAAGGTAAGGGTCAGAGTGAATGTGTGGGGACAACTCACTGGAGTTGAAGGGCAGTTTTTATTTTATTTTATTTTATTTTCCACGAGAGAGACACAGAAGCAGACGGGAAGGATCCAGTTGAGCATGAGAGGTTGAGTGTCCCAGGGATAAAGGGCATAGTGGTCCTGCAGGGGTCCTCAGAGGGAAGAGAGGACTGGGCCAGGCTTGGTGGCTCATGCCTGTAATCCCAGCACTTTGGGAGGCCGAGGTGAGCAGATCACCTGTAGTCAAAAGTTTGAGGCCAGCCTGACCAACATGGCAAAACCTCGTCTTTACTAAAAGTACAAAAATCAGCCGGGCATGGTGGCAGGCATCTGTAATCCCAGCTACTCAGGAGGCTTAGGCAGGATAATTGCTTGAACCCAGAGGCAGAGGTTGCAGCGAGCTGAGATCATGCCACTGCACTCAAGCCTGGGCGACAAGAGCAAGACTCTGTCTCATAAAAAAAAAAAAAAAAAAAAAAAAAAAAAAAAAAAAAAAAAAAAAAAAAAAGAGGGCTCTCACTGGGGAGAGATAAAGCTCCTCTACCATAATCGAAGGGCAGGCAGGAAAGTGAACCTGGCCGCACAGGTCCAGGTGGGCAGTCCCTGAAGGGAGGTGAGGCTGGACCTGTGCTGACCTCTTTGCACCCAGCAGCACATTATATCCTGAAAGTGTGTACCCTCCTAGCTCCACTTCCCAGGTGAACAGGAGCTTCAAAAGTTAAGTAATTTTCAGAGGCTGGGAAGGGGGACTGAAGAGAGGTTGGTGATATACTCTGGTTCTGTGTCCCCACCCAAATCTCATCTTGAGTTGTAATCCAAATTATAATCCCCATGTGTTGGGGGAGGGACCTCATGGGAGGTCACTGAATCATGGAGATGATTACCCTCATGCTATTCTCGTGATAGTGAGTGAGTTCTCATGAGATCCAATAGTTTTATAAGGGGCTTTTCCCCAGTTTTGCTCGGCACTCCTCCTTCCTGCTGCCATGTGAAGGACATGTTTGCTTGTTTGCTTCCCCTTCTGCCATGATTGTAAATTCCTGAGGCCTCCCTAGCCCTGTGGAACAGTGAGTCAATCAAATCTCTTCCCTTTGTAAACTACTCAGTCTCGGGCAGCTCTGTATAGCAGCATGAGAACAGACTAATACAGTTGGTCAATGGGTACAAACATACAGTTAGATAGAAGGAATAAGTTCTAGTGTTCGATGGCACAGTAGGGTGACTATAATTATCAATAATGTATTGTATATTTCAAAATAGCTAGTAGAAAAGATTAGAAATGTTCCTAGCACATCATTTCACCCATGATGAAGTTCAAGTTCCTTCTTCTCATGAAGTCGCAGCTTTTTTCTGGCACTAGATAAGCTCAAAGGTTCCTTCTGGCCCTTACATCCTCATACCCTCTGACCTTGAGTCTGACTTTGGACAGGACAGTAGAAGGTCTGCTCCCAGGAGGAGAGGATGCACGTGGGACAATGACTCAGAGGAGAGCCAGACAGCCCCTACACCAAGTGGGTGGGAGAGCCTTCCTGGGCTGTCTTCTGTTTCCCACCACCTCAGGGATACCAGGGATTCTATGGGGAAGGGGAGAGGATGTAGGCAGGGGACAAAGGACAGAATGAGGGTGAAGGAGGTGAGAAAGCAAAGCAACTATCTTCTTAAGGCAAAAAGAAGTCCCTTTAACACACAAAACAGCTGAGGGATGTGGCTGGGACTTACTAGTTTTCATCTCCTTTCCCTCCCAACAAAACTGGACCGTGGGATGCCTTCCCTCCTGGCAGTGCCAGAAGCTGGAATCTCTCCACGTGGTTTTCTGCTGAGGGTTGACCATAGACCAGAAGTAAATGCTCAACCTTTGAAGAACATTCCCTTTTATGTTCGTTTCTGGCATTTCACAGTTTCCTAGCACTCTCAGGTTCACTATTGTGTTGAATCCCTCAAAATGCTCTGAAACAGAGAGGCCAAAATTATCACCTCCATTTTACAGTCTTTATAGGATGTCTACTTTATCTTTATTTCATCTTACCATTTAACTTTGTGTCCTTTTTCTTACAGTACAGAAATTGGAATTGAAAAGAGGAGAGGTTCCATTTGTCTATCACATGCTACCTCCTGCTGCTGGGAGATAACGTGCATCAGTATTGGGAGGAGGGGTCGAGGGTGGTGCTGTGCCAACTCAAGGGAATGGAAGAAGGGAAATTCAAAATTCATTTGTTGAAGTCCTAAGACCCAGTCCCTAAGAATGTGACCTTATTTGGAAAGAGTCTTTTCATAGGTAATCAAGTTAAAGTGAGGTCAGTAGGGTGGGCCCTAACCCAATCTGACTGGTGTCCTTATAAAAAGGAGAAATTTGGATACAGAGCTATACATAGAGGGAAGATGATGTGAGGAGACACAAGGAGAAAATGGCCATCTACAAGCCAAGGAGATCCTTCCTTCACTGCCCTCAGAAGGAACCAGCCCTATCAACACCTTGATTTCATACTTCTAGCCTCCAGAGCTAGAAGATAATACAGTTCTGTTGTTTAAGTCACCTAGTGTGAGGTATTTTGTTACAGCAGCCCTAGCAAACTAATACACTCCTCAAAATCGCCTCTGAGATGGAAAATAAGCCAGCTCTCTAAGGCTCTTGCCAAGACAACATAAGACATTAAAATCAGGCTTATATGTTTCAGGTGGAAGGAACCATGTGCGATGAGAGATGAAAGTACCTGCAGGTAGCTTGAGAGGGAGGGAAAGTTTGTATATGAAAGATGAAATTACTGAGGAGTTTGACCTTTACCCAGAGTACAGTGAGAAGGCACTGAAGGTTCCCGGAGCTGAGGAGGGACGACAGGCAGTAAATCTCAGAGCAATGGGCCGGGGAAGCAGGAGAAGGAGAGAACCAGATAAGCTGCAGAATCGAAGGGTGATGCAAAATTCCAATGTAGACGGAGAGGCAACGCAAGTGAATATAAGGCAAAATGATGAGAAGACAGCTCCCAAAGCACTTCCCTGATTTCTCTTTTCTCTTAATTTACTAAATGAGCATCATCAGAGATGTCATTCATTTCAACATTTGTTGAGCATCTACTATGAGCCAGAGAGTATTCTGGTGTTGAGAAGACAACAGTGAATAAAACAGATCAAAGCCTTAGCCCTCAAAGAGCTGATATTCTATTAGGGAGAGATACATGAAGAATAAAAAACAATAAGCGCATTATCTACTACAAAAGAAGGTTAAGTAGTATGGAGTAAAAAGAGCAGAATAAGGAGGATGGTGCAGCTGTAAACAGGGGATCAGGACAGCTCTCACTGAGAGAGTGGATGTAAGCCAAAGCTTGGAGATGAGGGAGAGATGCCTGCAGCCCACTTGGTGAGCATGATCTTCATTCTCTCTTTAATGCACTAATGGATCATGTTGTGGCCATGACTTCATTCCTTCAGTAAATGGTTCATTAATCAAAAGGGAATGAAGCATAGTGATCCCGACCATTAAAAAAAAAAACAGGGACCGGGTGCGGTGGCTCACACCTGTAATCCCAGCACCTTGGGAGGCCAAGGTGGGCGGATCACGAGGTCAAGAGATCAAGACCATCCTAGCCAATATGGTGAAACCCCGTCTCTACTAAAACCACAAAAATTAGCTGGGCGTGGTGGTGCACACCTGTGGTCCCAGCTACTTGGGAGGCTGAGGCAGGAGAATGGCTTGAACCTGGGAGGCAGAGGTTGCAGTGAGCCAAGATCACACCATAGCACTCCAGCCCAGGCAACAGTGCGAGACTCTGTCTAAAAAAAAAAAAAAAGGAAGAAAGAAAGAAAAAAGAAAAACAAACAAAGCAGCAGAGGCAGAGCTTTGCTTGTTCACTCTGCCTCATCTAGCATTATTTGAGTACTCAGTAAATATGTGTTGAAGCAATTAATTCATCCAAAACCAGTAACTTAGTTTATGAGAACAAAGACACCCCCATAACTTCCCACTTCCCTGAAAGTACCAAACTTGATACAATTTATCAAGGAAGCAAGATTGAAAGATTTATTGAGAGTAAACATACCACTGAAAATATGACCAGAACACCATTTCATTTTTGCACTTTCCCTCCCAGCCCTTGTCTGTATGCATAAGTTAGGTATGATTTAGTGTATTGTAATCACAAACATATGATTTGAGGCTTCAGTGTTTTCCACTTATCATCATGTTGTAAGCATTTTTCTTTGGCATTTCATAGCCTTTTATAAGTACCATTGATAATACACACATGGGGTCAAATTCTCACGGACCGCCATATAAACCAATGTTGTTGGTAAGATCTGTGAATTCCTGAAAACAACGCCTCACGTGGGCTCCATAGCTCAGTGGTTAGAGCACTGGTCTTGTAAACCAGGGGTCGCGAGTTCGATCCTCGCTGGGGCCTCCTGTTGGCTTACTTTTATTTTAATCCATAGCATTTAAATACAGAATAGAGTCCAAAATGGAAAACGTGATTTCCGAAAATGTTACTCCTAGCAGAGCTAAACATTAGTTCTCCTGAAATACAAATGATGACCATCCTTAACGTGCTTTAGAAGTGACCCAGAAGACAAAATCCTAGTCCCCCAACAAAAAGCAGGCAAGGGCAGGAGGAGGGGGAAACTGGCCCGGCAGCCCCAGTATTACCTGGACCTGCAGGCCGGAGTACTGGAATTGGAGGCTCCATGGGCTCGTATTCAACGTCCTGCACACAGGCACCATCCCCTCAATTAAAACCAGCTGGAGGCGGCGGCCTTGGCCGTCAACTCGGCTGCTGGCTAACAGGACAGGCCGAAGCGGCGCTGCGCCTGCAGTTACGGCGCGTGGCCGGCGGGCGGCGCTGTGGCACCGCTCCCCATCGCCTCACCGGAGGCTAGCGGCTGCGCTTCTCCACGCCCCGCCGGGGCCGAGAGCGCCGCCAGCGTGGCCCGAATGCTAGCCGTTTCTGTGGCTGACACGTGGCAGCCCAGGCCCCATAGCCCGGCCTGGCTCCAATGTCCTGCCCCTTCCGAGGCTACTCCCCAAAATAGTCCCGGGTTGCTTGGGAAGCCAGTGTTTGCAGCCTTTCTGACTCTCCGTGTTTTCTCTGAATTCCTCAATGGCGCGTGACTACAGAGTCACCAGAGGAAAGTGCCAAGAGCCTTTTTTCTGAACACATGAATTTTTCCAACCCAGGATTTCTTTTCCCAGATCTGAGGGCCAGAGCTTGATAAAGGACTGTGTGTGAGGTCGCCACAAGCCGCGTGTGGCCGCTGGGTGCTTGAAATGTGGCTAGACCAAATGGCCATGTCCTGAAAGAGTAAAATACACATGAGATTTAAAAGACTTGAAACCGAAACAGGATGTAAGCCATCTCACTAGTAATTTTTGAATTGATTCCATGTTGAAATAATATTTTGGATATATTGGATTATATAAAATATAGTATAATTAAAATAATTATAAAAATAATTGTATAATTACAATTAACTATTTTTTTAATGTGCCTATTAGAAAATTTTAGGTTACATTTGTGGCCCCCATCTGCAGCTTTCATTTATCTTTCTGTTAGATGGTGCAGGTTAGGGACCCAGAGTCCTCTGACCTTGTGTTTAAGTTAATTCTTAATCTGGCTCCCACTAAGTAAACTGTAATAGCCAGAGAAAGTCTCTTTCATCTCTGGGTCTCCCCGGAGTCAGTACTGTGCCTGACAAGCAGTAAGCACAACCTTCGTTGAAATGAAATTAAATATCTCCCCAACAAGCTCTACAAAGCAAGGGAATGTATTTCCTTTTTTTTTCTTTTTCTTTGTTGTTGTTATTGTTTTTTGTTTGTTTTTTTGTTTTTTTTTGAAAGGGAGTCTCCCTCTGTCGCCCAGGGTTGAGTGCAGTGGCGTGATTTCAGCTCACTGCAACCTCCACCTCCCAGGTTCAAGCAATTCTCTTGCCTCAGCCTCCCAAATAGCTGGGATTACAGGTGCCTGCCACCATGCCCAGCTAATTTTTTGCATTTTTAGTAGACAGGATTTTGCCATGTTGGCCGGGCTGGTCTCGAATGCCTGGCTTTAAGTGATCCACCTGCCACGGCCTCCCAAAGTGCAGAGATTACAGGTGTGAACCACTACAGGGAATGTGTTTCTTAAACTGAGTTCGCTTTTGGCAACTGTAAGACTGTTTTGGCTTGCAGTATTTTAGATCTAGGAAAACACACTCAACACCCTCATATTTTGTTAATTATTTTGTCCCTCTGTGGTCAGGATATCTACTGGAGCAATGCTGTGAAGGTGAAGTGTTCACAGTGCCTTGAGGACATAGGACCCACTGATGCAAGACAAATACCCATATTATCGCAAAAGTATTAGCCCTTTACTAACACACCGAATGCCTTTTAGCAAAGCCATTTCGGATCCTTGAATACCTTAGTACCAGGACTACTTACTCTGAGTTACTTGGTCATCAAGTAACAAAGTAGTAAGAAAGAGAGGTTTTTGAAGCGCTCTAATCCCATCTCCCTCCAGTCATTGCTAGTCGTCATCATTCCTCTCCCTTCCCCTGACATTGGCTGATCTCTAGAAAGAGCAAGTACCTGCATGTGTGTATTTTTCAACTTTCCAAACTTTTCAACACCTTAGGCTGTAAGGAAAAGGAATACATTTTGGCTTTTCTATGTCCTAGAGATTGTTTTCTAACAGTCCTAGACCCTTCCAGGAAGACTCACCAGCACCATCAGGCATCCTTCCAGAAAATAAAGCCACTTGCTAGAGAAAAACACTCTGCCTCTCCCCGACCTTTCCAACATTTGAGAGGTCCCATTCAGTTTCCCGTTCTAGACCCACGCACTACCCACCAATGCAAAACCAGTGCTTCAAATGCCTTGAATTTGGTGCGTGTGGTCCTTTAAGTTGATACATGAATTTTGAGCACTTTCCCCCAGCTCAAACACTTCCAGTCCAGACTGTATTTTTGCCACATGTATTTGAAGAAAGACCGTATGAGTAAAGAAAGCAGAATGGCTCAAACATTTAGTCCAGAGGTTAGATCCAATCTCCTCAAACTGGCCTGGGGTTTTCAGCTCTTTCAACAAAACAACCCTGGGTTAATCCCCTCCACCTTTAAGTTGCTGTCTTCATCGGAGGAGAAGCTAAAAGTGTGAAATATCAAGTTGGTTAGACTCTGAAGTTCATTTCGATTCTAGAGAGTATTCATAAGCACTACAAAGGTAGGCAAGGAAAAATAAAACTATGAAAAAGGCGAAGGAAGAAGACTTAAAGATGATCCAAAAAAATGATCTGCAGAACACGATGACTGGTGTTTAGCATCTTCCATAAAGACAGAACAAGATAAAAAGAATCAGAGGTTTGATGGATTCTTGTTAGGTAAGGTTACCTAAAGTAAAAACATGGAACCTGCTTCTAAGTCTTTAAAAAAAAATCTATCCAGAGTATGCCCAATTATAACTCGGCCCCCAGGCCTGCGTTCAGTGAGGCCTCCCGTGGCGTCAGCATGTTCGTGTGGAGGAATGTGGAAGGTCACTCTGTGGCCGTGTTCCCCTGGTACTCCATCCCCTTCCTGACCCCTCCCTGCAGCCACATGAGGCCCAGCAACCTGCCAGTCACTCAGTGGCCTCCAACCAGAGAAAACAACCTGCCAAGTTGGCAGCTGTTGCTCATAAGCGTCCACCAGGTGGGACAGGGAGTGTTGACCCTGGGCGGCCCCCTGGAGCCACCTGCCCTGAAAGCCCAGGGCCCGCAACCCCACACACTTTGGGGGTGGTGGAACCTGGTAAAAGCTCACCTCCCACCACAGAGGAGGAGCCCTGGGCCCCTCAGGGGAGTCCCTGCTGGACAGTGACACAGAGAATGACCATGATGATGCTTTCCTCTCCATCATGTCTCCTGACACCCAGTTGCCTCTACCACTCAGATGATGTCAGGCCCAGTCCCTCAGTGCCTGCGCAAGGAACAGGACTCATCTTCTGAGAAGGATGGACGCAGCCCCAACAAATGGGACAAGGACCACATCCGGTGGCCCATGAGTGCCGGTCATGATCTTCAGCAAGCGGCACCAGGCCCTGGCAGGGCGCACCAGGGTCACCCCAACCACTATAACCGGACCATCAGCCAGATGCTGAGCGAGCGGTGGTACACCCTGGGGCCCAATGAGACGCAGAAATACCACGACCTGGCCTTCCAGGTGAAGGTGGCCCACTTGCAACAAGGACCGAAAGAAGTCCAGCTCAGAGGCCAAGCCCACAAGCCAGGGGCTAGCAGGAGTGTAACAAGGGCTCGTGGGAGCGGAGCATATCAGAGACAGGCACTGCCACTGCCCCTGGGGTGTCCTCTGAACTCCTGTCAGTTGCAGCCCAAACACTCCAGAGCTCGGATACCAAGGAGCAGCTTCTGTGGGGCAGAACGGCTGCACACAGTCAGGAAACCTGGCTCAGCCTGGCCCAAGCCTTCTCCCACAGCGGGGTACACAGCCTGGACGGCAGGGAAATAGACCGTCAGGCACTACGGGAACTGACACAGGTGGTGTCTGGCACTGCATCATACTCTGGCCCAAAGCCTTCTACTCAGCATGGAGCTCCAGGCCACTTTGCAGCCCCTGGTGAGGGAGGTGACCCGTGGGCAGCCCTGCTGCTGCCCACCTGAGCTGCTCATTCCCAGCACATGGCCAGTGAGGACATAGCGAGTGACGAGGAGCACACGGTCATCCATGAGGAGGAGGGGGTGATGATGTCATTGCTGATGATGGCTTTAGCACCACTGACACCGATCTCAAGTTCAAGGAGTGGGTGACCGACTGAGAGTGGGGACAACTCTGGGGAGGAGCCAGAGGGCAACAAGGGCTTTGGTGGGAAGGTATTTGCACCTGTCATTCCTTCCTCCTTTACTCCTGCCGCCCCTTGCTGGATCCTGAGCCCCCAGGGTCCCCCGATCCACCTGCAGCTTTTGGCAAAGTCTATGGTCCCACCCTGTCCTCCTCCTACACATACTCGGATGCTTCCTCCTCAACCTTGGCACCCACCTCCTTCTTACTGGGCCCAGGAGCCTTCAAAGCCCAGGAGTCTGGTCAAGGCAGCAGAGCGGGCCCCCTATGACCCCTACCCCTGGGGATGGGGGCCCAGGGACGCCTTCCAAGGTGACCTGTTTCCTCCCAATGGATCCTGCCACCTTCTGGTGCAAGAGACCAGAAAGTGTGGGCGACCTGGAGCTACCAGGCTCCTCAGTCATCAGGGTCCCTCCCAACACTAAGGCTTTCCTAGGCAGGAGCTGGGCTGAGCCACCCGGGGGGGCAGAGCCTGAAGAGAAACTGACTGGGCTTTCAGGGTCAGGGCAGAGGGAACCCCACGGACATGGATTCCCCCACACTGGAGGACCCCACCACGCCCAGATGCAAGATGAGAAGATGCTCCAGCTGCAGTCCAAAGCCCAACACCCCCAAGTGTGCCATGTGTGATGGGGACAGCTTCCCCTTTGCCTGTACAGGTGGAGAAGCCGAGGACAGGCTCAGGGAACCGGAGACCGAGAAGGCGCTGTCCTCTTCACTGCACGCGCCCTGGACCAGTGCCGGCCCTGATCATGCAGCTCTTCCAGGCCCACTGCTTCTTCCTGTCCACTAGGCCACAGTTGCCCTCCAGGCCCACTATGCACACATCTTCCCCTCCAAGGTTTGTTCTGCCCCTGCCCTGACTCCCAGCCCTGTGGGGGTCCTGACCGGACCTCACCTGGCTCAGACTCTTGACGCTGCCCTGGCTGCCCCACCACTGCCTCTGCCCGAGAGTCACGTGAGGCTGAGAGTAGGGGCGGGGCAGCAGTGGTGCCAGTTGGGGGGCGGTCCAGTGGGAGGAGCCTCAGCCTCACGGGCTGCTCCGTGGGACTGATGACTGCATGATCTTCTGGGCACCTCACGGATCTTCAACTGCAGGTGAAACGGATGCTGGTGGTGGGTGCAGGGCCGCTGGGGGCCGCTGCATGGTTCCCAGAGGCTGGACTGGGGCAGGTGCCAACTGAAGCTGCTGGGGCAGCATGGGCAGGATGTTCTGCACACAAACGTTGGAGAAGAAGATGTGTGCATAGCGGGTCCACTGCTGCTGCCCCTGCCCTGACTCCCAGCCCTGCCTGACCCCACCTCACCCTGCTCAGGCTCTGGCGCAACCCTGGCTGCCCTGCCACTGCTCTGCCCCAGAGTTGGGGCCTTGACAGCCTGGTTGGAAGGGGACACCCCAGCCCTGCCTCAACACCTGGGGGTCTCCATAACTACCACAGGCAGGTGGGCGACCCCAAAGAAGATCCCAGGACTCACAGTATCCCCTGAGAACATGGACAGTATGTGGGGGTAGCAATGGAGGGCAGGATGGTTATCTTCTCCCAGGTAAAGCCATTTAATCCTTTCAGTTTGGGATGGAATAAGGCCTGCCTCTTTTTTTTTTTTTTTTTTTTTTTGAGACCGAGTCTTCCTCTGTCGCCCAGGCTGGAATGCAGTGGTGCAATCTTGGCTCACTGCAACCTCTTCCCGCCGGGTTCCCGCCATTCTCCTGCCTCAGCCTTCCAGGTAGCTAGGATTACAGGTGCACGCTACCACGTCCGGCTAATTTTTGTATTTTTAGTACAGACGGGGCTTCATCATCTTGGCCAGGCTGATTTCGATCTCCTGACATCGTGATCCGCCTGCCTCCACCTCCCAAAGTGCTGGGATTACAGGCGTGAGCCACCACGCCTGGCCAAGGCCTGCTCCTCTTATCTATACCCCCTACCCCTGCAGCTGTGCCAGGGGAAAGCTGGGCAGTTTCCCTCCTCCGAGCCCCTGTACATACCATGAATTGTGGGACCTTCAGAGCTTTTCACTTTTCGGAAAATAGCTCCTGCTGGGGCTACAAGATGGAGTGTGAAGAGGGCCTTGGGCCACAGGGAAGCGCCTGTGGACTAGGGGTAGTTCATGCACCCCTTCTTTCCCCAGAGGGGCTGGACTCAGGTGAGTATGGGGGTGGGGGCTCCTGCACTTCGACACAGGCAGCGGGAGGGTTTTCTCCCCATTCCCTCTGCACTCCCAACTTGAGCTATACTTTTTAAGAAAGTGATTCACCCTGCCTTTGCCCCCTTCCCCAGAGCAGAACACGTTGATCATGGGCGATATTTTTCATTGTGCCAAAAAGTTGCCATGACCGTCATTAAACCTGTTTAACACCAAATAACAAGGAAAATAAAATAAAAAATTCGGGCATGGTGCAGAAACTCACTCCAAATAAATTACCGACCAAAATATTTATATAATGGTGGAAATATTCCAAAATTTAATATTTTGGGATTTATACACAAAAGATAAACAAATTAGAGGCCAAGAGGCTGCCGGAAGGGAAAAACGGGGCCTGGGAAGGCCGTTGTGAGGAATGAGCTGGGCCTAAAGAGGCCACTGGCAGGCAGGAGCTGGACCTGCCGAAGTGGCCGAAAGGCAGGAGCTTTGGACTGGGGAGGCCGCAGTGAGGCGAGAGCTAGCTGGGCGTGGAGAGTCCGCTGTGAGGCCGAGGCCGGGCCCATGCAGGCCTTTGAGAGGCAGGAGGCCGGGCCTGCAAAGGCCCACTGGAGGTCAAGTTCTGGGCCTGAAGAGGCCACCAAAAGTCAAAAGCGGGGCCTGGGAAGGCCGCCGAGAGCCATGAGCTGGGCTGGGCTGAAAGAGACCACTGGGAGGCAGGAGGAGCTGGGCCTGGAGAGGCTGACTCGAGGAAGTTTTGCACCTGGAGAGGCCGCCGAGAGGACGGAGCTGGGCCCGGGGAGGCCGACTTGCTGCTCTTCCAGGCCCAATTCCAGGCTGACTTGAGGACGACTTGGGCCTACAGAGGCTGCCAGGAGGCCCAAGCTGGGCCTAGAGGAGCCCACCGACCGGAGGCTGTTTGGGGCCTGCAGATGCCATCGGAGAGCAGGAGCTGAGCCTGGAGAGGCCACCGTGAGGCCTGAGCTGGGCCTGCGGAGCTTGGCTTTGGGAAGTTGTGGGCCTACCAGGGCCGCTGGGAGCTGGGCAGGAGCTGAGTCCAAAGACGTTGTTGGGAGGCCAGAGTCGGGCCTGGAGACACAGCAGGGAAGAAGAGCTGGGCCTGGAGAGGACGCCAGGAGGCTGCAAGTGGGTCTGGAGAGGCCGACTTGAGGAGGTTCTGGGCCCGGAGAGGCCGCCGGAAGGGAAAAACTGGGCCTGGAAAGGTTGTTGTGAGGAATGAGCCCCATGGGCCTGAAGAGGCCACTGGCAGGCGGGAGCTGGGCCTGCCCAAGCGGCCGAGAGGCAGGAGCTTTGGACTCGGGAGGCCGCAGTGAGGTGAGAGCTAGCTGGGCGTGGAGAGTCCGCTGTGAGGCCGAGGCCGAGGCCGGGCCCATGCAGGCCTTTGAGAGGCAGGAGGCCGGGCCTGCAAAGGCCCACTGGAGGTCAAGTTCTGGACCTGAAGAGGCCGCCAAAAGTCAAAAGCGGGGCCTGGGAAGGCCACCGAGAGCCATGAGCTGGGCTGGGCTGAAAGAGGCCACTGGGAGGCAGGAGGAGCTGGGCCTGGAGAGGCTGACTCGAGGAAGTTTTGCACCTGGAGAGGCCGCCGAGAGGATGGAGCTGGGCCCGGGGAGGCCGACTTGCTGCTCTTCCAGGCCCAATTCCAGGCCAACTTGAGGACGACTTGGGCCTGCAGAGGCCGCCGGGAGGCCCAAGCTTGGCATGGAGGAGCCCACCGACCGGAGACCATTTGGGGCCTGCAGATGCCATCGGAGGGCAGGAGCTCATCCTGGAGAGGCCACCGTGAGGCCTGACCTGGGCCTGGGGAGCTTGGCTTGAGGAAGCTGTGGGCCGACCAAGGCCGCCAGGAGATGGGTAGGCACTGAGTCCAAAGAGGTTGTTGAGAGGCAGGAGTCGGGCCTGGAGACGCAGCCGTGAGGAAGAGCTGGGTCCGGAGAGGACGCCCGGAGGGTGCAAGTGGGTCTGGAGAGGCCGACTTGAGGAGGTTCTGGGCCCGGAGAGGCCACCGGAAGGGAAAAACTGGGCCTGGAAAGGCCGTTGTGAGGAATGAGCCCCATGGGCCTGAAGAGGCCACTGGCAGGCAGGAGCTGGGCCTGCCGAAGCGGCCGAGAGGCAGGAGCTTTGGACTCGGGAGGCCGCAGTGAGGCGAGAGCTAGCTGGGCGTGGAGAGTCTGCTGTGAGGCAGAGGCTGGGCCTGTGCAGGCCTTCGGGAGGCAGGAGGCCGGGCCTTGTCGAGGCCTGCAGAGGCCACCAAAAGTCAAAAGCAGGGCCTGGGAAGGCCGCCAGGAGGCATGAGCTGGGCTGGGCTGAAAGAGGCCACTGGGAGGCAGGAGGAGCTGGGCCTGGAGAGGCTGACTCGAGGAACTTTTGCATCCAGAGAGGCCGCCGAGAGGCCGGAGCTGGGCCTGGGGAGGCCGACTTGACAACAGTCTGGGCCTGCAGAGGCGCTGAGAGGAAGAGCTGGGCCTGGAGAGGCCGACTGGAGGAAGTCCAGGGCCTGGAGAAGATGCAAAGCAGCAAACGCTAGGCCTGGAAAGTCTGCCCTGAGGCACGGGCTTGGCCTACAGAGGCCACTGGGAGGCAGGAGCTGGGCCCGCAGAGGCTCCCGAGAGGGAGGAGCATTGCCCCAGGAGGCCAGGGTGAGGAAGAGGTGGGCCTGGAGAGCCCACTGTGAGGTAGAGGCCGGGCCTGTAGAGGCCGCCAACAGGGAGGGGATGGGCCCGTTGAGGCCACGAGAGGCATGAGCTGGGCCTCAACAGGCCAGTGTGAGGCAGGAGCTGACACTTCGGCACGTTGCAAGAGGCATGAGTTGGGCCGAAAGAGGTCACCGTGAGGGAGGAGCTGGACCTGTACAAGCTGCCAAAAGGCAGGAGCAGCTTTGGACTGGAGAGGCCGCAGACAGGGAAGAGCTGGGTGTGAAGAGTCTGCTGTGAGGCAGAGGCTGGGCCTGTACATGCCCTCGGGAAGCAGGAGGCTGGGCATGGAGAGGCCGACTTGAGAAAGTTTTGCTCCTGGAGAGGCCACTCAGAGGCAAGAGCTGGGTGTGAAGAGGCTGACTTGAGGTCGATTTTGGCCGCAGAAGCCACCGGTAGCTAGGAGTTGGCCCTGGAGAGGCTGACCTGAGGACAATTTTGGCCTGTAGAGGCCACTGGGAGGGAGAGCTTGGTCTGGAGAGGCCAACTGGAGTAAGTTCAGGGCTTGGAGAGGATGCACAAAAGGAAACGCTCAGCCTCAAAAGTGTGCTGTGAGGCATTAGCTTGGCCTACACAGCACTCGGACGCAGGAGCTAGGCCTGCAGAGGGTGACTTCACGACGATTTTGGCCTGCAGAAGCCTTTGGGAGGAAGAGCTTGGCCTGGACCGGCTGACTGGAGGAAGTTTTGGGACTGGAGTATGCATCAAAAAGCAAAAGTTAGGCTAGGAAAGGCCACTTCACGGCATGATCTTGGCCTACAAAGGCAATTGCGAGGCAGGAGCTTGGCCTGTAGAGGCTGCCGAAAGGCAGGAGCTTGGCCTTAGGAGGCTATGATCAGGCAAGTGGTGGGCCTGGAGGGTCTACTGTGTGGTAAGAGTCTGGGCCTGTGTAGGCCGACATGAGGCAGGAGCTGAGTTAGGAGAGGCCATCTTTTGGAGAATTTGGGCCTGCAGAGGCTGCCAGGAGGCAAGAGCTGTGCCTGGAGAGTCCATCTTTTAGCATGAACTGGGCCTAAAGAGACCATTGTGAGGCAGCAGCTGCCTGGGAGGCAGGCAGATTCGTGGCCTGGGGAGGCCACCGTGAGGCAAATGCTCAGTTTTCGGAGGATGCCGTGAGGCAGGGAGAAACTTGGCTTTCGGTGGCCGCAGTGAGGGAATAGTTTGATTGCTGAGGCTGCCGGGAGGCCAAAGGTGGGCCTGAAAAGCTTTACCTTAAGAAGTCTGTGGCCTAGAGAGGCTGCCAGCTGCTCAGCAGGAGTTGGGCCAAAGGAGGTTGTGAGGCAGGAGACGGGCCTGTAGACGCACTGGGAGGATGAGCTCGTCCTGGAGATGCTGAGTTAAGGACATTCTGGGCCTGGACAGGCTGCAAAAGGCAAAAGCTGTGCCTGGAAAAGTCGCCATGGGGCATGAGCTTGGCCTAAAGAGGCCACTGCAAGGCAGGAGCTGGGCCTGTAGAGGCTGCAGAAAGGCAGGAGCTTCACCTGAGGATGCCACAGTGAGACACCATCTGGGTCTGGAGGGTCCACTGTGAGGCAGAGGCTGGCCTGTAGAGTCCGACAGTAGACAGAAGTTGGGCAAAAGGCTGATTTGAGGAAGTTTTGGGCTTCAAGAGTCAGCCACGAGGCAGGCACTAGGCCTGGAAATGGCCCGACAGTCATGAGTTGGGACTAAATGGGCCACTGTGAGGGAGGAGCTGTGCCTGTTGAGGCTGCTGGCAGGCAAGCAGAAATTTGGCCTCGGGCAGCTGCCATGAGGCAAGAGCTGGGCCTGGAAAAAGCCCCTGGGAGGCAAGAGCAGGGCCTGCAGAGGCTGTTCTCAAGTCAAAGCTGGGCCTGTTCATGCCACCGGGAAGCAGAAGGTGGGCCTGGAGAGTTTGACTTGAGGAAGTTTTGGGCCTACATTGGCCGCCATGAGCTGGACAGGAACTGGGCCAAAAAAGGCTGTTGTGAGGCAGCAGTTGTGCCTGTAGACCCAGCCAAGAGGAAGAGGTGGGCCTGGAGAAGACCCCATGAGGCAGAGGTTGGGCCTGTAGATGCTGACAGGAGGCAGGAGCTGGGCCTGGAGAGGTCAACTTGAGGAGATTTTGGGCCTTCATAGGCCACCAGAAGGCAGCAGTTGGGACCAGAGAGTCTGACTTGAGTAAGTTTTGGGCCCGGAGATGACGTCCTGGGACAGGAGTTGGGCCTGGAGAGGCCAACGTGAGGCATGAGCTGGATGTAGAGAGGCCAGTGTGAGGCAAGACCTGGGCCTGTCTAGGCTGCTGGGAGACAAGCAGGAATCTGGCCAGGGAAGGTTGCCATGAGACAAAAGTTGGGCCTGCAAAGGCCCTTGTGAAGCATGAGCTTGGCCTAGAGAGGCCACTGGGTGGCAGGAGCTGGGTGTGTAGAAGCTGCTGAAAGGTTGGGAGCTTGGCTTGGGGGGTCCACAGTGAGGCAGATGCTGGGCCTGAAGAATCTGCTGTGAGGCAGATGTTGGGACTGTAGAGGCCGACGGGAGGCAGAGGCTGGGCCTGGAGGGGCCACCAAGATGCAGGAGCTGGGCCTGGAGAGGCTGCAAAGAAGCATGAACTGGGCCTGGTGAGGTCGACTTGAGAAAGTTCAGGGCCTGGAGAGAAGGCTGGGAGGCAGGAGCTGGGTCTAAAGAGGCCATTGTAACGATGGAGCTGTGCCTGTGGAGGCTGTTGTGAGGCAGTAGGCTCATCTGCGGAGACTGCCGTGAGGTAGGGTATGGGCCTAAATAGGCCATTGTGAGTCATGAGCTTGGTCTGTAGAGGCTGACTGGAGAAAGTTCTGGGCCTGGAGAGGCTGCCGGGAGGTAGGAGCTGGGACAAAAGATTTAAGCACATTTACATTTATTAGGTGCTTTATTTCCATTATTACACTGTAATATATAATAAAATAATTATAGAACTCACCATAATGTAGAATCAGTGGGCATGTTAAGCTTGTTTTCCTGCAACTGGATGGTCCCACCTGAGCGTGATGGGAGAAAGTGACAGATCAATAGGTATTAGATTCTCATAAGGACAGCGCAACCTAGATCCCTCACATGCACGGTTCACAACAGGGTGCGTTCTCCTATGAGAATCTAATGCTGCTGCTGATCTGAGAAGGTGGAGCTCAGGTGGGAATGTGAGCAAAGGGGAGTGGCTGTAAATACAGACGAAGCTTTCCTCACTCCCTCACTCGACACCACTCACCTCCTGCCGTGTGGCTCCTTACAGCTCCATGGCTCAGGGGTTGGGGACCCCTGCTCAAGTGCATCCAAAGCGACCCTTCCCACACCAGTCTTCATAGTGGTCAAGGGCAGCAACCACTTAGCTCCCAAGGCATGTGCCTCAGCTGGCATTTCGTCACAATCAACAGTAAGTGGTAGCTTGAGTCATTGTGAGGTCGCTTCCTGGAAATCACCAGCATCCCATTTCCCACTGGCAAAGAGCTCAGCACTGCCCCCTGGGAAACCAAACCTATGCCCAAATCCCATCTGTGTGGGTTTATCTCCTGGGACCCTTCCTAACATATTAGTCAGAGTCCAATCAGGAAGCATAAACCACTCAAAAGTTTAAAGTGGTAAAATTTAATACGGAGAATTATTCATTATAACAGGTGAACAGCATAATGAGAGATTGGCTAGCACAAAGTAAAGAGAACTCTAGAGAATACAGGACTAGCCCAGGCCAGGCATGGTGGCTCATGCCTGAAATTCCAGCAATTTGAGAAGCTAATGCAGGAGGATTGCTTAAGGCCAGGAGCTAGAGACGGTCTGGACAACACAGTGAGACCCTGTCTCTATCCAAAAAAAAGAAAAAAGTTAGCTGGGAGTGGTGGTGCACACCTGTAGTCCCAGCTACTCGGAATGCTGAAGTTTGAGCCTGGGAGGTCAAGGCTGCGGCAAGGCATGATTATGCCACTACAGTCCAGCCTGGTGACAGAGCAAGACCCTGTCTCAAAGAACAAAACAACAACAACCATTTACAGACAGAAAAGAAATAGAGCTAATAAGCTAAGGAAAGATGTTGAAATGTGACAAGTAAAGTAATATGAGGTCTTTTATCTATTTAAAATAATCAAACAAAAAATGACTTACTAAATTATAATACCCTGTGCTGGCAAAGGTGCAGTGAAATGGGCACTTTCTTATACTATGAGGGGTGTTTAAATTGTGTATAAGCCTTCCCGGGTAAAGCTTGTCAATTTTTTAAAATAATGGAGACAGGGTCTCACCATACTGCCATGCTGCCTCCTCCAACTCTTGGCCTCAAGCAATCCTCCTCTCTTAGCCTCCCAAAGTGCTAAGATTATAGCTGGGAGGCACCCAAAACCCTGTCAATTTACATCAAGGGTAATGAGAATGTCCATTCACCATGTCTCACAGTAATCTTACTTCTGGGGAGACAATTCAATCTAAACAAAAGGTCATCTGTACAAACACAGTAAAAATCTGGGAGTAACTGAAGACAGAGTTGGTAAGTGAAATAAGAAACAGTTATAAGAAATTAAACTATGATATCAATAGGCACCTGGTATAAAAGGTCAGTTGATGTTAGCTGCTACTTTTTTGTTGTTTTGAGACAGGGTCTCACTCTGTCACCCAAGCTGGAGTGCAGAGGCCTGATCATGACTCACTGCAGTCTCAGCCTCCCTGGGCTCAAGTGATCCTCCCACCTCAGCCTCCCAAGTAGCTGGGACTACAGGAACATGCCACCACACTAGGCTAATTCGCGTATTTTTCTGTAGGGATGGTGACTCCCCCTTTGTTTCCAAGGCCTATTGCAAACTCTTGGCCTCAAGCCATCCTCCTGCCTCAGCCTCCCAAAGTGTTGCGATTACCAGTGTGAGCCACCACACCTGGCCAGCTGCTACTTTTATCAATATTATTATTATTCCACTCAATTAAAAATTATTATTTTCAAGGCTATGCAACAGTATGTATCCTACAGCGTAATTGTAAAAACATACACAGTTGCCGTCCCTCAGTATACAGAATTAGTTCCAGCCCCCCATCTCTGCATATACCAAAATCCATGCTTACTCACGTTTCGCTGTCACCCCTCTGGAATCCACGTATACGAAAATTCCAAATATTAGTTGGGCATAGTGGCAAGCACCTGTAGTCTCAGCCACGTGGGAGGTTGAGGTGGGAGGATCGCTTCAGCCTGGAAGGTTGAGGCTGCAGTCAGCTGCGATAGCACTACTACACTCCAGCCTTGGACAACAGAGGGAGACCCTGTCTCAGAAAAAAAAAACAAAATAAAACAGGTTAGAAATTGTAATGAGGTCTGTTGGGCAAAATTCCATATAAGCAAAGTATAAATTAATAAAGCAAATCGTGATAAATTAGTACGATTGACTTTCTGGAGTTTCTGACAATAAAAGGAAAATGCAAAACACAAAGTCAGAGAGTAAAAAGAGAAACTAGGAAAGCATTCTACATGTTTAATAGGAAGACGCTGGCCATGTTCGTGCAGCGGCAGTATGTTGTGACATGACATACCTTGGAGAGAAGTTAACAGATGAGGAAGTTGATAAAAATCATCAGAGAAGCAAAATACTGGTAGCGACACTCAAGTAAACCACGAAATTTCCATAACTTATGTCAGCAAAGTGGGAATATTGTACAGTGTGTGTTGAAGTTCCTATACAACATTGTTTATCTGCCTTTTGTTTGTTTGTAAGGAATGTATATACTAAAAGTTCTTCTTGCTGTCAAAAGAATATGTGTGAATAAGTCATTTTAACTTATTCTTCTGTTTTTCTTTTGTCTTCCTGCCATCATCCCACAGCCTTACTTTAGAAATTTTTTCTTTAGAAAATTGAACAAGTGCTCCTTGTGGTGGCACATGCCTCGAGGATGGGAGGCAGGGGTGGAAGGGTCACTTGAGGCCATTAGTTTGACACCAGCCTGGCCAACAAAGTGAGACCCCATGTCTACAAAACAATTTAAAAATTAGCCAAGTATCGTCATGTATGCCTACAGTCCTAGCTACTCAGGAGGCTCAGGTAGGAGGATCCTTAGCCCAGGAGTTCAAGGCTGCAGTGAGCTGTGATAGCACTACTGTACTCAAGCCTGGGTGACAGGGTGAGACCCCCATCTCCTGAAATAAAAAACAAAGAAAAAAATAGTTCAAGTAGCAAGTTGTATGTGGCTTACTCTGAATATTTCTAAACTAGAAATTCTCAATCTTTTGGGTAAAAACATCCCTTTACCGTTTTTAACTTTATTGAAGATCTCTAAGACTATTTCTTTCTGTAGATAATTATATTAAAACTAGAAAATAAGACACAATTTTTTAAATATTATTCATCACATATTAAAGCCATTACATGTTGATATAAGATTTTAGAAATATTTAATATTCATTACATATTAATAATAAAACCATTACATGTTGATATAATACTTTTTTTTTTTCTTTGAGACAAAGTCTTGTTCTTTTGCCCAGGCTGGAGTGAAGTGGCTCAATCTCAGCTCATTGCAACCTCCACCCCGCAGGTTCAAGCGATTCTCCTACCTCAGCCTCCCAAGTAGCTGGGATTACAGGCGCCCACTACCATGTCCAGCCAATTATTGTATTTTCTTAGTAGAGAAGGAGTTTCGCCACGTTGGCAACACTGGTCTTGAACTCTTGACCTCAGGTGATCCACCCGCCTGGGTCTCCCTAAGTGCTGGGATTACAGGTGTGAGCCACCGAGCCCACCCCAATTAGTATATGTTTTAAAACACTGATTAGTCAGGCAACAACACCAGGCAGGGGTCTCCTCATTCCCAGGGACGCAAACCCCACTGCATGGCTGAGGGGTTGCAAGGGCTGCAGAGCCAAAAGGCTCTGACTTGAGATATTATTTTACTTGTATTTTTATTTGTATTGTGAGACAGGTCCTGCTCTGTCACCCAGACTGGAGTGCAGCTGTGCACTTACAGCTCGCTGTAGCCTCGACCTCCTGGGCTCAAGCCATCTTCCTGCCTCAGCTCCCCAGTAGCTGGTAGTACAGTTGAGTGTCACCGTGCCTGGTTATTTTTTTAATTTTTTTGTAGAGTGAGGGGTCTTGCTATGTTGCCCAAGCTGGCCTCAAACTCCTGACCTCAAGAGATCTGCCCACTTCAGCCTCCTGAGTAGCTGAAACTACAAGTACACATCACCATGCCTAGCTACATTTATTTAATTTTGAAAAATATTTTTGTAAAGAGCAGATCTTGCTGTGTTGTCCAGGCTGGTCTTGAACACCTGCCCTTAAAAGATACTCGCACCTCTGCTTACCAAACAGCTGGGACTACAGGCATGAGCCACTGCAATGAGCCTGAAGAGATTTCTTTAATCTAGCATCCCATACTTGGTAGGATTGGGAAAGGCAGTAGTGTTTTTTAAAATTACTTAATAATTTCAGTAACAATCAAACTCAACCTTGACCCCTGCCTTCTCTCACACCCCATATCCAGTCTGTCAGGAAATCCTGTTGACTGTCTTCGACATGTACTAAAGATCCCCACCCAGCAACTCCCTGGCCTCCTCCCCTACTTCTCCCCTCTGACCATCTCTCAACACCACCACGACCCTGGTCAGGACCACCATCATCTCCCGCCTGGATGTTGCCAAAGCTTGGCCCCCATGCTTCTATCACATCTTCCCACAGTCTTTCTCAACTCAGCAGCCAGAGAATGCTTTTAAATCGGGAGACAGATCATGTCGCCTCTCTGCTCAGAACCCTCCCGCAGTTCCCATCTGAGTCAGAGTAAAAGCCAAAGCCCCACCAATAACCTCCCAGGGCTTATGTGATCTGTACTGATCCCCACCCAGCAACTCCCTGGCTCCCTCCCCTAATTCTCTCCCTCTCTCCATCTGCTCCTTGGGCCTCCTTCCAGAGCCGGAGACACACCTCAGACAGTTTATTCTATTGTTTCTGCCTACAATCCTCTTCCCTCAGCACCTTGGCCAACTCCTTCCCCTCCTTCAAGTCTTTACTCAACTTTCACTTAGGAGGCCACCCCTGACCATTCTATTTAACATTGCCATCTGTCCCCATGCCCACCATGCTCATTTCTTCTTTCTTTACTTTCTTCTTTCTTTTTTTCAAGATCTCACTGTCACCAAGGCTGGAGTGCAGTGGCGAAATCACAGCTCACTGCAACCTCAAATTTCCAGGCTCAAGCGATCCTCCCACCTCAGCCTCCTGAGTACCTGGGACTCCAGGTTCATGCCACCATGCCTGGCTAAATTTTTTAGTATTTTATTTTATTTTGAGACAGAGTTTCACTCTTCTTGCCCAGGCTGTAGTGTAACGGTGCGATCCCGGCTCACTGCAAACTCCACCTCCCAGATTCAAGTGATTCTCCTGCCTCAGCCTTCCAAGTAGCTGGGATTACAGGTGCATGCCACCACGCCCAGCTAATTTTTGTATTTTTAGTAGAGCCAGGGTTTCACAATGTTGGCCAGGCTGGTCTCGAACTCCTGACCTCAGGTAATCTGCCCGCTTCGGCCCCCCAAAGTGCTGGAATTACAGGCGTGAGCCACCACGCCTGGCCAATTTTTTCATTTTTTGTAGAGACAAGGTCTTACTATGTTGCCCAGACTGGTCTTGAACTCCTGGCCTCAAGTGATCCTCCTGCCTAAATTCCTAAAGTGCTGGGATTACCAGCATGAGCCATCATGCCTGGCTTCATGTTCATTTCTTCTTGCTGCTGCAACATAGTTTGCAGTTTCCTACATTTAGTGGCTTAAAACACCACAAATCTACCATCTTACAGTTCTAGGGGCCAGAAACCCAAACTAGGTCTATTAAGGCTAAAGTCAAGGTGTCAGCAGGGCTGCATTCCTTCTGGAGACTCTAATATGTTCCCTTGGCTTTTCCAGCTTCTAGAAGCCACCCCCATTCCTTGGATCATAGCCCCTGACTCCATCTTCAAAGCCAGAGGTGAAGCATCTTCAAATCTCCCTCTCTTACCTCTGCTTTCATCACCACATCTCCTGCTCCAATTCTGAATCTCCTACTCTCTTTCTTTTATAAAGACCCTTGTGATTGCTGGGCATGGTGGCTCCCACCCAGAATCCCAACACTTTGGGAGGTCAAGGCAGGAGGAACACCTGAGGCCTGAAGTTTGAAACTAGCATGAAAAACACAGTGAGACCCCCACCTCTAGAAAAAAATAAAAATAAATATTAGCCCGACATGGTGGTATGCGCCTGTAGTCCCAGCTACTTGAAAGGCTGAGGTGAGACCATCGATTTAGCCCAGGAGTTTGAGATCAGCCTGGACAACATAACTAAATCTCATCTCTACAAGGACGAGGTGGGAGGATCACTTGAGCCCAGGAATTTGTGGCCAGCCTGGGCAACAAAAGAAGACCCCATCTGGCCAACATGGCCAACCTGGCCACCATGGAGAAACTCTGACTCTACAAAAATGAGCTGGGCATGGGTGACATGCATGTGTAGTCCTAGCTACTTGGGAGGTTGAGATGGGAGGATTGCTTGATCTCAGGAGGCCAAAGCTATAGTGAGCTATGATCACATCACTGCACTCCAGCCTGGATGACACAGGAGATTCTGTCTCAAAAAAAAGAAAAGAAATATATATTTAATCTCTGTCCCTGGTTCGTGGCACAGAGCTTCTAAAGCTCTTACAAAGACCTCAGTGATAGATGTGACAGGAACATCTTTTGTTTTAATATTTGGTCTTGGTCCCAGGTTTCTAACACAAGAGCCTCTAAGAACTTTGGGATCTCCAGCATGGTAAGAATGCATTTGGGGATGTTGTTGAGATGACTGGG
Source organism: Homo sapiens (assembly GCF_000001405.40). Lineage (NCBI taxonomy): Eukaryota > Metazoa > Chordata > Mammalia > Primates > Hominidae > Homo > Homo sapiens. Next base: position 222,484,098 of record NC_000001.11, read on the forward strand.
TGACTGCAAGCTCCTAAATTTCTTCCAGAGGAGGGCTGATTACCATGCAACCACATGATAAGAGGCTTGGAACTTTCAGCCTCATGCACTGAACTCCAGGAGGAGGAGGGGCTGGAGACTGACTTAATCACCAACAGCCAAAGATTTTATCACTCATGCTTGCATAATAAAGCCTCCATAAACACCCTGAACGGGGTTTGCAGAGCTTTCAGGGTTGCTGGACACAGGAGATGCTGGGAGGGTCGCATGTTCGACAGAGGGCATGGGAGCTCTGTGCCCCTCCGAACTTAACTTGCCCTGGGTATCTTTCTTTTTTTTGAGACAGGATCAGGCTCTTTTGTCCAAGCTAGAGTGCAGTGGCACAACCTCAGCTTACTGTAACCTAAGCCTCCCCAGTCCCCAGCTCAAGGTATCCTCTCATCTCAGCTTCCCTAGTAGTTGGAACTCTAGGTGCACACCACCACACCAGTTATTATTATTATTTTTTAATTTTTTATAGAGACAGGTTTTCACCATGTTGCCCAGGCTGGTCTCAAACTCCTGAGTTTAAGCGATCCTCCCACCTTGGCCTCCCAAAGTGCTGAGATTACAGGCATGAGCCACTGCATCCAGCATGCATGTCTCTTTCATTGACTGTTTCTGAGATGTATCCTTCACAATGAACCAGTAATAAGAAATGAACTGGCCAGATGTGGTGGCTCACATCTGTAATCCCAGCACTTTCAGAGGCTGAGGTGGGAGGATCACTTGAGACCAGGAATTTGTGGCCAGTCTGGCCAACACAACAAGACCCCATCTATACAAAAAATAAAAGAAACTAGCCAGATGTGGTGGTGCAGGCATGTAGTCTCAGCTACTAGGGAGGCTGAGGTGGGAGAACCACTGGAGCCCAGACAATCAAGGCTGCAATGAGCTATGACTGCACCATTGCACACCAGCCTGGGCAACAAAATAAGACCCTCTCTCTCAGAAAAAAAGAAAATAAACTGTTTTTCTGAGTTCCATAAACTGTTCTAGCAAATTATTAAACTCAAGAAGACAGTTATGGGAACCCCTGATTGGTAACAGGTTGGTCAAAAGTACAGTGACAACTTAAGACTTGCCATTGGCATCTGAGGTGAGGATGGCCTCGTGGGACTGAGCCCCTAACTTGTGGGGTCTGTGCTAACTCCAGGTAGTGTCAGAATAAAGTCATGAGATACCCAGTTAATATCCAGAGCACTGAAGAATTTGGTGTAGAAACTCCATACATACATTCAGTCGGAAGTGTGTGAGTAGAGACAAACATGGGCTTTTCTGTCACCTACCTGCTTAACTGCATAGGAGAGGCAATATGTGGTGCTCATGAACAAAGCAAACATTAAAGTCAGGCCAAACCCAACATTTGACTCAGTCTTAACATCCAGGTGAGCTTGGGCAAATCATTCATTATTCCTAAGGCTTCATCACTCCATTCATAAAATGGGGATAACTGTGGCACCTACCTGTGATTCTGTGAGAATTAACGAAATATTACGCTTGGGGTTATTGTGATCATTATACCTATTCCAAACTATTTGACAAGGACAGTGATGGATGATGACATCAAAAAATCAGAAACTGCAATGAGGTCTCTCAGGCAAAATTCCATATAAGCAAATTACTGTGTCTACAAAGCATTCCTGCCACACTTAATTCACCATTCCCTGAACAAAATATGCCATCTTCGTTGTTCAGATCTGTACAGTGCTGGTTTCCCTTCCCGGGCAGTTTGCGCTATCCCATCCCAGCCCATTCCCCATCCCTCCACCTCCCCCTTCCCTCCCCACTCTCATACAACTCTTCCTCATCTTTCAGGACTTGGCTTCAATGTCACCTTAACTGGAAGCTTCTCTCACTCTCCAGAAGAGCTTCCCATTGCACTTGATGCATGCACTATTATTTGATCATTTTTAAGTTACAGTCCAAATCTTTTTGTACCTGAATAACATGTTGCCCAGTCAGTCTCTCTTCCTGGATTCAGAAGTCTTTCATGGTAGATCCAGCTGGAAGTGACAAAAAGACATCTTTTGACATAAAGGGATGACACAGACAGACATAAGTTCTTAAATGTCTTAAATGTTATGTGAAAATTAAACAGAATTCAAAGACTTGTGGGGAACACTTAGGAGGGAAAGTTACTGGGAATGTCATAAAGGGTTAATTTGTATTTTATTTTATTTTTTGAGAGAGTCTCATTCTGTCACCTAGGCTGGAGTGCAGTGGTGCAATCAGGCTCACTGCAGCCTTGACCACCTGGGCTCAAGTAATCTCACTTAATTTTTATTTGGTTTAAGAAAGTCTTGGTTGAGGGTGGTGGCTTATGCCTGTAATCTCAGCACTTTGGGAGGCTGAGAGAGGTATATTACTTGAGGCCAGGAGTTTGAGATCAGCCTGGGCAATATATTAAGACCCTGCCTCTACCAAAAAACAGAGTGAATGTGTGGAAGACAATTTTTCCACAGACTGGGAGTGAGGGAATAATTTCAGGATGATTCAAGTGCATTACATATATTGTGCACTTTATTTCTATTATTACTACATAGTAATATATAATGAAATGATTCTACAACTCACTATAACGTAGACTCAGTGGGATCTCTGAGCTTGTTTTCCTGCAACTAGACTGTTCATCTGGGGTGATGGGAGACAGTAACAGAATATCAGGCATTAGATTCTCATAAGGAGTACACAGGCCCCTGCCCCTGCCTCTGCCTCTCCCTCTCCCCTCTCCCCTCTCCCCTCTCCCCTCTCCCCTCTCCCCTCTCCCTCTCGGTCTCCCTCTCCCTTTCTTTCCACGGTCTCCCTCTGATGCCGAGCCGAAGCTGGACTGTACTGCCTCTGCCTCTGCCTCTCCCTCTCCCCTCTCCCCTCTCCCCTCTCCCTCTCGGTCTCCCTCTCCCTCTCTTTCCACGGTCTCCCTCTGATGCCGAGCCGAAGCTGGACTGTACTGCTGCCATCTCGGCTCACTGCAACCTCCCTGCCTGATTCTCCTGCCTCAGCCTGCCGAGTGCCTGCAATTGCAGGCGCGCGCCACCACGCCTGACTGGTTTTCGTACTTTTTTGGTGGAGACGGGGTTTCGCTGTGTTGGCCGGGCTGGTCTCCAGCTCCTAACCGCGAGTGATCCGCCAGCCTTGGCCTCCCGAGGTGCCGGGATTGCAGACGGAGTCTGGTTCACTCAGTGCTCAATGGTGCCCAGGCTGGAGTGCAGTGGCGTGATCTCAGCTCGCTACAACCTCCATCTCCCAGCCGCCTGCCTTGGCCTCCCAAAGTGCCGAGATTGCAGCCTCTGCCCGGCCACCACCCCGTCTGGGAAGTAAGGAGCGTCTCTGCCTGGCCGCCCATCGTCTGGGACGTGAGGAGCCCCTCTGCCTGGCTGCCCAGTCTGGAAAGTGAGGAGCGTCTCTGCCCGGCCGCCATCCCATCTAGGAAGTGAGGAGCGCCTCTTACCGGCAGCAATCCCATCTGGGAAGTGAGGAGCGTCTCTGCCCGGCCGCCCATCGTCTGAGATGTGGGGAGAGCCTCTGCCCCGCCGCCCCATCTGGGATGTGAGGAGCGCCTCTGCCCGGCGGCGACCCCGTCTGGGAGGTGAGGAGCGTCTCTGCCCAGCCGCCCCGTCTGAGAAGTGAGGAGACCCTCCGCCCAGCATCCGCCCCATCTGAGAAGTGAGGAGCCCCTCCGCCCGGCAGCCGCCCCGTCTGAGAAGTGAGGAGTCCCTCTGCCCGGCAGCCACCCCGTCTGGGAAGTGAGGAGCGTCTCCGCCCGGCAGCCGCCCCGTCCGGGAGGGAGGTGGGGGGGGTCAGCCCCCCACCCGGCCAGCCGCCCCATCCAGGAGGGAGGTGGGGGGGTCAGCCCCCCATCCGGGAGGGAGGTGGGGGCGGTCAGCCCCCCGCCCGGCCAGCCGCCCCGTCCGGGAGGGAGGTGGGGGGGTCAGCCCCCTGCCCGGCCAGCCGCCCCGTCCGGGAGGTGAGGGGCGCCTCTGCCCAGCCGCCCCTACTGGGAAGTGAGGAGCCCCTCTGCCTGGCCAGCCACCCTGTCCAGGAGGGAGGTGGGGGAGTCAGCCCCCCACCCGGCCAGCCGCCCCGTCCGGGAGGGAGGTGGGGGGGTCAGCCCCCCGCCCGGCCAGCCGCCCCGTCCAGGAGGGAGGTGGGGGGGTCAGCCCCCCGCCCGGCCAGCCACCCCGTCCGGGAGGGAGGTGGGGGTGTCAGCCCCACGTCCGGGAGGGAGGTGGGGGGGTTCAGCCCCCCGCCCGGCCAGCCGCCCCGTCTGGGAGGGAGGTGGGGTCAGCCCCCCGCCCGGCCAGCCGCCCCGTCCGGGAGGTGAGGGGCGCCTCTGCCCAGCCGCCCCTACTGGGAAGTGAGGAGCCCCTCTGCCGGGCCAGCCACCCCGTCCGGGAGGGAGGTGGGGGGCTCAGCCCCCCGCCCGGCCAGCCGACCCGTCCGGGAGGGAGGTGGGGGGGTCAGCCCCCCGCCCGGCCAGCCGCCCCGTCCAGGAGGTGAGGGGCGCCTCTGCCCGGCCGCCCCTACTGGGAAGTGAGGAGCCCCTCTGCCCAGCCAGCCGCCCCGTCCGGGAGGGAGGTGGGGGGGTCAGCCCCCCGCCCGGCCAGCCGCCCCGTCCGGGAGGGAGGTGGGGGGGTCAGCCCCCCGCCCGGCCAGCCGCCCCGTCCGGGAGGTGAGGGGCGCCTCTGCCCGGCCACCCCTACTGGGAAGTGAGGAGCCCCTCTGCCCAGCCACCACCTCGTCTGGGAGGTGTACCCAACAGCTCATTGAGAACGGGCCGGGATGACAATGGCGGTTTTGTGGAATAGAAAGGGGGGAAAGGTGGGGAAAAGATTGAGAAATCGGATGGTTGCCGTGTCTGTGTAGAAAGAAGTAGACATGGGAGACTTTTCATTTTGTTCTGTACTAAGATAAATTCTTCTGCCTTGGGATCCTGTTGATCGGTGACCTTACCCCCAACCCTGTGCTCTCTGAAACATGTGCTGTGTCCACTCAGGGTTAAATGGATTAAGGGCGGTGCAAGATGTGCTTTGTTAAACAGATGCTTGAAGGCAGCATGCTCGTTAAGAATCATCACCACTCCCTAATCTCAAGTACCCAGGGACACAAACACTGCGGAAGGCCGCAGGGTCCTCTGCCTAGGAAAACCAGAGACCTTTGTTCACTTGTTTATCTGCCAACCTTCCCTCCACTATTGTCCTATGACCCTGCCAAATCCCCCTCTGCGAGAAACACCCAAGAATGATCAATAAAAAAAATAAAAATTAAAAAAAAAGTTAAAAAAAAAAAAAAAAAAAAAAAAGGAGTACACAACCTAGATCCCTCGCATGCACACTTCACAACAGAGTTTGTGCTCCTATGAGAATCTAATGCTGCTGCTGATCTGACAGGACATGGAGCTCAGGTGGTCATGCAAGCGATGGGAGGGGCTAGAAATACAGATGAAGTTTCCCTTCACTCACCTGCTGCTCACCTCCAGCTCTGTGGCCCTGTGGTTGGAGACCGCTGCTCAAATGCATTCGAAAGGATCCATCCCATGCCATTCTTCAGAGTCATCTTTACTGCTGCTGTGGTCAACTTGTAGCACCCCTAAGCTCGCAGGACATATGCTTCAACTGGCATTTCACAATCAACAGTATGTGGTAGCTTGAGTCATTGTGAGGTCACTTTCTGGAAATCACCAGCCTCCCATATCCCATTAGCAAGGAGCTCAGCACTGCTCCTTGGATAACCAAACCTATTCCCAAATCCCATCTGTGTGCGTCTATCTCCTGGTACCCTTCCTAGCATCAATTCTGTATTTGTAGGAGTCCAATCAGGAGACACAAACCACTCAAAAGTTTAAACTAGAATGAGCAAGATGGCTCACACCTGTAATCCCAGCACTTTGGGAGGCCAAGGTGGGTGGACTGCTTTGAGCTCAGGAGTTTCAGAACAGTCTGGGAAACATGGTGAAACCTCGTCTCTACAAAAAACACAAAAATCAGCTGGGTGTGGTGGCACTTACCTGTAATCCCAGCTACTCGGGAAGCTGAGGCAGGAGCATTGCTTGAGCCTGGCAGGTGGAGGCTGCAGTGAGCAGAGGTTGTGCCACTGTACTCCAGCCTGGGTGACAGTGTGAGACCCAGTATCAAAAAGAAAAAACGTATATATATATGTAAATTTAATATAAAAAGTATTAATTTTGGCCAGGCACAATGGCTCATGCCTGTAATCCCAGCACATTGGGAGGCCAAGGCAGACAGATCACCTGAGGTCAGGAGTTCGAGACCAGCCTGACCAGCATGGAGAAACCCCATCTCTACTAAAATTAGCTGGGCATGGTGGCACATGCCTGTAATCCCAACTACCCGGGAGGCTGAGGCAGGAGAATCGCCTGAACCCGGCAGGTGGAGGTTGCGCTGAGCCGAGATAGCGCCATTGCACTCCAGCCTGGGCAACAAGAGTGAAACTCCATCTCGAAAAATAAAAAAAGGTATTAATTTTTACAGAGGATCAGCACAATGAGGGACACACTAGCACAAAGTAAAGACAACTCTAGAGAATACGGAACTAGCAGAGGCCAGTCATTGTGGCTCATGCCTGTAATCCCAGCAATTTGGGAAGCCTAGGCAGGAGGATCGCTTGAGGCCAGGAGTTGGAGACCAATCAGTGCTAAATAGTGAGACTCTGTGTCTACCAAAAAAAGAAACGTTAGCCAGGTGTGGTGGTGGTGCACACCCGTAGTTCCAGCTACTTGGGAGTCTGGGGTGGGAGAAATCCCTTGAGCCTGGGAAGTCTACACTACAGTGAGCCAAGATTGTGTCACTGCACTCCAGCCTGGGCGACAGAGTGAGACCCTGTCTTAGAAAGAAAAAAGAAAAGAAAGTGTTAATCCCCCTATGGGAATCTCCTCTTCTCCTGCCGTCTCTGGAACCTCACTTGTCAGTTCTTCCTCCCACTTTCCTGTATCTTTAACCTATCCCCCACTTTTAGCTCCTTCCCATCATCATTTAAATTACTCAAACTTCTTCTGTTTTAAAAACCTCTCCCTAAACTCAGTGAGAGGTCTCCTGCACACCCATTGAGCCATCTGCTCTCCCTGGTGCCTTCTCTACAGCAGCCTGAGCCATGTCTCTAATCCATGAATCTCATCATGTTACTCCTCCATTTACATCACTTCTCCTTGCCTCAGGGATTAAGTCCAAACTCCTTAACAGCCCCTGCTCTGCCCTGCCTTGCAAGGCAGCCTCACTGCTTGCCCCTCTCCATTTCATCTGCTATGGAGTCCAACTGAGCCTCATCTGCCCCTTCAACGCACACTCTTTCTCCTCTGGGAGTCTCTGAAGTGGGTAATATCCTCTGCTTATAATATGCTTCCCCTTAAACCTCTACTCCCTTCCTAGCTAGCTTTGACTCCTCTGTCACTTGTCTGCTTTGGCATCACCTCCTCATAGAAGACTTCTATGACTCCCGAGATTCTCAGGAGCATGGCAGGTGAAGTGCTCCTCCCATGAATGGATGGAGATTAGGGAGTGTGTGTTATTCATGCTTAATTCACCAGTGCTTAGCTGAGTACCTGGCATAAAATAGTTACTGTGGTGGCCAAAGTAATAAGCCCCACCGCCACCAATTGCTCATGTCCTATGTTACACAGCACAATTACATAGGAAGGGGGAATTAAGAGTGCAGATAAAATTAATGTTGCTCATCAGCTGACCTTAAAACAAGATTATCCTGGAGTATCTAGGAGATCCCATGTAATTACAAGCATTCTTTAAAACTGGAAGAGGGAGGCAGAAGGTTAAGAACCAGAGACGGTGGGCACAATGGCTCATGCCTGTAATACCAATACTTTGGGAGGCCAGGGCAGGAAAATCCCTTGAGTGCAGGAGTTCAAGGTCAGCCGTGGCAACATACTGAGGTCCCATCTCTACAACAAAATAAAAACAAAATTCACTGAGTGTCACGATGCTTACCTGTAGTCCCAGCTACTGGGAAGGCTGACATGGTAGGATTGCTTGAGCCTGGGAGTTTGAGGCTATAATGAGCCATGATAGGACCACTGAACTCCATCCTGAGTGACAGGGCAAGGTCCTGTTTCTAAAGAAAAAAAGGACATTGGAATCAGGGTCCTCTCCATCCTGAGGTGCCTACAAGGCATCTGTCTCTGCAAACGAGTAAACATCACCCTCCAACTCCTTACAGAGTGGAGCAGCAGGAAAACTCCTTCACCTCATTTCTGTGCTGCTTGGGAGGCCTGGACAGCCCAATAACCAGCTCCTTGCTGATGAAGCAATCAGGAAATGGCTCGAGTTGAGCTAAGGAGAATTTGGATCCTCCTTTTGGTTCTCAATAGGCAGGGCAGGGGCCAGACATGGTGGCTCATACCTGTAATCCTTGCACTGTGGGGGGCCAAGGTGAGAGGATTGCTTGAGGCCAGGAGCTCAAGACCAGCCTGGGCAACATAGCAAGACCTGGGTGGCATACACCTGTGGTCCCTACTACTTGGTAGGATGAGGTGGGAGGATTGATCACTTGATCCCAGGAGTTTCAGGCTGCAGTGACCCATGATCACACCACTGCACTTCAGCCTGGGTGACAGAGCCAGACCATGTCACAAAAAGTTAGAAAGAAAAAAAAAAGAGAGAGGGAGAGAGACTATACACAGGCACCACCACATTTGGCTAATTTTTAAATATTCTGTAGAGACAAGGTCTTGCTAGGTTGCCCAGGCTAGTCTAAAACTCCTGGCATCAGGCTGGGCATGGTGGCTCATGCTTGTAATCCCAGCACTTTGGGAAGCTAAGGCAGGCAAATCACCCAAAGTCTGGAGTTCGAGACCAGCCTGGCCAACATGGTGAAACTCTGACTCTATCAAAAATACAAAAATTAGCTGGGCAGTAGTGGCGTGTACCTGTAGTCTCACCTACTCGGGAGGCTGAGGCAGGAGAATCACCTGAACCTGGGAGGAGGAGGTTGCAGTGGACCCCATCACTGCACTCCACGCTGGGTGACAGAGTCACCCTGGGTGACAACAACAACAACAATAACAAAAACAAAAACAACAACAACAAAAAAAACTCCTGGCATCAAGACATCTTCCTGTCTTAGCCTCCCAATGCCCTGGGATTATACTGTTTCCTATAATTGAAGACACTTGTTCTTATACTGCTTTAAGGTATAAAGGAAGAAAAAAAAACAGATAATGGCAAATGTTGGTGAAGGCCGGGCATGGTGGCAGCCTGTAATTCCAGAATTTATGGAGGCTGAGGTGCGCAGATCACTTGAGGCCAGGAGTATGAGACCAGCCTGGGCAACATGGTAAAATCCCATCACTACAAAAAAATATAAAAATTAGCCAGGCATGGTGGCGTACACCTGTAATTTTCAGCTACTCAGGAGGCTGAGATGAGAGAATCACTTGTGCCTGGGAGGTCAAGGCTGCAGTGAACTGTGATGGCATCACTGCACTGCGGCCTGAGAGACAGAGCAAGCCCCTATCTAGAAAAAAAAAAATGTCAGTGAAGATGTGGAGGAATTGGAACCCACATACATTACTGGTGGGAACATAAAATCGTGTAACCATTTTGTTTGGGTATTTCTTTTCCTGTCATTTTAATTGGATTTTTAAAAAATCAACACAGGGTTTCACTATCTTGCCCAGGCTGGTCTTGAATTCATGGGCTCAAGCCATCCTCCTAGCTGAGCCTCCTGAGTAGCTGGGATTACAGGTGTGAGCCATTGCACCCAACTGGTGTAGCCACGTTAGAAAACAGTCTGGCAGTTTCTCAAAAGGCTAAATGTACAGTCATCCTATAATGCAACAATTTCACTCCTAGGCATATATCCCAGAAAAATAAAAATATATGTCCACACAAAAACTTGTATAACAATCTTCATAGCAGCATTATTCATAATGACCAATACATGGAATACACGGAAACAACCCAAATATCCACCAACTGATGAACAGATAAACAAAATGCAGTGTGTCTCTACCATGGAATACTGCCATAGAAGGAATGAAATATTGATACACACTATGACATAAAGGAACTTTGAAAACACTGTGCTAAGAGGGAAAAAAAGCCACAAAAGATCACATATTGTACAATTCTATTTGTCCAGATTAGGCAAATCTATAGTGACAAAAAAATTAATCAATGGTTGCCTAAGGCTGGGAGTGAAGGTAGGTGGGGAGAGTAGGAGGTAGTGGCTGAGGGGTATGGATTTCTCTATAGGGTAATGAAAGGTTCTAAAAGTGACTGTGGTGATCGATGCACAGCTCTGTGAATATTCTAAAACCTACTGAATTGCAGATTTCAATAAATAAAGTGAATGGTATGTGAATATTTTAATAAAGCTATTATTTAAAATAATAATAATAGGGGGCTGGGCACAAGTGGTCATGCCTGCCTGTAATCCCAGCACTTTGGGAGGCTGAGGCAGGAGGACCACTTGAGGTCAGGAGTTTTGAGCCCAGTCGGAACAACGTGGCAAGATCCCGTCTCTATGATAAAAAATTAGCTGGACATGGTGGCACGTCTGTAGTCCCAGCTACTTGGGAGACTGAAGTGAGAGAACCGCTTGAGCCCAGGAGTTTGAGGCTACAGTGAACCATGATCATGTCACTGTACTGTAGCCTGAGCAACAGAGCAAGACGCTGTCTCTGAAAAGGAAAGAAAACAAATGCAAGTTTTTATCACTTTGTGAGTGTAGCCAAGTTGGAGGAGAAATAGACAATAATAAAGGAGCACTGAATAATGACGGTGAGTGGCTGGTTAGGCTCAGTTGCTAGCTAAATGGCTTCTAAAAAATTCAATAAAGTTACAGCTCTGGGGACAGTCATGTAGTCAAAGAATGAATGCTAAATTCATTACAAATGCCCATGGTCTTTATTTGCATGCCTTCTAGTGAAAAATTCCTAAGTGCCTAAATAGCAAGTCTGCAATGATAGCAGCTGTTTATTAAAGACTACAAAAAAGAAATGGAGGCCGGGCGTGGTTGCTCACATCTGTACTCCTTGAATTTTGGGAGGCTGAGGCAGGCAGATTGCCTGAGGTCAGGAGCTCCAGAGGAGCCTGGCCAACATGGTGAAACCCCATCTCTACTAAAAATACAAAAATTAGCTGGGTATGGTGGCGGGCGCCTGTAATCTCAGCTACTCGGGAGGCTGAGGCAGGAGAATTGCTTGAACCCAGAAGGTGAAGGTTGCAGTGAGCCAAAATCGCACCATTGCACTCCAGCCTGGGTGACAAGAGAAAGACTCTTATCTTAAAAAAAAAAAAGAAAAAAAAGAAATGGCATCTTCTTCAAGAATTACATCGTGTTTCATGATAAAGAAGCTCTAATTTTGCATTTGTTCAAGTATTGATGAGATTTAGCCAATATGACACCCATCTTGGATAAAATGCAAACAACACAATTTCATTTTCTCATTAACAAAACTGATTAAGTAGTCTAATATCAATTCTGATCTTATTAAAAACTGATCAGATTTAAAAAATTATGGAATTATGGAGCCAATAAGATGTTACAACCTGTTCCAAGGGGAATTCCAAAATCCACACATATCTGAGACCATCAAGTATGATGAAATATATTTGATTACTATATTGAAAAATAAACTGATTACATAGCCAACAATTGGACAGGGGTCTCCTCATCCACAGCCACACAAACCCGATCATGCAGCTATGTGGTTACAAGGCCTACATAGCCTAGAAGGGACTGGTCTGACTTGAGATTTCATTTGTATTTGTATTTTGAGGCAGGGTCCCACTCTGTCACCCAGGATGGAGTGCAGTGGTATAATCATAGCTCACTGCAACCTTGACCAACTGGGCTCAAGAGATGCTCCTGCCTCAGCTGCCCCCATACCTGGGAATACAGGCAAGTACCACCATGTCAGGCATTTTTTTCATTTTTGTAGAGAGAGAAGTCTTGCTATGTTGCCCAAGCTGGCCTCAAACTCCTAGAATCAAGAGATCTGCCCATCTCAGCCACATGAGTAACTGGGGCCATAGGTACATCATGCCTGGCTATATTTATTTTATTAAATTTATTTTTTTTATTTTTGTAGAGAGGAGATCTTGCTGTGTTGCCCAGGCTGCTCTCAAACTCATGGCCTTAAAACATACTCCCATCTCTGCCTCTCAAACTGTTGGAACTATAGGTGTGAGCCACTGCACCTGGCCTAACTTGAGATTTCTTTTATCTAGCATCCTTTACTTGGTAGGATTGGGAAAGGCAGTAGTGTTTTTTAAAATTACTTAATAATTCCATCAGAATCAAACTCAACGTTGACCACTGCCTTCTCTCACAGCTCACATCCAGTCTGTCAGGAAATCCTACTGACTTCAACATGTATCCAGGCTCTGACCATCTCTCACCACCACCGTGAACACGGTCAGGATCACTATCATCTCCCACCGGGATGTTGCCACAGCTTGGCCCCCATGCTTCTACCCAAATCTTCCCATAGTCTTTCTCAACTTGGCAGCCAGGTCGTGCTTTTAAATCAGGAGACAGATCACGTCGCCTCTCTGCTCAGAAGCCCTCGGTGGTTCCCATTTTAGTCAGAGTAAAAGCCAAAGCCCCAGCAATAGCGTCCCAGGGCTTACACGATCTGTACCGATCCCAGCCCAGCAACTCCCTGGCCTCCTCGCTGACTTCGCTCCCTCTATCTCTTTGCTCCACTGGCCTCCTTCCAGAGCCTCAGACACACCAGAGAGTTTCCTCCTAATGCCTTTATCCTGTTGACTCAGCCTACAATGCTCTTCCCTCAGCACCTTGGCCAGCTCCATCACCTGCTTCAAACTTTTGCTCAATATTCACTTATGAGGCCAACCCTGACCGCTCTACTTAACATTGCCATCTGTCCCCATTCCCACCATGCTCATTTCTTTCTTTCTTTCTTTTTGAAACAAGGTCTTGCTTTATTGCCTAGGCTGGAGTACACTGGTGCAATCACAGCTCACAGCAACTTCAACCTCCCAGGCTTAAACAATCCTCCCGCCTCAGCCACCCTAGGAACTGAGACTACAGCTGCATGCCACAACACATGGCTTTTTTTTTTTTTTTTTTTTTTTTTTGAGACGGAGTCTCAGTCGCCCAGGCTGAAGTGTAAGGGTGCGATCTTGGCTCACTGCAATGTCTGCCTTTTGGGTTCAAGTGATTCTCTGCCTCCCGAGTAGCTGGGATTACAGGCACCCACCACCACACCTGGCTAATGTTTGTATTTTTAGTACAGATGGGGTTTCACCATCTTGGCTAGGCTGGTCTTGAACTTCTGACCTCGTGATCCACCCTCCTCGGCCTCCCAAAGTGCTGGGATTACAGGCATGAGCCACTGCGCCTGGCCTTTTAAAAAAAATTTTTTTAGACATGAGGTCTCATTATGTTGCCCAGGCTGGTCTTAAGCTCCTGGGCTTAAGCGATCCTCCCACCTCAGCCTCCTAAAGTTCTGGGATTACAGGCGTGAGCAACTGTAACATGAGGTCCCAGCTTCATGTTCATTTTTTGTTGTTGCTACAACAAAGTACCCTACATTTAGTGGCATCAAACACCACAAATCTACCATCTTACAGTTCTGGGGGCCAGAAGCCCAACTAGGTCTATTAAGGCTAAAGTCAAGGTGTCAGAGGGGCTGCATTCCTTCTGGGGGAGGCTCTAGACAGAATGTGCTCCTTTGCCTTTTCCAGCTTCTAGAAGCCACCCCCATTCCTTGACTTACCTCGTGACTCCATATTCAAGGCCAGAAGTGCAGCATCTTCAAATCTCCCTCTCTGACCTCTTCTTCCATTACCACATCACTTTCTCTAATTCTGACTCTCCTACCTCCTTCTCTTATAAAGATCCTTGTGATTGGTGGGTATGGGGGCTCCCATCTGTAATCCCAACATGTTGGGAGGCCAAAGAGGAAGGATTGCTTGAGGCCAAGAGTTAGAGATCAGCCTGGGGAAAATAGGAAGACCCTGCCTTTACAAAATTAAAATTAAAATCAGCTGGACATGGTGATGCACGCCTGTAGTTCCAGCTACTGGAGAGGCTAAGGTGGGAGGATTGCTTTAGCCTAGGAGGTCAAGGCTGCAGTGAGCTATGATCACATCACTGCACTCCAGCCTCAGTGGCAGAGTGAGACTCTGTCTCCAATATAAGAAAAGAAATATACATTTGGTCTCTGCCCCTGGTTCCTGGCATAGAGCTTCCAAAGCTCTTATAAAGCCCTTCGTGACAGAGGTAATAGAAGCATTTTCTGTTTTGATATTTAGTCTTAGTCCCAGGTTCCTGACACAAGGGCCTCTAAGGTCTTTCAGATCTGCAGCATGGTAAGAATGCATGTGGGATGCTGTTGAGCTAACAGGGTGGCTGCAAGCTCCTAGACTGCTTCAGGAGGAGGGCTAGCTGCCAGAGAAAGCAACCACATTTTTTTTTTAAAACGGAGTTTGGCTCTTGTAGCCCAGGCTGGAGTGCAATGGCACAATCTCAGCTCACTACAACCTCCACCTCCCGGGTTCAAGCAATTCTCCTGCCTCGGCCTCCCGAGTAGCTGGAATTATAGGGATGTGCCACAACGCCTAGCTAATTGTTGTTATTTTTAGTAGAAACGGGGTTTCACCATGTTGGTCAGGCTGGTCTCAAACTCCTGACCTCAAGTGGTCCATGTGCCTCAGCCTTCCAAACTGCTAGAATTACAGGAGTGAGCCACTGCACCTGGCCCCAACCACATTTTTTGAGGCTTGGAACTTTCAGCCTCACCTGCTGAACTCCAGGAGGCAAAAGGAACTGGAGATTGACTCAACTACCAATGGCCAATGATTTTATCAATCATGCCTCCATAAAAACCCAAACAGCAGGGTTTGGAGAGCTTCTGTGTTGCTAAACACAAGGAGGTCCTGGGAGGGTAGTGTGCCCAACAGAGGGCATGGAAGCTCTGTGCCCCTCCCCACTTACCTTGTCCTGTGCATCTCTTTCATTGGCTGTTCCTGAGATGCAGCCATTACATTGAGCCAGTAATAGAAAATAAGGTGGCCAGATGCGCTGGCTCATGCCCATAATCCCAGCACTTTGGGAGGCAGAGGTGGGCGGAATCACTTGAGCCTAGGAATTTGAGACCAGTCTGGGCAACATAAGAAGACCCCATCTATACAAAAAATAAAAGAAATTAGCCAAATGTGGTGGTGGGAACCCTGTAATTCCAGCTACTTGAGAGGCTGCAGCAGGAGAATCACTTGAGCCCTGGAGGTTGAGGCTTCAATGAGCTATGATTGCACCACTGCACACCAGCCTGGACAACAGAGCGAGGCACTGTCTCTTAAAAAGAAAAGAAAAAAACCTGCTTTTCTAAGTTCTGTGAGTTGTTCTAGTAA
Organism: Homo sapiens; assembly: GCF_000001405.40. Classification (NCBI taxonomy): domain Eukaryota; kingdom Metazoa; phylum Chordata; class Mammalia; order Primates; family Hominidae; genus Homo; species Homo sapiens. The sequence continues at coordinate 222,499,469 of NC_000001.11, forward strand.
ATAATTAAACTCAAGAAGAGGGTCATGGGAAACCCTGATTTCTAACTGGTTGGTCAAAATACAGGTGACAACCTAGGACTTGCAACTGGCATCTGAAGTGAGGGTGGTCTTGTGGGACTGAGCCCCTAACCTGTGGGTTCTGCGCTAACTCTAGGTAGTGTCAGAATGGAATTGTGGGATACGCGGTTGGTATCCAGAGAGTTGGAGAACTGGTGTAGAAACTCTGCACACACATTTGGTCAGAAGTCTGTGAGTAGAGAGAAACGTGTTGCGGGAAGTCAGAGACCCCAAACGGAGGGACCGGCTGAAGCCACGGCAGAAGAACATAAATTGTGAAGATTTCATGGACATTTATTAGTTCCCCAAATTAATACTTCTATAATTTCTTGGGCCTGTCTTTACTGCAATCTCTGAACATAAATTGTGAAGATTTCACGGACACTTATCACTTCCCTAATCAATACCCTTGTGATTTCCTATGCCTGTCTTTACTTTAATCTCTTAATCCAGTCATCTTCGTAAGCTGAGGATGAATGTCCCCGCAGGACCCTGTGATAATTGCGTTAACTGCACAAGCTGTTTAAACAGTATGAAACCTGGGCACCTTGAAAAAAGAACAGGATAACAGCAATTTCAGGGAACAAGGGAGATAACCTTAAACTCTGGCTGCCTGTGGGCCGGGTGGAACAGAGCCATATTTCTCTTCTTTCAAAAGCAAATAGGAGAAATATTGCTGAATTCTTTTTCTCAGCAAAGAACATCCCTGAGAAAGAGAATGCGTCCCTAAGGGGAGGCCTCTGAAATGGCCGCTTTGGGGACGGCTGTCTTTTACAGTCGTAGATAAGGGAAGAAATAAGCCCTGGGCTCGCGTGGCGCTCCCAGGCTTATCAGGACAAGGAAATTCCCGCCTAATAAATTTTGGTCAGATGGGTTGTCTGCTCTCAAACCCTTTCTCCTGATAAGATGTTATCAATGACAATGCGTGCCCGAAACTTCATTAGCAATTTTAATTTCGCCCCGGTCCTGTGGTCCTGTGATCTTGCCCTGCCTCCATTTGCCTTGTGATATTTTATTACCTTGTGAAGCATGTGATCTCTGTGACCCACACCCTATTCGTACACTCCCTCCCCTTTTGAAAATCACTAATAAAAACTTGTTGGTTTTGCGGCTTGCGGGGCATCATGGAACCTGCTGACATGTGATGTCTCCCCTGGACACCCAGCTTTAAAATTTCTCTCTTTTGTGCTCTTTCCCTTTATTTCTCAGACCGGCCGACACTCAGGGAAAATAGAAAAGAACCTACATGAAATATCGGGGTGAATTTCCCCCGATATCACACGGGCTCTTCTCTCACCTGTCTACCTGCTTAACTGCATAGGAGAGGCAATGCATGGTGCTCATGAACAAGGCAAGCATTAAAGTCAGACCAGACTAACATTTGACTCAGTCTTAATATTCAGGTGAGCTTGGGCAAATCACTCATTAACCCCAAGTCTTCATCATTTTGTGCATATAATGGGGATAACTGTGGCACCCAACTGTTTTTGTGAGAATCAATGAAATATTATGCTTGATGTTATTGTGATCATGATACTATCTGACAAGGGCAGTGATGCATGATAACATCAAAAAATTAGAAACTGTAATGAGGTCTCTTGGGCAAAATTCCATACAAGCAAATTATTGTCTCTACAAAGCATTTCTGCCACACTTAATTCACCATTCCCTGAACAAAATGTGCCATCTTCATTGTTCAGGTCTGTATAGTGCTGGTTTCCCTGCCTGGGCAGCTCACTCCATCCCATCCCAGCCCAATCCCCATCCCTCCACCTCCCCCTTCCCTCCCCACTCTCATACAACTCTTCCTTATCTTACAGGACTTGGCTTCAATGTCACCTTAACTGGAAGCTTCTCTCCCTCTCCAGAAGAGCTTCCCATTGCACTTGATGCATGCACTATTATTTGATCATTTTTGAGTTACAGTCCAAGTCTTTTTGTACCTGAATAACATGTTGCCCAGCCAGTTTCTCTTCCTGGATTCAGAAGTCTTTCATGGTAGGTCCAGCTAGAAGTGACAAAAAGACATTTTAAAAAAAAAAAAAAGAGGGATGACACAGACAGACATCAGCACTTAAAAGTTTTAAACGATATGTGAAAAACAAAATTTAAGGGCTTCTAGGAGAAATGTAGGAGGGAAGGTGCTACTGGGAAATATGATAGAAGGTTAATTTTTATTTTATTTTATTTTTAGAGAAAGGGTCTTGCTCTATCGCCTAGGCTGGACTGCAGTGGTGCAATCACAGTTAACTGCAGCCTCAACCTCCAGGGCTTGAGCAATATTCCCATCTAATTTTTATTTTGTTTAAGAAATGCAGTCTTGCTCTTAGCAAAGCTAAAGTGCAATGGTGTGATCATAGCTTACTGCAGCCTCAACCTTCTAGACTCAAGTGATCCTCCAGTCTTAGCCTCCCCAGTAGCTGGGACTACAGGTGTGCACTGCAACATGTAGCTCATTTTTTTTTTTTAATTTTTAGTAGAGACAAAGTGTCACTATGTTGACCAGGTTGGTGGTGATCTCCTACACTCAGGCAGTTCTCTCACCTCAGCCTTCCAAAATGCTGGGATTACAGGTGTGAGCTGCCACACCTGGCTGAGGGGGTTAATTTTTAATTATATAAAGAGCTCAAAGCAAATATTAGAAGGAGCCTAAATGCCTCCAGCAGTTGACTGGTACTGGTAAATTGTGATACATCCATATAATAAAATATTATGCAACCATGAAAAGGATTAAGATAGATCAATAGGTATTGGCACAAATGTCCATGAAATATGAAAATATGAAGTGATGTTCAATCACCATGTATGTATCTTGAAGGATATGGCCCATTTTCTCAATTGCAATTATTTCCTGAGATAAGATTATGGGTCTAAAGAGTGAAGGACATTTTTCACTTATTTAAAAGTATTTATTATTTTTATAATTTAATAAAAGATTAAACAGATCATTGAATTAGTAAAAGACAAAGTAACTCTATAAATAAATGGAAAAGACACAGATACCCCAGGCATGGTGGCTCATGCTTATAATACCAGTATTTTGGGAGGGGGTGGTGGGGGGATTGCTTGAGGCCAGGAGTTCCAGACCAGCCTAAGAAACAAAGCAAGACCTCGTCTCTAGTAAAAATAAAAAAATAAAAATAATTGGCCAGGCATAGTGGCATGTGCCTATAGTCCCAACTACTGAGGCGGAAGGATCACCTGAGCCTAGGAGGTCAAGGCTGCAGTGAGTTGAGACTGTGCCACTACACTGAAGCCTAGGAGACAGAGCGAGACTTCATCTCAAAAAAAAAAAAAAAAGGACAATAAAGAAATAAAGCTAATAAGCTAACATAAGGAAAGATAAAATATGTGACAAATAGGCTGGGCGCATGGCTCACAGCTGTAATCAAGCACTTTGGGAGGCCGAGGCGGGTAGATCACGAGGTCAGGAGTTCGAGACCAGCCTGATCAACATGGTGAAACCACGTTTCTACTAAAAATACAAAAATTAGCGGGGCATGGTGGCATGTGCCTGTAATCCCAGCTACTCAGAAGGCTGAGGCAGGAGAATCACTTGAACCTGGGAGGCACAGGTTGCAGTGAGCCGAGATCACACCACTGCACTCCAGCCTGGTCGACAGAGCGAGACTGCATCACAAAAAAAGAAAAAAGAATGGGTGACAAAGTAATAATATCAGGTCTTTCATTTATCACACAGAAAATAACTTGTTAAATTATAATACCTGTGTGGGCGAAGGTGCAGTGAAATGGCCATTTTCTTGTAGTATTAGTGGTGTTTAAAATGTATATAAGCCTTCCAGCATAAAGCTTGGAAATTTTTTTTAAATCATACAGACAGTGCCTCATTATACTGCCTCCTCCAACTCCTGGCCTCAAGCAATCCTCCCACCTCAGCCTCCCAAAGTGCTGGAATTACAGGCTGACAGCCACCATGCCTGAAAGCTTTGCAATTCACATCAAGGGTAATAAGAATGCTCATGCCCTGTGACTCACAGTAATCTCACTTCTGGAAATTTCATCTTTGGATATAATTCAACCTAAACAAAAGGTCATATGCACAAACACAGTGAAAATCTGGGAGTAATTTTTTTCTCTTTTTTAAAAAAAATATGGAATGCTTCACAAATTTGCATGTCATTCTTTCACAGAGGCCGTGCCAATCTCTCTATTGTTCCAACTTAAGTATGTGTGCTACTGAGGCAAGCATGAGTAATGTAAGATAGAGTGGTTAAGTGAAATAATGAAGAATTATGGAGAATTTAAAAATCTATGCTATTTATATGCACCTAGTAACAGCTCAGTAAATATTAGCTGCTACTATTATTATTTTTATGGTAATTTCACTCAATTAAAAACTGTCATTAAAAATTACCATTGTCATGGAACATAATGTCTCCTACTGTATAATTGTAAAAACAGATACAATTTGTCCCTTGGTATATGGGGGGATTAGTTCCAGCTCTCCCATTTCTGTGTATACCAAAATCCACGCATACTCAAGTTTTCGAAGTCAGTCCTGTGGAATCCACATATAACACAAATGGGAAAATTAGTGAGGTGTGGTGACAAGCACCTGTAGTCCCAGCTACTTGTGAGGCTGAGGCAGGAGGATTGCTTGAGCCCAGGAGGTTGAGGCTGCTGTGAGCCATAATTGCACCACTGCACTCCAGTCTGGGCAACAGAGTGAGACAGAAGGTTGACTTTTTAATAGAATTTTTCTGTTCACTTGAAGATATGGTCAGGATTGTGGCATATGAAAATTCTTCATAAAATAACTATCTAATCCAATTAATGCTGGAATTGGGAACAGCAGAAGTGTCATCTCAGAGCTACTCACAATGAAAGGTGATGTCTGGGGCTCAGGTGTGTTGAGGTCCCCATGCCTGGACTATGGGTGCTGAGTGGGATTTACTTGTCCATCCATTTTCTATATTCCAGCACTGGGAAACTAGGGTTTATCCATCTTGATAAGATGTCATTTAAATTCCACTTCGCAAGAACCACAAATGGAAGAAAGGCCATGAAACCGCAGGACAGTACTTGTTCTCAAGGGAATCTTCAGCTTAGGTGGCTCTGTAAAAGAGAAGTTACATTGTTGAAAAATTGTCGCAGGTCAGGTGAGGTGGCTCATACCTATAATCCCAGCCCACTGGGAGACTAAGGCAGGAGGATTCCGTGAGGCCAGGAGTTCAAGACCAGCCTGAGCAACACAGTGAAACCTCATCTCTACAAAAAATTAGAAAATGAACTGGGTGCGGTAAAACATTCGTATAGTCCCAGCTACTCTGGAGGCTGAAATAGGAGGATCGCTTGAGCCCAGGAAGTGGAAGCTGCAGTGAGCTCTGATCTCACCACTGCACTCCAGCCTGGGTGACAGAGTGAGACCCTGTCTCAAGACACACACACACACACACACACACACACACACACACACACACACACACAATCTCAGTCTGTCCAGCCTTGACTAATCAAAAGGGCCTTCTGGTTACAGAAGAGGTATGCTCTTTTGTAGGACAGGGAGAGACCAGCAAGCTTGTTCACAGACTTTTCCTCATCCTCTGCTTAGTTTTCCAAGAACCCTCACAGTGGAAATGGAGTCTCTGGGAAAATGACCTAAATCTTTGGGTTACCAGGGGAGAAATATGCCTCCTTTGTCAATTAATAAATGGAACATCTGCCTTAAAATCCAGGGAGTTCTGCTAGAATGAATCACTCCCTAAGACCCTGACCTATGCATGGAACATGAAAAACTGAAGTTTAACTGGGCGCGGTGGATCACGCCTGTAATCCCAGCACTTTGGGAGGCTGAGGCGGGCGGATCACCTGAGGTCAAAAGTTCTAGATCAGCCTGGCCAACATGGTGAAACCCCGTCTCTACTAAAAATACAAAAATTAGTTGGGCATGGTGGTGGACAACTGTAATCCCAGCTACTCGGGAGGCTGAGGCAGGAAAATCGCTTGAACCCGGAAGGCGGAGGTTGCAGTTACTTCTAGAGGGAATTTCCATTAGCCCTTTGAAATCCTTCAACATTCATGAAGGCCAAAGAGTTTTCACCTAATTTAATCTGATGGGTATGTGACCAGAGTCTTTCTAGGGAATAGAGACTCCCAAACAGTTCAGCTGGGAAGTGAGGAGAGAATTTATTACTCAAAATCAAAGGGAAATGAAAAGAGGCCAACATAGAATGTCATTATTCTTTCTTGGTGGGGAATGGATTCCAGAGTCATTCTGTGACCTTTACATGACCTCCTTATTAGCATCTAAAAGCTTCCAGTGTAGGATGCAGCCAGCTAGGTTCTCTTCTAATGTAATAAAATTTGCTTCAGCAAATCTTATGCAGAGCCATCTCCAGGCTCCAGAAACAATAGGCTATAAATTACTGGATTTCCCATTTGATACAATGAAGTATATGCATGGTCCTGAATGACTCCTCTACATACTACTCTGGGTGGCTTGAAGTGAATTTGATACAAGAACTGGAGCGAGCACAAAGCAGAGCTAGATCTAGGATTAATGTGCTTGGGCCCAGCTCCTCACTACTCACCTATGAGTCTAGTTCCAGAACCCAAGTAGAGGGTGGGGAAACAAGGCTCCTGACTTTTTTTCCCTAATGTCTGCATCTCTTTCACATTTCTTATCTCCTTGCAAAGAAACTAAACAGGCTCAACTGAAATAACTAAATGATTAAACCCTATACAGAGAATCTCCAAAGACTGACAAAATATCATTCAAGACTGTTACACAGACAACCTTGAGGATGACTTGATGTACCAGTGATCTACAATATTTGGGATCATTCCAAATTCCCATCAAGGATCTGCCTATATCAACAAAGGAGCCAAGGACCAACCATTCAAATGGGCCCTGCTGCCAAGCTTTTTTTTTTTTTACAATGCCATCTCTTCATATTGTTCCATTTAACAAAACTGCAGCCCTTCATCTATCCTTAAGTCCCTTGGCCAATTATACAGAGCCAGAGTATGCTAATCCCTAGCAGGAAATCAACAGGATGACCCACTAAACACCATTCAGAAGATGCTAAGACCCATGAATTGCAACAGGAAAGAAAAGACAGGGAATTAGTCAGACAGGTACATGCTGTGCCAAAAATGCACTACAGCCCCCACCCAATTCTGCCTAATCCTAGCTGGGCTGACACCAACCTGATGAGACAGGCCTATAAGATCTCAAACTAAAACAGAAACTCCTGAACTGGGTTCTTTCAAACCCAGGAAGCAGCAGTAAATCATTAAAGAACAGATAAGTTCTTAAGGTGAGGGAGAGTTTCAGATAAATGGAATGCTGGTAGAACACAGGGCCCAAAGGAGCAAAAGTTAACCTAAGCCCAGGTAGAACCTTGTTTACTAGAGTATTAGGCATGGGTTTGGGCAACTATTCTAACCAGAGAAACTGGCTTCAGTGAGGGCAAGTTGGCAATCCAAGGTATAGCATGCATAGGGCTGGCAAAATTCAGGGTGACTGGAGCAAAAGCTTCAGAACCAGAAAGACCACATCTGGGGGTAGAGCACAAAACTCTCAAGAGATGAATCTTTGTAAGAGTGAGGCAGAACTATATAGCAGTTTTAGGAGATCTGTTGGTGCCCAGCAAGAGCTCCAAATGGGCTATATGCAGGGATGCAGGCTGTAGTCTCAGGAGAGGAGGTTCACAAAAGTCATTCAGTCCAAGACCTCAAACTGTGTTCTCTACTAAAAGGAATCAAGGTTCCCTAGAGAAATGGCTGACTCCATGTATGGTGCAGTATATTGATCCTGGAACATCTTTTTTGCCAGAAAGCAAGGAAGCCATCAAAGTCCAACAGGATCACGTCAAAAAGACATGAAAGTCAACTTGAAGAGATAATTATTAACCTAGATGAGACAATGTAAGCATCCAAAACAATAAAGACTGCAATGGCCTGAAATACATCAAATGCAAACAATAATCTATGAGTTCATAATGGTATTCAGAAAAAAAACTACTGGTCATTAGAGGGAAGGTTACTAGGTCACTAACTTACTACTCTGAAAAGTGACTTAAGATGAGAGGTAGGGTGGAGAATTAGCTATTTATTCAGTCTTTCCTGTACAAACATAAATTTTTAGGGAGATTGAAGCAGACGAAACAAATCTGGAAAAATGGAGGTAACTGCTTAATCTGCGGGTTGGGTGCATGGAGGTTCAACATATTTCTTTTGTGTATATTTGAACCCCCTACAAAAAAAGCACAAGACAGAATGTGAGCCAAGCAGCTTAGGGTTTAGGCAAGGCTTCTGCCTACAAGAGACACCAGGATATGAGGGGTAGTTTTAGCCCTGATGGGCTGAGCCAACTGGAGGTATATAGGGAGGTGCTAAATTGCAGAGGTATCATGTTGCCCAGCACTTGATCAAATCCTAGATCCTAGGTCTGCTTGGTAGCATGCTTCCTAGGTAGTGGATCTGAGGCTACCTATAGAACTTCCTTTGCAGTCATAATTCGCTCAGAAACTACAAAAGTGCTTGCTCTTGAAAATGGAGTCTTTGTCCATTTCATGCTTCTATACAAGAATACCACAGACTGCATAATTTATAAAAAGGAAAAAAGGAAGGAAAGAAAAAAGGAAGGAAGGAGGGAAGGAGGGAAGGAAAGGAAGGAAGGAAAAGAAGGAAAGGAAGGAAGGGAAAGAGAAAGAGGGAAGGAGGAAGGGAGGGAAGGAGGGAGGGAGGGAGGGAGAGAGAGAGGGAGGGAGGGGAAGGGAAGAAAAGGGAGGAGAAGGGAAAGGAGGAAGAAAAGGAAAGGAAAGGAATAAATTTTATTTCTTAACAGTTCTGGATGTTAGGAAGTCCAAGGTTGAGGGGCCTGCATCTGGTAAGGGTCTTCTTGCCGCATCATCCCACTACAGAAGGCAGAAGGAAAAGAGAGTGCAAGAAGGCAAGAGGGCAAAAGGGCTGAACTCTGTTTTATAATAAGCCCACTCTGTGATTACTAATCTATTACCACAATAACAACATTAACTCATTCATGAAGGCTATTTTATTAGGCCCCACATCCCAACTGTTGCATTGAGGATTGAGTTTCCAGCACATAAACTTTGGGGGACACATTTAAACCATAGCAGAGCACTTAGGTTAATTCAACTAAGAGGAGCTGGGAAAATCAAAGGCATGAGAAAGACAGCAAAAGCTAGCAGAGAGAAATGCATAGGTTAAGGAAAAAAGTCACAGTGAATCCTGTAGTGCAGGCTACTTTATCAAAAGCACCTTAAAAAGATCTCATTAACTCCCCCAGCTCACCTCCACTCACATCTAAAGAGCCACACACAGCACCACCAAAGGCAGCACAATGAGAACAGCATTCTCCTCAACAGACAAGCTGGGAGTATCTAGACACCTGACCTCAATAGCTCCAGAACAGCCCTAAAACAGTTCCTCCCTAACCACCACTCAAGTCACCAGCTTGGAAAGTATTAAGAAAACCCAAATCCTGACACACCACTATGAAACAACTTAAAACAGCAAAGAACAACCCATTTAAACAGCAATGCCAGCTGCTGGGAAAAAAAGAAACAATAAGTAGAGGAGAAACAGACCTCTTGGGGTCCACCAAGACCCAGTCTCTCAGCTTCAGCACTTTCAAATGCAGAATCCGTACCCCTCTGGGGCCTGTGGAGCTCCACAAGGCATGTCATCCTCAAAGATAAATGAGCAGGCAAGCTGGCTAGAAAACCACTAAGGGTATTATTCTTTAAAGAATCTTTATAGGGTCAAAGAGGAATGGGTCTTAACTGGCTATGTGAACTCCCCACAGATTCTGAGGATGATGTCAGTATCCCTTTCCAGATGTGTTCAACACTTTGCAGTCACTTGTATTCCTGCCACTGAGTGCCAGTGCTTTGCTAATTTGAACTGATTCCAGCTCACGCTGACCCCAGCTCCCTGGATGTTACCATTAGCCAAGACTGTCACCCATACTGTACCCTTTCAAAGAGTCCTAAAAACAGCTCTTCACCTACTCTTCCAAGACAAGTAAAAATGTCTGCCAAAGAAATGGGGAAAAAAGATTCAGAGAGTGAAAACAATTAATATACTAACAAGAGAGCAAAAAGCAAAGGGGGAGGAGAAACTAGGAAAATCATATATGGGCTCTCACCTATTTCCAAAGCTGGGCTAATGTCCTTTTGCTTGTGTCTGAATAAGGCACCAATTTTAAGCTGCTAATGAAAAAAAAAGAAAAAGAGAAAGAAGCAGGCCCAGGCTGGGCGCAGTGGCTCATGCCTGTAATCCCAGCACTTTGGGAGGCCGAGGCGGGTGGATCACCCAAGGTCAGGAGTTCTAGACCAGCCTGGTCAACATGGTGAAACACCATCTCTACTAAAAATACAAAAAATTAGCCAGGCATGGTGGCGCATGCCTGTAAATCCAGCTACTCAGGAGGCTGAGACAGGAGAATTGCTTGAACCTGGAAGGCAGAGAATGTGGTGACCCGAGATCACGCCATTGCCCTCAAGCCACGGCAATGAGAACAAAATTCGGTAAAAACAAAACAAAACCACCATAAAATAACTCAGACTTAATTAAATACAACCCTAGTGGTGAATGACTAAAGATGGATTACTCATAACAGAGATAACAGTCCAATAAGAATCCAGGAATCTTACCTTTTAATAGCAAAAAAATCCTTTCCTTCGAAAGTAACATCCTCTCAAGGCCAGGAATTCCATTAGTAGAAAGCCTTCCTAAAAAACAAAATTCCTGGCCAGGCATGGGTTCACGTCTGTAATCTCAGCACTTTGGGAGGCCGAGGCGAGAAGATCACTTGACGTCAGGAGTTCGAGACTGGCCCGGCCAACATGGTGAAACCCCATCTCCACTAAAAATACAAAAATTAGCCTGGTGTGGTGGTGGGCACCTGTAATCCCAGCGACTTGGGAGGCTAAGGCAGGAGAATTTCTTGAACCCAGGAGGCAGAGGTTGCAGTGACCAGCAAGGTTGCGCCATTGCACCCCAGCCTGGGCAATAAGAGTGAAAACTCTATCTCAAAAAAAAAAAAAATTCCTTTGGGAAGGCCTTCTACATAAAAATCTTCAACATGAGACTGGAAAAAAGGGTATGGGATCATCACCAGACCTTCGGCTTTTACAGCTCGAGCTATAAGAACAAAAAGAAAAAGGGATATCATTTAAACACAGTATGTAGAAAAGAATAATTATTGAATCTGTACTGGTCTTTAACTTTTACACTTTGATCTTTAATTCTGTTATTGTGATTGAGTCCAAAGAAAAATAGTATGAGTAAAATAAAAAGAACACCAAAAATGCTAATATTCTGTTTACCAAAGTCTGTAGTGAAATATCCCATTAAATCCAAGTGCAGTGCTACACACCCATAATCCCAGCACTTTGGGAGGCTGAGGCGGGTGAATCTCCTGAAGTCAGGAGTTCAAGGCCAGCCTGGCCAACATGGTGAAACCCCAACTCTACTACAAATACAAAAATTAGGCAGGCGTGGTGGCAGAGGCCTGTAATCCCAGCTACTTAGGAGGCTGAGGCAGGGAGAATTGCTTGAACCCAGGAGGTGAGCTTGCCATGAGCTGAGATCATACCACTGCATTCCAGCGTGGGCGACAGAACAAAACTTCAACCTCCAAAAAAAAAAAAAAAAAAAAACAGCTAGCAGGTGACATTTGCTATGGGGAGACTAGGGATATGATCTTGCTGCAATCCTTCCATTTTAGTAAATCTAAACAGTGTGAATCCATTCTGTTTCATCCCCACTCCACTCCAGAGCCAAAACAAGAAAATCAATTATATTTCTAGTTCTTTAAAAACATATCTAACTAAATCATCTAATTAAAAGATAATATGCATGGTTCCATACTCTAAAAGAAAACTTATGTCCTGCATATCATGGACATTTGATGAATGCTTATTCAGTTGACTGGTGTAGACTTCAATAATAACCTGTTCAATGCATTATGCCAGATGAATCTTGCATCTCAAAAGTGGAACAAATATTGTTCTTTCAGTTTTGTCTACCCATAAATGCAATATTTACTAATAAAAAGAAAATGAGTTTATTGTTCTAGAGAGTATGAGAATTTTGACAACATGAATTCTCCTGTCCTAGGACATAATTAATACTTAGAGGCATACTATTTCATGTGGAAGCTACCGTTAAATCAATGTTAAGTGTTAATTACCTCACATAATCTTCTAATCTGACTTAAGACTGAAGACGTACCTCACAAAGCTGATTTATCAAGTTGTAAATCTTCACCTGTTGAATTCATAAGTTCATGTCTGAAAGGTGAGAATAAATACTTAATATTCACTAGGCAATATTCAGCAAAGTAATATCCACTAGTACATATTTAATATTTCATCATGAACTGCGAGTGTGAAGAGAAAAGACAGGCTGGGCACAGTGGCTCACACCTGTAATCCCAGCAGTTTGGGAGGCCGAGGCAGGCAGATCATGAGGTCAGGAGTTCGAGACCAGCCTGGCCAACATGGTAAAACCCCGTCTGTACTAAAAGTACAATAATTAGCTGGGCATGGTGGCAGGCACCTGTAATCCCAGCTACTCGGGAGGCTGAGGCAGGAGAATCGCCTGAACCCAGGAGGTGGAGGTTGCAGAAACCATGATCACGCCACTGCATTCCAGCCTGGGCAAGAGAGCAAGATTCTGTCTCAATCAATCAATCAATAAAAATATAAGGAGGAAGCATTTACTGTGTATTTATATGTCTGGTATTATGTGAAGCACTTTACTATCTTATCAAATCTTCAGGACAGATCTTCAGTTCTCATGACCACAAAAGAGGATACTAAAGCTCAGACAGGAGAAGAGATGTGGCCAGCCTGTGTCCCCAGGGCCTATGGTCTTACCACTAGGTTACAGTGTTTCCAGATATCACATGTTGTGAGATTTTTGCTTTAAAATGAACCAAAAAAAACCAAAGGCGAAAAAGGCATAAGCTATTAAAAAGTGGGAGAAACACTAAGAGAACCTTAAGCATGTAACTAAAAATATTATGGAAATGTTATTGAATTCATTAGCAAATTTAATGCTAGATTTTCATTGAGGAGTAGGTTATATTACTCATGATGAAGAAAAATGTTCATTTTAAGTATATTAACATAAATACCATCAATATTGTTTATCATGTTTAAATGTTCACTTAAAGCAATTCAGTTAAAATTCTGCATATCATACAATTTTATAGTTTGCTAGTAGGTTACAAGTAAATAGTCACCCAAATAAAAACATCATGTGTTTTCCACTGGTTGTTGCTCTTTTTAGGTGAGCATTTGATGTGTACCAACAGAGAGAGGATAATAACAAATCGCTAATTTCTTTCATCACTATATAAAGGTGGCTTCAGGATAGAATAGTATAAGGGAAATGATGAATTTGAAATCTAACATCAATTCAGTGATGCATCAAGATAAAAGTAGAGACAATAGGGGCACCTTGGTGAGTACTGAACATTTTATTTATTTATTTATTTTGAGATGGAGTTTTGCTCTTTTTGCCCAGGCTAGAGTGCAATGGTGCAACCTCGGCTCACCGCAACCTCTGCCTCCTGGTTCACGCGATTCTCCTGCCTTGGCCTCCCGAATAGCTGGGATTACAGACATGCGCCACCACACCCGTCTAATTTTGTATTTTTAGTAGAGACGGGGTTTCTCCATGTTGGTCAGGCTGGTCTCGAACTCCCGACCTAGATATCTGCCTGCCTTGGCCTCCCAAAGTGCTGGGATTACAGGTGTGAGCCACCGCGCCCAGATAAATTCCAAATTTAACAAAGCAGACTGAGAGAAACAACTCATTTAAAAAAATAATATTTGGCCAGGCGTGGCGGCTCACACCTGTAATCCCAGCACTTTGGGAGGCTGAGGTGAGTGGATCAGGAGGTCAGCAGTTCAAGACCAGCCTAGCCAAGATCATGAAACCCTGTCTCTACTAAAAATACAAAAATCAGCCAGGCGTGGTGGCTGGTGCCTGTAATCCTAGCTGCTCGGGAGGCTGAGGCAGAGAACTGCTTGAACCCGGGAGGCAGAGGTTGCAGTGAGCCGAGATCGTGCCACTGCACTCCAGCCTGGGCGACAGAGTGAGGCTCCGTCTCAAAAAAAATAAATAAATAATTCAATGAAATCCCTAAGATCCAGGGCTTTGCAAAAAATATGTAAATAAATTTCCAATCTCCATACTGAAAGTTTAAAAGAAATGCTAACTAATAACTAAAGAAATACAACTTTCCTCAGCTTTGCAGCAATCTAGAAACAAAGTGTGTAGACACTACAAAGCACCTTACAGGGAGAAACGTGTAAGGATGGCATGACTCGCCGGCAGCCCTGGGCTTGTCCACGGTACCCCCATGATGAACAGTAACTCCATTGTGTAAACACCCATGAACATAAGATTACAGGACTTTTCCAGTTTAGACATACCATATTTTCTTTCAGACAATTCTTCAATTTGTTTACGTAGATCAGCGATACGATGATTCCATTTCTCTGAAAATCAAGCAAAAGTTGCTTCTCAATAATACGTCCCTATGTCAGAGCAGCACTAACGTATAATGACTTATTTCATATATTTTACATTCTAACAGTCCACATCATTTTACTGCTTTCAAGAAAAAATTTCCCCTTTTTGGTGGTTCTTAGAATTGGTTTAATGGGAGACTATTAGAGAAGCTGAAAAGCAGGAGGGCAGAAAAGTTCAATCAAATTAAACACAATAACAGGGAGGTCACAATGAGGCGGTCTCCAGGGGTCTTTTAGCAAACTTCCTAAAACATGTCTCAGCTGTGTGAAATAAGACTTTACAGCAGCCGGGTGCAGTGGTGCAGGCCTGTAATCCCAGCACTTTGGCAGCAGAGGCAGGCGGATCGCTTTGAGCTCAGGGCAACATAGCCAAAACCCCCCTCCCTAGCCCCACCCCCACCCCGTCCCTACCAAAAATACAAAACAGCAGGGCATGGTGGCGGGCGCCTGTAGTCCCAGCTACTCAGGAGGCTGAGGCAGGAGAATCACCTGAACCCAGGAGGCACACATTGCAGTGAGCCAAGATCACGCCACTGCCAGCCTGGATGACAGAGCAAGACTCCACCTCAAAAAAACAAAAACAAAAACACAAGGTTAAGAGGGACCCCCGACCTTACAGATACAAGTTTAAGAGGGACCCCTAAGCAAAAAATGCCAACCCTTTTTCTCCCAATCATTGAAACACCAGGAGGGTGTAACAGTTTTGCAGCCTAGCTGTAGCAGGCTGATGCCCCCAAGATGCCCATATCCTAATCCCGGGAACTGGTGAACATGACCTTATATGGCAAAAGGGGCTTTACAGATATAATGAAGTTAAGGGTCTTTGGCTTTTGGGGTTGATGTACTCACTCGGATCCTTAAAAGAGCAGAGCAGGTGATGGAGAGGGTGGGAGGTGTAGTGACAGAAGCAGGAAACTCCAGTCATTCGAGACGGGCAGCACAAGCTGAGGAGTGCAGGCCACCTCTACGGCCAGGAAACGGATTCTCCCGCAGAGCCTCGGAAGCCACCGACCCTGCTCCCACCTTGACTCAGTAGGACTTACTGTAGAATTCTGGCCTTCAGACCTGTAAGGGAATACATTTTGGTTGTTTTAAGTCACTAAGTGTGTGGTAATTTGTTGCAGCAGCCACAGGAAACTAGTATTGTAGTGAAGCCTCAAAACCCCCCCTGAAGGGGCTGGGCTCAGTGGCTCATGCCTGTAATCCCAGCACTTTGGGAGGCCGAGGTGGGTGGATCACTTGAGGTCAGGAGTTCGAGACCAGCCCAGCCAAAATGGTGAAATGCCATCTATACAAAAAGTACAAAAACTAGCCGGGCATGGTGGCACATGCCTGTAATCTCAGCTACTCAGGAAGCTGAGACAGGAGAATTGTTTGAACCCAGTGGGGCAGAGGTTGCAGTGAACTGAGATTCCACCACTGCACTCCAGCCTGGGTGACAGAGTGACGCTCCATCTCGAAAACAAAACAAAACAAAAAAACCCCACCTGAAGGTTTCCAGTTCTGCCAGCAGTCTCCCACCCAACCCCCAGAAGCAGACATTCCATTGCTGTGGGCCATGGACAGGCAGAAGGAAGCACCTCCTCATGGCAGAGGCCTACCCAGGAGAAACCCAAGGGAAGGCACTGCTGGGCTGGCCCCTCTCTGCCAAGGCCATATTCTTTTTTTTTTTTTTGAGGCCAGTTTCACTCTGTCTCCCAGACTGGAGTGCAGGGGCACAATCTCGGCTCACTTCGACCTCTGCCTCCCCAGTTCAAGTGATTCTCCTGCCTCAGTCTCCTGAGTAGCTGGGATTACAGGAGTGTAGCATGCCTAGCTAATTTTTGTATTTCTAGTAGAGATGGGGTTTTGCCATGTTGCCCAGGCTGGACTCGAACTCCTTGCCTCAAGTAGTCCACCTGTCTCAGCCCCGCAAAGTGCTGGGATTACAGGAGTGAGCCACTGCACCCAGCATTTGCCAAGACCTTTGATGGCAGGCTTTTTCCAGGTGATCAGTCCTTGTCTGGTCTGGCTCTGCCCCACTCTCCTTCTCACCTAGTTGGAATCCCTAGCTACTTTTCAGTAGAGGAGAGTGTGTATCCCAATCCCAGCTTGGTTCAGATCTGCATTTAACTCATGGAACCTGGCTGCTCCCCAGGTCCTGAAGAAAAAAAGGGTCTCTCTGTGGGTATGATAAAGGATGGGCCTGTCCCCAGGACCCTGTGAGAGGGAAGCCCAATGTCCCACCAGGTTGGCAGGGCTGGGGAAGGGAAAGTGTTATGGCAGCCCCAAGAAAAAAAAGAGGCAGCAGAGGGAGCAGGACAGCGCTCACATGGAACTCATGCCACTGCCTGAGTGAGGGGAGGGAGGAGTGCACGCCAGTGACGTCAGGGGGCAGAGAGGTGCAGTTCCAGGGCGGTTTTCCCCCTCACTTCCTGCCATGTTACTCTGATCGCCTCCAGGTGAGCCTGCCCACTTTGTGCCCAGGGGCCTGTAGAAAACCACAGCTCCCCATGGTTATGGCCCCAGGAGTGGGGCAGAGCAGGGAGGAGTCCTGGACAGAGGACAGGCAGGGGCAGGAGGGAGTGGGCCTCAAACTCCAGGAGGGGGCCCTTCTCATGGGTCCTGCTTTCTGGCTTCTCCTTCCTTACCCCTGGGCTGATCACTCGGGGAAGAACTGAGACAAAGTTTCTTACCCTCAGGCCCAAAGGGTTTAATTACTGGGCCCTTAGGGAGGTGTGAGCCCCCTGAAAGGATGCAAGGTTTTGTTTTGTTTTGTTTTGTTTTGTTTTTTGAGACAGAGTTTCGCTCCTGTCGCCCAGGCTGGAGTGCAGTGGCGTGATCTCACCACACTACAACCTGCGCCTCCCAGGTTCAAGTGATTCTCCTGCCTCAGCCTCCGGAGTAGCTGGGATTACAGGTGGCTGCCACCACGCCTGGCTAATTTTTTGTATTTTTAGTAGAGACAGGGTTTCGCCATGTTGGGCAGGCTGGTCTTGAACTCCTGACCTCAGGTGATCCGACTGGCTCCGCCTCCCAAAGTTCTGGGATTACATGAGCCACTGTGCTTGGCCACGACGAAAGGTTTTGTGTGGAGAGCATGCACATGCCTTTCTGGGAAAACAGTCCACAGCTCTTATTCTCAGCAGGCTTCACGGTCAAAAAAGGTTAGAACTCTTGCTACAGAGCTGTGGAAGCAGCTAGGTGAGGGGCACTCTGGGCACTACCTGGGCATTCTCGAGCCCATCATCCCCTAGGCAGGCTGCACTGCTTGGTATTTGCAGAGCTGAGGGGGTGGGGCATGTGGGGACTGTGAAATCGCCCTGAGATGACCCACAGTCCTCAGCTGGGAAGTGAGCGCTGCATCTCCTGCAGCGTCCTCCATCCCTAGAGCCATGGGGCCAGGAGAACTGGCCCTTGCAGCAAGTGAAAAGCCTATTATTGATTCCCTCCCTAGCCATGTAGACAGTGAACCAAGACACTCATATCAGGTAAATGCCTTGTTCTCTGTTACCGAAGTAACCAGTAGGCATTCCCAGATACAGTGAAGGTCCTCACACCAAGATATGCACCTGGCCACCTGAGGAAAGAGAAAGGACTATCTGAGGGGATGGGGCTGAGCTGGGTGTGGAGTGGTCCTTGTGGGTCTTGGAGAGTGGGAGGGGGGGCAGCATGAGCCAGGCCTCGAGGCAGAAGGACAACCAGGAGACAGCCTGGAAAAAGTGCTGGACCCACAAGGGCTCAAGGCTGGCCAGAGGGGAGGTGGGATAGGCTGCAAAGTCCTGAGGTCTGAAGATTGGCCCTGGCAGGAAGAAACCAGGTAAGGTGGGGTGTTACCTACACCCTCGGGGCCAGATGCAGGCCAGAGCCAGCCAATTACCAGGCCCTTAGGGAGGTGTGAGCCCCTTGAAATGATGCAAGGTTTTTTGTTTTTGTTTTGGAGACAGAGTTTCGCTCTTGTCGCACAGGCTGGCACCTTTGCCCAGAGCAGGCACCAAGACTTCTGGCTCTGGGTGTGACCTCAGTCTGGGTAAAAGCCCCAGCCCCCACCAGGACCACCTACCCCCTAGACTACTTCAGGTGCTGAGCCCAAGCCAGGGGCAGGAAGCTAAACTGATGCCTAGGGTAATCCCAACAAAGTCCCTGGTTCCCCGCAGCTATGGGGCTGACGGGGAATTACAGCCCAAACCCCAGATGCTGGCTCTCGAACTAACACTGAGCCCTCAGTGCCCACAGGGAGATACAATCAGCGCACTTTCCAGATGGGGAAATGGGATCAGAGAAGTGCAACAGCCTTGCCCAATGCCCCAGGCCAGGGCTCCAGGCCCAGAGTGTTCTTTTGTCACTGTGTTCAGAGGGCAGCAGCTGCTGTGATGTACCCACCTGAGCCTGGCAGCTTTCTCCAACTTTGGAAGCCCAGGAGCATGGCCCCTGTCCACAGATGCACCTGGCATGAGGCGTGCCCAGAGGGACAGAGGCAGATGAGTTTCGTCTCCTCCACTGGATTGTGAGGGCCTAGAAGGAGACAAGGGTCGGCTTGGGAAGGCAGTGAATAGCGAGCAGCCTGAGGCAGTGCCCCTCTGGATGGATCCGCAGTGCCTGGATGGAACCTGGCTCAGACAGAGCTCAGTTTTGCAGGTCCCTGAGGCATGGAGAGTTCACAGCTACCAAGTGTAGGAGTCTGGATTCAAAGCCAATGGCGTGACTCCAAAGTCCCTGCCCTAGCCCCTGGACCACCCTTGCAGGCCCATCAGATGCCCAGGCCAGCAGCACAGCCGGCCAAGACCAGGGAAACTTGGGGAGCCTCAGAGCACCCCCAGGTATTCCAACCTAATCCTGGTACCCCGCCTCTCACCACCCTTCTTCCTGCTTTTACCTCAACCCCTACACAAAGCCTGGGCCACTTAATGTGGCATCAAACAGATGCCTCAATAAATCAGTCTAATCTCGAAAAAAAAAAAGACTTAACAGATATACAATTGCATGTTAGAATGCTAAAGACCATAAACATATAACAACTTAAAGTACATATAAATTCAATATATATCCAATGATTGTAACTATGACACAGTAGAATATTAAAATACTATTTTCAAAATGTTTACAAGCTTAATGTTCTATGTATTCAAACTATTTATTCAAAATACAAATCATCAACATAAATTGCCACTAATATTCAGTCCCTTCACAGGACACATGATTCACTGGGAGTTAATAAATTAGCAGCCGGCAGGCAGTAACACACAGCAAAAATGAAAACCAAGAGGTGAAATAGTTCTGAAATAAAGGTTTTAAAGCTAACAGAAATCACTGAATTACTAAGTCATTAGCACTAATTTTGAGCCAACTGACTAATTAATATGAGATGATACAACGTCCTATACTTTGGTAAATACAGACTATGTTTAAACAATGTCTGTAACGTGACTTGTAAAATGCTCCTGGCTTTACAAAGATGTGATTAAGATGTAGTAACACATGCTAAACCATTTCCCCCTGCAGAGCATGTGGTAACTTTCATCAGTCACATTGAGAGTCCAGAAGATAAAGGAAAAGGTCATGGATTTCGCTGAGAACTTACCAGAGTTGAACTCCCTCATTTTCCGTTCCCCAGCATTGGCGGGTTCTGGGACTGGTGGCTGTGGTGGCTCGCTGGTCTTTGTCTCTTAGAAGGTGGGGAATAATCATCATCTTGAAAAAGAAAAAATGGTCATTACTGAAGGAACCATCTTAGGTTACAGCCACCTCTGGGTCAATTCCCAACATTCAAAAGCTGAGCAGGGCTTTAAAGCTATCTTATTAATAATTATTTCTGTATTGCGAACTTCAGCATACTTTTTTCCAGTTACATTTGAAATGTTATTCTTTTGGGATGTGCTCAAGTGAATACTGCTTTTTCCTCTGCCTTGCTTCATTACTTTTTAGTTTCCTTCATTTGAATCATCATTGTAAGTCTCCCCTCCTCCTCAAGTAACTTTCAAATTGCTGCCAAGAACTATGTTCTATCTTAAGGCTTTTGAGAAAAAACTTTCAATGAAGATAGCCTCCTAAAGTTATACAAATATAGAAGAAACGGGATAAAATAAAGCTTAGATTGGAAAAAATATTTAAGATTATACAAAATTCACGCGTAAACAAGGGAAGCTAAGTAATTGTATGTTCAAATACTTTTAACAAGTGCAAAACATGTAGGCTTAAAGAAATAGAGCTGGCCAGGCATGGTGGCCCACGCCTGTAATTCCAACAGTTTGGGAGGCCGAGGCAGGCAGATAACTTGAGGTCAGGAATTCGAGACCAGCCTGGCCAACAGAGTGAAACCCTCTCTCTACTAAAAATACAAAAATTAGGCCAGGAGTGATGGCTCATGCCTGTGATCCCAGCACTTTGAGAGGCCGAGGCGGGTAGATCACCTGAGGTCAGGAGTTTGAGACCAGCCTAACCAACACAGAGAAACCCCGTCTCTACTAAAACTACAACATTAGCCGGGTGTGGTGGCACATGCCTGTAAGCCCAGCTACTCGGGAGGCTGAGGCAGGAGAATCCCTTGAACCCGAAAGGCAAAGATTGTGGGGAGCCGAGATTGTGCCATTGCACTCCAGCCTGGGTAACAACAGCGAAACTCCGTCTCAAAAAAAAAAAAGAAAAAATTAGCCAGGCGTGGTGGCGCATGCCTGTAATCCCAGCTACTTGGGAGGCTGAGGCAGGAGAATCACTTGAACCCAGGAGGCTGAAGTTGCGGTGAGCCGAGACTGCACCATTTCTAAAACAGTGATCATATGACCTTAAAAGTTAACAACCCTGGTATTTTACACTTTTGTTCTCTTTAAACCAAATTGTCTACACTCTTCTGGATGTTTTGCATAATATGAAGAACTTGATGAAAATAGGGACCATTTCCTCCCTTAGTTCTTCATTCCTCAAATACATAGTTCAAAAGTCACAATCCTTCATTGAGGGCCTCCATGAAGGCAGGTGCACAGCAGATTGCAAGAGGGAATTGATTCTAGTCCAGCTGAACTGTTCCCTGTTCCCTCACACCACTGTGATCCAGTAACTTAACCTCACAAAGTTTCACTTTTCTCATCTTCAGTGGAGGTTATATGGCAATAGAGAAGAGCAGGGTTTTGAGGTTTCAAGATAGGGTATAAGCTTGGCACACAGTAGGTATTCAAATAAAATGTAGTTAAGTTTATTATGCTATGTGCATAATAAGGCCAAATAGTGAAACTTCCTTTGCAAAGATTATAACAGTGGGAGAAGCCTGGCATGGCTGACTCCCTCTTGCCTCTAGCCTCACGGGCTGGCTGTCCTCGCTCATTCATGACCGAGGCCAAGCTAACCATGGGAGGAATTCAGTTTATAGTTTAACTTTGAAGCAAGAATTATAATAGTCCCTCCCTAAAACAAACTCCCTCCTTGCTCAGGGACTGAAGCTGCCTTTGTAAAACTGACGAAAGGCCACTAGATAATGGGAAGGGCCTGAATTCTGCTAAAATGCAAGCATAGTTTCTATAATCCCTTACTGCTCAGGAGTCATGTGGTCAGAGTTCACAAGATTTATGACTTCTCCAGTTGCTCCTATAGATAACATCACTATTGTAGCACCTAAGATTGGTCTTTTGAGATGTTTTTCAGATGGTTGCATTCTGGAAACCAACTAACCCTAACCGGATTTGTGATTCATCACTCAACAGGTCCTGTGGCCCCGATCCAGAGGCAGACTCAGTGCACAAGGACAGTTCCTCACACCCCTATGATTTCATCCTCAACCAATCAGCAGCTCATATTCCCTAGCCCCTCCCCCACCAAACTATCCATAAAAACTCCAGCCTCTGAGTTCTCTGTGAGACTGATTTGAGTAATAACTGCAATCCTTCTACTTGGCAGGCTCTGTGTTAATTAAACTCTTTCTCTACTGCAATACTGTGGTCTCAGTGAATTGGTTTTGTCTGTGCACTACACAGGAAGAACCTGTCAGGCAATTACGATAGTAAGTGCTGGAGGTACAGAACTGAACCTGCTCTTGTTCACTTCATGAGCTTTGGGCTGGGGAAAGGAGATACCACATTTAAAGGGTCTTTCCTTGTAAGCTTGTCACAGGCTTCCTCTTAGACCTGGGGTGAGGCAGGAAGGTGAAGCATGGTTCTTATGCAAGAGTGGTACAGCATGCTAGATTTCCTAATGTCAAACAAACATCCAGGATATCAAAGGATATGTGCCAGTTTGAGCAAATGTTGATTTATTACCTCAGGTTGTAGGCATTTACAAGACAAAACGGAGACATCCAGTGTGATTCCAAGCAGGCTCATGGACTAGTGCTTACCATAACCCAGGTGCACCAGCAATCTGGGATATGGTCTCCCACAGAAGCACTGCATACAGAGAAGGTGCATTTATTTATTCAGTAGACAGCAAGATTTCCCAGGGAGAGGAAAACCGCCCTGCCCCACCTCTACCCTGGCTTCCCAGACTTCTAAGGTCTTTATTCAGCAGTGACTTTCATTTGATGAGGTGGCTCTCCTCTCTCACGTCACCCTGTCGGCCACCTTGACCAATAGGTCAAGGGAGACTTCTGCCAGCTCGCTTCTGCTCTGCTGATGGCCTCATCCTGCCACTGTGGCTTTTCAGGCTCTTCCTCCTCTTGCCCTGGCGGACGTGGGGCCCCACTCTGGCTTTCTTCTTTGTACCAGGCCCTCGCAATGTATTCTTGCTGCTTGTAGGAGAAGCCAGCTTCTTGGAGGAGCCTTTCTCAGACAAACCCTGGGCTGGGCCAGAAGCTAAGGTTGCACTGGAAGATTTTCTAGCAGCTTTCTCTGATTGTTCCTTTAGCAAGTCCAAGACTGTCTCTGAGAAATCAGTATTTATTTAGTGAAAAATATAAGTCCCAGAAAGTAGCTATAAGAGAAAACTATAACTGCATTATAGTTCTTTAATATAAATTATTCTTATTAATACTTTTAATTCTCTAACTGGCCTTGGTCTAAATATATGACTTTTTTAGAAGGGTCACTCCAGTGATACATGGTTCTGTAATAGTTTCCTTAAGATAGTATCCTTCCTCTGTAAGTCTTTCCTGACTCCCCACCCTGCCCCAAGGAAACATTCCTCATTCTAGGGGCCCTCTAAGTGCCCTGAGCATCCTTCTATACCAGAACATTAGTGCTACATTTATTTCTTTATTTGCCTGCACTTCCCATCCCCACTCCTATTTAACTCTGAACTCCTACATGTCATAGGCTTTAAGTGTTCATTGCTGTATCCCTAGGGATTAGCATAGTTCCTGCCACAAAGTAAGTATGAAATGAATGATGCCAAATGAATGAATACATGAACGATTAAATGAATGAATCAACAAACGAATGAATGAACGAATAACTAGAGGAAACCGGTCACAGTAGAAATGGGTATCCTTACACTCATAACTCCTCTGTTATGCAGAGGAGACGTATAGACTTAGTTTCCCTCAGGGGGTAACTAAGACTCCACCATGGGAATTATAGCCTGCTTGCTGAGGGCACTGCCTTAGCCTCCACACCAAGGCCTGAGCCTAAGACTCAAAGATGGACTCACTGGCGAGTGGTCTGAACGGGATCCGCTTACTCTTGGTTCTCACGGGCACTGGCTTGTATTTGCACTTGCCTGGGGGTGCTCGCCTAAAAACACAAACAGAAAGCATGAGGACGCAAGACTCTGAAGATGCAACCGGAAAATCAAGGTTACCAGAGGGCGTATATTTGCAAGAATTGGGGTCAGCCTTTACTTATCCATGGGGATGGGGTAGATGTAACAGGAAATATGCTATGAGCTCAGAAGGTGAGGTAAAAGGGCACAGACAGAACAGGGCTCCTCAGGCCCTTGAGAGACAGTGCAGAGAAGGAGTTAGGAGTATGGGCATGGTGGCAGTCAAAACGGGTTCACATCCTGGTAACCAGGGGCAAAAAACCTTGCTAAGCCTCAGTCTCCACATCTATCAAATGCAAAAACTAATGTTTCCCATCTGGCTTGGAACAGTGCCCAGAACATAACAAGAGCTCACAGATGAGGATGATGAAAATGATGATGAGGATGATTCTGCTGCTGCTTCTGATGGTGGTGCTGGTGACTCCCTTTAAAGAAAATGTCTTCAAGAACTCAAGGCACAGCCCTCAGGCGATGCCAGCTTCTCTGCCTAGTAACACACACATTCTTAAACTGCTTGTCCCCGGGTGCATCTTCTGAAATAAAAGGGACTTTGAGGACAGAGAGTACTTCCACTGTAGAGAGCAGAGCTGGAACTTCCCAGCCTGTCCCCATTGCTTTCTCTGCCTCTGCCTTGCTCCAACTCTATCTCTCACTGCCATCCTCCCAAGTCCAGGTGGGAGGGAAAAAAAGGTAATTGTATTTATTTAAAAAACACTTACGTAGTGCTTAGGCACCATTCTAAATACTTTGCAAATATTAACTCATTGAGTCTTCCTAACAACCTGTGAAGTAAGTACTATTATTATACTCATTTTACAGAGGGGAAACTGAGGCTCGCACAGGCTAAGAAACAGGCCCAAGGCCACATAGTTAGTCAGTGGCAAAGCCAAGATTCCAAGCCCAGGCTCAAGTCCATGTTCTCAACCACTGTATTTAGCTACCCCTAAAGGAAGGGTAGGAGGAAAAAATGGGAGGGAGAAAAGGATACATAAATTAACCAGGTGCCCTCAAAATGCTGGGATTGGTGCATTTCGTGCAAAGACAAGCTGAATAAGTAACCAGAGCAGAATCTGGTCCACTTATAGAAGCTTTAAAAAGTCTATATGATTCGATATAATTATAACTGAATGGAGGGAGTAGTCCTAAAATGACCTCTCCACAAAGAGAACTGAGTTCCTATTCCAGGCTCCTCTTAGTAGCTGTACCTGGGGCAAGTAATTTAACTTACCTAGCCTTCAGTTTCTTTATCCATAGAGTGAGGATGTTAACCTGCCTGGTTGGAATTCTGTCAGCATTAAATGAGAGCCCACATGCACAGCACTTAGTACAGTGCCTGGCACACAGGAGTAACTCCATAAATGTCAACTTAAAAAAAAAAGGTGAATAAGTAAGGATGTCTTCAGTGTGAAAATGCTTTATGGGTGCTTTCTGTGTGGCTTCTCACAGCTGCTCTTGTGAAAGTGGGGAGTTAAATTACCTGCCAACTGAATCAGAAAACTGCCAAAGAAAAGAAAAATGGATTCACATAGGAAGCCTGTTAATGGAAAGAGAACTCCCCACCAAGGCATCGTCAACCATCAGAAGCACTTTAAAGACCCTGAGTCTGCTCCATCCCCTAAACCCAGGAGAAGTGCACAGAAGCAGACCCAGCAGTGGGAACAGCCCAGTATTAAATTCACCCCTTGGCTATCCACCCTCCACCATCCACACATCACCCCGGGGAACAGCCTCAGGGACGGAGCCTCTTCCAGGAACTTCCGAGAACACACAAACTGAGAGCCCTGTGGCCAAATACAAGCTCAGATAGAGCTGGCCCCCCCAAGCCCTAACCAGTGGCTGGACCTATTTGCCTCATGTCTGCTGAATGCCAATCCAGATATGGGTAACATAAGCCTCAGGGGAAAATTTTCTTCTGCATGTCTATCTGTAAGCTAATTCAGGGGGAGATTTTCTTGCTTTGGCAATAATTTTTAGATAAATCTAGAGCACTGGGGCAGGGTGCATGGTGGCACACACCTGTAATCCCAGCACTTTGGGAGGTTGAGGCAGGTGGATCGCTTGAGGCCAGGAGTTCGAGACTAGCCTGGGCAACATGGCAAAACCCCGTCTCTACTGAAAATACGAAAATTAGTCGGGTGTGGTGGTGCATGCCTGTAATGCCAGCGACTTGGGAGGCTGAGGCACATGAATAGCTTGAACCCAGGAGGCAGAGGTTGCAGTGAGCCGAGATCGTGTCACTGCAGTCCAGCCTGGGAAACAGAGTGAGACTGTGTCTATTAAATAAAAAATAAAAAATAAAAATAAAAAAAAATCCAGTGCACTGCCCAGACTCCTCAGGATGGATACAATGCATCACCCTCCCTGGGGCAGATAACCTGACCCAGACCCAACCACCTCTCAAGTGGGAAGTGGTATTGTGGCTTTTGCCTGTGCTGGTGGAGGTTGGTCAGCCTCTGAGACAGATAGGCAAAGAAGCAGAAGGAAACAGCATACAGCCCAGCAAGTGAATAAACACTAAACTCCAGAAAAGGTAGAGCTATTGAGGAACCTGCCAGTTAAACGTATTTGCCAAAGACCTGGAGATCTGCACCAAGCCCAGGGGACAGGGGAGCAGTACTTACTCAGGTGCTCAGAGGTGTACACCTGTTGTTAGATGACCTCAGACAGACATTTCCAGAAGCATATTAAAAAAAAAAAAAAAGGCTGGGCATGGTGGCTTACGCCTGTAATCCCAGCACTTTGGGAGACCGAGGCAGGTGAATCACCTGAGGTCGGGAGTTCAAGACCAGCCTGACCAACATGGAGAAACCCCATCTCTACTAAAAATACAAAATTAGCTAGCTATGGTGGTGCATGCCTGTAATCTCAGCTACTTGGGAGGCTGAGGCAGGAATATCGCTTGAACCTGGGAGGCGGAGGTCGCGGTGAGACAAGATGGCACCATTGCACTCCAGCCTGGGCAACAAGAGTGAAACTCCATCTCAAAAAAAAAAAAAAAAAAAAAAAGCCACAGACCTAGACTAACCCTAGAAAGGCTCAAGGTCTTCATGTCCAACTGCAAAGAGACCGTTTCCCAAGTATTCCATAATTGCTATAGATGCATTGTCCTATGCCATTATTTGTCCAAACTGCTTTTCATCTAGAACATGAGTTTGCTTCGGGACAATGAGGACTGTTTTTATGGCCTGCCATGGAGATAAGAAATGAGAAAAATGCATTTGAGAAGAAAATGACATCAAATCTCACCTTGAGGGGTCAACAAACTTGTAAATAGATCCACGTGGTGCATAGGCACTTGGGTAAGAGGTCGCCAGGAAATACAGCTCCCCTAAGGCAACAAAAATAGACAGGCAATAATGGGACATCAGGCAGCACTGAGACACA
The DNA here is from genome assembly GCF_000001405.40 of Homo sapiens. Taxonomy (NCBI): domain Eukaryota; kingdom Metazoa; phylum Chordata; class Mammalia; order Primates; family Hominidae; genus Homo; species Homo sapiens. Next base: position 222,527,107 of record NC_000001.11, read on the forward strand.
GAGTTGGATGCACAGAAAATGGTCAAAAAGAGGTTATGGCCCTAAAATGCAGTGAGCGCCAAGAACGGAATCCCAGAAACCTAACTGGCATCAGCTCTGCTGGGCTGTGAGCTCCTTGAGGAGAAAGTCCATCTTTGAACCCCCCAAAGACTAGCTCAGTGTATGGCCTAGCAGAGGCAATTTCACGTGTATGTTTGTTTATCAAACCAAACAGGTTTCCCCCTTATCACCTCCTTGCCCTCAGAAACTTCACCTCCGTGAATCTCCATTTCCTTCCCCACCTCTTTCCTCTGTGAACACTTGGATATATACAGTCTGCAGGCTGAGGACCATCTGTCAATCGCTTTATTTTGCCCCTTCTTTAGTCCTTTTGTTTCCCTTCAGCCTCACTCCCATTTTCCTCTTTCATTCTGTCCTTGAGTTCCTTATTTCCTGGTGACCCTCCCCACTCTCCATTTCTCCTCTCGGTCTTTTCCATGCCCCACAAAAATCACCTCTACCCACTCTCTCCTGTATCTCTCTGATATGGTTTGGCTGTGTCCCCACCCAAATCTCATCTTGAATGATTTGGCTCCCATAATTCCCACATGTTGTGGGAGTGACCCAATGGGAGATAATTGAATCATGGGGGCAGCTTCCCCCATACTGTTCTCCTGGTAGTGAATAAGTCTCATGAGCTCCGATGGTTTTATATAGTTTTATAAGAGGAAATCCCTTTTTCTTGGCTCTCATTTTCTCTCTTGTCTGCCACCATGTAAGAGGTGCCTTTCACCTTCCACCATGATTGTGAAGCCTTCCCAGCCATGTGGAACTGTGAGTCCACTAAGCCTCTTTTTCTTTATAAATTACCCAGTCTCAGTCTCAGGTATGTCTTTATCAGCAGTGTGAAAACGGACTAATACACTCTTAGAAAGAGCCCCCTGCTCCTTACCATTTCTCCCAGTTGTAACTCAGGGAAATGTTCTTTTGTCACAGTAACTACCTCATTCCACATTGCTTTCTAGTTATTTGTGAGGGACATTATGCTATGGGGTCATGAGCCCCAGTGGAGAGTCCCAGAAGTCTGATTTGATTTCTGATAACACCAGTTCCTCTCCATGCTATCTTGGGAGACCTCTTCACCTGCACAGCCCTCGAGATATTTATTCATTTGTAAAATGGGGATCACAATGCCTCAAGTGATTGTTAGGTATTCAATTAGAAAGTGTTAGATAACCAGGCCGGGCGCGGTAGCTCATGCCTATAATCCCAACACTTTGGGAGGCTGAGGCAGGTGGATCACCTGAGGTAAGGAGTTCAAGATGAGCCTGGCCAACATGGCAAAACCCCCTCTCTACTAAAAATACAAAAATTATCCAGGCGTGGTGGCACACGCCTGTGATCCCAGCTATGCGGGAGGCTGAGACATGAGAATCACTTGAATCTGGGAGGCAGAGGTTGCAGTGAGCCAAGACCGCATCACTACACTCCCAGTGCAGTAGGCAACAGAGCGAGACTCCGTCTCAAAAAAAAAAAGAAAGTGTTCGATAATCGTAGTTATTTTTACTTTCTTATCTGTCTGACCCAATGTTTGTGCCATTACACTGAATTAAACTCACTTGCTGTCATGTGCCTTACACAATTCTTTCTCAATTTTATGAAAGAAAATGTCTATTAAGTTGCAATTCTGAAAAACCTAAAGCTTTATACAGCTCTGAATTATTTAAACAACTAATTTTTTTTTTTTTTTTTTTTTAGACAAGGTCTTGCTCTGTTGCTGACTGGAGTGTAGCTGCACAATCACAGCTCACTGTAGCCTCAACCTCCTGGGCTCAAGCAAACCTTCCACCTCAGTCTTTTGAGCAGCTGGGACTACAGGTGCATGCCACCACATCAGGATCATTTTTTAAACTTTTTGTAGAGACGGGGTTTCCCTATGTTGCTCAGGCTGGTCTCAAACTCCTGCACTCAAGCAATCCTCCCAGCTCAGCCTCCCAAAGCAGTAGGATTACAGGCATGAGCCACCACACAACAGCTCTAAACAACTGCTTTTTGTGGAGAACAGAGACCAGCGTTTGTCTTGTGCTAAGTGTGAGCCTCATGGTCTTTGCATAGCCCCTACACAGGGTAGCAGCTGCCTAACAAACTATGATTTGTGTACTGACAAACTAGATGTATAATCTTCCCCATGTAAGAGATCTGATGAACTAGGGCACACCCTCCTTTAGAGTCAGTTTGCTTTGTCTGAATGGGAAGCCCAGGCACCATCCAGAGTGATTCTACCATTAGATAAATGTGGTGTCTACGAAAGGTCCACGTGTACACAGGCAGGGGCCCCTCGAAACCATGCAAAGGCCTTCTCAGTCTAAAAAGAAAATTGAAAACCATGCCTATACTGGACTGCAGTTTGTGTAAATTACATGTCTTCCACATTCCATAGACTTCCCATTGTATTTTTAGGAGAAAACAATGCTAGAAGTGAATTTCATCTGTAGCATCCAACTGATATTTTTAATATACATCTTAGGGGAGAAAAACAAAAAAACTATAATATGCCATTTAAAACAAAAATGCATGCTATACAAATTTACTGCAAACAGAATTCATTTGACCAGCCCTCTTGGGAATGCCCTTCAGTGACTAACTTTCAGAAATCCCATCAATTAAACCTCAGCAATGGGCAGCTCCACACCAGCCAGTCACTCAGCAGCAATTCATACCAGCTATCAACTCTCAGGACCCAGGATGTGAAGTGCAGCCATAGGTGAGGCAGAGCTCAAGTTCCAAGTAAAAAGTGACTTACCTAAAGCCAGTGGACTGATAATAAAATAATGAAATAAGGCTCAGATCTAAAAATGCCTCTCAGAGGAAAAGAATATGGCAAGGGCAGAAAATATGAATCAGTTTATGCAAAAACACAAGAGCAAGCAACTCTGGAAAAAAAAATAATTTGCCTCAAGAACAGCCTCATCAGCCTCAGGGCCGCCCTTGGGTAAAGGCTTGGGAACACGTTGGCAAGTCTACCCCATGAAATTCAGCCAAGGACTGTGTTTTGTTTGCCAGATGTACCATGACTGTTGTTTTTTTTTTATGCTGTCTGTTTTCTACGGTGAGAAGTCTGCAAGCACAACAAACCAAGCCACCAAAGCCAGGTTCTCTGTGGCCTCCTGAAGAGGAGCAAGCCACAGAAGATGGCAGCCCAGAATCCCTGGGCAGGCCTGCCTCTGGGGTTCCAATCTCTGGGGTGGTGCTGGACACAGGGGTGTCCGGCAGAGGAGAGGCTCCACCACCGCCTGCAGCTTTCACGTCACTCACTTTCCACTGGCCATCATCCTGCCAGCCTGTGGTTTCTCTCCTTTTTCATATGTTTGGACTTCCAATTTGGAACTCACATAGACTTTTTCCTGTTAAAATACTTGAAGTTTCCAAAATTCTTGAAGTTTCCTCTGCTCCTATAAAACATTCATCTCAAACTATCTGTTCATCGGCTAGCTGAGAGGAAAGGGTCCGGGAGCTGACTGGGTCTCTTTATATCCTACTCAAGTGAAGGTCCCAAGGCAGCCACCTCATGGCCCAGAGGGGAAAGAAACCAAATACTTCAGAATCCTTTGAGACTCTGGTTTATACCTATAGAGAATCTTTTTTTTTAAATTTTTTCTTTTCTTGTGTATTTTTTGTGTTTTTTGATTTGTTTTGTTTTCTGTTGTTTAATTATTTTTTTTTCACCTATAGAGAATCTAGATGTGGAAGGGACCCTGAGAGATCACCTTATTATCTCTGTCTTTAAACATGGTGATATCTCGTGCCAAATACTGAAAAGTTCACTGTCCTCACATAAAAAAAGAGAAATATTTAAAATTCGAAAACCTTATCTTTCAGAGTGAAACATAACTTATGTAAAGCTGAAGTTAAAAATCGGCTTTCTGATGATAAAATGTTTGGAAATGTATTAGAGCTGAGTCTCTCTGTGTCTCTCTCGCTCATGTGTACACGTGCACATCATGCTTCACTGATTCCCTTAACACGTGCCTAGTCTGTCTACTGAGCAACCTCCTACCTAGATGTCTACCTTTTTCTCAGGTTTCTAAATAAATAAATAAAATTCTCCTTTTCTCACAGACTCTTGGCAAGGTCAGGAAAGAACCTGGCCCAACCAGTGAGATGATCACCAGAGGTCCCTTTCCCAGACAGCACCGGCAGCATAAACACCCGCTGCCCATTTAGTCTGGCCCGCTGTTGGCCCTTTCCACATTCCTAAAACTGTGGTTCAGAATAGATATTCCCCTCACAGTGAGTTGTGTGGTTCAATCAGGAAGGAGTAAGTTGGCATATTCAGTCTGTTTCTTCATTGGTGAAACGAGCATTATAATTACATCATGGAGCCGGGCGCGGTGGCTCACGCCTGTAATCTCAGCACTTTGGGAGGCTGAGGCGGGCAGATCACCTGAGGTCAGGAATTTGAGACCAGCACGGCCAACACGGCAAAACCCCGTCTCTACTAAAAATACAAACGTTAGCTGGGCATGGTGGCGGGCGCCTGTAGTCCCAGCTACTTGGGAGGCTGAGGCAGGAGAATTGCTTGGACTCTGGAAGCGGAGGTTGCAGTAAGCCGAGATGGCGCCGCAGACAGAGAGCAAGACTCTGTCTCAAAAAAAAGAAGAAAAAATAAAAAATAATTATATCGTGGGGGTGTTATGATTATGAAATAAGGTAAAAAATGTGAAGTGCTTAGAATAGTATCCAGTACATTATAAAAGATGACTAAACGATAGTGATCATAGTAGAAGTGATAATTACTATTTAAAATAAACGTTCAGTTGATGCCTGTGATTATCCGAGTTCTAGTAAGCAGAAATCAAACAACTCTGTACATTTGTTACCTGCTTCATCTTCAGCAAAGGAGATGATGAACTTGCTATGGGTGCTGATCAGCCCTGGGAAGGCACAGGACGTGGTGCTGCCCAGGCAAAGATCCTGCTTCTTCCATTTCTTGTTTTTTCTATCTTCCTGCAAAGCCATAAGTCGACTAGACAAAAAATAAACCCTTATGTTTAGGAATCCATATATCCACTCTGCAGAATACTTTTTCTCCTAGAATCAGAGATCCCTGAGTACTAGGACTGAGTCCCCCATTAAGAGATCAATAACTAGCCTGCCTCCAAGCAACCAAAAAGCTTCTTCAGAGATATTTCAATCACCCACTTGCCCTAGATGTGGAAGTTCATGTTCTATATAAAAGGAGTTTGGACGAGGCCCAGTGGCTCACACCTGTAATCCCAGCACTTTGGAGGACAAGGCAGGCAGATCACTTGAGGTCAGGAGTTCACGACCAGCCTGGCCAACATGGTGAAACCCCCATCTCTACTAAAAATACAAAAATTAGCCAGGCAGGGTGGTGCACACCTATAGTCCCAGCTACTCGGGAGGCTGAGGCACAAGAAATGCTTGAACCCAGGACGTGGAGGTTGCAGTGAGCCAAGATCATGCCACTGCACACTCCAGCCTGGGTGACAGAGCAAGACTTTGTCTCAAAAAAAAAAAAAAGAGTTTGACGTGCTGTGTAGGCTGCACCACTACAAAAGACTGATCTTATTTTCATTAGTTGTGTGACCTTTGGGTAGTTGCCCAATATCTCTAAGCTTCAGATTCCTCATCCATAAAATGGGGAGTGATAACATACTTTACCATAGGTGAGAATTTTGAAGGTTAAACAAAATAATATACATAAAGATCTCACCAATGTGTGTGGCACATAGTAAGGGTTAAAAAAACTACTAACTGTTATTATTATTGCTGTATATTTATACAGTAGCAGAAAGATGCTTCCTATCCCTCTATCATCTATCTGAACTAAAAGCAGGTTTTTAGAAGAAAAGGGAAAGGAAGTTGGTTAGACCCTGGGTGCTCATCAGAATCACCTGGAAAGTTTTATGGAAACAGAGATCCTAAACCCAGGGGATTTTGATAAGTACACCTCAATTAAGAATCACTGCCTGTGAATGGGTGCAGTGGCTTATGCCTGTAATCCCAACACTTTGGGAGGCTGAGGCGGGTGGATCACCTGAGGCCAGGGGTTCGAGACCAGCCTGACCAACATGGCAAAACCCCATCTCTACCGAAAATACAAAAATTAGCTGGGCGTGGTGTTGTGTGCCTGTAGTTCCAGCTGCTTGGGAGGCTGAGGCATGAGAATTGCTTAAACCCAGGAGGCAGAGGTTGCGGTGAGCCGAGATTGCACCACTGCACTCCAGCCTGGGTGACAGAGGGAGACTCTGTCTCAAAAAAAAAAAAGAAAAAAAGAAAAGAAAAGGAAAAAGAATCACTGCATATTAACCAAATGATGTGTGTATGGGGGCAGGGTGGTGAGTGGAGGTTGTAGGGAGAAAAACATGAAGAACAATGAAATCCCAAAGCTCTAGTAAGTGATGATAAAGGACCTGACCAATTAGTAACTTTACCCCATCTCTGTAACTAAGAATTGCAGCATGAAAATAGAACATCTTTTCTAACAGGGACCAGATTTACTTTCCCATCTTAAACATTCCAAAACCTGCACAAGATAGAATAATAATGGCTTGAAATATACTGAAGATCAGGCAATGGAGGAGTGTGTTCTCTGACAGACAGGAAACAAACAAGGTGAACCCTATGATTTTTCCAGCATACTACCTTGAGAGTTTCCAGCACAGGGAGGGAAAATACAGGCAAAGCCCAGCAGGCTCCTTGAGCTGAAAAGATATTGCTGAGAGTCCAGGAAGACCAATGCAGTAAGAGATTGCAGGACAGATACTGAAGAGAAGAAAATTGCACAGAGAAAGAATGCCAGAGAGCTGCAAAAGGTTCCCCTGAAGTAATCATCAGTATACTCAACAGCAGATACATGTGAGAAAATACTTTAAAACAAAGGAAAGAATTAGAAGAAAAAGTACTTGGCATTTACTTGAGATCAGGAATAGCATAAGTACCACAGGGTATAGGTAGAATTCAGTAGTGAGGAATAGAAAGCACTAGAAAAAGCACTACCTTGGATCTGTTTAGCAAATATTAATAGCAAGACCTGAAAGAATCACACTACTTCCAAGTAACTTAACTATGTCTCCAAGCAAAATTCAAAATCATTTATAGGAATACAAAAATATCCAGCACCTACTAAGTTAAATTAATATTTCTGGCATCCAATCAAAAATTGTGAGGCAAGTAAAGAAGGAGGAGAATACAACCCATAATAAAGAGTAAAATCTGTCCATTGAAAGTGACACAGAACTGATGAAGATGTTAAAATTAGCAGACAAGAACATTTAAACAATGATTCTAAACCCCGTCTCTACTAAAAATACAAAAATTAGCTGGGCGTGGTGGCGGATGCCTGTAGTCCCAGCTACTCAGGAGGCTGAGGCAGGAGAAGGGCGTGAACCCGGGAGGCGGAGCTTGCAGTGAGCCGAGATCGTGCCACTGCACTCCAGCCTGGGCGACAGAGCGAGACTCCATCTCTAAAAAAAAAAAAAAAAAAAAATTACAGAGAGATATGAGAGATACAGAGCAGACCCAAATCAAGTTTCTAGAGGTGAAAAATACATTGAGATTACACACACACACACACACACACACTCAATGGAATGAATGGCTGGCTAGACATTACAAAAGAAACAATTCATGAACTAAAGACATAGCAATGGAAACTACCCAAAATAAAACACAGAGAAAATTTTTTAACATAAATAGATCATCAGCGAACTATGGAACAACTTTAAGCAGCCCAATATACATGTAATTAGAGCCTCTGAATAAAAGGAGAGAAGGAGTGGGGACAGAGGAAAACACATTTGAAGATATAATGGCCAAAAATGTTCCATATTTCTTGAAAGCTATAAATTCACAGATCCAATAACTGCAAAAAACTCTAAGCACAGAAATATGAAGAAAACCAAACTAAGGCATATTTTAATGAAATTGCACAAAACTAATGATAAAGAGAAAATCTTAAAAAGCAGCCATAGGAAAAAAAATGATATATTACATATGAAGGAACAAACAGAAGTCTGGCAGCGGATTTCTCATTGGAATGGTGCAAGCCAGAAAATAGTGGCGCAGCCTCTAAAGAATCAAAGAAAAAAACATGTTAACATAGACTTCTATACCTAGTGAAAATATCTTTCAAAAATGAAGGCAAAATAAAGACTCCAAAAGTGAAAACAATTCATCACTATAGACCCCATTGACAAGAAATGTTAAAGGAAGTTCTTCAGACAGAAGAAAAATGATATCAGATAGAAACATGCATCTACCCAAAGGAATTGAGAGCATTAGGAATGATAACATTCTTATTGCCACTGTAACAAATCACCTCAACTACAAATTACGACAACTTTGTGGCTTAAAACAACATACACTTATTCTTTTATAGTTTTGGTTGCCAGAACTCTGAAGTGGTCTTCACTAAGCCAAGATCAAGGTGTTGGCAGGACTGTGCTCCCTCCAGACGCTCTGGAGGAGAATCGGTTCCCTCACTCTTTCCAGCTTCTGAAGGTCGTCCCTATGCCTTGACTCATGGCCCCACATCACGTCACCTTTTCTCCCTCTGCCATCGTTGTTGCATCACCTTCTATCTCTCCCATCTTCAAATTTCCCCCTACCTTCCTCTTCTAAACACACTTGTGATTTCATTTAGGACCCACCCAGAAAATCCAAGATAGTCCCCCAAGTCATATACAATATGTTCTGGGACCACAGTAAATCTAAAATAGAAATCAATAGCAGAAAGATCTCTGGAAAATCTTCAGGTAATTGGAAACTTAATAGCACACTTTGAAATAACTCATGGGACAAAGAAATCAAAAGGTAAATTAGAAAATATTTTTAACTGAATAACAATGAAAACACAATATATCAACATTTACAGGATACTGCTAAAGTAGTACTCGGGGGGAAATTTATAGCACTAAACACATATATTAGAAAAGATGAAAGGTCTCAGATCAATAATCTCAGCTTCCATCTTGAGAAACTAGAAATAGAAGAGCAAATTAAATCCAAATCAAGCAGAAGGAAGAAAAAAGAGAAGAAATCAATGAAATAGAAAAAAACATTAAAATAACAGGAAAAAAATCAATGAACACAAAAGCTGGTTCTTATAGAAGATCAATAAAATGGATAAACCTCTAACCAGACTGATTTAAAAAAAAGAGAAGACACAACTACCAACTGTATCTAGAATAAGACAAGTGACATCACCATAGTTTCTATAGATATTAAAAGAATAATAAAGGAATATTATGAACAACTGAATGCCAAAACATTTGACAACGTAGACAAACTGGAAAAATTCCTTGAAAGGCACAGACTACCAAAGCTCACTCAGAAAGAAATAGATAAGCTGAGTAATTAAATCTAATAAAGAAATTAAATTTGTAATTAAAAGTCTTTTCACATAGAAAACTTCAGGCCCAGATGGTTTTTCTTGGAAGGAAGAACACATAAGGAAAAATAATACCTATTTTACACAAACTCTTCCAGATAATTGAACAGGAGTACTTATTCTGTAAAGCCTGTTTACCCTGATTCCAAATCTGACAAATATATTACAAGAAAGAAAAACTATAGTTCACTATTCCTTCATGCACATAGATTTTAAAATTTCAAACAACATGTCAGCAAATCAAATCCATCTATATGTAAAAAGGATGGGGCCGGGCAGTGAGTCATGCCTGTAATCCTAGCACTTTGGGAGGCCAAGGTGGGAGAACAGCTTGAAGCCAGGAGTTCAAGACCAGCCTAGGCAACATAGTAAGACTCCATCTCTACAAAAAAAAAAATTTTTTTTAATTAGCTGGGTGCCACAAGCTACTGGGGAGGCTGAGGTGGGAGGATCACTTGAGCCCAGGAGTTTGAGGCTGTAGTGAGCTATGATCGTGCCATTGCAGTCCAGCTTGCATAACAGAGCAAAACCTTGTTTCAAAAAATAAATAAATAAATAAGATAAGGCATTATGACCAAGTGGTATTTTCCTCAGAATGCAAGACTGCTCTAGCAATTTTTAAATCAATCAATGAAATTCACCATATTAAGAAACTAAAAATTTTAAAAGCCCACATGATTCATCAAAAGATGAAAAGAAGCATTTGACAAAACCCAACATCTATATCTAATACAAATTTTCAAAGGACTAGAAATAAAAGAAAATGTCCCCAGCCTGATAAAGGGTGTATAGAAATCACCTACAGCTGACATCATATTGGTGTGATGTTACTGTGTAACATCACACCAATATGATGGTGAAAATGAATGCTTTCCCCTATTTCTATTCAACACTGCACTGAGATTAACGTAGAGCAATAAGCCAGTTAAAAAATAAGAGCAGGCTTCAATTCAAAAAAAAAAAGAAAGTAAATACAAAAAATTAGCTGGGCGTGGTGGCAGGCGCCTGTAGTCCCAGCTACTCAGGAGGCTGAGGCAGGAGAATGGCGTGAACCCCGGGAGGTGGAGCTTGCAGTGAGCCGAGATCGCACCACTGCACTCCAGCCTGGCCGACAGAGCGAGACTCCATCTCAAAAAAAAAAAAAAAGAAAGTAAAAGTGTCTCTATTCACAGACCTTCTAATAAAATTATGTTCCACATAGAAAATCCAGTAGAATCTACAAAAAAGCTATCAGAATGAACAAAGAGTTCAGCAAGGTTGCCAGATATAAGCTCAATATAAAAAAATTCTATATTCTAACAATTAACAGTCAGAAACTGGAATTTAACAAAATAACATTTACTATAACATCAAACACTAAGAGACAGGTAAATATGCAAGATCTCTACACTGAAGACTATAAAATACAGTAGCCATGTTATTCACAATATTTCATAACTGGGAATAGCCAAAATGTCCATCAGCAACACGGAGAACAGATGAATAAATTGTGGTGTACTCATACAACTGAATTTTACAAAGCAATAAAAAAGACAAATTACTGATACATGGAACAACATTGATGAATCCCACAGACATTACCAAATTAAAGAAGCCAAGCACAAAAAGAAGAGTACATATTATAATTATTCCATTTATATATGAAGTTCCAGAAGCAAAACTAAGCTGTGGTGAGAGTGCTTATCTCTGGCTGGGGTGTGTGTGTGTGTGTGTGTGTGTGTGTGTGTGTGTGTGTGTGTGTGTGTGTGTATGTATGTCAACTTCTTTTTGGCCTGGATGGCTACATGTACATATTCACTGGGGACGGGGGACAGGCTGGAGACCCGATCCCTTTGGCATGTTTGGAAATGCTCAGAACAAGTAAGCTGGATGGAAGCTGGGCCCCTGTCCCTTTAAAGTGAGCCCCTGGTATGAGAGAGAGACAGAGAGAGAGAGAGAGAGAGAGAGAGGTAATAGACAAGAAGGAGCCTTCTAGGGTGATGGAAGTGTTCTGCCTCTTGATATGGTTGGTGGTAATATGAGTGCATACATTTGTAAAACATCAAACACCTGTGCTCTTACGTGATTATATTTCACCATATGTAAGTTATACCTCAGTAAAAATATTAAAATAAAAAGAGGGAGAAGGGACATCAGTCCTTCCTTACCCACTCATGAAGTCTCCAAAGATATACAGGCCATTGAGATTTGGGGATTCACAACCACGATAGACATAACCTCCAGTGACTGACTTCCCCACTGCATGGCCATAAGCATAGATTGGCAGAACATCATCTGTCCAGGAGAGAGGAAAGAGAGTGAGTGTCGTGGCCTAAAATTGAAAGCTTCAAGGAGGAAGAAGGGGACTTTTTAATGCAGTTGCCTAATTCAGTAAAGAACACTTTACCTCTTGGTCTTCAGTAGGACAGGCAAGCAAGTGAATCATGTTTATTGTTCTCAATAGGCCATCCACAATATTTGCAAACTTCCTACTTAACTGCTATCTGCAGGCAGAGAGGAAGCCAAAAATTCCCTCCATCTATGAGGCAGTGACCTGGAAATCCACATGGCTAAGTTTTCCCCCTAGGTTGATATGGCAGAAACCCAGGTTTAAGGATATGGAAAATATTGTCACAGTCTGTAAGACTGCTTTATAAGTTAGAGGACAAGAAAAGACTAAGAAGAAGTAATAGAGTCAGAACACTAGAATTTTGAGCCAGGTGGAGTTTCTAAAGTACACCTTGATTATTGGTGTTTAGAAAGTGTCCTGGGCCGGGCACGGTGACTCACACCTGTAATCCCAGCACTTTGGGAGGCCGAGGCAGGCGGATCACGAGGTCAGGAGATCGAGACCATCCTGGCCAACATGGTGAAACCCCATCTCTACTAAAAATAAAAAAATTAGGTAGGAGTGGTGGTGCATGCCTGTAATCCCAGCTACTCAGGGGGCTGAGACAGGAGAATCACTTGAACCCGGGAGTCGGAGGTTGCAGTGAGCTGAGATCATGCCACTGCACTCCAGCCCAGTGACAGAGCAAGACTCTGTCTAAAAAAAAAAAAAAAAAAAAAAGAAAGAAAGAAAAGAAAAAAAAAGAAAAGAAAGTGTCCTCTTACTTGCCTATGTGCAGAATATCATTTCAGTGGCCTGTCCCAGTTGGGAAATAAATAAAAACATACATCAATTTTGGTCTGCCAGTGGTTCTCAAAATAATATGCCTAAAATTAATGTGGGTAACTTATTTAAAATACAGATTCCTGGGTCAATCTCATGTCTCCAATCCACCCAAAATTCAAATTCATTAGGTCGAGGGCAGAGTCTAGGAATTCACTTTTTTAAAATAGCCACTGCCAAGATGTCTCTGGTGCCAGTGAGTGGCTGGAGGACCGGTTGGAGAAGCACTACACCACAGGACACAAACAAGGCGTGATTTAAATGACCTGCAGGGCAGGACATTCAGGTTTTATTCCCTACCTCCACCTCCAGCCCACTCAACTCATCCAAGAAATCACCCAGAGAGCTTCTTACTTACCCAAAGAGGCATTGTGACAAAGTTTTTTGTCATAACATGCAAACCCTTCCTTTGCTCTCCAGCCATAGTTTCCACCTTTCAAAATGAGGTCAACCTCTTCAAACCTGTTCTGGCCCACGTCCCCACAGAATATCCGGCCTCGGCCCTGGCGCGTGATGGGGTCCCCTCGGTCCACAGCACAACGCCACATGTTCCTGATCCCATAGGCATAGATGGCGGGGTGGGCCCCTGGCTCAGAAACAAATGGATTGTCCGAGGGGACTCGGTACCGCTTGCCATGTGAGCCTGCCCTGTTCACATCGATCCTTAAAACTTTTCCCAGCAGGGAACTTCTGAAAGAAAGAAGGCCAAGAAGCAGAATGAGGTAAGCAAGGAAAGCCACAGGACTGGAAGAGATCGCCCAGAAGGGCCGACTCATAGCTGATGCCAAGAGACTGCTAAGGATCCCATGGGAAGATTTGACTTCTTATTTTCCTTCTTTTTTTGTACCCGCAAGTATGAGCTTGAAGATTTTCTTTTAAATCTATACAAGATATTTAAGACTGCCCCATGTTTGGCTCTAAGAGAACTACGAGGCAAAAGTTTGATGTGATCTTGGTCCATGTGACCCTGAGCAAGTTGCAGCTTCAATTCTTATTTTAATGATGAGCACAGCTTCTCTCTGATTTGGTCTAATATGACAAAGTTTTTCAAGAAGCTAGTTATATTGTTTATTGTTTATTTAACAACGTGGTCAGTTAAAAGAACAGAATAGAAGCTTCTGAGAGGCTCTGCCAATGACTGTGGTCTCTGGGGCTGACTTTCCTCATTTGAAAGTCAGAGGAGAGTAACTGATGGCCTTGTGCCACTGCTTCCTGTGAGGATAAGAAATTTCACGCTCAAGTAAAGGGTCTGGGATCTAATGAACACATGATAATCAGAGGCTGCTATTCTTTTTAATATATTGGCCAGGTGCAGTGGCTCATGCCTGTAATCCCACATTTTGGGAGGCTGAGGTGGGCGGATAGCTTGAGGCCATGAGTTCAAGAACAGCCTAGGCAATACAGTGAGGCCCCATCTCTATTTAAAATATATAGCTAGATACATATTATTTACCTTGCGGTGTGGTTGTGATGTAAGGGTTAAATGAGTTACTGTGTATATAGCGTTTAATGCAATTCTTGAATCACAGTAGGTATTCGACAAATGTTAGCTTTGTATTATTATTAACCTCAATATTTTTATTACTAGGAATAATAGAAGCCAAGTGCTTACTGGGTGCAAAGGGCAGAAGGACCACATGACCTTTATCTAGGCAAGACAGCATCACTGGGCTCTGGCACCGTATTGTGTGGGTTGGGATTCTGTTTTTTCCACTTACTCATTGTACGACCTCTGTGTCTCCATTTTCTTGTCTGTAAAATGGATACTATTATATGTATACTTCATAGGATTCATTCATTCCATGTGTAATTATGGAAAGACTCCCTTGTGCCAGGCACTGTCCTGAGTGCTGGTGATATATCAATTAACAAAATAGATATTAGATATAAATTCTTGCCCTTGAAGGTTGCTAAAATTACCTTCTCAAATGTAAAGTACTTAGACCAATGCCTGACAAGCTGCAAGCACCCAATACACATTGGCTCTCAGTAGTTAACTTCTCATGTGTCTCCAGGGCCTAGCACAGCACCTGGAACATGGTGTTCAATAATATTATTGAGTTGAATTGAATTAGATGATTAGTGTGGTGAATAATGACCTGCTAATATATATATTTTTAAAATCCTGAATTCTCCTTTACATAACACTCTGACAGTTGTATTGAGCATCAATAATATTAACTACCAAAATATACTATGTCTGAAATTTATGGAACAGAAAACCAAATGTTCCTCCCATTGCCTCAGTGGAGTAGACTACATCTTGCAGTGTGTGATTTGAGTTTGATGCCATCCCTGCAAAAACACCACACCAGGGGCTCACTCTGAAGGGACAAGGGCCCGGCCCCCATCCAGCTTACTTGTTCTGAGCATTTCCAAACAGGCCAAAGGGATCTCCAGCCTGTCCCCCGTCCCCAGTGAATATGTACATATAGCCATCCAGGCCAAAAAGAAGTTGTCCGCCATTATGGTTTGAGGCTGGTTCTTCAATCTCCAAGATGACCCTGGAAGAGAAAAAAGAAACCACACGTTAGGATTTGACACAAGCTGAAGCTGCATCCTCTTGAGATACCCAGAAATGACTGGGCCAAGCCACCGAGATTTGCCAAGCCAGCCAAGACCTGCTTCTGAGTTTTTAAGGATCACAAAGCAAGTAGCTTTGGGGCTCTGAGATGCCCCTTGTTTCCTGGTATAACTCTTTCATGGCTCATTTTCCTTTGTCTTTTTTTTTTAGACAGAGTCTCACTCTGCATCCAAGCTGGAGTGCTGTGGTGCAATCTCACCTCACTGCAACCTCCACCTCCAGGTTCAAGCAATTCTCCTGCCTCAGCTGAGAGCCTCCCGAGTAGCTGGGATTACCACCCCACCACATCTGGCTTTTTTTTTTTTTTTTTTTTGAGATGGAGTCTTGCTCTGTCACCCAGGTTGGCATGCAGTGGCGTGATCTTGGCTCACTGCAACTTCTGCCTCCCAGGTTCATGCGATTCTCCTGCCTCGGCCTCCTGAGTAGCTGGGACTACAGGCATGTGCCACCATGCCTGGCTAATTTTTGATAGAGACAGGGTTTTTCCATATTGGCCAGGCTGGTCTTGAACTCCTGACCTCAAGTGATCCGCCCGCCTCAGCTTCCCAAACTGTTGGGATTACAGGCATGAGCCACCATGCCTGGCCTCATTTTTCTTTCATACCATGATTTAATGAGCTGTGGACCCAGCCAGGGTAACAACCATCCTTTTCCAGGGCTTGCCCTTACTCTCTGCCCTACCAGAATGCTCCATCCCTTCTTTTGAGTAACTTAAGAGGGGTTAATCTATCAGTTCTTTATGCTCTTTGCAATCCTCCAACCTGTCTACCACGGGAAAAGAAACAAGAGAGAAAGGAGAAGAAGGAAAAACAAAGGCAGAGTGGTAGGGTGGAAAGAGCATGAACTTGGGGTCAGTTAAAACTGAGTCCTCACCTGGCCATGCATCCATAGCTTGATGGCCTTGTGCCACAGCTTCCAGTGAGAATAAGAAATCCCACATTCAAAGTAAAGGCCCTGGGATCTAATGGCACATAATAATCAGAGGCTACTATTATGTTTCATATGTTGATATTATCTATAATCCTTTCTCAGACCCCTATGGCTGCTGGTCCTTACTTACCCTTTGTAAAGACAGGAAAGTATGTCTTTATTTAGGGTAACTGTAAGGTGATGGCTACATCCCATTAAACAGCCTTAACTCAAGAGGCTAACTTGGGCCGTTCTCAATCCACAGTGACTCCTTTCTCAACAGTTCGAGTAGTGCTCTAAAACCAGTGAAGTTCCCCTCTATTATCTCGCAGACCTGGTTGGCATTATTTCGGAACACAGTACAGCTGTAGGCTCTCATGAGTACCTCTCACCTCTCTGATTTCAGGTCAGCTTTGTTAGGATCAGCCCGAGAAACCTTCATCTCACTAATTCGGATCTTTTCTACCTTCTTCTTGTCCAGGCACGAATAATAAATATAGAACTTGCGATTGTGGCGGAATTTGGGGTGAAAAGCCAACCCCAAGAAGCCTCTCTCATCCCCGATCCATGGGGTGGTCAACACGATGTTCTTGAGGTCCAGGAAGGGTTGCTCCAGGCGACTCCCATCAGGGAGGTAGACCCACACCACTCCTACCTGCTCGGCAACAAAGAAGCGATGGGTGCCGTCCCCAGCATGGACCATGGAGACGGGGTTCCTCAGCCCGTTGGCCACCTCGCTCAGGCAGAGCTGCAGGCAGCCCTGAGGATCTTGGGCCACCATGCCCAGGTGGCGGTTGAGATAGTCGTTCCTCAGGACATTAGGGAAGCAATAGTCCTTGTCAGGAAGGTCCAGGAGGTGGCAGAAGCGGGTACCGTCCCTTCCATGAGACTCCTGGAGGCCGCGGTCATTGGTCAGCAGGGAAATGGCTGAGTGACAGTTAGAATGGAAGGCAGAGCAGTAATCAGAGCAGAGGCCCGGGAGATTCCGGAGAGGCGTCTGGGTGTTTTCGGCGTCGTAGAGGTGGGCTGCGTAGGGCGAGCACTCCTAAAAAAGAACGCGGAGCTCAGGCTCAGCATCAGACCTGCCACACCGGCACTTGTCTCAAGTTTTGAGCAAGCAGAAAGAAAAAATGGTGCTAGGCGGAAAAAATCAGGATTTTGGAGTTTTTGTTACCAACTGCTGCTAAAACTCTTCTCTGTGATTTTCTACCTAGTTAATGCTCCTAGAAGGCAGAAAACAGGGAAAATCTCTCATATTCACTGTACTATCTCTAACATTTCAGCTTAGTTTTTGACATTTAAAGTTTTATTAAATGATGCATGAATATTTTTTCAAAAAGATATTACTAAATTTCTAGATCTCTTTCTTATTTTTTAATTTTCATTTTATTTTATTTTTCATAGAAACGGCCTCACCATGTTGCCCAGGCTGATTCCTAACTCCTAGGCTCAAGTGATTCTCCTGCCTCTTCGATCTCCCAAAGTGCTGGGATTACAGGCATGAGCCACCATGTCGGCCCAGCCTCATTTTCTTATGGATGCTATATCTACCAAGATGTTATTTCTTTATACAAATCTGAAACAATTTGGCAAAAATTTTACATTTGTTCAAATCTGGTTGTTGGAGATACAGTGTTAATTATTTTTCTGTGCTTTTCCATATTTTTGGAATATTTTACAATGAAAAATAAAGTTATCAGAATTGACATTGGATGTATCACTCTCAGAGATTAGGTGTTTAGCAATTTCTTTAATTATTGATTTTAAAAATTTCAGTGTTTAATATATGCAAAGTACCATGCTGGAACCTATACACATTTGAATTGTGGCTATAGGGCAATATGCCTGCTCCTTACACAAACATATAAGGACTATTTGCTCAAAGGAGTATCTGCTACTTGGACCTCCCTAGACTATAACATTTTTTAGGAGGAAAATAGAATATTGTGAGCAGACGAGCGACTCCCAGTAGTGATGAAAGACAGAGGCAACTGAGATTAGGAAGGTAAGAAAGCCCAATTCAAAGGGTGTCGTTTGGAGCCGTGCATTAGAGCAGAGTTCACCCATTGGCCCAGAAGCCCCCTTCTGATCACTAAGGACTCTCCTGAGCCAGCCAGCCTGTGCAGAACCATCTCATTCACCTCTGTGCTGCCATCGCTTCACAAAAGGACCAGCAGCATTTTTCATGTATATGTGAGTTCCCTGTTCTCTCTTATTTCCTCTGATTGTACGCTGCAGAGTCAGCTTTCGGTCATTGGGCAGAGTGGAAGAAGGAGCTCAGAGATTCGCAGGCTCCCCTCGGGGTGTCTGTTTCCATTTAAGACACTTATCACAGCAGCTATCAAGAAGCAACATGACCCACTCTTAAGTGTCCCCTTGCTCATTCTGTCCACTCTCGGAGACTGGGAAAAAGGGAGAAGGGAGGCTGAATTAAGGATCCAATACTAGAGAATAGAAGGGGGCTGTGGAAAGAGAACCATCACTATGGCACACTCTCATGCAGCCATTTAGAGTTTGCAAATTTGCTTCTACTCAATTAGCTCAGTAAATGAACAGATACTTCCCTACTTCAAAGGGAAGAAAATCAAAGCCCATAAGGTCTCTAGCCAGGCGCAGTAGCTCACGCCTGTAATCCCAGCACTTTGAGAGGATGAGGGGGGCAGATCACCTAAGGTCAGGAGTTCAAGACCAGCCTGGCCAACATGGTGAAACCCTGTCACTACTAAAAATAAAAAAATTAAAAAAATAAAAAAACCCAGGCATGGTGTCATGTGCCTGTAGTCCCAGGTACTCAGGAGGCTGAGACAGGAGAATCGCTTGAAGCCGGGAGGCAGAGGTTGTAGTCAGCCAAGACCGTGCCACTGCACTCCATCCTGAGTGACAGAGTAAGACTCTGTCTCAAAAAATAAATAAATAAATAAATAAATAAAAGTCCTATGTGACTCTCCTGTTGAGTCTGTCTTACGTGCCAGGCACCGTTCTCTACATTGATTGGGATGCAGCAGTGAGCGAAATGCACAAAGTCTCTCTTCCAATGGAGCATATAGTTTGGGGAGCTCAGAAAACCGTTAAGTAAACAAGCCAGTGCTGCTGTAACTATACTTTAGCACGGTGTGATCAAAAGGCACAAAACTTGGAGCCTGAGCATCTGGCTCTGTGCCCCAGGATTGTTTTACCTTGGGTAAGTCATCTAAACTCTTGAGCCCTCATCAGTAAAATGAGGATCATAACAACTGCCTGCAGAATCATTGCTGGGTACACACTACATACGTTGGGGAAGAAAGAGGACCTTATAAATGTGAATAAATAAACACGTGTAGGACTGTTTGGCTGAAATTGTTCTTATTCCTCAAATCCCTAAAACAACAGAGCTGCTGACTTTGACTTTCTGAAACCTCATGCAAGAGGGAAGGGTCAGGGGTATAAATTTTTACCAGGGATGATCTCAGAAATAAACATTCTCAGTGCTGCTTGTAAAAGCTCAGCTTCTACCCTAATGGGAATCCTAGAGTTAATTCTCCAGGAAACAGCTGTGGAGTGGTGTCTAAGAGGACAGCCCCAGGCGGTGCCACCCAGGTGGCTGACTTTCTGGGCCAGGCTCAGCTGTAATTCTCTCCTGGACTCTGGGAAGCTCGGTTAACCACTTCACGCCCTATGTGGGAGTTACAGTGGTCTGCAGGCTCAGGAACAGTGGCGCCAGGAGTCATGAACAGATGCCTGTGGATAGCCAAGTCATTGTGCTGACAAGCCCAGGGGGTCTCAGTTCAAAAGGCTGCCTGGACTTCTTGCCTCTCCTCCCCAACATCATTAGAGGGGTCCTCCCCAGGCAGCCTCTTTTATCAGCTTTCCAAATGCTGACCTCTCCCCATTAACCCCCAAACACCCTCTTCCTACAAAGTCTGTGTGTGCAGCCTACACCCGTCTTGTTTTCAGGCTGAGCTCAATCAAAACGATGCCTCCCAGGCATGTGGATTTTGGCTGTTGGGCAACCAGGAGAAGCAGAAACTCTGTGAGTCACTGCTACTCAGCAGCTTGCATCTCTCTCTTCCAGCTCTGGAGTGCTGGGCAGACAGAACTCTGGAGAGAGTCTCCAACCCCTGCCACCGCCAGGGTGACGCCAGAGATGCCCTGGCACAAATCACCCAGATGAAAAGGACTGGACCCCAGCAGATGCCACCACTCCCTCCCTTAACGCGCTCGGTAAATTCCACGGGTTTAAGTGCCTAGCTCTCTGAGCACCGCAGAGGATGCAAATAATTATTTGCCATGCACCACAGAGGGAGTGTGGCAAATAATGGCTGCTCTGAGAGCTCCAGGAAGAGTGTCCCTCTCATTCTCCTGGAGCCTGGAGAAGAATCAGGGCCAGCAGAATCCCAGAGGGAGAGCTTTGGGGAACCCATGGAGACCAAATTCAGCACACACTCATGTCAGTGTGCGTGTCCAAAGCCGGCAGCTCCAAGATGAGGCACCCGGCACATGAACTTCTAAAGGGCTGGGCTCCCAAAGCACCCTCCGCTCAGGACCCACACCATGCAGCCCAGCACCCAAACCCCTGGGGCTGGAAGGCACTTTTCACTACCTGGCAAAGGATGTCTTTAATGTAATCTCCACACAGCTCATGTCTCTTCAGATCAAAATATTCCATGATGTCCCAGTACCGGGCAGCGATGCGGCGGTCCTTGTGCTGATCACAGCAGCCGAAGGACTCATAGTCAGAGCAAAACTCAAGGTGCAGAGGGGGCTGGAAAGGGGGCCCGTAATCCAGGCACTGGGGGTGTCCCTGCAGCAAGCCCACCTGGCCCAACAAGAATATGAGGCAGAGGCAGAGAATGCCAGAAGAGAGCCAGGGGGCCCGGCAATGCAGACCACCACACAGATTAGGAGTGGACGTTCTCAGCATTTTGGCCTTGGGAACACTCGGGCTGCTGTGTTTGCTCAGGTTGGCTTCCCTGCTCTGCCCAAGGTCCTCCCTCTCTTCCTCCCCCTACTCCACCCTGTTTTCTCCTCCTTCCTCCTCTTCCCCGCCCCTCCCTGCTGAGGTAGTTTCTGAGCAGTGTCCCTTCTGTGGGCTCCCTTTGAAAGCAGTGGGAGGTGTCCCTTCCCCCCTCCCCCAACCCATCTAAACATGAAGCCCCACTCTAGTGCTGCTAGTGTTATGGGGGCACACCTTTGCTTAGCCAAAAGTGTAGTGGTGTCAATGGCAGAGGTGCTCGATTCCTTAAAACTGCAAAGAATTCCTGCTGTCTGTGGGGATGCCCGGAAATTCACACTTTTTTATGTTTCTTCACAGGCTGAGAGGCCCAGAGTCACCATGAGAGCACCATATATTACATCATCCCAGACTTCACACTCTGTAGAAGGAAAGCTTCAAGCGTTTCTACAGTGCTGAAGGGCCCCAAGGCGGTGGGAGATATGGAGGGGCCATGGCAGGAGGCAGGGTGTGCTGTATAGCTCCTGGGATCTGGCAAGGTGTATATTTGGAAGGGTAGGAAGAGAGGGCATTTCATGAATCTTGCATCCACAGTAAGGACCAAGGAGAGGAAGGAGGACACAGTGAAGGAAAAGAAGGGGAATCTTAGTCCATGCTGCTGTAACAAAACACCACAGACTGTAATTATAAATAATAGAAATGTATTGGTCACAGTTCTGGAGGCTGGGAAGTCCAAGATCAAGATGGCAGTAGGGGCTGGGCATGGTGGTTCATGCATGTAATCCCAGCACTGCGGGAGCCTGAGGCAGGAGGATTACTTGAGCCCAGGAGGTTGAGACCAAACTGGGCAATGCTGTGAGACCCCGTCTCTACAAATATAAAAAGAAAATTAACCAGCCATGGTGGTGCACACCTGTAGTTCCAGCTACTTGGGAAGCTGAGTCAGGAGGATTGCTTGAGCCCAGGAGTTTGAGGCTGCAGTCAGCTATGATCACGCCACTGCACTCCAGCCTGGGCAACAGAGCAAGACCATCTCTAAAAATAAAAAAAAATAAGAGATGCCAACAGGTTCAGTGTCCGACGAGGGCTCTGTTCCTCATTGATGGTGACTTGTTGCTCCCATGGTGGGACAGGATGGTTCAAATCCACTCCTTCAAGACCTTTTATAAAGACCCTAATCCTATCCATGAGGCCTCTGCCTTCATGACCTAATCACCTCCCAAAGGCTCCACTTCTTAATACTATCACATTGGCGATTACATTCCAATCTATGAATCTGAGGTAGGGAGGGACACATTCAGACCATAGAAGAGGGAGGTGGTCCAGTGAAAACAAGGAATCAACAAGGACTGTTTGGGACAATTTCCTCAGGAAGCACAGGACAACTGGGTGCCTTCCTTTGCCAAATCTATACCTGCTGTAGGGACACTCCTCCTCACTTAGTATATGTTCCCACATTAGTATTTTAAAAATGTGTTTTGTGGCCGGGCACAGTGGCTCATGCCTGAAATCCCAGCACTTTGGGAGGCCGAGGCGGGTGAATCACCTGAGGTCCGGAGTTCAAGACCAGCCTGGCCAACATGGTGAAATTCCATCTTTCCTAAAAATACAAGAATTAGCGGCCAGGTGTGGTAGCTCACACCTGTAATCCCAGCACTTTGGGAGGCCAAGGCGGGCGGATCACAAGGTCAGGAGTTCAAGACCAGCCTGGCCAGCATGGCGAAACCCCGTTTCTACTAAAAATACAAAAAATTAGCTGGGCATGGTGGCGCATGCCTGTAGTCCCAGCTACTCAGGAGGCTGAGGCAGGATAATTGCTTGAACCCAGCAGGCGAAGGTTGCAGTGAGCCGAGATCATGCCACTGCATTCCAGCCTGGGTGACAGAGCAAGACTCCATCTCAAAAAAAAAAAAAATTAGCTGGGTGTGGTGGCGGGCGCCTGTAATCCCAGCTACTTGGGAGGCTGAGGCAGGAGAATCGCTTGAACCCAGAAGGCAGAGGTTGCAGTGAGCTGAGACTGTGCCATTGCACTCCAGCCTGGGCAACAAGAGTGAAACTCCATCTCAAAAAGTAATAATAATAAAATAAATATAAAATAAAATAAAAACGTGTTTTCCTTTGTCCACATCCCTTGCACATAACAGGCTTTGATAAATATTTCTTGAATGAATAAATGCAGAACAGGAGTCCCAAACTCACACAGCCCCAAACCCAAACAAGCATGAGCCAAGGTGTAGGCCAATGGGGACATTTGGCACTTGAGCTAACTCTCCTTTCAGCATTTTCCATGGTTCTGGTCCACCTTGAATTTCCTTACTGGCAAAAGCTTCTGTTTGAAACGCAGATGAAGTCCAAGTTTCTTCTTGTTCCAGATGTGCTGCTTCAGAGGGTGCCCTACCTGGCTGCCCAACTCATCGCCAGAAACAGTATTTGCCAGGGTATCATCAAGAAGGGACAGTGAACCTCAGTCTAGCCAAGTCTATACTCACAATGTTCTGGATTATGAAAGCCCCAAATAGCATTTAAAATACAAACAAAATTGGCCAGGTGTGGTTAATGCCTATAATCCCAGGACTTTGGGAGGCCAAGGCAGGAGGATCATTTGAGCCCAAAAGTTTAAGACCAGACTGGGCAACATAGTGAGACCCTGTTGCTATAAAAATTTTTTAAATTAGCTGGGTGTGGTGGCGTGTATCTGTAGTCCTAGTTACTTGGGAGGCTAAGGTGGGAGAATTGCTTGAGCATAGGAGTTCGAGGCTGTGGTGATCTGTGATCACACCGCTGCACTCCAGCCTGGGTGACACAGGAAGATCCTGTAGATAGGTAGGTAGGCAGAAAGATAGATGCATAGATAGATAGATAGATAGATAGATAGATAGATAGATAGATAGGAGGGAGTAGTCAGAATGATCATCAGAATAGTCCTGCTTTCCTATTTGTACTGTTCAGTACTACACCTAGTTGGCCGGGTGCAGTGGCTCATGCCTGTAATCCCAACACTTTGGGAGGCTGAGGCGGGTGGATCACTTGAGGCCAGGAGTTTGAGACCAGCCTGGCCAACATAGCGAAACCCTGTCTCTACTAAAAATATAAAAAAATTAGCTGGGTGTGGTGGCACACGCCTGTAATCCCAGCTACTCAGGAGGCCGAGGCAGGAGAATCACTTGAACTCAGGAGGTGGAGGCTGCAGTGAGCCGAGATCACACCACTGCACTCCAACCTGAGTGACAGAGTGGGACTCTGTTTAAAAAATATATATATATATAATATACCTAGTTGAGTGGTGCTTTTTAAAACATGGGTCACACCTATAATCCCAACACTTTGGGAAGCTGAGGTGGGTGGATGGCTTGAGCCCAGAAGTTTGAACAGACTGGGCGACATAGTGAGACTCTGTCTCTAGAAAAAAAAATAAAAATAAAAAATTAGCCAGATGTGATGGCGCATGGCTGTGGTCCCAGCTACTCAGGAGGCTGAGGTAGGAGGATTGCTTGAGCCCAGAAGTTCAAGGCTGCAATGAGACATGATTGCACCACTGCACTTCAGCCTGGGTGACAGAGTGAGACCCTGTCTCAAAATAAATTAAAATTAAAATAAAATAAATGTCATCCATGATTCACTGTTGACTGTGCTATTTCTTCTGGGTTATTTGCTCAAATGTCACAGAATGTCATGCTTCTGGAAGCCTTAAGCAGGAGGAGTAACATGGACTAATTTCAGCCAGTGAATTCACCCCCACTGCCTTCTCAGAACCATCAAACCCTGGGATATGGAAGAATGAGTGCATTATCTCATCCAGGTAGGACCTGAGAGTATTTTCTGATCTTCTCATGACATTTATGTATCGATTTCCCCTTTGTCGTGAACAATATGGAGATCTTATTGTTTTGAGCAGAGTCACTGCAAGATTAGCAGGGAAAGATGGGCGGGCAGAATCTGATCAGACAGTGACAGCATGAGTTTCTGATTACTAAAATATGTAACATTTCAGACGATACTACGTTTTAGATATAATCGTGTATGTAATTATGGCCAGGCATGGTGGCTCATGCCTGTAATCCCAGCACTTTGGGAGGCCGAGGTGGGCAAATCACAAGTTCAGGAGTTCGAGACCAGTCTGACCAACAAGGTGAAACCCTGTCCCTACTAAAAAAAAAAAAAAAAAAAAAAAAAAAAAAAAAAAAAAAAAAAAAATTAGCTGGGCGTGGTGGCATGTGCCTGTAATCCCAGCCACTCAGGAGGCTTAGGCAGGAGAATCACTTGAACTCAGGAGGCGGAGGTTGCAGTGAGCAGAGATTGCGCCATTGCACTCCAGCCTGGGTGACAGAGCGAGGCTCTGTCTATATACATATATATGTAATTATATAATAATCATGCAATAATTTTACAAAAGATGTCTTGGTGTCAATTCAGTAAATACATACTATTTTGTGTGAAGTATTATGCTGGAATAGAAATGTTTAACAGAAAACTGACATATAAAACAAACTTTTTCAAGGAGTTTATGCTCTGAGAAAAAAGGATGAAAGTATCCAAATAATACTGGCAGATATAAGATTAAGGTAACAGTAAGGGAGGAACAAACTGCCATTAGGGATCCCAAGGACGGAGAGATGACATTCGGCTGCAGGGGATTAAGAATATCATAATGAAAGTTGACTGGAGCTTTTAGATAAGTTATAGATGGAAAAGAACAGAAAAGACATTTTCACTGAACATTAGGTGAGCTTATAAAATAACTCTGAAACTATAAGCTAGGACCAGACAGAGTATCTGAAATCACTTCAGTTTCCACTTTTGAAGCAAACATAATCCTTTAAAAAATTAGCTTGGGCTGCTGTTAACACAGCCACAAACTTGGTGGCTTAAACAACAGAAATGTATTGTCTCACAGCTCGGGAGCCCAGAAGTCTGAGATTAAGATGTTGGCAGGGTTGGTTCCTTCTGAAGGCCGCAAGGGACACTGCTCCATGCCTGATCCCTAGCTTCGTGGGGTCTGCCAGCAATCTTGCATTCCGATTGTGGATGCATCACCCCAAGCTCTGTCTTCATGTTCACATGGTGCTCCTTCTCCCTGTGTGCGTTTGTGTCCAAATTTCCCCTTTTATAAGGACACCAGTCATACTGGATTAGTGCCCACCATAATGACTTCATTTTAACATGATTGTCTCTGTAAAAACTATCCCCAAATAAG
The DNA here is from genome assembly GCF_000001405.40 of Homo sapiens. Classification (NCBI taxonomy): domain Eukaryota; kingdom Metazoa; phylum Chordata; class Mammalia; order Primates; family Hominidae; genus Homo; species Homo sapiens. The sequence continues at coordinate 222,553,269 of NC_000001.11, forward strand.
GTCACATTCTGAGGTACTGGGGGGTAGGACTTCAACCATTCTTTTTTAGGGGACACAATTCAGCCCACAGCAGTAACACACACATTCACACACACGCACACAGTTTCATATAGCATGTGCCTTTTAACATCCCCCCCGCCGCCCCGCACAAGACAGGGTCTCAGTGTCACCCAGGCTGGAGTGCCAGTAGCTGGAACTGCAGGTGTGTGCTACCACGCTCAGTTAATTTTTACTTTTTTTTTTCTTTGTAGAGACGGTGGTTTCACCATGTTGCCCAGGCTGGTCTTGAACTCCTGGGCTCAAGTGATCTATCCCCCTCGGCCTCCTAAAGTGCCGGGATTATAGGCATGAGCCACCATGTCCAGTGCAAGTGCCTTTTAAAAAGTGATGTTGAGAGTCAGGTGTTTATCCTAAATCAGGTCATGGAACACAACAGAAAAAATATAAAAAGAAATGTTCTAGCTCAGTAGCTTCTCATATAGTTTACTGATGTAACTATCTATCTGCCTTCAGACTCCCTCTGTCACAGTCTAAAGATGAACAGGTTGTACCTCAGATTAGAGAAAGTATAACAACTCACTTGTACGAAGCATTACAGTTTACAAAGTATTTCCCCACACTGCATTTCATTTGATCTTCAGTTCTCTCAAGACAATTAAGTCAGCAAGGTAGATATATTACCAGTGAGCATATGAATGAATGAAGTCCAAGAGGGGTTCAGTGAAATATTTTAGGGCCCCACTTTAGATGAATAGAGATGGCAACACAATTCAGGTGTTCTGAATTACAGCCCAGATCTTTTTCATTCCATCAGGATGTACCCAAAAAGAACGAAAGTAGTTATCACTTTTATTTGTTCTTCATTTGGAAAAATTTGTCTGATGCAGCCTACTGAAGAGTGTATTGACTGAAGATTCAGTTCCATTGATAAGATTATCTGGGAGTTCTTGGTATAGGCAGGAGGGGAGTTGTAATTAAACAACTGGCAGTGGTATCACTATGGGACTGACGGGCGGAAACAAAGAGCCGCCTCTACTCACTGAGCTAAAGGCTACCTTCATAACTATGAAAACAACATAGAAGTCAGCTTCGTATTTTTTATGGGACTGAGTCGACTCTTACCTGGTGGCAGATTGGTTTAGAAGCATGAATCTTGGATTGACTTATTCAGATGTTAGTCATATTATTTGTAGACCATCCATCAAAGGTCTTGCTTGTTTCCTTTTGGAATATTTAAAATACAAAGATTCTAATTCAATCCAGCAGAAAAAGCCCTTGTGCTGTAAATATAGGTAAATAACTGGGTCCAAAAGGGCACACCTATCTGTTTTTTTAATTTTTGTTGCTTTTCCTTTTTCAAAAATGTTAACATAAAACAATGTTTCTATTTATTGAGAAAAAACATTTACCAGGACCCATGCTCAGCACTTTACATCAACCTTTCCAGACCATCCCATTTTACAGAATAAAGGTGAGGCCCAGGCTAGGTGGGGGGCTTCAGTCATGCTGGAATTTGAACCCAGACCTTTCTGACTCCATAGAACATTCTTTTATTTCTTTTTATGAGGGGAGGTGGGAAGGGAATGGGGTGTTGACAGCTTTACAGAGATGTAATTCACATTCCATATAATTAATCAGCTAGGGACTAATAATCCAAAATATAGAAAGAACTCATACAACTCAATAACAAAAATATAATTCCACTTTAAAATGGGCAAAGGACCTACATAGACACTTCTCAAAAGAAATTCAAATTGCTAACAGGTATATGAATAAGTGCTCAACATCTCCAGTCACGACGGAAATGCTAATCAAACCAGGAGATACAGCCTCACACCTGGTAGAATGAATCGTATCAAAGGTCAAAGATAAGTGCTAGGGAGGATGAAGAGAAGAGGAAGCGCTTGTATGCTGCTGTTGGGGATGTAAATTATGGAAAACAATATGGAGGTTCCCCCAAAAAATTGAAAATAGAAATATCTGGGTATATACCCAAAAGAATTGAAATCAAGGTTGCAAAGAGATATCTGCACTCCTATGTTCATTGCAGCATTACTCAACGTCCTTTGATGAATAAAGATAGGGTTTATAAAATTACAATTACATACTGCTCAGCCTTATAAAAGGAAGAAATCCTGCCATTCAGAACATGGAGGACATTATGCTGAGCAAAATTAAAATAGGCAAGACACAGAAAGAGAAATACTGCACGATCATCTCACTTGTATGTGAAATCTGAGTCCAATTCATAGAAGCAGAGGGTAAGATGGTTGCCAGGGGCTGAGGGAAGGGGGAAATGGAGTGATATTGGTCAAATGGTACAAAGTTTCAGTGATACAAGATGAACGATTTCTGGATATCCAATGTCCAGCATGGTGATGACAGTTCAGTACTGTATTACATACTTGTAATTTGTTAAGAAAGATCTTATATCTTCTCATCACACATACATACACAATACATACATAATGGTAATTATGTAGAGGTAATGAAGATATTAATTAGCTTGATTATAGTGATAATTTCAGAATGTATATCAAAACATCAGGTTGTACATCCTAAATATATACATTCAGAGGTTTCAAGGAGAAAACAAGACTTTAAATTATCTTTAGTTATTGCTAACGTGTCTTAAAATAGTCGTGACGAATGGTTATAAGTAGTAACCATATAAGCAAGCAGTCCTGTCAGACTGTTCCAGCACAGTATTTCAGCTCACTGCTTATATACAGGTGGTAGGGTTCAGTACAGTGCAAAATCACATCAAACTTGCTCAAAAGTTACATTCAAGCAGAATCTCATCAAGGTTTAGGTGTAAGAGTACATCTGGTTATGGATTACAGAAGCATAATCACTAATCCCATCAGACATCTCATGTGTAAGAAAAGGCAAGGACTGGGGTCATTTAAGGAATGTAGTGACTCAGGCAAGCGATGTGGGGGTGCCCTGTGCCCTGTTTTGTCTTCAAGGCATCTTTCCAGAGAGTTGCATGTCGTCACAGGGTCAGGGGCTTTGTGAAATGATGCTGGCAGGCAGAAATGAGCAGACCTGGGTTCTTTTTGCTGCTTTGTCTCACTCCACCACCTGGCTCAGCTCTCTGCATGTAGTCAACACTGACTGCACTGGGAGGCCATACAGATACTACATGAGAGTGTGATCTTTGGAACCACATTGATTGGGTTGGGATCCTGGTGCCAACACCTATGAGCTGTGACCTTGGCAAGTTACTTCATCTCCAATGACCTCATTTTCTTTATTGGTAAAATAGGAATAATTCATAGGACTGTGGTGGTTTTACAATGAAAGGTAAAGCCCAATTTTAGCTATTACTGTTATTCATGGAAGCAGCTTAAACATCAGTGGACCTAAAAAAAGTTTCACAGGTGACTTGCACTACTCTTACTGAACATTTGATAAGAACATTTGATGTAAAAATGTTGAGACAGCTTTGTATGGAAACCAAGAATCAAAACTACTCATTTCTTTTATTCTCACCTCCATTTTCTTAGAGATCAAGAGAAATCATAGTCCTGTTTTATAGCTTTTGACTAAAAGTTTCAGGAAGTAGATCTTGGCCTATGCTTTCAGATTTTTTCCACATCGTCTGGGAATTTCATTGCTAGAGTATTGGTCTTATACAGAACTCCTACACAACCGAATTATGGACTCCCTATTTATGTGGAAGCTTTAACTTGGTTTATTTTGGCTCTGTGGAACACCTACTCATTTTACATGTACTTTCTAAGTGCTTCTTTATTGATAGACCTTTCTTACTAAGTAATATTGAAATATAAACTATTGACAAAGCACAATTTGCCCCCTAACCTTCTTGCAGATGGTTTAGAATTAGTAGGACTATAAGCCAAAGGGAAATGTGTGTCTCGCCATCTAAATATTAGACTTGCTCTGAAGTTAGTGAGTCTTCATGGAACTCAATTACTAGTTATTCCAGCAGTAAATGTAAAAGCCAAGACATTTCTGAAGAAGCACTTATTCTACCAATTATTCCAACATATTATAAAGCTCAGCTCATGTTCCAGGAAAGTTGCTGTTGGCTTCTGGCCAGGTTTTCCCCATGGGTTTACTGTGTGACTCAGGGACACTATCCCACCGGTGAGTTTCCTCCAGTGTCCAGTCAAATACCGCTGCATCCTCATTTCCAAGAGAAAAAGGAGAGGGGATGCGTGAGTTCTTTTTCTCCAAGACAGAGTCTCGCTCTGTCACCAGGCTGGAGTGCAGTGACATGATCTCAGCTCACTGCAGCCTCCGCTTCCCAGTTTCAAGCGATTCTCCTGCTTCAGCCTCCCAAATAGCTAGGACTACAAGCGCGCACCACCAAGCCCGGCTAATTTTTTTTTTGGTATTTTTAGTAGAGACAGGGTTTCACCATGTTGGCCAGGATGGTCTCAATCTCTTGACCTCATGATCTTAGACTGCTGTGCCAGGCACCAAAAAAGCCGAGCCCTTTAAAGTTAGGCCAGTGCCAGCTGAAAACAGCCAGCCCACTCTACTGCTATGACCCAAATTAGTCCTCTAGAGTCAAAGGTCTCTCTCTAGCAGGAGGTTATTTTGCCCCAAACTGTCATGTCTTTATACTGAAAGAGTCTTTTTGTTTTTTTTTTTTTTTTTTTTTGAGACAGAGTCTAGTTCTGTCGCCCAGGCAGGAGTACGGTGGTGCAATCTCGGCTCACTGCAACCTCCACCTCCCGGGTTCAAGCAATTCTCCTGCTTCAGCCTCCCGAGTATCTGGGATTACAAATGCCCGCCACTGCGCCCAGCTACTTTTTGTATTTTTAGTAGAGACAGGGTTTCACTGTGTTGGCCAGGCTGGTCTTGAACTCCTGACCTCATGATCCACCCACCTCGGCCTCCCAAGTGCTGGGATTAGAAGTGTGAGCCACTGCGCCCGGCCGAGAAAGAGTCTTTTTTCTAAATCCTTCTCTCTTTTCAAAATTCCTCAATAGAACTCATCACCAATATATTTCTTCATGGTGGTATACCTAAAATGGATTAATTAGAATATAAAAGTAGAATATAAATACATTTCACAGCACTACAAGTTACAGTTTATTACACAATAGCAAGAGGCAAAGTATTTGCAAACAATAACTGCTGTAGAGCTATATTCTGTAATTAGTTTGTCATTTGAAGAATTATTCCTTAACAAATGTAACATTTAACATTACAAAAAAGAAAACAGACATAGTTACAAAGAGCAAAGGCAGTAATATTGTTTCTCTAGCTATAAATAATACAAAAATATAAAAATATATAAAAATAAGTTTTTTGTAGTAATATAAGCTTCTTAATACACTACATAAATACATTCAATAACTATCTACCAAGCTACTTACTGTGTAGCTACAACTGTGAAATAACTAAAATTCAGTATCAGAGTCTTGGATTTACAATACTGTATTTTTTCACAGATCTCTTCATCCGCTTAATTTTCTTCCCTAAGATTTGGTGATCTTGCTTTAAAATATACCGGAAATATCTACAACCTAAAAAGTTAAGCAAAATAAAAAGTTTTAATACTCATCACATTTTTCAAGTATATTTCTACATTTTAAAAATTCTGCTTTAAGTTTAGCACACTAATGATTATGAAAATAGATTTATTTGTATTATCAATATGTCCTAAGCATATTCTCAGCTGTGCCCAATGAAATACATTTGTTCCTATATACAAAATTTATTTGTATTACCAATATGGCATAAGTATATTCTCAGCTGTGCCCAACGAAACATATTTCTTCCTATATATAAAGATGTTTCTAATCCACCATAATTAAAGCATAGACTTTAGCTTGTTTTCTACTCTTCCTCCTACACCCTAGTGATGGTGACAGGCATATTATATACAGTCACATATTAAATGAGCCTTCTCCAAAAGCACATTCGTATAGCTTCCTTCTCAATGTTAGCTTGTAAATCAGCCAAAGTTACGTTCATAACAGTAAGAAAGTTCTCTGTAGAAAATCTTAGGATGTGAAGGATTAGAATAAACAAATCATAGGTTAGAAACGGTCAAACATTATCTATTCATTCTAGCCATGTAGAGAGCAGCAAGGTGGAGACCATGTAGCTCTCACAGAGGTGCCTCATGCTCATTAGAAGTTCCACCTGCTGTTCATAAGTCTTACAACACACAAAGGACTGTCAAGCATTTGTCAAATATTTCAGACAAATGAATCATATTTCTGTAAGAAAAATGTAAACTGGATATTGAGGTTTTTTAGAGTTGGTAAATGAATAAGACCATAATTCACATATGAAAAATTAATTTCATTACAGTTTCAGCTTGTATGCATCCATC